>NC_000008.11:130089222-130714222 GCF_000001405.40 Homo sapiens | reverse complement strand
TTAAATATGACACCAAAAGCATGAACAATGAAAGCAAAATTAGGCAAATGGGATTACATAAAACTACAAAGCTTCTGCACAGCAAAAGTAATCAGCAGACTGAAAAGACAACTTAAGAAATGGGAGAAGATATTTGCAAACTATGTATCTGATGAGGGATTAATGTCCACATTATATAAGGAACACCTAAAACTCGATATAAAAACTTAATTTTTAAAATGGACAAAAGATTGGAATAGACATTTATCCAAAGAAAACATATAAATGGCCAACAGGTATATGAACATCCCTAATCTTCAGGGAAATGAATGCAAATCAAAACCACAATGACATATCACCTCATACCTGTTAGGATGGCTTTTATCAAAATATAATAATAATAACTAGTGGTAGGGAAAATGTGGAGAAATTGGAATTCTCATAGACTATTGATGGGAATGTAAAATGGTGCAGCCTCTGTGGAGTATGGAAGTTCCTCAAAAAGTTAAAGATATAGTGGCCCTATTATCTAGCAACCCTACTTCTGGGTATATATCCAAAAGAATTGAAATTAGGATCTCCAATAGATATATGTACTCTCAAGTTCATTACAACATTATTTATAATGGCCAAGATAAGAAAACCATCTAAATGTCCATCAACAGATGTATGGATAAAGAAAATGTGGTACATGCATACAATGGAATATAATTCAGCCTTTTAAAAAAAGGAAATCCTGCCACCTGCAACAACATGAATGAATCTAGAAAACATTATACTAAGTGAAACAAACCAGTCACAGAAAGACAAATACTGCATGAATCATTTGAATTAGATATCTAAAACAGTCAAACTCAGAAAGTAGAATGGAGTTTTTCAGAGGCTTGGGAGAGGGGAAAATGGTGAGCTGTTTTTCAATGGGTATAATGTTTCAGTTATACAAGATGAATAAGTTCTAGGGATCCGCCACAAAACAGTGCCTACAGTTAACAATACGGTATTATGCACTTAAAAATTTCTTAAGAAGGTAGATCTTAGGTTAAGTGTTCTTACCACCAAAAAAAAATACCACAAAGGATGCAAGAAAAATTTTGGAAGTATTAGATATGTTAGTTATCCTGATTGTACATAATTATGGTTTCACAGGCATACACATATGTACAAACCCATCAAATTGCATGTATTAAATAGGTATGTTTTGTACAGTATGTTATACTTCAATAAAGCTATTAAAAATTAAAAATAAAAGACTGTGAAAACTGTGGTGCCTTCATACAAAGTAACTCTAATCAGCAATATGAAGACTGAACTATTAATACAAGCAGTGGCATGAATGGATCTCAAAGTTATTTATGCTCAGCAAAAAAGGCAGACAAAAATGAGTACATACTGCATTATTCTGCCCAGATAAAATTCTAGAAAAACTAATCTATAGTGACAGAAGTTATATCAGGGTTGCCTGGGGACATGAGGAAGGGGCTGGAAGAAAAGAGTGCACAGGGGTACAGGGGAACTTTGGGGAATGAGGGATATTGCACAGTCTTGACTGTGATGGCAATTTCATGGATATAAGATAAAAACACTTGTGAGTATTGCACCTTTCATGGGGACTCAAGAAGAACATTGAAATTAGCACTGTGCTTCAAGTGCATGGCCTCCGCTCTGCAAATTTTTGGAGGATAGAATACAGAAAAGGTAAGGAGCTCACAGCTTACGTGTTGGGAGTCAGCAGACAGGTAAGTGCTCTCTGCCTCTTTGACACCTCCCTGCCCCAGATCCTGAGCACCCTACCCTTCCACTGTCTACTAATTGTCTACACAAAGTAACACTACTATGTATAGAGTGATATTTGTTGTTTCCAATTCTCACTACCATCTTGCAAGGCAAGTGTTATCTACATCATACTGCTGAAGGAATTGAGGCCCAACTGGTTTTAGCCACATGCTGGTAAGGAAAGGGAAGGCATGAATTTAAACCCAGGTCTGCTGACCCTGCAGCGTGGGGTCATGAGCAGTGGTTAAGAGCATGCACTCTGGAATCAGGCAGGCAAAAACTAGAAATCTTCACCTGTTAGCTGTATGACCTTGGGTAGATTAGTAACCTGTCCAATCACCAGGGTTCTTCTCTATAAAATGAAGATAATAATAATAGATCTATTAGAAGGAGTAGAAATAAACAATACATCTAAACATTGCTGGGAACAAGAAATAGCTCAAATAATATTTAAGAAGGTCTGTGTCTATTCAGAGTCAGCTAAGTTAAAACCCGAAAGAACCTTTCAAAGCATCCTGTACAATATGCCTCCCAATTTCAAAGATTGTATATTTTTCCTCTACATCCAATTATTGTGAAAATCCCTCTTAATAGGATTTCATAAACAACTTCATTCCTTCTTCCTGATGTTATCTTATGTTACACAGTATATTGCTTTTAGATTCTCCAGACCAATCAGAGTAGAAAATTATCATCCTGTCTTTCTCTGTCACTCTCTGTGACCACCTGCCTGGCTCACTAATGTCTGTTCCAGACCAGGACTGGAAATAGCAGCCTTTAGTTAACAGCCAAAGCCAAAAATATCACATTCCCTAGGTAGAATAATTTAGTCACTTTAGACCAGACCTTTTTCTTACTGTACTTATTTTCAAAAGCAATGTTGAATGTAGGTTGTTTTATTCCTAACGCACTGATAAAACATCCACGTATAGATAAAGGAAACACAAACTGTAGTTTTTTTCCATTCATTTTTTGGATGGAAATGGTAATTTTTTTCTATTCATTTATTCAAATAATATGCATTGCATGCCTACATACCTGTGCCAGGCATATTCTAGGTGCTAGGGACAAAAGTAAACAAGCCAGAGGCATGATTCCTGCCCCCACAGGCCTCTGGTCTAGCAGAAAGACAGCAGTCCTCAGTTTTTAAAATAATTGTATAATTACAATTGTGATGAGAGCTGAGAGAACAAATCAGAGAGCTCTAAGAATGTTGAAGAGGTTGCTGCCCCTGAAAGATGATGCTGTCTCTCCCTCTTCAATGAGCTCAACCTGCAGAAGGGCCTGAGTGGGGATAGGCTTCAAGGGAAGACCCTGCCTTACCAAAATAACAAAGCAATAGAACTACATCAGATGTGTGGGGCAGAAAGGGTAATTCTGGCCAGGTCAATATCTGTATCAAACTTCTAAGGTCTCCTCTGGTCCTGCAGAGGTTGGAATTCTAAAACCCCATATCCTGGACTCCCTTGCAGCTAGAGTTCTGGATCTGATTTAGGTTTCTCCTACCAGCTGTGCCCACTGAGGGCATCAGTTCCAGAACTGGATTAACCAGGAAGACAGGAGGCAGTAGGTGAGGTCCATTTTTTGGGGATGGATCTAGAGTGGGTGACATAGCTCTCAGCCAATAGTTGCAGTAACATCTTCCTAATCCTCAGATCAAGACTATGGTAGTGTCAGTTTGTAACCGACTGCTGAAAATCCAATTCCCCAAAAATAGCTGACACTTGTCCTGCTCCATGCTACATCCCCTCATCTGACCTGGTTTTAGCATAGCTAGGGTGGGAAGCTGCCTGCATTCTACCTCAAGCCCCTGCCATGCCAAGTCACTGTTTCTCTGTATCAACCTTCAGACTTTCTCCAAAGTCATAAAATGTGGTCCAGCTCATAGAGATGTAACCCAAGTTCTAACTGTTCACACACTTGAGACCAACCCTTAACCCTCAGGGAGCAGGTGTCATGGAGAAATGCCCCAGCCTCTCATTGTAGAAGGGAGAGTTATCAGGTGCATTCCATTAAATTCCTCAGAGGGTCCTCAGAGGTCTACAGTGGAAAACTTCACACTAAATGTGCACTTTCTTGCCATTCCCCACTCTTCTCTGTCTCAGTCTCCCCAGGCCCTCATCCTGGCTTTCTAGGATAAAACTGCACACAAGAACTATCAGCACCCAAGTCCTTATCTCAGGCTCTAGAAGCCAAATTAAGCCATAACATACAACTTACAGATTAAGGCAGACAAATAGTTCCCCCATTAGGCCAGTTCTTCAGTAGTTTTCTGGAAACTGTCTTGGAGACCCAGCCAAGAGCTGACTCCTCCAACACTACCAACAATTACTGAAGCAATAATTCCCTGTGTCAAATCCTTTTCTAATCAAAATCACTCAAGTGGTCCATTGGCTGTATTTGAACTGCAACTTGCTACATGTTTCCTATATTCTGGATGGAGCACTTCCAGCTTGACTTTAAGGCTAATGCCAGTGGAGCTACTTCACCCCAGCAGATGAAGAAAACTGCAGGAATGGCTTTATTCTTCTTCAGGTCTAACACGTAACCCAATCATTCTAATTTGAAATTTTCCTTTGTGCAACTATCACGTTTACTTTTTAAAATACTACCCAATTCACTACTCCTGTCTTCTTTGTTCAGAATAAGACCTCTGAACAATACTAACCAACAGAGAAATTTTTAATGCCTGAGTGTGGAATGGTTTATTAATACTTCATGAAAACACCCAGTTACTGTTTTTCTCTAAGAGATCGAATAATTTCAGTGCTGAGACCAAATAATACTAATAGTGAGGTGTATGGTAATGGGGGTAAGGTGAGGATATCTTTTTTCTTGCTAAAATGTTGAAAATACATAAAAATATGACAAATATCATACTAAACACCTAGGATTTTTTTTTGTTTTAAGATTGAGTCTCACTCTGTAGCCCAACCTGGAGTGCAGTGATGTGATCTCAGCTCACTGCAACCTTTGCCTCTGGGGCTCAAGCGATTCTCGTGCCTCAGCCTCCCAAGTAGCTGGGACTACAGGTGCATGCCACCACACCTGGCTAATTTTTTGTATTTTAGTAGAGACGGGGTTTCACCATGTTCCCCAAGGTGGTCTCAAACTCCTGAGCTCAGGCAATCTGCCTGTCTCCACCTCCCAAAATGCTAGGATTACAGTCATGAGCCACCTAGGATTTTAAGACGACATCATACTTGCTTCCAGCTTCAGCTACTTTTTTAAAAGATTAAACACATAAAAATGGACAAAGTTGAATCCTATTGCCACCCTCCTCATTCTAATTCTCCATTCTCCATCTCCCTCCCCGAGAGGCATCACTGTCATGAATTTCATGTGGGTCTTCCAGTCTATACAACATAGCTTTGTTATAATGATAAATCCATAAGCATATATGGAAAGTTTATTTTTCTAATTTATATAAATGACTCATTATATTAATCCCTTTGTGACTTCCTTATTTTACTTTATTAACATTTTAAATCTATTCATATTGAAACATATAGATCTATTTCATTCATGACTAGTTAGATTCCTTTCTCCATTTACTCATTGATAGACATGTAGATTCTTTTTAGATTTAGGTTATTTAAAACTTTACTTCAATACATACCCTTACATGACTCTGCTTATAAACGTGTGAAAGTTTCGTTAAGGGCTATACTTAGAAACGGAAATGCCAAGTATATTCTCTAGAGTATGCACATGTTCAATTTTTCTAGATGTTACCAAACTGTTTTCCAAGGTGGCTGTAGCAATTTACAATCCCATAAGCAGTATAAAAGTTTTTATTTCTTTACACATTTGCCAACACTTGGGTATTTTCAGAATTTTTTAATTTTACGAAGCTATAGGTGAGAAATGGTATCTTATTTTGTTGTTTAATTTGCATCTCTCTGATTACTGGTAAGGTTGAACATCCTGTCTTATTTATATGATATCCAATTTCTCTCTTTTGTGAATACCTGTGCATAAATTATATGCATGTTTCTCGTGTTGACTATTTCATATTGACTCATTGAATGTGTGTGTGTGTATGCTGCATTATGTCTATTATATATGTTGCTTCTTCCCATCTTAGCTTATACTTTAATTTCACTTACGTGACGTTTCTTATTAGGAAGTTTAATTTTAATTTGATAAAATTCATCAAACTTTGTATTACTAGGTCAAGATTTTTGTATCTTGTTGATAGAGTTTGGTTCTGTGTCCCTGCCCAAATCTCATTTTGAATTATGATCTTCAGTGTTGGAGAAGGGGCCTGGTGGGAGGTGACTGGATCATGGGGGCAAATTTCCCACTTGCTGTTCTCATAATAGTGACTTCTCGTGAGATCTGGTTGTTTAAAAGTGTGTAGCACTTCCTCCTTCGCCCTCTTTCTCTCCCACTCCACCATGGTAAGACATGCTTGCTTCCTCTTCACCTTTCACCATGATGGTAAGATTCCTGAAGCCTCCCCAGCCATGCTTTCTTTACAGCCTGTGGAGCTGTAAGCCAATTAAACCTCTTTGCTTTATAAATTACCCAGTCTCAGGTAGTTCTTTATAGCAATGTGAGAAGACACTAATACAGAAAATTGGTACCAGGAGTTGGGTACTGCTATAAAGATACCTGAAAATGTGGAAGTGACTTTAGAACTGGGTAACAGGCAGAAGTTTGAACAATTTGGAGGGCTCAGGAGAAGACAGGAAGATGTGAGAAAGTTTGGAACTTCCTAGAGACTTATTGAATGGTTGTGACAAAAATGATAGTGACATGAACAGTGAAGTCCAGGCTGAGTTGGTCTCAGATGGAGATGAGGAACTAATTGGGAACTGGAGCAAAGGTCACTCTTGCTATGCTTTAGCAAAGAGACTGGCAGCAATGTACCCCTGCTCTAGAGAGCTGTGAACTTTGAACTTGGGAGAGATTTTTTGGGGTATCTGGCAGAAGAAATTTCTAAGCAGCAAAGCCTTTGAGATATTGCCTGGCTGCTTCTAAAGCCTATGCTCATTTGTGTAAACAAAGAAATGACCTGATACTAGAACTTATATTTAAAAGGGAAACAGAGCATAAAAGTTTGGAAAATTTGTAGTCTGACCATGTGTTAGAAAAGAAAAACCCATTTTCTGGGAAGAAATTCAAGGTTTTAGAAATTTGCATAAGTAAAGAAGAGTCAAATGTTACTAGTCAAAACAATGGGGAAAGTGCCTCCAGAGAATTTCAGAGACTTTCACAGCAGCCCCTCCCATTAAAGACCTGGAGGCCTAGGAGGGCAAAATGTTTTAATGGGCCAGGCCCAGGGCCCCATTACTCTATGCAGCCTCAGAACATGGCACTGTGCATCCCAGATGCTCCAGTCATGGCTAAAAGGGGCCCAGGTACAGCTCCGGCTGTTGCTTCAGAGGGTTCAAGCCCTAAGCCTTGGCAGTTTCCATTTGGTGTTGGACCTGTGGGTGTACAGAGGGCAAGAGTTGAGGGTTGGAACCCTCCACCTAGATTTCAGAGGATGTATGGAAATGCCTGGATGTCCAGACAGAAGTCTGCTGCATGGGCAGAGCCCCCATGGAGAACTTCTACTATGTGCAGAAAGAAAATGTGGGGTTGGAATCCCCACACAGAGTCCCCACTGGGGCACTGCATAGTGGATCTGTGAGAAGGAGACCACTGTCCCCCAGACCCCAAAATGGTAGATCTGCCAACAGCTTGCACTGTGTACCTAGAAAAGCCACAGGCACTCAATACCAGCCAATGAAAGCAGCCACAAGGGCTGTTCCCTGCAGAGCCACAGAGGCGGAGCTGCCCAAGGCCTTGGGAGCCCACCCCTTGCATCAGTGTAGCCTGGATGTGAGACATGGAATGAAAGGAGATTATTTTAGAGCTTTGAGATTTAATGACTGCTCTTCTGGGTTTCAGACTTGCATGGGGCCTGCAACCTGTTTCTTTTGGCCAATTTCTCCCATTTGCAATGGAAGCATTTACCCGATGCCTGTACCCCCATTGTATGTTGGAAGTAAATAACTTGTTTTTTATTTTACATGCTCAGAGGTGAGAGGGACTTGCCCTGTCTCAGATAAGACTTTGGACTTGGACTTTCGAGTTAATGCTGGAATGAGTTAAGACATTGGGGGACTGTTGGGAAGGCATGATTGTGTTTTGAAATATAAGAAGGACATGTGGTTTGGAAGGGGGCAGGGCCAGAATTATATGGTTTGGCTCTGTCCCCACCCAAATCTCATGTCGAATTATGATCTTCAGTGTTATTATAGAAGGGTCCTGGCAGAAGGTGATTGTATCATGAGGGCAGATTTTCCCCCTTGCTTTTTTCATGATAGTGAGTGAGTTCTCATGAGATCTTGTTGTTTAAAAGTGTGTAGCACATCCCCCTTTGCTCTGTCTCTCTCCTGCTGCCATGTGAAGATATGTTTGCTTCTCTTTCACCCCTCCGCCGTGATTGTAAGTTTCCGATGGCCTCCTTAGCCATGCTTCCTGTACAGCCTGCAAAACCATAAGCCAGATAAACCTCTTTTCTTTATAAATTACCCGGTCTCAGGTAGTTCTTTACAGCAATGTGAGAATGGGCTAATATACTTGTTTAAGAAAATATTCTCTACCCTAGGACAAAGTCTGGCTATTTACTGAAATGCATGTTCTCTCTTTCTTGACATGCTGCTAGACCACAGCATTTCCCAGTGTTGCACCTCTGTGGTTGACCAGTGGAGTGCTAGCAGATGTGATGTGTGTCACTTCCAGGCCTGGCCTCTAAAATGTCCTGCATGATTCCTCATGCTCTTTTCTCCTTCATTAATAAGGTTGATGCAGAGAATCCAGATAGGATTTCAAAGACCTAAGGTAAGGTAGAGCCATTAGATAAAATGGTCTTGAGTCCCTGAGTGAGGCCATGGAAAGCTGCCCAGTGAACTCTGCCATGAGTAAGAAACACTTGTTTAGTTGTATTAAGTCGCTGTCATCTGATGTTTTATTTGTAATCCCAGCAGGTCCTAACCTTTACAAGCTAGTACGTCCACTGAGTCAAAACTTTTTATCCTATATTTGCTTTTAAAGTTGTAAAGTCTTGTTTTTATATTTAGTATTTCAAGACTTCTGAAATTTATTTCCTATAAATAGCATGAGAAAAAATCCATTTTTTCTTTCTGACAAGCTAATTGTGTCAACCCTGCACATTAAATATTTATTAAGTAGTTCTCCTCCATCCATCATATATCAAATTCCCAATTTCATGTGTACATCTGTTTCTAGACTATTCATGCTGTTATATCATTTACAGGATGTCTAAAAAATTAAAAAGCATTAAATAAATTTATTCTTTTTTTTTTTTTTTTTTTGAGACGGAGTCTCGCTCTGTCGCCCAGGCCGGACTGCAGACTGCAGTGGCGCAATCTCGGCTCACTGCAAGCTCTGCTTCCCGGGTTCACGCCATTCTCCTGCCTCAGCCTCCCGAGTAGCTGGGACTACAGGCGCCCGCCACCGTGCCCGGCTAATTTTTTGTATTTTTAGTAGAGACGGGGTTTCACCTTGTTAGCCAGGATGGTCTCGATCTCCTGACCTCATGATCCACCCGCCTCGGCCTCCCAAAGTTCTGGGAATAAATTTATTCTTAAATAATATATTCATTGCATTCTTCAAATCATATGTTCTATTTATTTTTATCAACTTTCAGATGCTTTTTCATATCTCTAAATGTAAAGCAATGAATTCAATTATCAGTTTAAGAACAGCACAAAAAATGTGTTATTTTCCCTGTGTTTCCAGGCTTTCTGTATAGTATACCATCTTTATTCTATTTTTCAAAGAAACCTATAACTTACAGATAACAGAATTTAGCCAAAGGTAATCTTATTTAAGATCTTTGCTACAATTTGATTGGGTATCTTTTACCAAAAAAAATCTTGCTTATTTTTTTAATATTTAATAGTTTAACAGAAACTAGAACACTGAGCCTAGAAATAGAATAAACAAAATATGTTCATGATCAGAGATTTGTTTTATAGTTTCCCTTTAATGAAAGCTAATGTTCTTCATAAAAAAAGATCCAGATTTCTGATGTATTTTTCTTCCTCAAGAGTTGTAGTCTATTAATTCTTTTTTTTTTTTTTTTTTTTCCACACAGTCTTGCTCTGTCACCCAGGATGGAGTGCAGTAGCACCATCTCAGCGCGCTGCAGCCTCCGCCTCCCAGGTTCAAGCTATTCTCATGCCTCAGCCTCCTGAGCACCTGGGATTACAGGCATGCACCACCACACCTGGCTAATTTTTGTACTTTTAGTAGAAATGGGTGTTCACCATGTTGGCCAGGCTGGTCTCAAACTCCTGACCTCAAGTGATCTGCCTGCCTTGGCCTCCCAAAATGCTGGGATTACAGGCATGAGCCACCACATCCAGCCTGTATTCTATTAATTCCTAACCAAAAATAAAAAATTATTTGGGGAATTTTTATTAAAGTACATATGCGAAGATAGACTATTTTTTTTTAATATCCTTGAACAATATTTTCTAACTTTCTCTATGGGACATATGGGTTTCTAAAGGACATTCATGCATTTCATTAATTTAATTCAAGTACTTTCATGCTATAATTACAAACCGGATTTTTTTCTATGCTCCATTATGTTTTTTGTTTTCTATTAAGTTTCTAACTGGCTTTTGCTGATGTATAGGAATACCATTGACTTCTGTATTAGTCCATTCTTGCATCGCTATAAAGGAATACCTGAGGATGGTTAATTTACAAAAAGAAGTTTAATTGGCTTCTGGTTCTGCAAGCTGTACAGGAAGCATGGTGCCAGGATCTGCTTCTGGTGAGGTCTCAGGAAGCTTACAATCATGGTGGAAGGCAAAGAGAGATCAGGCGATGTCATGTAGTGAAAGCAGAAGCAAGAGATAAAAAAAGAGGGAGGTCCCAGACTCTTTTAAACAACCAGAGCTCACATGAACTAACTGAGCGAGAACTCATTTATTACCAAGGGGATGTTGTTAAGCCATTCATGAGGGATCTGCCCTCATGATTCTATCACCTCCCACCAGGCCCCACCTCCAACACTGAAAATCACATTTCAACATGAGATTTGGAGGGGACAAACATTCAAACCGTATCAACTTTTAAATACTAATCTTGCTTATGTCGCTTCTTTCTAACACCACCAAATTTATTTTTATAATTCGTCTGTAGATTCTGTTGCATTTACTATGCAGATAATCATTACATTGCAAATAATGTTTCTTTCTTTCCAAATGTTAGATATCACTTCTTTCTTCTTATCTTATTATATTGGCTTGACCTCCAGAAAAAACATTGAATGATTGATGATGGTGAATTTGTTGATTATCTTTTATATTTTTTAATGCTGTTGGTCTATTTCATTTGAAGCTGTGGTACTGGGTGCATGAAAATTTAGCATTGTTATATTTCCTCAAATGAAAAGCATTTTATTATTTTATATAGTAGCTTTCTTTATCTCTGTAAGGGTAACTCATCTATCAGCAGGTTTCATTGGCTGTGTATTTTGTGATTTATGGTCTCTTGGTATTTGTTTTGTTTTATTATTGAAATGTAATTCCCATACCTCTAGTTTTTTTAATAAACATGATTAAAGCTGTAAGTTTACTCTCACCTACTGTTTCACTGCATCTCACACATTTGAATGTGCAGTAATAACATTTCATTCTAAATGATTTTAAATTCTATTGTGATTACTTTGAGGCATAGGAGGAGTGGGTTTTTACTTAGTCCAAATTGTATATGTATTTTTAAAAGTTACATTTTACTTGTAAATTTCTAATTAAATTGCATTTTGGAAAGAAATCTGGTCTCTACAATGTCTTGGATTTTGTTAAAACTTTATGGTTTGATACATAGTGTTTATAAATGTTCTATGTGTGTTTGTCTATAAATGTTCTTGTGTGTTTATAAATGTTTTGTATGTATGTATGTACATCCTCTATGTTTTCATGAAGCCACATATATAATTTCAAGTTTGTTCTCAGTTTTCAAACTTCTGCACTCTCAATGAATTGGTAGCTGTTCAACCTATAGGTCTCTTTCTCTCTCTCTCAAAATATCTTCACCTATAGGTTAAAGAGCTACCAATAAATAAATATATTAATAAATAAATATATTAATATATTGGTAGCTCTTGACCTATAAGTCAAAGAGCTACCAATAAATAAATATATTAAATAAATATAAATAAATATATTAAATCTGCTCTTAAAAGTATAGCTACATCAATTTTTCTTATAATTCCATCAATTTTAGCTTCACATATTTTAAACTATATTACAAGGTCTACATAAGTTCATGTTCATTACATCTTATTCATGAATATTTCTACTGTAGCATGCAGGATACTATTAACTATTGCTGTTTAACAAACCAGCTAAAAATGCAACAGCTTAAAAAAATAAGCACTTATTATGACACATGAGTCTATGGGTCAACTGGACAGTCTTGTTGATCTGGGCCAGGTTCAGCTAATCTCAGCTGGGCATGCTCATGCATCTTGATCAGACAGTGGGCTGGTTGGGAGTTGGCTGCTCTGGGACGGCTTCAGTCACATGGCTGGTGTTGGCTGGCTGTTAGCAATAACAACAGATGTAACTGAGCCACAGTTCTCTCATCTCCCAGCAGGCTAGCCCTACCTTGTTCCCATGGCACTGCTGGGGCTCCAAAACCACAAAGGCTTCTTAAGAGCTATGCTCAAAACTGGCACAGCGTTACTTCCAGAACATTCCCTTGCCAAAGAAAGTCACAAACTAGCCCAGATTAAAGGGATTTAAATAAAAAAACAGAGAGAGAGACTTTTGTTAAGAGGACCTGCAAAGTTATTTGCATAAGGAGGGACAAAGAATTGAGCATGTTTTAAAAATCAATCTGTCACATACAATGCTTCTTCTTTCCTCAAAAAATGCTAAATATTTGAGACATATTAATACCGACCTACAGTAATTCCCCCTTATTGGCAGGGAATATGTCCCAAGACCTCCACTACCTGCCTGAAACCACGGATAGTACTGATCGCCATATATATGTTTTTCCTATACATGTATACCTATGACAAAGTTTAATTTATAAATTAGACACAGTAAGAGATTAACAATTGCTAATAATACAATAAAGCAATTATAACAATATACTGCAATAAACGTTATATAAATGTGGTCTCCCTCTCTCTCAAAATATCGTATTGTGCTACACCGTGGGTAACTGAAGCCATGGAAAGTGAAATTGTGAATAAGGGGGGACTACTGCATTTACGTAATATTTCTTTAGTTTTTTCTCATGAAGTCCAAATTTATTATCTCTATCTCACTTTCAAATAGGACAAGACACTTGGCATGTTTTAAATCAAGCTTGTCCAACCCACGGCCCACAGGCCATGTGCAGTCCAGGATGGCTTTCAATGCAACCCAACACAAATTCGTAAACTTTCTTAAAACTTTATGAGATTTTTCTTTTTACTTTTTTTTTGCTCATCAGTTGTCATTAATGTTATGTATTTTATGTGTGACCCAAGACAATTCTTCTTCCAAAGTGGCCAGGGAAGCCAAAAGATTGGACGCCCCTGTCTTAAATCATTAGAACTGCCCCATTTCTAGCTTTTACGTTATTATTGTCTAAAATTTTTCTTCCATTGTTTTATTTAAATCCAAAAAGGTGTGTGTGTGTGTGTGTGTGTGTTCATGTGTAGGTTTTACTCTAAATAGTTCATGAGTAACTACATATTTCCACAGTTTCTTTGTTTACAGTATTTTCTTGAACCTTACTTCTTTCTTCCATATTTGTTTTTCTTCTTGATGAATTTTATCATTTTGTAGTTCTTTGGGCTGTAATTTCCTTTACATTCTTTCTTTTTATTTTATTTCATTTTTTTGAGACAGGGTCTCATGCTGTCATCCAGACTGGAGTGTAGTGGTGCAATCACAGCTCATTGTAGCTTCGACTTCCCGGGCTCAAGCGATCCTCCTACCTCAGCCTCCAGAGTAGCTGGGACTACAGGTATAGCCACTATTCCTAGATAATTTTTTAATTTTTTGTAGAGATGGGAGTCTCTCTATGTTGCCCAGGTTGGTCTTGAAATCCTGGGCTCAAGCGATCTTCCCACCTCAGCCTCCCAAATTGCTGGGATTACAGACATAAGCACCACATTCAGCCCCTGCTTTTATGCTTAAACAAATTTTCTACGTAATTCTAGGGTGGTAATTATTTTATCTCTGCTCTTTGGGTGGGGATACACACACACACATACCTATAACATATATACACATATATATAACTTCAAAGCCAAAATTTCAAACATATTTTTAGGTTGGTGCAAAAGCAAACCTACCTAACATTTTTATGAAAATGTTGGGTTTACCAGCCATCCCATTACTGGGTATATACCCAAAGGACTATAAATCATGCTGCTATAAAGACACATGCACATGTATGTTTATTGCGGCATTATTCACAATAGCAAAGACTTGGAACCAACCCAAATGTCCAACAATGATAGACTGGATTAAGAAAATGTGGCACATATACACCATGGAATACTATGCAGCCATAAAAAAATGATGAGTTCTCATCCTTTGTAGGGACATGGATGAAATTGGAAATCATCATTCTCAGTAAACTATCGCAAGAACAAAAAACCAAACATCGCATATTCTCACTCATAGGTGGGAAATGAACAATGAGAACACATGGACACAGGAAGGGGAACATCACACTCTGGGGACTGTTGTGGGGTGGGGGGAGGGGGGAGGGATAGCATTGGGAGATATACCTAATGCTAGATGACGAGTTAGTGGGTGCAGCGCACCAGCATGGCACATGTATACATATGTAACTAACCTGCACATTGTGCACATGTACCCTAAAACTTAAAGTATAATAATAATAAATTAAAAATAAATAAATAAAAAAGAAAAAAAGAAAAGGTTGGGTTTAATAGTAAGTTGATTTAAAGGAAAATAATCAGTAAAGATTAGCACAGAAAGTGTACAGGTAAAGCAAAAATAATGCAATGTTACCCAAAAAGAAAAAAAAAAAAACTGAAGTATGAGAAACGCCGTTTAAGCCATTCTAAGTTCCCTCCTCCCCCACCACACTGGCCAGCTGTCCCCGCCAAGCCTCTGTGGATAAGCTAGGTGAGCTCTCAAAGCAAATCCGAAAAAATGCAAAAGTTTAGGACTTCCCTTTCTACAGCCTTTCCCAGAATTACCTGACACACTGCAAAGGTGCTACCTTTACCACTTTCAGCGGAGGGAAATATTAAATGCAGGATCCAGCTCGAAAGGAAGAAACTAGAAATAGTTGGTTGTCAAGCATGAAGAAACATCTGAGATGTCTTCAAAATCCCTAAGAGAAGAATCACCATTAACAGGGATAAATCAGGCTTTGCTCCATTGATTTTGATTTTCAGAATCTCATTCCTCACACTCCCATCTGTCCTTCTGATGAGTCTGCAGTTTAGACGCAGCTCACAAGAGCCTCCTCTTAATGCTATTAAGTAAAGTAGTCAGTGTGAACTTAATACCACATCTCCCCTGACACTAAACGCGATATCCAAATTTAAGCCCTTCCCATATGTTCCCATTGCCAGACTGGACTTGCTTAAGTGGAAAGTCTAACTAATGCTCAGAAAACTTTACTTTTACAGAGTCAATGCTGCAGTGAACTGTGCCACAGAGTGAACTGGTGCCTCTGCTTTCTTTGGGCTTGTTTTTCCTCTGTGAAGCTGACAGGGGGCATTTTTTTTTCAAGTTCCTAGGCCTCAGAACTCCAAAAGAATGATAATTCCTTTCAAGCTTTCATTGATAAATAATAGGATATGGGAAAACACTTTTAGAACTAGAGCATCCTTTCTTAGTAAGGATAAGGAAAAATGGATGCATTCATACATTGCTGAAGAAAGTGTAAATTCCCTCCCAGAAAACATCTGGCAGGGTCTATTTAATAATATGCATGATTTGCCCTCCAGCATTTGCAGTATTGTAAGATAGCCTATTATATAAGGATAAATTTATATAAGAATGTTTACTGCATGATTATTTACGATAGTGGCAGTACACTGGAAACTACTTCAATATTCATCAATAGGGAACTGGTTGAAGAACTATGATGGTCATGCTATGAATATTATGTAGCTATTAAAAATAAAGAGATGTATATGTATTGAACTAGAAGAATGCCCATGATATGTTATTAAGTGAAAAGTATTAAGTTATAAAGTAATGTGTAAAATGTCATCTCACTTTTCATTTAAAAAAGAAAAACTACATATACAAATATATAAATACACACACACAAGAAGAAATATACGTGTATACATGTAAATATATGAAAGAGTACCTCTACACACAAACACTATTAGCATTGGTTAGTACGAAGAAAAGGGATTGGGAGAAGATAGGAAAAATCCTTAACTTTTTATATATCTTTCACACTTTGACTTGTTACAGTGGTCATGCATTATTTTTATAAAGTAAAAAATATTAAGTTTTTTAAATTAAGCACAATGCATTCCAATCCTATAATATCAATATATTAAATAATATTATCAATACTATTCTCTTTAAATTGGGATACATCATTACTTTAATCATTCACTAGTTCATCTAATAGGCATTGCATCCAGTCAATCTATATTTAGTAATGTCTGACATACCAGGCACTGTGCTAAATTCTAGGATACAGCACAGAACAAAACAGACACAGACACTGCCTTCATGGAACTTATGGTCTACACGGCCAAAGAGATAGAGATATTAAACAAGTAAAGCATTTATAAAAGTTGTGACTAGAGCAAGGAAAGGAAAATATGGAATACTATGGAGGTGACAAGGAAAGCCATTCTGAAGAGAACACATGTAAGATGAGAAGATGTAAAACATGAAGATTTGGAAGATGTAAAAGATTGGGAAGTTTTACATCTTCCCAGAGATTGGGATCTTCCCCCTGAACAAGGGAAGGTGGAATGAGATGAGGTCAGAGAGAAGGGCTAGATATTACATAGCTATCTATGCCATGGGAAGGAGTTGGATTTTGTTGTGAAGTGCACATAAAAAGTCAACACAGAGGGCTGCCATGACGATATTTCTGTTATAGGGCAAACGCTGTATACACACCTGTGATAGAGACAGTTAAACAAGTAAGTATGGTGTGGGGCCATGACAGAGATCTATAGAAGCACAGTGAGGAATAACTAACTCTGCCTGGAAGGATCTGGAAAGGATCCCCAGAAGATACAACACTTGACATGGGTTTTAAAGAATGATTAACAGTTCACCAGGCTGAGGCCAAGACAGGTGGAGATGGGAATCAGGTAGAAAATGTAGACAGACAAAAGTGTGCATAGATGTAGATGCTTAAGAAAGAAAAACTTCAGAGGGAAATGAACCAGCCTTTCCATGTAGCTTGAGAATAAGATACATAGCCAGAGGGAGACAGTGGTGGATGACAGACAGTGCACAGACTTGGGGGACCTTTGTAGACCATCCTACTTTTTGGAATTTATCCTATAGGACACAGGATTTTTAAAAACAGAAATGTGTAATAATCACTTCTAATAATTATACTACATTCCAATTCATCACTCCATGAACCTTCAATTGTTCCATAAAAAGTTAAGACATGATCATAATTTTTGAATTGGATTTTGCTATCATATGGCAAATGCATGTTTAATGCTAAGAGAAACTGCCAGTTTTTCAGAATGTTTATACCATTTTTAACTCCACCAGCAAAGTATGAGAGTTCCATTCACCTCATTCTCTCACCAACACTTGATACTGTCAGCCTGTGTAATTTTAGCCTTTCTTTTGGGATGTAGACTGTGTTAGGTTGTTCTTGTATTGCTATAAGGAAATATAGGTATATTGTTCTGGCAGCCCAAGTAGCTTAATACAGTGGTGTACCAGTATATTGTACCAGTATATTGCTGGGTAATTTATAAGAAAATAGGTTTAAGTCATTCCTGTTTTGCAGGCTGTACAGGAAGCATAGCACATCTGCTTCTAGTGAGGCCTCAAGAAGCTTCCAATAATGTTGGAAGGCAAGGAAGACCAGACATGTCACGTGGCAGGAGCAGGTGCAAGGGAGAGAGTCAGGGGAAAGGAGCCACACACTTTTAAACAATCAGATCTCACGAGAACTCACTCACTATCACAATGACAGCACCAAGGCATGAGGGATTCACCCCTATGACCCAAACACCGCCCACCAAGCCCTACCTCCAACACTGGGGATCACATTTCAATATGAGATTTGGGGTGACAAATATTCAAACTGTGTCATAGAGGTATCTCAGTATTATCAACATTGAGCATCTTTTCATATGTTTATTGCCCATTGTAATATCTTCTTTTGTAAGTGCCTGTTCAAGACTTTTGCCCATTTTTAATTGAAATATTCATCTCTTTATTATTGATTTGCAGGAGTTCTTAATAAATTCTGGATTCATTTGTTTCACATCTAGTCTAATTCCAGGCAGAGAAATAGAAAGAAAATGAATCTTGACAGAAAATGAAGAAGGCAAAGAGAGTATGTATAGACTATCTAGTATATGTCAACCAAGTTGCTAGGTAGGCTTAATTTGTTACTTAATTTTGTCCTCCCAGCAGCCCTTGTAAATTGGTTTCATTGATCCTATTGAATAAACGAGGAAACTGAATCTAAGAGGGGTTAAGAGACTGAGCCAGGGTCACTCAGCTATGATGTAGCAGAATCTGAGCTGACTGAAATCCATATCCCGACCCCTCTGAAGTTAAAAGTCTGCCTCTCCAGATGGGCCTCAGCTCCCTCAAGATCCTGGGGTTGACAAGGTTAATGTGACTTCTTTGGACTTCTCCCTAAATAAATCAATTTATTTCCTAGTCCTGGCTCTAACTGGAGGATTTAATCTGCTAATGGTCCTTTCCACTGAGACACATGTTCACCATCTTTTAACCAGGGACCACATCTCCATGAGTACTAGCTTTCAAGGAGCTGCAGATCAATGCCTGTTACTCCATCTGCAAATTCTCTATCCTGAAAAGTTTGCCTCGAATAGATAAGCTGGACCCTGTCTTGCAATGAACGGTAATAGGTGTCTGACAATTGCATCCACGAGGGGAGTCAGCGGGTCTTGACAAAAACATGTGCCCTGTAAGTGCTATGTGAAAGCTAGCAATAAAGATTCCCACTAGATGTAACTGGCATTGGGATTTCACAAACACAGAGAATCTTAGAGGAGAAAAGTACCTCAGAGAATCTAATCCAATCCCTTCATGTCACAGATGGAGAAATGACGACAAAGTCATTTTCTTAAGACACAAATCTGACAATGTCATTCCCATGCTTAATGCCTCCTCATCAGCTACAGGATAATAATAACAGTAACAACAACACTATTTCATCCAACGCTATCTGCCATCAATTATAAGTTGTATCATCATTTTTGTTTACCACTAAGAAAGGAAAAGATATCTGCCAATTAAACTATGACACATAGCCCAGGGGGATATATGAATTGCTCACACCAGCGTCTTGTTGCTTTGAATGTTTTTCATCTATTTTGAAGAATTTGACAATCTCTGTTGCCATCAGTTGTAATGCTTTGTGTTCAACAGGCAATCCTTTTGCGTGCACCACATTAATGAAATTTTAATACAGCATCATCTCTTATAGGTGTCTCCCTTCTTAAAGCCTGTAAAAATACTTGGGTTTGCTTTGCAAGAAAATATAGGATTATTGTTATCCCACCAATGAATATTTGCTTCACTACTTTCAAATCTACTTTCTACCACTCTGTTTTGATGCCTTTCTATAGATACAATAATTTTTTATTTAATACCAAATTATAGTGTATTATTTTTAAGATATTTTAAGTGGCAACGAAATTAAACATTTGTCATATCAACAATACTTATCATGTTACTGAAGTCAGAACATGGATGGCTACACCCAAGGTCACACGTGTACGGGCAATGTCACATCTGCTGCCTACTTAGCAGCAATTGTAAAGTATTACACACTATAAGTCACATCTAAAGTTCAGGCATGTTATACTACAGAAGAAGAAAAATGTGCATCTTAGAATCAATGAAGTAAAAGGATAAAAGCCAGCACTAATTGAGCATTTACTATATGCCAGTCATTTCTGAAGTCTTTTTCAAGTCTAATGAATTTAATTTTCAGGGGCGGGACAAGATGGCTGACTAGACACAGCCGGGATATGCCTCTCTCACCAAGAGAAACAAAAATATTGACTAAACCATAACATTTCAAACAGATCTTTTGAGATAAAATGCTGAAAGCCAATAGAGAGGTGATGCAAACACTGTGGTTGAAGAGGGAGGAATCTGAGAGGCCTGCATAGAGTTGCCAAGTATCAGGATCAGCTCTTGATCCAGAATAGGTCCTAAGGAAGGCGTGAGCGAAAGAACACCAGGGCACCACACTCCTGCCATGGACCTGTGGGACCCTAGCTACAAGAGATCCCATGATCCCCAAAGCCATGTGAATTGGCAGGTGGAATTTCCCAGAGAGTAGGAAGAGGCAGAGCTTGAACCTGTGTGAAGCCCAGGAGGCTCTGCCTGTGGGACAGCTGAGGCAAAACGCAACCACAGCCGCCCATCCCAGGCTCTCCACCTTGCCCTGAGTGAGATCTAGCCCCTGCTGACTGCCAGGCCGGGAGAGAGCAGGGCTGTCCATCCTGTGATACTGGGTCACACCTGATGTGCGTGTCCCATTGTCCTTCAGTCCCTCCCAAGGCCCCTCCCTGGCCGCTCGTGCAACAAGGTGCCCACAGCCCAGCCTCTACTGCCCCGACTGAATGTTTTGCCATCCACCCAGGAGCAATATGGACCCCAGAACAGCCAAGGGCCCAGGTACAAACCTGTGGGCCCAGTGTTAACCCCTCAGCATTCAAGCACACTGCCCAGGAGTAGTAAGATGAGATCTGTGGCCTGAGATCGAGCTACCACTCTCAGAACACTGAGAAGAGTGAGCTGTGGGTTTGTGTGCTGGTGCAGGAGCTGGGCATCCCTCTCTCCACAAGACCAGTCTGGGAAGGGGTATCCTGTTGGCCAGCTGCAGCTTCTGCCTGAGGGAGCCCCATGGCTTACAACACCTGGAGTAGCCCAGCAACCTGGGTGCAGATGGCTTGGGACAAAACTAGCTGAACAGACCTGCTCCTGGGGAAGTCAGCAGAGGAAGACTGTCAAGGGAACATGAGATGGATGGTCCCACCGCTGTCTTCTGGGCAAAAAGCCCCAGACCAAGGGCACCATACCAGTTGATATGGTTTGGATTTATGTCCCCACACAAATCTCATGTTGAATTGTAATCTTCAATGTTAGAAGAGGGACCTGCTGGGATTTGACTGGATCATGGGGGCAGACTTCCCCCTTCCTGTTCTTGTGATAGTGAGTTCTCATGAGATCTGATTTTTTTAAGTATGTAGCACCTCTCCCTTCTCTCTCTTCCTCCTGCTCCAGCCATGTAAGTTGTGTCTGCTTCCCCTTCACCTTCTGCCATGATTGTAAGTTTCCCAAGGCCTCCCCAGCCATGCTTCCTGTACAGCCGGTGGAACTGTGAGCCAATTAACCTCTTCTCTTTATAAATTACCCAGTCTCAAGTATTTCTTTATAGCAGTGTGAAAATGGACTAATACACTAGTTATGCACCCATGGCACCATTGCTCCACCCAGAAATCCTCTGGCCTTGACCCACTGCATCAGCAGATCACCCGCAGACATACCCTACAACCTGCTCTGACTCTGCCAAGCTCAGGGAACCAGCAGGCCCCCAGGGAGTTGTGGGTCCCCCGGTGACCTAACCTTTGGCTTCTGCTGCCCCTAAGAGGGGGGAAAGTGCAGCCCAACTGGGACCTCCTTAGGGCTAAGGAAACATGGACACAGCACCAATGACTGGAGAGGATCCCTAAGGCCTAGGAATGGATTTTGTGAGGGACTCATCTTCCCCTGCCACCACCACTACCATCTCCCTCTCCCCAGAGTACTGCTGTGTACACACTGAAATACAAAGGAGGCCTATGGCTGAGTAAAAGCCTATCTGCTGGCTTTTATTGTCAAGTGCCATCTACTGGATCTCAGCTTAAATTACGCCACCAAACAAAAACAAATTCCTTCACCATGTATCATCTGTGAAACAATGCAGAAAACTAGCCACAACTAAGGAATCCATACAGAGCCTGGGCCCCCTGAAAACACCCAGAAATGAAGCCAATTGACTATACACAACACATACCACAGTCAAACCCTCAAAAGAAAAAAAGAACATAAGAACAAAAAGCCCCCTTCAAATGACAGCAATTTCAAAAAGATAAAGAAACACCAGCCCTCTCAGATAAGGAATCAGTGCAAGACCTCCAGCAATTCAAAAAGTCAGAGTGTTTCCATATCTCCAAATGATCAGACTAAGTCTCCAGCAATATATCCTAACCATATTGAAATATCTGAAACGACAGACCTAGAATTCAGAATCTGGATAGCAAAGAAGCTCAACAAAATTCAACAGACAGTTGAAACCCAATCCAAGGAAGCCAGAAAAACAATCCAAGAGTTGAAAGATAACATAGCTTCTTTTCAAAATAATCAAACTGAACTTCTAGAACTGAAGAATTCATTATATGAATTTCAATATATAAGTGGTAGCCTTAACAACAGTCTAAACCAAGCTGAGGAAAGAATTTGAGGGTTGAAAGACTGGGCTTTCAGATGAATCCAGCCAGACAAAAAAATAAAGATTTTTTTAAAAAATAAGCAAAACCTTCAAGAACTATGAAACTATGTAAAGAGACCAAACCCATGGCTCATTGCAGGTTTGGTTCTTGAAAGAGGAGGAGAGAGAGAGTAAGTCACTTGGAAAACATATTTGAGGATACAGTCTATGATGATTCCCCCAATCTGAATAGAGAGGTCAACATGCAAATTTAAGAAAGTTGGAGAACCCCTGTGAGACACTATACAAGATGACCATCCATCTTCAGGACACAAAATCCTCAGAGTTTCCAAAGTAAGTGTGAAAGGAAATCTTAAAGGCAGCTAGAGAAAAGGGTCAGATCTCTTACAAAGGAAGCCCTATCAGGCTAACAGCATACTTCTCAGCAGAAATCTTACCAGCCAGAAGAGACTTGGGGCCTATTTTCAGCATGCTTAAAGAAAAGAAACAATATCATATCCCACCTAACTCAGTTTCACAAGTGAAGAAGAAATAAAATCTTTTCCAGATAAGCCAACACTAAGGGAATTCATTACCATTAGATCAGCCTTACAAGAAATATTTAAGGGAGTTCTGAACATGGAAACAAAAGAACAATACCTTCTACCACAAAAACACACTTAAGTAAATGGCCCACAGACCCTACAAAGTAACTACACAATTGAGACAACAAAGCAACCAGCTAACAACACCACGAAAGGATCAGAGTCTCCCATATCAGTATTAACCTTAAATGTAAACAGTCTAAACACTCCACTC
Organism: Homo sapiens; assembly: GCF_000001405.40. Lineage (NCBI taxonomy): Eukaryota > Metazoa > Chordata > Mammalia > Primates > Hominidae > Homo > Homo sapiens. The sequence continues at coordinate 130,690,999 of NC_000008.11, read as the reverse complement.
AAAAGGCAAAAAGTGGCATGTTGTACTGAAAAAAAAAAAGACACCCAATCATGTGCTGTCTTCAAAAGACCCATCTCACACATAACAACAACCATAGGCTTAACATAGAGAGATGGGAAAAGATCTATGATGCAAATGGAAAACAAAAAAGAACAGAGGTTGATATTCTTATATCAGAAAAAATAGACTTTTAACCAACAACAGTTTAAAAAAAAAAGGACAAAGAAGGCCATGAAATAATGATGAAGGGATCAATTCAACAAGAAAACTTGACTATCCTAAATATATATGCACTCAACATTGGAGCACTCAGATTCATAAAACAAGTACTTCTGGACCTACAAAAAGACTTAGACAACCACACAATAATAGTGATGGACTTCAGCACTCCATTAACTGTGTTAGACAGATCATCAAGGCAGAAAATTAACAAAGAAATCCTGGACTTAAATTCAACACTTGACCAATTGGACCTAATAGACATCTACAGTATACTCAACAACTAAAAAATACATATTCTTCTCATTTGCACACAAAACAAACTCTAAGGAAGGCCCTACAGATCCATTTTATAGATGAGGAGCTACACCCCAGAGAGACTGACAAACTTTCCCGAGGTCACATGACTAGCAAATAGAAGTAGTCAGCAAACCAGGCAGTATTGCTCTTGAGATCTTCTAACCCTATGCTATATTGACACTGTAAATCTAAATTTCATATTATTCTAATTCAAGGACCTATGTATTTGGGTCTGGTCTGTTCTCTGCATATCCATCTCACATAGCTCCTGTCTTTAAACTTTGTGTTTCAGTGGTGCTTTTACACTCTACACTGCCCCACCCTTTCTTGCCTTTCCTCTCTCTGGATTCCTGCCCTCTTGTTGCTTCCTCTGGTCAATCTTCCTTCATCTTTCAAGATTCAACTCTGATGTCACCTCCCCCAAGAAGCTTGCTATGATAGCTCCTTCCAAAATGTGGGTTAGGTGCCTGCCCTGTGCTTCTGTGATACTTGAATTTCCCTCTATAGGAGCATTAATCACATTGTATTTTCATCATCCATTCACAGGACTGATAGTCAAAATGCACTGGTTCAGAGTCCTGGCAAGCAACTTCACCAATTAGGCAGAAACTTATGTCGGTGGGTCAAGGCCTGTGGCTGCAAATCATTCAAGGGTGTTGACAGCACCACCACATTTACTTATCTATCTCTCCTAACTAATGAAGACTCTTCACATCCTCATGATGGAACCCTACACTTAGAACATATTAGGCACTCACTAATTGAATTCCAAAGTGAATTCAATTGAAATTTTCTCAAGGTCATACAGCAAACAACCACAGAACGAGTCTGTTCACTTAGTCTTGGACGTTCAGAGTACAGACTTTGGAGGATCCATCCCACCCCCATTAGAGAAATCCAGCACACAGACAGGCAGAGAGGTAGGAAGAGCAACGTCTGTGAGAAACAAGAAACAAGCCATGGAGAGGAGACCAGGAGAGGCACCAGAGCCCTCTGCTCATTCAGTGAATATCAGAGCCAAGAAAACCCTTAAGAGATTTGATCTGTCAGTTCTAGAAGAGAGGAAATCAAGGCCCAGAAGAGGTGGTTCCTGGCCCAAGGCCTCTGGCCAGTAGAGGCAGAGCTGGGACCAAAACAGAAGTTTTGGTCGCCCATCCCCTCCACCCACAGGGCAAGAGCACTGGCTATTGAGCCCTTCAAATTCAAAGGCAAGAATTGCAGCAAGTGGGTTCCTATAAGTAGACCAGAAATTATAAAAAGACCACTTTCCTCTTGGAAGGCTTGTTCTTTAGCCAGGAATTTACTTGCTACATTTAGGAACAAGACAGATGAATCAGAGTTAAAAATGAGTTTGAGAAGTGTATATAAGAAAAGTGTTGAAGGACTCTCTCAGGACAAATTCACCAGTTAATAATCACAAAAATCCTGACAGAAATCAGCCATCCTTGTCATGAAAGACAGGTGATGAATCTAAGCCAAAAAGTGGAACATTGTGACTGGGCCTAACATCAAATCCAATCAAAACTGTCAGGCAGCTAATGTTCACCCCAAAGCATCAATAAGCTTCATAGCACCTAGGTTTGTAATCAATTTCCCACCAAAATAATGGAATGATTATGGACCTAGAAGAAGATAATAAGTCCTGAAGGGCAGGAGGGGTAAAGGAGGGTATGAAAACAAGATGCTAACATTACTGAGCCCCTGTTTTTTTGCTTAATCCCCAGTGGTTCTACAGCCATTACGCCCATTTCACAGATAAGGCAACTGGGACTCACAGAGGTGAAGTGTCTTGCCCAAGATCTCAGGTCAGGTAAGCAGTGGTGTCAGTCAGGGACTGGTCAGGCAAACAGAAAACAGTCTAGATGTTTTAAGCTGAAAAAGATTAGGCATGTTAATCCTAATTAGGCATTAGGATCTTACAAGACTGTTGGAGGGACCCAAGAAGTGAATGTTGGGGGAATAGGGGGACAGATTTGCCCATCACCAGCTTTCAGGTTTATCTCTGCAGCTAGGGTATAAGGATTGCCTCCCAAAGATAAGGATAATTCAGAAAGACATTGTCAATGCTGTACCTCCTCCAAAGCCCCAAATAGATAATGACTGTTAGATAAATAGAGAAGCTGCTGCAAAGAATCTCACATTTACCAAAACTACACATCTGGCCCTGCTGCCAGTTGGGGGGTGGGTGGGGGAAAGCTTCTAAAAGCTTCTACTTCCCTTCCTCCATCTATGTCTCAGGCAAGTGCATTTCACTGGAAGAGCCTTTTCATATCAGGAACCATCCTGGCAGATGAGTAAAGGAAATATAGTTCCCAGGCTTCCAACCCCTGCAGTGCAGGGGAAAGCATCAAAGGGGTGAGCATGGTGCTAGGGTTCACAGATAATATCCAGAAAAACAGTTCAGCTGAAAACCAAACTCAGGTCTGTCTGGTTCCAAAACTTCTACTTTCTCCACTAGCTCTTCTTCTAACTTGAGGAGGATCTCTAAGAAAACAAGTAAGAAAAGTTAAAGGTTTCCATGGGATGATAAAAAGTATCTCTGTATTGCTTTCCAAAAGAATTAAAAGGAGTAAATAGTTACATACTTTGATTTTTAAATTTAATAATAGTAGAATTACTTATTACCAGGAAAGTTGATCTATACTCAAGTTAACTGAAAAGAGTTTATGGATAATTCTTTATTGCTATATATACAGTATCTGTTCAGATATCACTAATTTCTGAACTCATATACAAGGAGGAAAACTGAAAATCTAACAATCTACTAAAAAAAACTTAAATAGCTTCAAAGTTTATGATATGATTTTACAAGCATTATCACATTTGAGCTTCAAGACAACCTCACAAGTGGGAAAACTGCATATTACTCCTGTTCCATGTCACAGGAGAAATGAAGCGTGAAGTTAAGTCTTCTAACATACTGAGTTACGCCACTTGACACCACACTAACATCAGGGCCTCTCAACTCTCATCCCAGCCCTGCTATGACCTTGCTGTGTGACCTTGGATCAACGTGTCACCTTTCTGGAACCTTAATGCTGACATGTTTATTTACCTGACAGAATTGTTGTGAGGAGCATTCATGTCAACACATTCATGAAACATCTATCCTGGCTATGTTCTGAATTCAACACATCCATGAAACATCTATCCTGGCTATGTGCTGAATTACATTCAATTATGCCTACAAGGAATAAACTTGGATAAAGTTAAAAGAGCTATACAAGTGCAAACAATTAGCATATCAATTTTCTTTTTTTGGTGTTTGTCTCTTTCCAATAAAAGCCAAATGTATGGGAAATTTTGGCTTAGTATTCCCACCTGTTTCTTTTTAACTGAAACTAGAAAAAGAGGTCCCTGCCCTAAAGAAACTTACAATAGAAAAGACAAAACATGAGCAGATAGGTCTTGTCTTACCCACTTTTCCTCTCAACTTTTCTAGGGTCAATGGTGGTTTTCATGCAATGTGGAATTTAATAAAATACTGCCATATTTCATGCAATGTGGAATTTAATGAAATACTGCCATATATATACGCATATATGTATACATATATACATATATATATATATACAGTATATATAATATACATATATACTGCCATGTATTTTGTGATTGTCAGATTGGTCTCTACAACTAGATTTCAGATATCTTGAGGGCATAGACCCATGAAGGACGATTAGTTTTGTCTTGAACGCCAAAGCTCATTAATTGGATGACATCACTGCTCCAAATGTGGTCCAAAAACCAGCAGTATTGGTGTCACCTGGAAACTTATCAGAAATGTAGAAAATAAGACCCAACTCCAGATCTACTTACTCAGAATCTGCACTTTGACATAATGCCCGGATAAGTCATGTGCCCATTAAAATGTGACAAGTGCTGACCTTGATAATGGTGATAAGAAAGATTCTGAGGCTCTCAGCTGCAAAGAGCACTTCAATAGTTGTGTGATATTTTTTCATGGCCAAAGGGAACAAGAAGCAATAAATGTATTAACCTTGACAAAGACCAAATCTTGTATTTCTATATTTCCCACATCCCCACACATAATTCTGGGCAGAATTTAAGTACAGTAGATTCATGACACTCATATAATGAACTTATCTGAGTGCTTTACTTACAACCAAATTTATAGGTACCATTAAACCATATAGACATCACAAAGGCCTATGACCTCCTCCATAGCATGCTCCATAGTATAACTGTAAATGGAGTTGCTATGGAACTGACAGAGACAAAAAGTAGATTAGGGGTTACCAGGGTCTGGGAAGCAAGTGGGGAATTCTTGCTTCATGGTCATAGAGTTTCTGTTTGGGTTAACAAAAAGGGTTTTGACATAGATGGTGGTAACAAGTCAAACAACATTTTGAATATAATTAATGCCACCAAATTGCATACTTTAAAATGGTTTAAATGGCAAATTGTATAATACATATTTTTACCACTATAGAAAATGAATTTAAAAAAGGGAGAGCTGCTATGGGTCAGGAACATTGTGTATGAGATGGTGTGAGGCTGGGATCCATAGGCCAGTATCCAGCAAGGCTCAAATCCTGCCTTCCACCCATTTCTGTGCAGTCCCTCAGGGGAAGGGCCACAAAACCAATAAAAAAGGCAAAAGAGCATGTATTCCCAGCTAAGTGGTTACTTAATATTCACAAAAGGTATGAAAATGTCATAAGTCTTCTAAGAGAAGTGAGAGGTGACAGCTTGGAGGAGAATCAGGTGCCTGGAGATTGGTGGAGGCTGGGAAAGAGTGAAAGCCCTGATCTGACAGAGGGTTCGGGGATGTCCCAGATGGGCGATAGAACAGGACTGAGGAAGGGCAAAACATGCCTGGGCTTGCCAAAAGATTGGAGAAGTTACAAAATGGGGCAATTTCATAAAAGGGCTTTATGATCATGATAAGGAACTATAATTTTTTGAGGGGACACAGTCTTGCTCTGTCACCCAGGCTGCAGCACTGTGGCACAATCATGGTTCACTGCAGCCCCAACCTCCCAGGTTGATATGGTTTGGATTTGTGCTCCCACCCAAATCTCATGTCAAATTGTAATCCCCCATGTTGGAAAGGGGGCCTTTAGGAGGTGATTGGACCATGGGGTCAGATTTCCCCCTTGCTGTTCTCACAATGGTGAATGAGTTCTCACAAGATCTGGTTGTTTAAAAGTGTATAGCGTCTCCCCCTTCTTCCTCTTCCTTCTGCCCTGGCTATGTGAAGATGTGCCTGCTTCCCCTTCACCTTCCACCATGATTGTAGTTTCCCAAGGCCTCCCCAGCCATGCTTCCTGTACAGCCTGCAGAACAATGAGCCAATTAAACCTCTTTTCTTTATGAATTACCAAGTTTCAGATATATCTTTATAGCAATGTGAGAACAGACTAATATACGGGCTCAAGCAATCCTCCCATCTCAGCCTCCTCAGTATCTGGGACCACAGATGCATGCCACCACACCCAGCTAATTTTATTTTTTTTAGAGAGAGTGTCTCACTATGTTGCCTAGGCTGGTCTTGAACTCCTGGGTTCAAGTAATCCTCCCACCTCATTCCTGTAATCCCAGCCTCCCAAAGTGCTGGGATTACAGGAATGAGCTACCACACCTAGCCTTATATTTTTAAGAGACAGAGTCTTACTCTGCCACCCAGGCTGGAGTGCAGTGGTACAAACATGGCTCACTGTACCCTTGAATTCCTGGGCTCAAGCAATCCTCCTGCCTCAGCCTCCTGAGTAGCTGTTTGACCATGATAAATCCCCACACATTAGCACTAGTATAAAGGTTATCTGTTTATTTACCCTTCAGCAGAATAGAGACCTTAGTCAAGCCATGACAGCCAGTGAGTGGCACATCTGAACCAACCTTTTGGATCCTGAATGCTATCCCTTTCCCTCCACCGTTTTGAGCCAAGGACTATGGCAAGGATTTCTGTCTATCACAAATTATTCATGAGAGTCTCTGTCCTCCTTTGTCCTGGTATGTCTCACAAGAAGCAACAACTAACAGTTTGAAACCATCAATATAAGACTTTAATAGATTTAAAGAGTGGGGCCTGTACCCCAGCCAACCACTTCTCTAGTCCTTTGAAGTCCAGCAGTTGTTATGGCCAAAGACCAGAGGGCCAGAGAAAACAATTAGCAAATGCATGAATGTGGGCTCTGTTTATTCTTTTCTTGTGAGGGGTAATCATGTGTTAGTTGAAGTGAGATCTTATGACTCAATTACATGTTGGCTGAGCACAACCACTGCTAAATTAATAAGAGATGATTATTTCATACCAAAAACATCGCCAGCTTCTTCAACAATAAATATGAATTGCATAAATAAGGTAACCAACTGTCCCAGTTTGCCCACCAGGACAGCTGTCTAGTGTGAGAGGCTCTCTAGTGTGAGAGGTTCTCTGGACATGAGATTTTCAACACTAAAACTAAGAAAGTCCTGAACTAACTGGGAAAAGTAGATCATCCTGTGTGTGTACCTACCATGTGCTACACAGCATAGAGAAGTGCAGAAAGAAATGAAATATAAGCCTTTTCCTCAAAGACATTAGAATGATGGCAGAGGTAGTTTTAATGAGAATGTGCCTGTTTCTGTGCATTTCCACATATGTGACCTTCTCTCTGATAAATGAAAGGCATCCATCTGCCATGGCAAAAAAGTAGAAAGATGTGGCTGGGGGTGGTGGCCCACGCCTGTAATCCTAGCACTTTAGGAGGCCAAGGTGGGTGAATCACCTGAGGTCAAGAGTTTGGGAGTAGCCTGGCCAACATGGTGAAACCCCGTCTCTACTAAAAATACAAGAATTAGCCGGGCGTGGTGGCATGGCCCTATAATCCCAGCTACTCAGGAGGCTGAGGCAGGAGAATCACCTGAACCCAGGGGCCGGAGGTTGCAGTGAGCCAAGATCACACCACTTCACTCCAGCCTGTGGGTGAAAGAGCGAAACTCCATCTCAAAAAAAAAAAAAAAAAAAGAAAGAAAGAAAAGAAAAGAAAGTAGAAAGATGTGTGTGATTAGAACTCTTGGAGCAGAAATGCAAAGACAAAAAAAGCACATTTGCTATTCATCTTTTGAATAGTAAAATAAAATTATCAAGACAGTATTTTGAGCAAGGCACAGAGAATACTTAGGATGTGATGTGGTGGAAATCCCACCCGATAGGGAAATTGCTAAGCTTTCCAACCCAGTGCAGAAATAAGAAAAAGGTTGGGAGTACGCAATCAGACACGTGTGCAATGGCTTCCACCTCCAGAATTCCAAAGCAGAGAAGCAGACAGTTGGAGGGCTTTGCTGCACATCCGTGATACCCTGGTCACCTGCTAACACGGGGCAGTCACACAGGCTTGATTGGTGATTAGCACAGACAAGGCAGAAAAACAACCTAAAGTGCCCTCCTGAGGTCCATCAGCCCCTTCCTACCCACAGCATGGAAAGGACCCAGAAGCCTATGCCTTCCTGGTGAGGGGAGTGGAAGGTAACTGCACTGAGAACCCCAGCAAACCTCACAAAGCCATGTCAGGAAGCAAAGTGGCAGAGCCACAGGGAGCACGGGGGAAGGCAGGATAGAGCACAGGCAGCATGTGAGGAGACAGAAGCAGAGACAGGGAGAAACAGAGAGACAGAGAAAGAGGAAGAGAACAGATCCCAGATTCACCAGCTGTGTCTCAAGGTCATCTGGGCAAGTGACCTGGAAACCATCCCAAACCATCCAGAGATCAGCAGGGTAAACCTTCAGCCACCCAGGCCTCCTTTCCCACAGCCACAAAGGTACATAACTCCCCTTCCCAGCCAGACGCCACCTTAGGGAGGAAAGGGGATGAATTCTGGATGACTAAGCATTTGCCAAAATGAAAGTAAAAAATCGTCTAAATCAGAAGAGACTGAGATATAATTTATTGGCAAATAAAATTATTTCTGTCCTACCCCATCTTCCTGGCTTCCTCCCAACCCTCTATCCTATGCAATATGGGCTCATAACGATTCATCAATTATTGAAAATATGAACAAAATGAAAAAGAGGGAGAGTTATTTAAAGGTAGACTATTTCATTACTTATTGGATATGATTTGAAAATAAAGGCACAGGACAGGCACATTTTAAGTGAGAAAGACTTTGCTAAGACCTCATCGCATCACTCAAGAAGCTAGGTTGTGTTACAGTGAGCAATAACCCAAAATTTCAGCAGCTCAGGACCACAAGCATTTATTTTCTACTGTCACCACATGTGTCTTGTGCGTTGGTGGGTTGATGCTCCCTGAAATCCTTCAGGGACCCAGGCTAATGGAACAGCCACCATCTGGAATTTTGCCAGTTGCTATGCAAAGGGAAAACAGCTCAGAAGGGTCTCAAATCTGCAATTTAATGCTTGGGCCCAGGATGATGCTAACTACTACTCATAACTCATTGGCTGGGGCTAACCCCACTGCCCCACCCAACCACAAGGGGGCCAGAAACTTAATACTACCATGTGCCGGAAAATATTTGACCAATAGCATTAATGATTGCCCAAAAAGAAAAGCGAACTTTATTAATTCCTCGTATCATGCTGTTTCAACATCAAATGATTCAAAGTCAAACTGACTGCCTGTATAAGCTGATTAATTGGCTAAAAGTTTAAACAGCAGCAGACAGTAAATCATAACATTAGCCACATTGTTAGACTAAATTCTCCAAGGCCAGATCAGAATCCATGTCACATTTGTCTCTTTAATCTGCAGAGCATAGTGTTTATTAATATTCTTTAAGAAATATTAAATCCAGCCCTAACTGGTTTGTGCAAAAAGGAAACTGATTGGCTCATGTAGCTAAACAGATCTGGGTTTCAGGCTAGGCTGTATCCAGGGCTGAAATGATGTGATTGAGACAGTTTCTCTCTTTGTTTTTCAGCTCTGCTTTCTTTGCAGAGCCTCTATTCACAGGCAGGCTCTCCTCTTGGGGTCCCAAGATGTCTTCCAGTAGCTCCTGCAGCTTTGTGGTTGGGGGCAGGAGAAAAGGCTGCTTCCTGATAGTTCAAAGAAAAGTCCCCTAGCTGAGTCATGTGCCCATTCTTGAACCCATTACAGGAGGTACAGGAGCCAGGGGAATGGATTATTTGAGACAGTGTATATCAATCAGGGCTCACTCCAAGAGATGGAGATGAAAGTCAGGAAAAATGGATAAATTTGCTGAATACTTAGCATATGCCAAATAGTGTCCTAATAATTCTACAGAGTCACTTGATCCTGACATCAATCTTATGAGCCAGCTTTTACCATGATCTCCATTTCATAACAGAGGAATGGCTGAGTAAGGTCAACTCAGGTGCTTATGTTTACACAGTGGTAAGTGGTAGAGCTGAGATTCTAACCCATGCATTCTCACTAGGGAGCCCACACGTGTAACTACTATTCAAACTGGCCCTGTGCCCATCGCACCCAAACTCCTTGACTGGGAAATGTGTGGTGCAGTGGGAAGCAGGGAATTGCTGCTGGAAAGACAACCAGATCATGTCTGCCATAGTGCTCAAAGAAAAATAATTTTAAAGTTACAGAAAGAATGAAATCTGCACTATACCAAAATTGTATACAATTTTTACACAAAATTGTATAATTTTCATTAACATCCTGATTATGTAAACATAGAATCAACTATTTACACTGTTTCCCTAGACGTGCTGCACAGACATTTTAGTTGGGGCGTTCTTTCAGTCGTGTGTTTAAAAAGCGACTGTCACATGAACCTATGAACAGCCCTCTCCACTTCCACGAGGCTTTCCTTCATCTTCCCCTCTGGCTCCTGTTTCTTAAATCTCCAGGGTTGTGTCTACAAACCACTTGAGGTGCATTTGCATTTTCTCCCCACTTGTCTCTTTAGAGAACAGGAAAACTCCTTCCAGAAGCCACTCCCCTCATAAACATTTTCCTTGTATTTCTTTGGCCAAGACAAGTCATCTATCATCCCTTAACCAGTTATTCTCAAAGGGGGATGGAATTAACATAATTGGCTAGATTAAGCAAGACTCATTCTCTAGGCTGTGCACTGAGACCTCCTCTTCTAAGCCTGCTGCCAATATCCAAATCAAACTATCTTCTGTTAAGTAAGGTAGAAGGGGACAATGGCTGTGGGTAAGGACACATGTCTACCACTGTCCCACACCACAGCTGCTGCTACAGAGACCCCAAGAGAACAAGGCTGCCCCGCCAAGGGCATTATCCTTTTTCTCTGATAAGAGTGACTGAAGCTGCTTCCTGAGGACTTCTGCCACCACCGGACACTTCTCTATCACCCTCTTTCATCACCTCTGGTCATCAGCTTCCCCTGCAGATGTCCCCAACCACCACACTTAAACCTCTGCACCCCAGACGTGCCAGAGCTTCTCCAAGCAGCTAGCACAAATTGCTGGTTCATCTTATTCCTGGCTTTGTGATGAAGTATTAACTCTTAAGATTCTATGACGAGAAACTCTAATGATCCACATTTTACAAGAGAGGAAACCGAGGCTGTGAAAAGTTAAGCGAATTATCCAGGATCATGCAGCTAAAACATGCCAACACTTGAATTCAAAGCCAAGATAACTGAACTCTGGATTCTGACTCTTAACTATCACCTGTCCTACCAGGGTCATTTATAGGGATGCAGAGGACATAATCCTTTTGCATTTCTCTGGTCTGTGAGCAACAAAGCAGCTCACCTACTCTATGAGTTCAGTGAAAACCATTTTTCCATTTTTTGACTTACACTGCATTTGTCCCCCTACCACTCCCCCAAGACTCCTCAGACACAAGGCAATGATGGCAGGCCGAGACCATACCCTAGAAATAGACTCTAGACACACAGCCATATTGATTTTGAAGTGGGCCCTCCCATCCATTATCTAGAGCTTTTTTACAAGTCGGAGTTTCTCCTCAGTTTCTTCTTCCTGTTCAGTTTCTGCTTCCATTAGACTCAGTTCTTCTCCAGGAGGCTTCTCAGCCCCTCAAACAAATAGACTTGCAATGCCCCCACCACCTCCACCCCTGTCAGCCTGATCTGCCCAAATGCGTTGGAATGCCTGCCCCACAGTAGATACTGCCTGGGCTCCCTTTATTCTATTTCTTATTAATTATTATTCTGCTTGATAATAGTAACACAAACACCTTACATTATTGTTTTTCTAAAACACTATATAAATTACATCATATCCAGACAGAAAGATAAAAGCCACATAAAAACATTCTGGATGTTTCTTCTATGATTTTCCTAATCTGGGCACAAGAATCCTGACCAAAACTTCCAGGGAGGGTCTATGCAGTCCATAACTCAGAAAGGATCTGTAACCTGAAATTTTATTAGTAACCCAGATAACAACTGGATGCTAAGAGATTTATGTGTAATTAGCTAAAATCCCCTTTCTATAGTCTCTGGAAGTCCAGAACCCTCTTTATGGTTTCTGTGTCTTTCCAGAGCTTCCTCTCCTGACTCCCTTTAGTCAGTGCCTACATCTGCATTTGCTATCACTGTTTTGGATCATCTCACTCAAACTCAACTTCTTATCCTGTTTCCATAAAATACATACTTCCAGTAGACATTTGAGAGTTCACTTAAATTATATTAAATGTTATTAATTTTTAAATAAATAAAAATTAAGTAAATTTAATATTAACTTCAATAATGAATTAAATATTAATTAAATCTACTGAATATTTGTGGCTCACGTGACAAGATAGATTCAGGAGTACACCACTGTATTAAGCTACTTTGGCTGCCAGAACAATATACCACAGGATGGGTGACATAAACAACAGAAATGTATTCCTCATAGTTCTAGATGCTGGTGCCAGCTCAAGGTGCCAGCTGGTTCAGTTCCTGGTGAGGGCTCTTTCCTGGCTTGCAGACAGCCCCCTTCTTGCTTTGTCCTTTTATGGTCTTACCTCTGAACACGTGCAGGAAAAGACAGAGAAAAATCTTTCTCTCTCACCTTCTTTTTATAAAGCCACCAATTCTATCAGATCGAGACCCCACCCATATGACCTCATTAACCTTAATTATCTTCCTAGGGCCCTATCTCCAAAGAGTCACATTGGGGTTCAGGGCTTCAACATGTGAATTTCAGGGATATAAAATTCAGTCCATAGCAATCACCTTCCACTATATCAGTCATGCTTTTCTGCCTTTTCTTGTTTTATCTGTTTCCTCTCCCCTCTCTCCCTGCCACTCTAGTTGCACATGGAAGTACATATCCTGAATCCTCTGTTGTATAGAGCAATCCTCCCAGTCTACAGCTCCAGTTCCCAAATCTCCAAATTCAAATCAATGAATATGTTCAATAAAATTAAGGTCTCCTCTAAGTGCCTTTATAGAGAATATAAATATTCCTTATGTAGACAAGAATTTGGAGAATATATTAAAGACGACTCATTTAGTCTGCCTCTCTAGAGCTTCCATTCATTGGTTCTAATTCTATCTTCTAGAGTGTATTAGTTAGCCCTGGTACAATACTGCATGTTTTTAATGCCAAAATTTCAGGGGCCTACAACAATAAAATATTTTCCTCCCTTGCAGGTTTACAAGTCAGCTGTACCAGTTCAAGCAGCTGCTTTGGGCTATAGTTAAGTTCAGGTCTGTTCCGTGCATCTCTCATTCTGGGGCAAGCTGCCACCTGAGCCTTGCTCTTCTCTTGGAAAATGCAAGAAGCCAAGCCAAACTGCACAGGCCTCTGCTTGCATTATGTCCACTCACACGCCACTAACCAAAGTGCCAAGTCCATCAATGCAAAAGGGAAATGTACTCCTCTCTCAACCCCAGGGAGAGGGATGGGAAGATCATGGCTAGAGGGCAGCGTAAAGGAAGAGTTTATGAGCACACAGCACAGTCAGCCGTATGGATCAACATGGAATGAAGCAATTCTATGCACTCCTTCTGTCCACACTGTGTCCCTAGACATTTTAGAGCAAATCCAAAAATCTCTTTCAAATTCAATGATTCAGATAAGTGTCCCTGCATTACAGACTCCTCCCTCATCTGGAAGGCTGGCAGTAGAGTCTCCAGAAAAGTGTGTCTGGACTATGACATGATATGAGAAGGATTAGAAAGCATGGATATATGGAACCCTAGCTTCTCAGACGTAGAAGCGCCTTGGATCAGTGTATGCTTCTCATATCCTAGAACACTGAAGTAGACAGGTGGAGCTGCTCATGGCCAAAGGCATTGTGTCCAGGGAGCACTGCCACCCCAGCATATTCCTGGCTGCCCCTCAAGTTCAGAGATCAACGTCCCAGCACACTTGGAACTCATCACTGCTCACTAGTAAGGAAGATCTGCTACAGAGACCTTCACCTTGACACTCTGAAGCTAGAGGACCCTTAATAGCATCTCTAACAGGTGGTCCTCCACCCTCAATGTATCCCCCTCTCAGGGAAGGATACTCACCTCTCCCAAGGAAGCCCAGACAGTTTTGCACATCTCTAACTGCTTGACCCATTCCTTCATTCACCAGACATGCTATTTTATACCTGATACACCAGCCTCTGTCCTAGATCCTGAGATACAGAGAAGGGTCATTCATGGCTTCTCCCTCAAGGAGGACTTGTGGTAGTGAGAGAGACACAGCACACTCCAGTTATTGTAATATGAAGAATAAGTGATATGTGAGTCAAAGAAGCACCCCAAAAAAGCATGATCTAAGATATTAGAATTATTTATGTTGAGCTGAAGTGTTTTTTGTTTGTTTGTTTGTTTTTTGTTTTTTTTTTTGAGACGGAGTCTCGCTCTGTCGCCCAGGCTGGAGTGCAGTGGCGGGATCTCGGCTTACTGCAAGCTCCGCCTCCCGGGTTCACGCCATTCTCCTGCCTCAGCCTCCCAAGTAGCTGGGACTACAGGCGCCCGCCACTACGCCCGGCTAATTTTTTGTATTTTTTAGTAGAGACGGGGTTTCACCGTTTTAGCCGGGATGGTCTCGATCTCCTGACCTCGTGATCCGCCCGCCTCGGCCTCCCAAAGTGCTGGGATTACAGGCGTGAGCCACCGCGCCCGGCCGAAGTGTTTTTTGTTTTTTGTTTTTTGTTTTTTGTGTTTTTTTTGAGATGGAGTCTTGCCCTGTCACCCAGGCTGGAGTGCAATGGCGTGATCTTGGTTCACTGTAACCCCCGCCTCCTGGGTTCAAGCGATTCTCCTGCCTCAGCCTCCCAAGTAGCTGGGATTGCAGGCACATGCCACCACCCCCTGCTAATTTTTTGTATCTTTGGTAGAGACGGGGCTTCACCATGTTGGCCAGGCTGGTCTTGAACTCCTGACCTCATGATCTGCCTGCGTCGAAGTTTTTCTTTATGTAGCTGCTACCCATTTGTCCTACTGGCCCCATCCCTTTAGGAAACCAACCTAATTTCTCTTCTAAAGAGCATCTTAGCTGATATCTGAATCTACTGACCATTCATTTACCCCTATGTCTCCAAAGGGGAAAAGATTTGAGGTGAATCTAAATTTTCCAGATGGTAGATGATTGGCTCTATCTATAGGAGATCATCAGGAATGGTAGAAAGAGCATGGGTTTTGGGGTCAGATGCTTCCAGGTGTGAATCTCCCAAACCTTAGCCCTCTTGCAAGTCAATTTCTCAGAGCCTCCAGTTCCCGATCTGTGAAATGAGACCATAGCATCTCCCTTGTAGAGCCATAGTGGGGATTAGATGAGCTGGTGCGTGACTCACAAAGTTACTGGCATGGCACAAGCATTACAAAAATGGTATGGTGCTTCCCCTCTTTGCAATTCTCCAGCAAGCATGTTTGACCTTCAGTAACCTACTTTTGCTCAAAAACTGGTTATCATTTCACTTCACCGCCAGGTGGCAGTATCTGAGGCCATTGGGATTTCCTTCCAGCAGCTAAAGCAATAATGGAAAAACAACACAATATTAAAACACAGCTAGTAAGTGATAACTGGCTTCCAAACCAGAGCTCCAACATAATAAATATTTTCTCATCAAGCAGAACCTGCCAGCAGTATTTGATTTGCTTTGTAGCTGGGTGTTACATGATAAAGTGACTGAGCAGCCTGCTAATTCCGGAGCCGCGCTCTCAGTGAGGAGGAGAGAAATGATTTATGGAGAAAGCAAAAAGCAATGGTAGGAATCATGCCAGGTATGGTGGCTTATGCCTGTAATCTCAGCACTTTGGGAGGCCGAGGTGGAAGGATCACTTAAACTCAGGAGTTTGAGATCAGCCTGGGCAACATAGTGAGGCCTCGTCTCTATACCAAAAGAAAAAAAAAAGAGTCTAAATAAAAAAGAAGAATTTTAAAAAGCAATGGTAGGAATCAAGAATAAACTGTAATGGTTTTAAAAATTAAAATAAAAGATTCTTAATTTTAAACCACAACCTATAAAAAGGAAAAAATGAGAATCAGAAATCTAATCCCTCGTGTTTGGGAACCAACCTGAATAGAGCCTGGTGTAAAATATGTTTTTCACGGATACAGCCAGATATGCCGCAGATTGTATCATTTGTGTAAGTCGACAAAGGTATACCTTACCAAGTGTCTCCCATGTGTCAGGCCCAGGATTAAAAACATGATGGTACAATATGAAAAGAATCTTAGCATAAGATTGTCCAGAACACTATGGAAGCATCCAACGAGGATCATGAAGGCTTCTCCAGAGAGATGACATTTTAGCTAAGCACAAAGGGAGTGGACCTGCCGTGGTGAGTGGATGCTGGTAGGACACAGGAAGGGGGCCCTTGGAGAGGTACCCAGAGAGGCAGAAAGATGATCCAGGTGGAGTGAGCAAACATCCAGAGGTGTGAATGATCTCATCTAAATAACAACATCCAACTCAGAAGACAGGGGAGGAAGTGATGGGAAAGGGGCCAGAAAACTAAGCAAAGCCACAGTTAGCAAGAGGGTATGAACAATATAGGTAATAGAAATTATAAACACCAAAGACTTTCAACAAACTGGAAACCTGGTCAGATGGTGTGATGGTAATGATAATGACCCAGCAGTGTATCAATAGCTTAACAGACATTGCCTTTTATAATTCTCAAAATAATTCATCACAGGGGAATAATTACTTCCATTTTATAGATGAGAGCCAGAGGTTTATGTGTGTGTCCCAGTTGATAAACGAAGCGCCTTGCAGTTAGGAGTCAAACCAGGTTGCCTGACTTCAAAGCAGATGTTTCCAACACTGGCATATAATGGAGTGGAAGAGTTAGTATCTTGGAAGATTAACATGGTTTTATTTTGTTTTATATTGTGGTCCTCATATTTCCTTGTACCCCGTGTTCCTTTCCCTGCATTTAAGCAGCAGGCACAACATTCAGTGTTCCTTGGCTTAAGGAAGAAATGACCCAGAGGAATGCGGCCAGAACAGAAGATACGATTTTGGGTTTTCCGTTTTTAAAGCCTTAACTCTCGAAACAAGAGAGTTAGAAGAAAGTGTAGTGAGGATGGACTATTATGCTTTGGGTTTTCTGAGACCACAAGAAGCTTGCCTGGACCAGGTTAAAGACAGAAGAAATAAGGAGATGTGGATCCCATCCCCATCCCAGCCAGGAGTCCAGGGAGTGGGTGAGCCCCCGCAAATAGGTTTAGAGAAGTCAAGAGAAGGCAGAGTCTGTGGAGCCACAAGCCTGTCCCCAAGCCCAAGCTCAGAATGGCGTGGGACCAGAAGACATGCCTGTACGGTAGATCTAGATATACCTTATGGCAGCCTCACAGGGCCCCCCATGCCTCAGTCTGTTGTGAGAACAGCAGAATTAGACCAGAAATGGTGTTTCGTTTACACTACAGTGGGTCAGGGAATGGTAGAATATTCTCCCATCCAGAGGGTCAAAGGAGGACTGACTCATGGTCAGACACGAGAGAGGACAGAGCAATGGACAAATGACTGAGGCTCTAGGGGGAATGTCAGCCTGCAGCCAGGACACCACCGGGCTCCAGGTGCCTCCTCCACAAAACTCCCAGAGCTCAGATGCATCCCCAGACAGCAACGCCCAAGTGGACTGAAATTATCTTTTCTGCACTTAAACCTAGCAGCAACTTGAAATCAAAACTAGAGTCCCTTGTAGGAGAAAAAAAAAAAAAAGTTACATTTCTGGTCACACCTGAGGTCTTGGACCTAGATTCGTTTCTGCTGTGGTATGAATCTAGCAGCCTCCACATGTGAGCAGAGCGGTGGTCTCCCAGCGGGCTTCCGCAGAAACTCCTAACAAGCACTGCACGGTGCCACGTGAACATCTTTCTCGGCTGCTCTGTGAAGCAGATGGTTCCGCTGTGGGTGATACCCAGTGGTAACACTCTTTATTTAGTCTGCCAGGTCCCTGAGAGTGTTCATTTCTGTTTGCTCAGAAGTGGTTTACAGTGGCTTCTCTGGTTGGAACATCCAGACCTAGGGGCCTTCCAACCCCTGTGGATTGCTGCTTTCAGAGTCAGGAAGGGTGGAGGCAGCTTCCCTTAGGAGGACTCTGGGTATTTCAGAGAGCCTTGAGCCAGGGGTCGGGAAGCCTAGGTCCCCATCTGGGCCCTGTCATAATCAGTGCAGGGACCTTGGCCAAGTGAGTCAACCTCTCTTTGCTTCGGTTTCCTGTCTTAAAATAGAAGATATCATTTCTTCGCTGCTTAGTCACGGCAGTAAAATGAGGAAAAAATGAGGTCAGGAGCGGAAAAGCTGGAATAGGGGCCAGAGAGCAGCTTCACGCAGTCCCAGTACCCTTCCCCTTCTTTCTTCTCGCCTTCTGCCATCATAGATTTCAGGGTGCATCTTGCTTTTTTGGACTGTGAGCTCACCTCAGCTGTGGGAGAACATAAGAAGACATAGTCCTTACCCTAAAGAGCTCTCCAGCTTACAAATCGCCTGCACAAAACCCTCCTAGGGCTTCCCATTATTCTCGCAGCAAGTTCCAACTTTCCTCCAGGGTCTACACTGTGCCCCACAGGACTTGACTCTGTGCCTTTCTCCGACTGTTCTGTGGTGGGCAGGCCTATGCAAGCCTACCCTCAAGGGAGCTGAGAGGCCGAGGAAAGAGGCTAACAAATCCAGTTCCTCGGAAGAAATATCTACTAAGGACTTATATACAGAACCGAAGCCTTGGAGGGCCACAAAATGGTGGATACTTGCACCCGCCCTCCAGAAAGTATTCTTTATATAGCAAGACTTTAGGGTAAAACATGCAGCTGGTCACATCTTCAGACTTTCTTGCCACAACTTGTGACCACTGGGGAGCTTAGATAAGCATATTTATGAAGGGTTATCTGCTACTGGCATTGTTTAAAGAGCTTAATGCAGAACACCTTGGTACGTGGGAGTCAACCGTCAGTGATCACGGTGGTTTCTCTTCAAGATGGTGTCACTACTGCCATGCAATAGGCAGTTTCCTGCACCAAACTCATCACCTGTGAGGCCACTTTGCCCACTCGGCTCCCCCACACCGGCATTCTTCCTGCTGTCAAATGCTCCAAGTCTGTTCCTGCTTTAAAGCCTTCATGTTTGCTGTTCCCTCTGGCCAGGACATCCTTCCCCCAGATCTTTCCACACTCATTCCCTCACTTTCTTCAGGTCTCTGAGCAACATCATCTCCTCAGAAAGAGACATTCCCTGGCCAAAAATTATACCTGCTCCATGACCTACTTTTCTTTTATCCTGCATGTCTCTTAAATATATAGCTTCAGAGCATATACTCTGTCGTCTTGTCTATTTGTAACTCAATAAGGGCAGAAATTGTCTGTTTCATTCATCTATATATCTTCAGCACCTAGAACAATGCGTATATATATGCTGCCACTGCTAACAAGGACTGTTCTAAGGTTTAAATAAGATGATGTGTGTATGTCAGATGCTTAGCACAGGGCTGCTGTATTAGTTTCCTGTGGCTGCTGTAACAAATTACAAATTACCACAAACTTGGTTTTAAACAACAGAAATGTATTTTCTTACAGTCCTAGAAGTCTGAAATCCATATCACTGGGCCAAAATGGAGGTGTCTGCAGGGCTGTGCTCTCTCCAGAGGCTCTAGGGGAGAATTCGTCCCTGGCCTGTTTTGGCTTCTGGTGGCTGCCAGCATTCCTTGGCTTGTGGCCACATTCCTTCAATTTTCAAGGCCAACATCTTCAAACCTTGCTCTCTGCCTTTATGATCATAGTGCCTTCCCCTCTGTGTGTAAAATCTCCCTCTACCTCCCTCTTGTAATGATATATGTGACTGCACTTAGCATTCACCCAAATTATCAAAGATAATCTCCCCATCTCAACATCTTTAACTTAATCACATCTGCCAAGATCCTTTTTGCCCCCATATAAGGTAAAACTAACTCACAGGTTCCAGGAACTAAGACATGGACATCTTTTGGGGCTAGCTAGCTAATCTAGCTGGGCAAACAATAAGTGTTCATAAAATTTCACCTGATCATATTACAAATTTTCCTCAACTAGACTTTTTTTTTTTTTTTTTTTTTGATATGAGGTCTCACTCTGTCACCCAAACTGGAGTGCAGTGGCGTGATCTCGGCTCATTACAACCTGTGCCTCCTGGGTTCAAGCGATTCTCATGCCTCCGCCTCCTGAGTAGCTGGAATTACAGCCGCATCCCACTGGCTTATTTTTTTTTTTTGTATTTTAAGCAGAAGCAGGTTTTTACTGTGTTGGCCAGGCTGGTCTCAAACTCCTGGCCTCAAATGATCCACCAGCCTTGGCCTCCCAAAGTGCTGGGATGACAGGCATGAGCCACCGCCCCGACCCAGCTAGGCCATTTTAAAGCTTTGGAATCTAGATGAGATTTAGTATTAAAAAGCATATGCAACAGTGCATTGTATGTATTTTTACCTCTAAAAAAAGGTTAATAAAATGATGATGTGTCTTACTAATATGTCTTAAAATCAAAGAAATGTTGTGTTATTGTTGAGGAATTGTACCTATTATATCGTAGGGAGAAAGTGACAAAGATATATCCTTCTCCCACCCTGCAAACACCCTGCACGCACGCACACACACACACACACACACACACACACAGTCATATACCCACAGACATTAAGTTGGTTGCAAGGTCACAGAAAAAAATTAGTACATGGCAGAAATTTTTAAAGAAGGGTTGAGCCTAAGGAGTTTCTGGAATTTGTCCTCATTGGTTGGCAGATCAGCTAACCAGAGCTCAAGGAACATGGGTTCTAAAGGCTAAAGATTGGAGCAGAACAATCCTATACTTTGGAAATTGAGATTTAAACAACAGCAAAGAGAAAAGTTAAGAACTCATCAATCAATATTTATCTCTGATAGAAGGATGTGACCAAAATGGAACCTGAGCCAGCAAAGATCAGCAGGGGACAGAACTGCCCCTTGCTCGTTTTCTCAGTGAGACCTCTACCACACTCTCCACTCCAGCAAGTCATGAGTAGCTACCAGTGCCAAAAAGACCGCCATTCTACTCCCCTGCTTGGCAAACAACAGCTCATCTTTCAGTTGTCAGCTTTAACATTGATCATATCCATATCTGACCATCCAGTCTACCTTCCACCCACACCCACACACACACACACACACACACACACACACACACACACACTCACACTCCACCCTATCCACCTCCTGTATTTGAAACCCAGGCTTTACAAATCAACCCCTCCAGGCTGCAGGATGACTTTTTAAGTAAAAATATTATTTTTAATTGAAAAATCATAATTGTATTACATTTGTGGAGTACAATGTGTTGTTTTGATATATATGTACAATGTAGAATGATCAAACCTGAGAGTAAATTTCAAATGTATCACCACAAAAAAATTGTTAAGTAAGTGAAATGGATATTCTGAATGACTTTGAATTTCACAAAACATTGCAAAAATTTCTCTGCCTCATTGACTCTTTACTTTAGTCCTTTTTCTTCCTCAGTTTTGTTAAAGGATAATGGACAAATAACATCGTGTAAGTTTAAGTTATACACCATGATGATTTGATATATATTGTGAAATGATTACCACAATCAAGTAGTTAGTTAACACAGCTATCACATCCCATAGTCACTGTTTTTTGTTTTTGTTGTTGTTGTTGTCGTTTTGTTTTATTTTGTTTTGTTTGAGACAGAGTCTCACACTGTCACCTGGGCTGGAGTACAATAGCATGATCTCAGCTCACTGCCTCCCCCTCCCAGGTTCAAGCGATTCTCCTGCCTCAGCCTCCCAAGTAGCTGGGATTACAGGCACCCACACCACACCCAGCTAATTTTTTGTATTTTTAGTAGAGACGGGGTTTCACTCTGTTGGCCAGGCTGGTCTCGAACGCCTGACCTCATGATTCACCCACCTCAGCCTCCCAAAGTGCTGGGATTACAGGCGTGAGCCATCTCACCCGGCCAGTCACTGTTTTTTGTTTGTTTTTGGCTCCATTTTATGGTGAGAACATTTAAGATCTGCTTACAGCTTTCTGGCGGGATTTAAATACTTTGAAGGCAAGTTGGAAAAGAGTAATGGCAACTGGTAGGCTGCCAGGTGTCTCAGAAAAGTCAGACTTCCTCAGTTCCCCTCTCTGCTCTGTAACCAGCTCTGTATATCACATTCATTCACATGGCTTCCAACTTCTCCCCTATAGAAACAAAAGGCTTTAACTATAGGATCCCTGAATATCCTTCTAGTTCTAACAATTCCTTGATGCTCTGAGCACATCCAACTGTTTAGCTTCTTGACTTCCAGTGTATACTCATCACTCCGTGACACTTAGGACTCATCAAATCTGAAGTCAACTGTACATTCTATATAACCAAGACCTAGATGGAAAGACAGGCAAGTCACTGAGGGGAAAATACTGCCCTAATTTACTCAATAATCTCTGGCTGGTGTTACTTTTCAAAGCCTGTGACCAGAGGCCATTTCTCTAGCCTAGCAATTTTCTTTGCCTCGGGGTTCAATGGAACAAAATAATTTTCCTTAGGTTAACTAAGTTAGGGAAGGATTTGGATTCTAGACAGTTCTTACACACACACACACACACACACACACACACACACACACACACACGGATTCATTTGAAAGACTTTTGTATTGTTTTTGGAAGCCATAAAACATTAAGCATATGCTCAATTTTTTTAATAGTCTCATGAAAATTATAGTGTGTTTTAAACGGGTTTTACCTTCCTGTGAGCTCGTAGCTCTTGAAGTTGGTTAAAACCTACCTCCTAGGAGTTAAGTAACTTGAAAAACTCTGATATTGATTTCTAAAAACCAGAAGCCTGAGTTTCATGATCCTGAGGCTGTTCTAATCCTGACTTACTCAGATGACCTTAGCACCAACTTCCTAAGCACAGTAGGAATTGCTTAGGAATTAATTGCTTCATATCAGTTAATGCTCTGTCTGTGCTAGGTACCACCCCAAAACTTAGTGGCTTCAAACAACAACAATTTGCGGCTGAATATGTAGTATGGAGCAGGATTCAGCAGAAACAGTTATCTCTGTTCCGTTTGGTGTCAGCTGGACAGCTTGAAAGCTGGGACTGGAATCTTCTGAAAGCTCTTTTTCTCACTTGTCTCCTGGACTGGGAAGACTCAAACAGCCAAGGACTCTTCCCATGTCCCTCCATATTTCTATGTGATTTCTCCTCATGCTGTCTCTTACTTGTGGCTTCAGGACTTCCTACAGGTGATCTCAGGGCTACTGAGGTGCCGGGTGCATATCCCAAGACAAAGTCCCAGGCAGAAGTTGTATTGCCTTTTATGACCTAGCCTCAAAAGCCACACAGTCAGTTCTGTCACAGTCTGTTTGGTCAACAAGTCCCGTATGTCCAGTAAAGTTCAAGGAAGGGAAACATGGACCTCACCTTTCAATGAAGGAGTGTCAAATTCACATCATAGGACAAGCACATGGCATGGTATATGTAGGTGCTGGCATCTTTGAAAAATACAACCTGACACACCTCAAAACCTGTCAGGTAGATATCAATGCCCCTAATTACAGATGAAGAGAATGAGCCTAACAAAAATGAAGTGGCTTATCCCATGACCATATGATGAATAAATGTCAGGGCTGGAATTTAGGGGGAGAGGGGCCTGGAGGATGGGAAGTTTGGGGAGTAGAGGTGAGAAGACCCCCGGTCATCCCAGGGTTGCTATAAGAGAATGAGGCAGAAGAGGCAGTACACAGAAGCAGGGGCTCAGCTTGTGTCCCAATGTGAGAGTAAGATCCATGGAGATAGGGACTACCTTGCTTACCTTTTTATACCAGCAGGGTTTAACACAAGCAGAACGGTAATGCAAGAAAAGCATAGGTATGGGAGTTTGTGCAAGGCTGAGGCTGTGTGATCTTGGTCAAGACTTAACCTCTCTGAGCTTCAATTTCCTTATCTGTTAAATAGGGAGACTAGTACTCTTATAACAAAGTTTTATAAAGAATCCAAGATGCTAGCTAGTGTGTAAAGTTCTTGCTATATAGTAGAAAATCAACTAATGGTCATTACCATTATTATACAGATATTTGCAAAATTGAAATAAATCAATAAGTTTTGGGAGTTGATGTTTTTGTTAATATTTGGTCAGGCTCAGGTGCAAGTTATGCTGGGACCTCTAATATTTGAGTTGATAGGAAGAAGAACAGAACTGGGTCTGAGAAGAAATGGCAGGAGGGAGCTAGTTTGCTAGTTCAGAATAGTTGAAGTAAACACCAATTACATGGTTATGGACATTGGAATCAGATGACTCTATTTGAGCTTGGTCAGACTGCTTACTCCTTCAAAGCACCAGTTTCCTTATCTGTAAAAATTAGATAATGGTATTGTATATAAATTGGTATATAAGTGAAATAATCAATAATAAAACACCTAGTAAACTGCCTGCTATATAGTAAAATTTCAGTGACTATGAGTTCTTTCCCCCACCCACTTACCCCTTTACCTTAATATCTGAAGAAGAACAGTTGTTTACTCATAATTATATTGACTCTTCACATTCAATTAAGCTGTTGAGTTGAATTTACACCATCCATCCCCATGGACTGATTGGGGTCATACAACTATGTGTTTTAAGAAGTATTTATCAAGCACCAATTATGTTCCAGTCACGGTGCTGGATCCCAATATACATCTGACAAACAGAAACACAGTCCATTGCCCTTGAGGAGCTTACAGTGTGGAAGGGAAGACCTTGGCAGGGACTGTCAGGGAGGACTTGCTGAATTACGGGATAGAAATAAGCCTTTCATTTGCTCCTTGTCATCTCTGCTAAAGTCTGCTCTTACATGTTATCTTCATCGTCTCTGTGAACACGGACTCATGCATGTGAAGGCATTTCTCGTCCAGGTCAGAGATCCCGATGGTTGTAGGCAACAAGCATTGCCTCTTTTCCTGGCCTCCCCTGGACCCCTTGGCCTTGCAGGACAGACACCTGGAGGCGGGGCCAGCTGAAAGGAGAAAGGTGACATAGATTGAGACCTGCTGCCAGGCCTCCTGCCTTCTCCTGCTTTTCCCAACCTCTCTCTGGTACTCTTCTCTCTGCTACCTCCCACTTTTTGGGACAAACACGCCTGGGTTTTCACTTCCTCCCCATACCAAAAGCCTGCTCTTCATCAGACATATGTTCGCCCTTTCACACACGGGTTCCTCTGATCAGCGTAACAGCTCTGCAGGTTCGGTTTCATTATCCCCTCTTCACATTAGGCTCAGAGAGATTAGGTGTCTTAAGGGGTTAAGCCAGTGAGTGGTAAAGCTGGATTTAAAAGCAGGCTGCCTGATTCCAAGTTCACCTTGCTATTAATTCATTTCTGTTCAACATGCATTTAACACACAACTGCCTTATGCCAAGCACTGGCAAAATAGCAAAGAACAAGGTAAGGTTGCTGTTCCCCAAGGACACACAGACTAATGGGGATGTCAGGCATACCAGGAGAAATGCTAAATCAGAGTTAAATTAGATAACATATGTCAAATGCTTGCTTCGGTGCCTGGCACATAGAAAGCTCTCAGTGGAGGTCAGCTCTTGTTCCTATGAATGTAAGTACCAATGTAAAGGGAAGGGAACAAGGCCAAGGTGCACAGACAAAAGACAGGCAGCCCAGTCTTGGATGCATCACGTGAGTTCTGCATCCTGAGCTACTTGCCCTTTAAGCCTTATTGTGTTTAGTGTAGAGCATCATTCTGCAGAGACCCCAGGGAAGACTGGAACAGCTCCAGGAGAATGTCCAAAGGGTGAGAGGACTTGAGCTCTATCACAGGAGGACTCCTGAGAGAACTAGGGATGTGTATGCTGAGGCAGAGAAGATTGAGCATCAAGAATTTCATTTGCCTGCTTATAAAAATGACCAGAAATAATACTATTTTATTTTCAAAAAATAATTTTTTTTTAATCTCAATGGAAAAAGCATGCACGTGTGCATAGCTGCTCCAGACATTACAAACTCAGGTTCCTTCTACCTTTCTGCTCTGCCAACCTTGGCACTGGCTTCTATCCTCATGGTTGCCGCGTGTGGCTGCTGTAGTTCCAGCTATCACTTCTCCATTCTAGTCAGAAAATGGAAAGAAACCAGGAGGGGTGAGGGGAAGGGGAAAGGATCAGCTATCAACCCCTTTTGAGGAATTTTCTTGGAACTCTTACCCAACAGCTTTTGTTTACATCTCTTTGGCCAGAATTTAAATTGCCCCAGCTAGCTAGGGAGATTGGGAGATGTATTCCTTAATTAGGAGCATCAAACTCCTGAATAAAATTTGAGAACTGTTTTTAAGGCGAAAGATAGACTAGATATTGGGTAGGCAACCAGGAGACTCTGCTGCTGCAAACATAGTGTCCATCTCGACCTACTTACAAGGGCTGTCCAGAAGAAGAAGGATAAGTACATTCCATAGAAGGACAGAATTAGGAGACAAGTTTCAGCTCAATCCAAGGAAAAGTTCACCAAACCATGGACTATGGCTGCCTCATGCAATAGAGAGAATTCTCCTTTAGAGAGGGGAGTATGGATAAGTGTATGGGAGTGCTGTGGCAAGGATTTGGAACATCAAGAACACAACTGGGCTTGAGGAATGTGAAGATTCTCTTTCTAGTTATGAAATGGAAGGTTTTTCCCTTGTTAAAAGATTTTTAGGCATCCTCCAGCTAGGAGAAGAGGTATTTCAGGAGAATAGAGCCATCCTTCCAAAAAGCCTCAAGGTCCGACATAGGCAATTACAGACTAGGCTCACGAGTCTGAGCAACAGGCATGCCAGGTGAATACTGTGTTTGTTTTTTAAGGTACATTTAAATGTTAATGGTATGAAATTTATGGAAAAGTTAGGAAATCCCAATAAGGGAAAATTTTGAAAATTAAAACCATCAAAATCCCTTCAGTAGGTGTCTGACAGCTCTAACAGAAAGAGCATTCTCTTTGGAGTCAAATACTCCTCAGCTCAGCTCCAACTTCCACCTCCTACCAGTTCACCATGCATGGAGAACTTATTTAACTTCTCTGAGCCTTGTTTTCCTTGTCTGTAAAAACACAGCAATTGTAACTACCTTCAAGAGTCATTGTGGCAATTAAGATTTAAATGCATTTAAGAGGCAAACACATATATATTTAATACACAATACATCATCACAAATATTTCCTTTCTTCTTTCCCACTATCTATCCAAACCACTATGAATATTTAGGAGTATTTTGTTACATGGTTTTAACGCCATTACAAAGATATTTTTGTATCCTGTATTTTACTTAGCATATGTCATAATCATTTTTGTTTTAACAGACTCTTTATAAACAATTTTCATGGCTGTGTAATGCTCTAGCTAATAGATATATCATAACTAATTGGATGTTGGGAATTAATATATTTCTCCTATATTTATATATAGAAAGGAACATTTTGTGAATAAGATCCTTTCCTCATTTTGGATCATTCCTTTAGAATACATTTTCAGAAGAGAAATCATTCTACCAAAGAGTAAAAATAATTTAAAGCCTTTGATACATATTGCCAAATTCCTTTCCAATATTTCATTTTTATGTATGAGATGGATTTATAGTTAAGTTTTTTTGTCTGTTATTCTTTTTAAATTGTGGGCCTCTTGAGGACAAAGCTGTATTTTTTTCATCTTATAACTCTATCCCCTATGACAGTGCCTGACCATAGGGTGCATTTTAATAAATATTTACTTAATGAATAAAAATGATCGTGCCTATTCACATGTTCATCAGCACAAGAATGCCTGTTTCATTACATCCTCATCATTATAACTGACTATACTGAGATGGGAGTGGGGGTGGATCCAGAGGACAAATTCCTAAATAGATGTCTTTCATGACCTTTCTAGAATTTTCTGGGCTATCCCAGAACTTATAAAGGCTGACAGAACACAAGTTTCTGACTTCTTGTTTAATCTTAACTTGTATGCACAGCTGGCAAAGGCACATATTTAAAACTAGTCTTTGGATCTTAACAAAAGCAGTGAGCTTTCTGAAAAAATGTCTATGTGTCTCTATTGCTGTGTGATAAACCGCCCCAAAACTTAGTGAGTTTAAACAATTTATTTAGTTTATGATTCTACAAGTCAATTTTTTTTGAGACAGGGCTCACTCTCTCCCCTTGGGTGGAGTACAATGGCATGATCAGGGCTCACCACAGCCTTGACCTCCTGGGTACAACTGATCCTCCCACCTCAGCCTCCTTAGTAGCTGGGACTACAGGTGTGTTCCATCATGCCCAGCTAATTTGTGTACTTTTAGTAGAGACGAGGTTTCACCATGTTGCCCAGGCTGGTCTCAAACTCCTGCGCTTCAGCGATCCACCTGCCTTGGCCTCCCAAAGTGCTGGGATTACAGGCTTGAACCACCATACCGAGCCAAGCCAATAATATTTAACATGGGTTCAGCCAGGCAATTCATCTGATCTTGATCAAGCTTACTCATATATCTGCAGATGCAGACAGCTACCAGGTCAGCTCCTGGCTCAGAGAGAGGCTGGCTAACTGGGGATGGCTTATCACCCTCCAGCAGGCTAGCCCAAGCTTGCTTACGTGGAATCTGGAAGGGTTCTAAAACTATGGTGGAGGCATGCATGGTCTCTTGAGGCCTGAGCTCAGAATTGGCACACTATCACTTCTGTTGCATTCTATCAGCCAAACCATGTCACGAGGCCAGCCCAAATTCAAGGGCAAAGGGGTAAGATTCCACCTTTTAGATAGAGGAGCTACAAAGCCATGTTGCATGGGGTGTGAATACAGGAAAGGAAGGAATAAAAAATTTAGCCCTTTTGCGATTTCCCACAGTGCCAGTGGCCACTTAGCAGAATGAATCTACTAAGTGCAATTACTTAATCTTGTCTATTTTAAACTTGAAGATGATTTATCCTCAATTATGTATGTAGTGCCTCAGAGATTTAAAAGATTTAAAATGGTGTTACCTTGGCTAAGTTTTTGTGTGACAGCACATTAGGCAGGTTGAGTGGACAAAGGGCTCCCTCCTCAATTTTTAGATGGAAGATGAATCTCAAGGAAGTTTACCCGACGGGGAAGCAGGTAGAGTCAATCATTCACTCCCTAGCCATCTCCTGCTCTGTCTTAATTATGAAGGAAGTTTCTTATCTCCTTACTTTCAATAATAACAGCCCCAATGCCATTCATTTCTAAACCACATTGCATTATTCAGAAATAAGTTGTAAGTGTTGAGGTGGGGAATAAGTTGTAAGGGTTGAGGTGGGGAATAAGTTGTAAGGGTTGAGGTGGGGGTAAAATTAGAACAGAAGGTGTCATGAGTCCATTTTCACCTACCCCGGTTTTGGCAATACTGTTTCAAGTCAGGCTCTGAGGCAACATTAATAGCCTGAATTTGTGCTGAGACCTCACAGAATCCTCCAACGTGCTCGGCTGCGTTCACCATTACTTGTCACCTATGAGACTTGATTTCAGGAGGCAGAAAGGAAACAGTCCTACATCCCACCTGCCAAACCCTGCTTGTGTGAAATTCCCTTAATGGAACACCAAGCCATTCCTTCCACAGTGAGAAATCTGTTTGAAAGTGTAAACCCTCAGGAAATCCATTATTATAACAATTCTATAGTATATTATAGAATTAAATACAAACAGGCAGGCCCGGCATGATGGCTCACGCCTGTAATCCCAGCACTTTGGGAGGCTGAGACAGGAGGATTGCTTGAGGCCAGGAGTTCAAGACCAGCCTGGGCGACATAGTGAGACCCTATCTCTACAAAAAAATTAAAAATTAGCAGGGTATGGTTGCACATCCCTGTGGTCCCAGCTACTCAGGAAGCTGAGGCAGGAGGATCTCTTTAGCCCAGGAGGAGGTTGTAGCTGCAGTGAGCTGTGATCACACCACTGCACTCCAGCTTGGGCAACAGAGTGAGACCCTGCCTCAAAAAAAAAATTAATTAAAAAAATAAATAAATACGGACATGCATTGCTTAGTGATGGGAATATGTTCTGAGAAATGTGTCGTTAGGTGATTTCATCATTGTGTGAACATTATAGGGTGTACTTATACAAACCTAGATGGTAGAGCCTACTACATACCTAGGCTATATGGTATAGACTATTGCTCATAGGCAACAAACCTGTAGAGCATGTTACTGTTCCAAATACCGTAGGCAACTGTAACACAATGGTATGTGTGTATCTAAACATATCAAATATAGAAAAGTTACACTAAAAATACAGCATTATAATCTTATGGGGCCATCAGCATATATGCAGTCCATCATTGACAGAAATGTCATTATGCAGCTCATGACTGTATTTATGTATATAAATTCATATAGATAATATGTATCTTATATAACACATAATATGTATATATTTTCTATAATATTATATAATGTATTATACAATTACAAAACATAATTCTATAATATAACAATATAATAACTTTTTTAGTAGACAAAATCTATGAAGCCCTAGACTTCAGGCAAAGAAGGAAAATAATCCTTAAGAGATGGGAAACGAATGAGGAGAGGCCTACAATTGCCCCAGTTTCTGCTTTGAGAGTTTCCAGGCCATGGAGAGGGTTTTGTGTTTGATTATCGATGTCTGTCCTGGGCTCAGAGAGGGTCAATAACAGCCCCCAACCACATATTCCCCATTTCTGCATGATTGTTAAAATCTTTGGCTTTTCTGCACTCTATTCTCCTACCTTCTTCTTCACAGACTAAAATTTTATCATTCTCTACTAGGTAGAGAAAAATGTCACAGCAAAAACACAGAAATTCCAAGTTGCTGGACTTCTCACTTTCTATTAACATTACTTTATCTTGGACAATACATAAACTGTTTTATATACACTGTATTAATTGCATCTCATGATTGCCCAATACAGCAGTTAGCACACTTTCAACTCCAAATAACAGAAACCCCCTTTCAAAATGGCTTAAACACTAAAAGGGTTTATTTTCTCTGATATCGAAATGTCTGCAATGAGGCACCTTCACAATTTGTTAATTCAGTTTCTCAAAAACATCACCCAGGACCTGAGATCTTCCCATCTTTCTCTTCTGCCAGTCAACTTTGTATCTCATGGTTCAAGCTGGATGCCACATGTCCAGACACTACATGTGGACACCACAATGTCCCCTAGTGCAGCCACTATTCTTCTCGCCTGTTCAAGATCTGTATGGCTAGGATGTAGCAGAGCATCCTCTCTAATCCACATCTCCTGACTCTAAAGCCAGCGCTGATTTTACTATTCTAAGCAGACTGTCTGTAGGATGATCCTGCCCTGGTTACGGTTAATGACCAAGGCGAATTGTTGGCTCATTTTCAGCAGGGAATTTAAAAGAGTAATTACCAGGTTTGACTTCTCTCAAAGAGGAAGTTTAAATTTAGCTTTTACCTGCAGTTCTCTGCTGTGACTTTGGAGCAAATCTACTCAACATCACATAGAAAACACTAATTGTCTTGCATAGTTTGGATACAAACTAATTATGTTATTGCTGCCACAAGTGCTAGAACACACCTAATTATAGGGTTTGAGGAATACATACTTTGTCTATGACTATGACAGCCCAGAATGGCTAGGCAGGTTTTTTAGCTCACTGCCTCTGGCAAGGGAGATATCATCATCCTTGTTCAAGCTGGTAATTTATTCTGATGACAAAGTTGTATTCTTGTGCCCTGTTATAATGTAAAACAAGCAAAAAAAAAAAAAAAAGAAATTAAATGCCTATCAGGACCCAAGTGCTGTAGCCAGCACTTGAGAGATTATATCGTTGATATATCACAGTGGTCAAGAACACAGACCCTGGTACCTCACTGGCATTGGCTGGGTTTTAATCCTAGCTCTGCTCCTTATTAATTGTGTGATCTTCCTCAAATTGTTTAATTTCTCTAGGGCTCACTTTCCTCATCTGTGAAATGGGGATACTGATTACAATATTATCTCTCTGACAGAGTGTGTGAAGCACTTAAAACTATCTGTAACATATAGTAAGTGCTAAGTATTATTATTTCACCTTGTTACCTCATTTATGTGAATGTTTCTAAAAACCCCATAGAATGGATGAAATTTGGATACCAGAGCTGTTTTGAGGGTGATAGGAGATGATGTGTGAAATACTCAATTAATGGTTGCAAAAACCCATCCCCCATGAGGAGACAGAGGCCAAGGGTGTAAGTGACTTACCAGGTTATCCCAACTGGCACTGGCCCTGCTGCTCCACAGAAACTCTTCCCTGGACACACTTTTCTTCTTCCCATTGCTTCTGGTCCAAGCTTATCACTCCTCTCTCCTCGGTGCCTGCAAATGGCGGCCTGCTACACTGAGAATCAAGTCCAGGCTCTGGGCATTTACAAAGGATCTCTCTGTTGTACCTCTCTAACCTCATCTCCTGTTCCTCCTCTCCTCACTCACTCTAGTCCAGAGCATGGGGCCTTCTTTTTCTTCTTTCCTCATGGTTAAGTTGATTCCCATCTTGGAACTTTTGCCTGAACTCATACCTGACTCCCTCCTATTATTCAGAACTTGGATACTTGTCACTCTTCCCAGATCCCTTCCCTGGTCACACACCCCGAAGTAGCCATTGGCCACTAGTTACTAGATCACTTTATTTTAATTCCTTGTCTAACATATTATCTGATCACTCCCTTGTCATATTTCCTCATGTACCTGTGAGACTCATGAGAACAGGGACCTTCTCTGATTATGTCCCAAGATGCCAGAATGGTCCTTGGCATATTGCAGGTATTCCACAAATATTAGTTGAATGGATGAATAGGATGTGAATCTATCTTTTGCTTCCACCTCTAGTGCTCATTCTCCTACAAGTCATTTGCAGGGTTGCTGCTAATATGGGTAACTCCATCATGAGAATTTGAGAAAAGTACCCCCTCTGAATAGATGAATTGTAAAAAGGTGCCATTTCTGAGTAGT
The DNA here is from genome assembly GCF_000001405.40 of Homo sapiens. NCBI lineage: Eukaryota > Metazoa > Chordata > Mammalia > Primates > Hominidae > Homo > Homo sapiens. The sequence goes on along the minus strand of NC_000008.11, from coordinate 130,658,212 downwards.
GTTGTGGGAAGCCAGGGACCCCAAATGGAAGGACCGGCTGGAGCCGCGGCAGAGGAACATAAATTGTGAAGATTTCATGGACATTTATCAGTTCCCAAATAATACTTTTATAATTTCTTATGCCTGTCTTTACCTTAATCTCTTAATCCTGTCATCTTCATAAGCTGAGGTGTACATCACCTCAGAACGACCGTGATAATTGTGTTAACTGTACAAACTGATTATAAAACATGTGTGTTTGAACAATATGAAATCAGTGCATCTTGAAAAAGAACAGAATCACAGTGATTTTTAGGGAATAAGGGAAGACAAACATAAGGTCTGACTGCCTGCGGGGTCAGGCAAAAAGAGCCATATTTTTCTTCTTGCAGAGAGCCTACAAATGGACATGCAAGTAGGGATGATATCGCTAAATTCTTTTCCTAGCAAGGAATGTTAATATTAATACCCTGGGAAAGGAATGCATTCCTGGGGGGAGGTCTATAAATGGCCGCTCTGGGAGTGTCTGTCTTAGGCAGTTGAGATAAGGACTGAGATATGCCCTGGTCTCCTGCACAACCCTCAGGTTTACTAGGATGGGGGAAAAACTCCGCCCTGGTAAATTTGTGGTCAGACCGGTTCTCTGCTCTCGAACCCTGTTTTCTGTTGTTTAAGATGTTTATCAAGACAATACATGCACCGCTGAACATAGACCCTTATCAATAGTTCTCCTTTTTGCCTTTTAAAGCATGTGATCTACTCCCTGTTCTTACACCCCCTCCCCTTTTGAAACCCTTAATTAAAAGCTTGCTGGTTTGAGGCTCAAGTAGGCATCACAGTCCTACTGATATGTGATGTCACCCCTGGCGGCCCAGCTGTAAAATTCCTCTCTTTGAACTCTTTCTCTTTATTTCTCAGCCGGCTGACACTTACAGAAAATAGAAAGAACCTATGTTGAAATATTGGGAGCAGGTTCCCCCGATAGAGTAGACCAGGTAGAAAATGGCCCTCACACTCTGTGGATAATGTAGAAAAAGGTGCCCATCTCTTGGACTGATACAGCCTTGCTCAACATCACATGACCTGGCCAGTGCCCACATGTGGTGTACAACCAGTACAGAGAGGTGGAGGAGTGTGTTTGTGTGCCACATGTATGTGCATGGTATGTATGCACACATCATTTTGAAAATGTCCCTGGTCGCTAAATGTTTAACATTACCAAGTTCAAAGTCACAAAACATGTCAGAACATCAGAAGCCATCATGCATTCTCTCTCTCTCTCTTACATATGAGGCCAGATGATAAGGAATTGATAGTGACATATGTTTATTCTGTGCTATGGTTCAGACCACATCTAAAATCTTTTGTCAGCTCACAGCACCCCATATGAAAAGTAATAAACTGAAACACTTCTAAGTGAAGGCCCCCTAGAAGTGAAGGACACCCCAAACCATGTCTGATGAGAGTAGTTGAAGCCTGGAGATGTTTAGCTTAGAAGAGTCCCAGGAAGACCTGATAGCCATCTACAAAACCTTAAGTGCTAACACAAAAAGGATACACTTCACTTACTCATTTATTCACCAACTCTCTATCAAGTATCTGTGATGTGTTCTCCATGTTGGAGTTACAGCAGCAAACAAAATGAAACATAAAAAATCCCTGCCCTGGCAGCACCTACATCCTACATTCACTAGTTACAGGAGACACAGAGCAAACAAGCAAATACAATGCAATAGAATATAGAATCAAGTTCAGGCTCTGTGCAATTTACAAATTTATTATCTAATAATAAAATATTAGATAGTGACAAATGCTATGAAAAAAGCAAGTGGCTGGGGACAGGAGCCACAGGAAGCAGGTAGTTTAGTTGAGTGGTCAGAGAAGAGCCTCCAACAAGATAGCATTTGAGCTGAGACCCATATGAGGAGAAAGAGCTTTTATTCTGGTGAAAAGCCATGTCAGGCAGATAGAACAGCAAGTGCAAAGGCCTAAGGTGAGAACGAGCTTGGCACACTTGTGGAAAAAAAACAAAAGGACAGTGCAGCTGAGACTTAGTGATGGTGGACCAAAGGTAGGGGGTATTGTTCCTAAGGCTGGCAGGGGTTAGGTCCCATACAGCCTGGAAGATCATTGTAAAGAGTTTGGATTTTTTTCTAATTTTTTTAAGCAGAAGAGGGATATGATCCAATTTACATCTCTAAGGATGACTTTGGTTGCTGGGGAAGAATGGATTATAGAGCAGCAAGAGTTCTCTGTGTTCTATGAATAGAACTAAGATCATGGGAGAGAACCACAGGAGACAGATTTTAGCCCAAGACAAGTGCTTTCTAAATGAACGAGCTCATTTAAAGGTGGTGAGTGTCCTCCACTAGAGGTATCCAAGAGAAGGTTAGATGTTTCTTTCTGGGAGGAGGCTGTGATGGTTAATTTTATGCGTCAACTTTGCTGGGCCACAGGGTGCCCAGATAGTTGACTAAATATTACTCTGGGGGTATCTGTTAAAGTGTCTCTGATTGAGATTCATATTTCAATCAGCAGATGGAGAAAAGAAGATTACCCTTCCCAATGTGGGTGGAAGTAACCTAGTCAACTGAAGGCCAGACCAGAACTTACATCATTGGCTCTCCTGAGTCTCCAGCTTGCCGGCTGCTAATCTTGGGATTTCTCCATGTCATGTGAGTCAATTCCTTATAATAAATCTCTTCATTTATTACACACATACACATATATACACATATATCCTATTGGTTCTGTTTTTCTGGAAAAACAAAACAAATCCAGTAACACAGAGAGGAATGTTGCAGTGAGATTTCTGGCATCAGAAGACATCTTGACCTAAAACCCCTATAGAACCCTTCCAGTCCTGGAGGAGAGGATACAGCCCAAAACTTTGGACTATATGGTGACTTTATTTCCCCATAGTTCTGAAATGTGTGCTTAAGTGTTTTTTTCTTTCTTTCCTATTTATTTTTTAAGTAAAAGAATAGAAATACATGAACATGGTAAAATACTCAACCATGTAGTTTTAAATGTAAAAGCAAAGACCTTCCACCAACTCCTTTTACCCATAGGTAACTACTATTGACAATTTCTTATGTATCCTTCTAGAAAAATTATATGCTTGTGTCAACATATGTACTTGCATAGATCTTTTCATTTACACAAATGGGATTATACTCTACACACTGTTTCATGCCTTGCCTTTTTCACTTAATAATATGTAAGATGCTTCTTTTTTTTTTTTTTTTGAGACAGAGTCTCACTCTGTCGCCCAGGCTAGAGTGTAATGGCGCGATCTCAGCTCACTGCAAGCTCTGCCTCCTGGGTTCATGCCATTCTCCTGCCTCAGCCTCCTGAGTAGTTGGGACTACAGGCGCCCACCACCACGCCTGGCTCATTTTTTGTATTTTTAATAGAGACAGGGTTTCAGTTAACCAGATGGTCTCAATCTCCTGACCTCGTGATCTGCCCACCTCGGCCTCCCAAAGTGCTGGGATTACAGGCGTGAGCCACTGCGCCTGGACCCTTTTTTTTTTTTTTAAGCTTTCTGTCCTTGAATTGTTTCAAAACACTGGACAGAGGTCTTCCTATCTTAAGAGGGTCACACCAAGATAGGTTATTTTTCTTCAACTTATTTTAAGTTCAGGGGTACATGTGCAGGATATGCAGGTTTGTTACACAGGTAAATGTGTGCTGTGGTGGTTTACTGCACAGATCATCCCATCACCTAGGTATTAAGCCCAGCATCAATTAGCTATTTTTCCTGATGCTCTCCTGCCCCCAGCATCCCTCACTACAAACAGGCCCCAGTGTGTGTTGTTCCCCATCGTGTGTCCACATGTTCACATCATTCAGCTCCCACTTGTAAATAAGAACATGAGGTGTTTGGTTTTCTGTTCCTGTGTTAGTTCTCTGAGGATAATGGCTTCCAGCTCCAACCATGTCCCTGCAAAGGATGTGATCTCATTCCCTTTTATGGCTGCATACTATTCCATGATGTATACATAATACATTTTCTTTATCCAGTCTATCATTTGTAGGCATTTGGATTGATTCCATGTCTTTGCTGCTGTGAATAGTGCTGCAGTAAACATACACACGCATGTATATTTATAATGGAATGATTTATATTCCTATGGGTATATACCCAGTAATGGGATTGCTGGGTGTTTCTGCCTCTAGATCTTTGAGGAATTGTCACATTGTCTTCTACAATGGTTGAACTAATTTACATTCCCACCAACAGTTTAAAAGTATTTCTTTGTCTCCTCAATCCCGCCAGCATCTGTTGTTTTTTGACTTTTTAATAATCGTCATTCTGACTGGTGTGAGATGGTATCTCATGGTTTCGATTTGCATTTCTCTAATGATTAATGATGTTAAGCTTTTCTTCATATGTTCATTGGCTACATGAATGTCTGCAGACGAGCCTGGGCAACATGGTGAAATCCCATCCCTCTCTCCCAATAATGGATAAAATTAGCCAAGCATGCTGGCACACACCTGTGGTCCCAGCTACTTGGGAAGCTGAAGTGAGAGGATCACTTGAGCCTAGGAGGCAGGGGTTGCAGTAAGCCAGATCATGCTACTGCACTCCAACCTGGGCGACAGAGTGAGACCCCATCTCAAAGAAAAATAAAAAAGTTTAATGGAAGATGAGAAGTGGCCTATGTGTATGGAAGCCCTATTCCGAGCCAGGTGCTCTGCCTTTGACATTGCTATATCATGCCATCTGACTAATCAACCCCATGCTGGACATTAGATCGTGAAAACACCTTTCTTCTCTCCCTGCTACTCTAACTGTCCCTCATTCTCCTTTCCCTCTCCTGTTTTTCTTTTTTCCTTTTCCTTTTTTTTTTTTTTTCCTCAGAGGCTTGCTGAGTCCAGGTATGAGGTAAAAAGGATCTTGGCCTGTGTGTGGTATTGTTACATACCTGGTATCTACCAATAGGTATTGGCCTGTGTGTGGATTTTAGAGTCAGACACGGATTTGAATTCTAACTTGACTATGTACTAGTTGTGTGACCTTAGGCTTATATGTCACTTAACCTAATGGCAGTAGGCAGCTTTCAGGTGGCTCCCAGTGATCGTTGCCTCCTGGTACCGTCACCCATGCATAATTGCCTCCCTTTAAGTGTGGGCTGGACTTAGTGACTTGCTTTTCATGAATAGGATATGGCAAAATTTGATGGGATGTCATTTCTTTTTCTTTTTTTTTTTTTTTGAGACGTAGTTTTGCTTGTCACCCAGGCTGGAGTCCAATGGCACAATCTCAGCTCACTGCAGCCTCCGCCTCCCGAGTTCAAGCAATTCTCCTGCCTCAACCTCCTGAGTAGCTGGGATTATAGGCATCCACCACCACGCCCAGCTAATTTTTGTATTTTTTAGTAGAGATGGGGTTTCACTATGTTGGCCAAGGTGGTCTCGAACTCCCGACCTCAGATGATCCACCACCTTGGCCTCCCAAAGTGCTGGGACTACAGGCGTGAGCCACCGCACCCGGCCAATGGGATGTCATTTCTAAGATTCAGTTAAAGACTGGGACTTCTGTCTTTTCTGTGCCCTCTCTCTTTTCCTCTCCCTTGCTTGCTCTGATGAAGCCAGCTTCCATGTTGTGAGCTGCCACATGGAGAGGTCCACATGGTAAAAAACCAAGGCTTTTTTACCATGGACCAGCTGGGGCTATTGTGGCCCTGCCTCTGAGGACACCCTGGAATATTGGCTGCAGTATTAGGCCTTCTTCCTACCAGGAAGTAAGAAGAAGGGAGAAATTCCTGAGCTCGTTGGGAGATGAAAACAGGCTGGCTTAACTTCAACGTGTTATTTAGTCAGCAAATCTTTTTGAGAAGGTATAGCAGAAGGAATGAGAGTTATCTCTTTCTATCCTGTTAGTGTGAGAAAGAGCTAAGCTTGAGTACTGAACTTTGTTTCTTACTAGGTTTTGGGCAAGTTATGTGACTTCTCTATTCCTCAATGTCTTCATCTGTAAAACGGGGGTTAAGAAATTTCTATCACATAGGGCCATGTGAGGAATAAAAGGGATAATCATGGATCATGCTTAGGACAGCTCAGATCTCTCACCTTAAAAGGGGGATTAAAAGCAGGACAGACTCTCGGGCTTGCTGCGTGGATGGCATTAAGTCGTGCGTGCTAAGTCTGGCACCTGCTACCAGAAGAGGCTTGTAGTGGGTTGAATGTGGGCCCCGCAAAATATATGTCCATCCGGAATGTATGAAGGTGTCACTAGGTGGAAAAGGGGTCTTTGTGGATGTAATTAAGCTAAAAATCTCAAGATCATCCTCGATTGGGGATGATCAGGGACCCTAAATCCAGTGATAAATGTCCTTAGAAAAGAAGAGAAAGGAAGATGGCAAACACAGGAGGGTACTACATGAAGACAGAAGCAAAGATTGTCGCTATGCAGCCCCAAGCCAAGAAATGCCTGGAGCCATGAGCAACTGGAATATGCAGGGATTCTCTCTTACAACCTTTGGAGGAACCAAAGCACTGTGAACATCTGGATTTCAGACTTCTGGCCACCAGCAGTATGAGAGAATAAATTTATTTTAAGCCACCATGTTTGGGATAATTTGTTGCAACGGCCCTAGGAAGTTATTACAGGGCTTAATAAATGTACACTATTACTGTTATCTGTTGCTTTTTTATTTTTTTTTTTTTTTTTTTGTTCCACCAAGATTGGAAAGCCGCCTGCATTCTACGGAGGGAAAACTGAAATGCCTGGGCTAGGACCCAAAGGGAAAAGGTCCATCTGGCTTAGTGCAGGTCCCCACCCCTGCCCTGCCTCTGACCCATCCCTCCAGGCAGGGTTTCATCCTCGGGCCGCCTTCATTGCCAGGGTTTCTGAGGCTGACAGCACACCCTGAGCCAAGAGATTCCAAGTCTCAGCATGAAGGGAATAATTGTCAGCGAGCTCCCAGATTGTTTTGTCACTTCCACTTTGCAATATGACAAGTAGGCGTCCAAAATATGCTCCAGGAGGGGGAGCCAGAAATTTTCCAAAAGCATACGTGGCAGCCCGAGTCACTGCTAAATAAGTGTCAGCTGAGTTCTTGGCTTCCCTCCTTACGCCAAGCCGTGCTGTGTCCCTCAGGATGGGGAGTGCCGCTGGAGCACCACCAGGAAAAGAAAAGCCTGCTCTCAGTGGCATTGGAACCATCAGCGTGGCTTCATTGACTACTTTGGGATTTGTCTAGATGACCTCATAATAATAACTGTATTTCTAGAATCATAAAAATGACAACAATAAATCGCTATTAGGTACCCTGCGTGAGGTGCTGTACTAAGTCATTTATGTACTGTCTATTCTTGCATCTTCATGACAATTCTATGAAATGGCAATGATTATTATTATCTCTCTGTTACAGAGAAGCAAACTGAGGAAGAAGGAGTTTAAATAATGTGCCCAATATTTCATTTCTAGGGGAGGGACTAAAAAAGATTCCATTTCTAAGAAGTGGTAGAGGTAAAAATCCAACTCTGATGAGCTCATCCCTAAAGCTGGAGATGTGTACTACACAGTCACTTTGTACAGTATTTTACAGTTTGTTGGAATAATAACCATGATGCCCTCATTCCCATTGGGAGCTAAGGGTCATCATACCAGAAAGGGACTGGCTATTCCAGATAGGAAGTGAACAAGACTGTTAAAATGCAGAAAACATAGGTAGCATAAATAGAATAATTAAAGTAGACCAGATTGAGTTTTCTTCCTCTCCCACCTCTTTTCCTGGAGCTTGGCATGTATAGATGCTAACGCAAGAGAAGGTCTTTTATCATGTAACTCAGGAATAGGAAGGAGACTGACATTTTTCTTTTTAGCACAACAGGATACAAAAGAAATGCTAGCAATAGGTTGATATTTGCAGTTGAGAGGCTTAATTGAGGCCAGATTGTTCCAAAGGCCTCTTCCCTTCCCCTCTTTACTCTTAAGATCTTACTATTGGTTGTCTACCCAGCATTCATTCCTGTCTTCTTCCTTCCAGATAAAACTCAGGTTTTGTTCTTTCTCTCCTACATCAAAATCAGTGGTGGTCGACCTCATTTTCAGCTCCAGGGATGGGCTTGATTGATCTAAGAGGAATTCTATTCTCTCTGGCAATGACTGGTTAAGGAATGGTGATCCCACAATTCTGGCTAATGAAACATGAGAAGTTTTCTTCTAGGATGGGTGGTGGCTTAGGGGCTTTTGCGGGAAATGTCTTTCCTTCTAGGAAAGAACCACAGGGAAAAAAGAAAAAAAAGAGCCCTTCTTCCTCTCTATCTTGTCTCATCCAGATATGATGCTCAGAGCTGCAGCCACCATATCGTTACGAGCCTGAGAAAGAAGCCAGCTAATGATGACAGAGCAAAGAGATAGAGAGAAACTACTCCCGAATGCCACTGTTGAAAGGCTAATTCAACCAGCCTCGGATCTGCCTGCCCCCTGGAATTCCTGCTATATGAGATAATAATTCTCTATTGTTTAAGCCAGCTTGAGTCAGGGTTTTGTTTCTGCCACCAAAAGCATCCTGACTAATGCAGGATTCAAAGTGCACTCTCCTCCCCCTCCTCCCCCATCCAGCAGCTGAACTGAACCTGAACATCACTGAGAATAACCAACATCCCATTGCAGAGGCTGTGCAGAAGAGGAAGAGGGGAGTGAGGGTGGGATGGAATACAGGAGGTTTAAAGACTGAGGAGTTCATAGGAATGGAGACAGAGCAAAGGTATAAGAGACAGGGATACTCTGTGCCACCTGCGGAGGGTAGAAACACAGAATGTGCTCAGGAATCAAGGACTAAGACTCCATAACTGTGGGCAAGGTGAATACATTAGACCTGCCACTGCTGAATCCTCACCATCCTCGACTCTGAATGTGCTGGACCATTGTGTTTGAAATTTAACTAAAGAACTGATTGAATAGACTCCATGGTTCCATATGGTGCTTCCCAGGCCAATAGTCCAACCACCCTTTTTCAGGTTGTGTCACCCCTACTTCCTGAAATATGGTGAACTGCTGGGATTACAGATTGTTGATCCCAGTAGACTCTTAAAAGGCCAACTAATCTAACCCTTTCCCTTTGTGAATGGGGCTCTAAGACTTAGAAAGGGGAGGTGAATTCCCTGAGACAGTGCAGAGTACATTTGTGGCAAAGCGGAAAAAGAAATGTAAGTCTCCTGTCTCCCAAGTCGGTTCCTACTATACCACCATTTCCCCCTAAGTGTACATCAAAAAATTGTCAAAGATTTTGACAGCCAGAACAGTTTTCAATGATCAAATAAGCTTGTGAAGTACTGCGTGAAGTATTAATAAATCATATTAAAGTTTTTTCTACTAGCAGAACTTCTCATAGTTTTGGTTTTGTTTTGTTTGTTTGCCAAAAAAATGCTTCATGAATCTCTAAAACTGAAATATAACATATATTCATATATTCTTTCTCAATCTATTAGGCTATGGAATCTTTCTCCCAGAGCATCTCATCAGAAGAGTGCTCTGCAAATTACATTTGAGCAAATGCACAACATTTGCCTCCAAAAAAGGGAATGAGGTCAGAACACAAAGAAAAGCAGAGTTCAGGCAGAAGTGAAAAGTGGGTAGATAAGTCATCAAATGGATGGATGGGTGGAAGAATGAATAGATAAATCATCAGATGGATGGATGGTTAGAAGAATGAATGGATAAATAGTCAAATGGATGGATATGTGGAAGAATGAATGGATAAACAGTCAAATGGATAAAGGGGTGAAGAGTGGATGGATGAATGGGTAGATGGTTAGAGAAAGGCAACATAATTTGAGTCCCCAGTATAGCAGACCTGTTACATGGCCAATATTTTTTTCCCCATAAGCTAGGTTGTGTAAGCTAGTCAGGTTTTTCTGTTGTTCTTGTGATAATACTGTATAACAAATGATTCCCAAATTTCAGTGGTAAATTTTGTGATAAACAATGTATCACAAAATTGTTTATACCATACTCTCAGGAAAGCTGGGCCTGGCTCACCCCCAGGATATGCTTACATTCAGGTCTTTTTCATTTGACTTTGTTGCAGAACCAAGACTGAAGGAATCAATGCTACTTGGTATGTGCTCTTCTCATGGTAATAAGAGGAAGTATCAAAGAGCTGGTAGACACTTGCCTCTTAAGACCTCAGCTTGAAACTGGTCCATAGCCACTTACAGCCACATTCCACCGGCCAAAACAAGTCTCACTGCCAAAGCCTAAACTCAATGGGGGGAAGAAAGCTATACTCTGTTCACAAGGAAGCCAAGAGCAGGGAGGTAAAGAAAAATAGTGGACAGATGCTTAAATTCCACCGGAAATTGGGTCTTCTATGGCTTACAAGCCAGAGTCCTGAAAAATTCAATTGGCTGGTTAATTTGGGGAATCCCTGCCTAGTAACATGCCTCTAACTTTATAGCTGGTCCCTGCTTGGTAAAGCGCCTCTAAATACTTTATAGCTAGACAAACTAGGCTGCTTTACTCACCTGGACTGTTCCTCATTTCTGAAACATTCCCTCTTCTCCACTCACTCTTACTTCTTCCTTCTTTTCAAATTTGACATAAACTTTTGTTTCTTGTTAGTATGTTTAACACAGACTTTTATAATTGTGTGATAGACAAACAATTCAACCTATTACATGATAGAGTGGCCTGACAGCAGCTCACTGCTGGCAGGGTTGTCATATTTGTACAGCAGTGATTGTTTAATTATCTGACTGTTTCTACAGGTATTGAATTCATTATTTTCTTTTTCTATTTTTCAATGATTAAATAATTGTTGTACGTATTTGGGGGCATGTGTAATATTTTGATACCTGTATATAATGTATAATGATAAATCCAGAATAACTAGGATTTCCATCACCTCAAACATTTAGCCTTTCTTTGTGTTGGGAACATTACAATTCTTTTCTTGTAGTTATTTTGAAATATACAATAAAGAATTGTTAACTATAATTTCCCTACTGTACTAGTAAATACCTCTCTATCTAACTGTATTTTTGTACCCCTTAACCAACTTACCTTCCCAGCCCCATTCGTTATTTTCTAAAAATGAACTGCATTGGGAAAAATGACAGAATTGACATTAACAATGAGAAGCAGAGATCTCATAAACTTAAGGCATTTGTAACAGAGATGGAAAGCGTTGGGCACACTCTAAATTGGGAATCTTGAGCCTCAAGAGGATCAACTGTAGATTCAATTATGAAGGAAACAAGCAAAATTAAAGAACGAGTCTGTGGTTCTGAATGTTGTTGTTGAAGACTGTGTTGCAAGGTGAAGTATAATTGGGGATTCGATTATATTTTACAGGCCTCCAGAGAAAGAAACCCCTTGGTGATATATACAAGGATAGAATTTGATTTTCAGATATACTGTCTGAGGAACATACTAAAGGAAAATAAATATTTTACTGCCTGTATCTACGAAATAATTAACATGAATATGGTCACCTGCCAATCAGTGAGCATGATTTGAGAGCTCACATTAATCAGGAGGGTATAGCATGGTGTATTGTTACACACAGAAACCTAGTCCCCAGTTTTGGGACTTTGGGAAAATTACTTAATCTCAGTTTCCCCATGTGTAATATGGAAGATGATACTACAGACATCTCATGGTTTTTGAGAAGTTCAAATCAAATAATAATTAGCTCCATCTTCTTGCTATGGACCAGGCAGGGTTCATATACTTTACATAGTTAACACATTACTTACAACACTCTGTGAGCGGTTATCTGTCCTTTACAGAGGAGGAAATGAGGCATGAGGAAGGGAAGTGGCATGCCCAAGGCAACACCGCTGGTTAGCAATAGAGCTAGGATGCCACCTCAGGCCATCTGGCTCATAATCTATGCTCCTGTCCAGTCCACTGTCACATCTCCAGGACAAACTCAGCATGGGGAGAGCAACACAGGGCAGATTCTTAGGTAATTGGCACATCTCCCTTTTCACCTCAATGGAGATGACAGACACGGAAGCACCCGCCTGGGCTCTCGTGCGTGTGCCTGCGTGCTTCGTATGTTTCCTTGATGATGCAGGTTGGGCAAGTGTGGGGTGGCTCTGCCTCCTTCTAGCTCTGTGACCTTTGGCAAATCATCAAGTTTCTCGTCTTCCACTTCTTCACCTGTCCGTGGGGCTGATAATACTCGCCTCTAATATTTTACAGAACTCCTGTGAGGTCCGAAGAGATAACAAAGGCTCAAGTCCCTTGAAAATTTAAGTCCTCTGCAAATGCTAGGTTTGTTTTATAACATAACGAGGCTGATCTTTTAAAGTAACATACCAGACCCAACCCTCCCAAGTGAGAGCTGGTCCTTCAGAGGCGTCCTCCTCCTCTGCTACTGAGACAGAGGCTTTTTCTAATTATGCCGTTTTTGCTCAAGGCATGTTTGGAATGTTTCCTTGGAAATTACCTTTCCAGCTAGTTTACAGGCCAAGTGAGAAAATCAGTTTTATTACCTCACAGACAGGCCTCCATTTCATTTCGGGGAGCCAAAAATGGTGTTTCTGATCTTGTTCTCTCATCTTATTCGTAAGAAGCCGTTCTGAATGAAGTATGTCTATTTTAAAAAAATCAAATCCACCCTCAGAGGGGGAAGATTTGCCTCATGGAGACTATCAAAGGAAATTGATGTGGGAATCTGAAAGCAATATCATTATTTCACAGTCATATTTCACACTCATCAACCTCAAATGACAGCTGTGCCCCATTGTGCCAGCCAGGTCTATGAGCAAGTGCTGAGCCCGTCAGATATTAAGAGATCCATCCCTACGATCATCCTCAGACTGAAAAGCATCTTAGAAGTCATGTTATCTAGGCAGGGCACAGTGGCTCACACCTGTAATCCTAGCACTTTGGGAGGCCGAGGCAGACTGGTCACTTGAGGTCAGGAGTTTGAGACCAGCCTGGCCAACATGGTGAAATCCCGTCTCTACTAAAAATACAAAAAAAATTAGCCAGGCATGGTGGTGGGCACCTGTAATCCCAGCTACTTGGGAGGCTGAGACAGGAGAATTGCTTGAACCTGGGAGGTGGAGGTTGCAGTGAGCCCAGATCAGGCCACTGCACTCCAGCCTGGGCAACAGAGAAAGACTCCGTCTCAAAAAAAAAAAAAACAAAAAAAAAAAAACAGAAATCTTATTATCTAAATCATTCAATTCATTCATTCAGTGCATCCATTCCTTCAAAAAGCCTTACACTAAGTATCCTCAACAAACACACCCTCACTCTAATTAGAGAAGCAACAGGAAAACACACAGGTCAAAGAGAAGTGATGCTCACTCTGATGGAGGCCTGTGATCGCTGAGACACCAGGCTGGCCCGACCCCAGAAGCCACGTTTAGGGACTTTTCTGGACGAGAGGCCCTGGAGTGGGATTTAGAGGTCCAGTTACAGTTAGTGAAGTCAAGAAGGGTCCAGGAATCTGGAAAGAAGGATAAATGTGTATCCAGGCCCAAGACGTGGAAGGACATGCCGCTTTTGTACAACAGCAAAACTGGGAAAGACGTGCAAGTCCTCAGAGACCCAAGAACGAGTAAGTTTGGTGCCCATAGTACAGACATGGCATAACAAATGCTAAAGTGCTTGACAATATTTCAAACTCAGAGTGGAGAGAAAGGGACTATTACCAATGTTTTAACTTCCACCTTTCCTAGAAGAGGCTAGCAAATGCATCTGTAGTTATTTCTAATGATCTGCAGGCTAAATAACTCATGCCCTTTTGTGTTTGCTCAGCCTCTTAGGCTTGAGTTTTTCTTACAACTGCCCACTTTCCTCATTCATATTGCCTTCCTGGCTTCTGCTGGTACTGAATTGGCCACCTTGCTTTTAGCTGGTTGACACCATTTACTATGCCCTATTGAAGAAGCTCTTTTTTTTTTTTTTTTTTTTTTTTGAGACGGAGTCTTGCTCTGTCACCCAGGCTGGAGTGCAGTGGTGTGATCTTGGCTCACTAAAAGCTCCGCCTCCCGGGTTCACGCCATTCTTCTGCCTCAGCCTCCTGAGTAGCTGAGACTACAGGTGCCCGCCACCACGCCCAGGTAATTTTGTTTTTGTCTTTTTAGTAGAGATGGGGTTTCACCATGTTAACCAGGACGGTCTCGATCTCCTGACCTCATGATCTGCCCGAAGAAGTTCTTAAATTGAGATCTACAGACTCCTTGTAGGATTCAAGAATTAAGGAAGGATCCATGAACTTGAAGGGGAACAAAAGTTACATCTTTTTTTTACTAATCTCTAACTTAAATTTAGATTGTTCTTCATTCTTCAATGTAGGCAACAAACCACGGTAGTATTAGCAATGCTTCTACCTGTGGGTTCATCACCAGTAGGAACAACTACTATTTCCATTTTTTTACGAGGGTTGTTGCAGAATCTCAAAACAGTGTTTGCATCCATTGCTGCTTTGAAACTGCAATACATATTCGACCTGCCATTGGATCTTATTATTTAACACCTCAAAAAAGCACATATATTTCTATATTATAAGATAAGGATTTTTTTTTACATTTTGATAATCATTTCTCAATAGAATTGGTTTCCTCTATAAAGCTATATATTTCATTTTAAACATTTAATCCATTACTCTGAGAAGGGGTGTATGGCACAAAAAAAATCTTAATAATCCCCACTTAGACACTTCTATGTGCTTTAAACAAAAATGAATACATTTAATTATTGCTGGCATAATTAATTATAATTATCGCTGCTGGCTTTTACAGATGGAAAAAAACTGAGTCACAGAAAGATGAAATGAACTACAAAGTGCCACATAATCAGGAAGTGGCAGGGCAGGGAAGGGATCTCAACAGCCTGGTTCCTGAGGCCATGCCCTCAACCACTGGGCTGTCCTGCCTTCTAGAAGAACCTGGACAGGGAACAGGCCCAGAGCCCCAGGGCCTCCATTTGATCCTAGAGGTAACAGGAAGAGCAGGAGGAGAGAGAATTGCATCTGTGCTGCGGAAAGATAAGAGAATGGAGTAGAGGAGCCTGGAATGAGATGTGGGTAGAAACCCAAAAGGGAGGAAATGGCCCAAACCAGAGCAGTAGCTGTGAGCAGAAGAGTGGTAATCAATTTCACCAATCTTTAGGCTATGGAATCAATACACCTTGGTACCCAGAGAATGAAGTGCTCCCAACCAGATAACCAGGTAACTGAATAAGGTTCTTTTCTCATTAACTCTGCTATCCTAAATCAAGAAAGCAAAACAATGATTCTGAGGCCAAATAGAACCCATGGAGTAAGGGCTAAAAGCTAATTATTTAGAACATTTGAGTTGATTTGAATGGTCAGGGGTTAAGCCATTGGATTGCCAACAATTTCCAATCCAGTTCCATACACTTTGGTGGACCCAGTAAGCATCAGATATAGTCAGAGGTCAAAGGAGAGACAAGGACTACACAATGTGGCCTAAAGGAGGTGCCCTGGGATTCTGTGCAAGCTTCTACTCTGAGCATTGCAGGGCACTTAACAACCCTAAGCCCTGGGCATGAAATGCCTTTAGCACTGCACCTCATTGCCGTGACAGCCAAAAAGTACTCCCCCATATTTTCAAATCCCCCCACCCCCAGGAAGCCCTCCCACCCTGCTTGACAGCCTCTAGGCTACAGACAAAAGCAATAATCAGAGGCTGGATCCATCCACGTAAGAGTCATTCCTGCAATCCTGCAGCAAAGTTCTGTTATTAATAATTCAATCCTAACCACAGAGTCTTCCCTGAACGTGCTCTCTGTAATTCTGCTGTGCCTTTATCCATGCTGTTTCCACCTCTGACCACACCCTCCTCCCGTGCTCATCAGCCGGGCAGACTCAGCATCTGGCACGTGGTCAGAACTCAATATCCATTAGCCATTATGCACACCTGCTCTGTGAAGCCGCCTCCACTTCCCTGGGGAAATAAGGCACACTTTCCATAACCACCATGCTTTACGCTTACCTCCATTAAAACAGTGACCAAACGGTGTTGTGATCATTTATTTCCAAATAGAATGCACATTTTCTAATAGACACTCGGGAAGATGTGTTGAATGAATGAATAAATAATATCTTAATTTGCCCAGTGATCTATACTGTCAACAACTCAAGCAGATCAGGCCATATTTCAATTTTGCTGAGAAGAAAACTGTAAGTCTCCCTCTTCCCAAAAAAAAACTACCATTTATTGAATATTTAATAAACATTATTTATTAAATAACATTTAATAATGTCATTAAATGTACTGCCCTGATAATTCCTGATTGTATGGCATTGTGTGTTTAGCAGTGTACTGTCACTTTAAATTCATTGTACCAGTTAAGAGGAAGTCTAAGAGGCTAGGTGGCTCTCCCAAGGTCAAGGCCACACAGCCAGTGAGGAAAGGGCTGAACCGCATGCAGACGGCCTCGGCCTTGTGATCTGTGGGGCTTATCTGGACACAGCAACTAAATGGGGCACAAAGCAAATCCAAAATACTGTACATGTTAGGATTTATAAAGAGAGGAACATTAGGGTGGGAACTCTTTTAAAAAAGGATTTCAGGATGATACCTTTAAAAGCATAAGCTCCCTTGTAAGTTAAAAATCTTCCTGATTAACAATCACTAATTTTCTCACCCAGCTCTGCAGGAAGACACCAGTTGCACAAAGTGGGGCCACCTGCATTTCCAGGAACACAGACATCCCAGTCAGTGCCAGGAAGGTGGTGAATGTCCTCAGCCTGTAGGGGTTGCCATCAGGTCCCCACTGGCCCCTGCAATTCCTCCTCTGGTGTGAGTGACGGTGTTCTTGGTTCTGCTTGCTGGGAGCTCACCTAGGAGAGAACCCAGCACTGAGAGAGACCACAGGGCGTGCTTGGCTCCAAAAGACACCCACTTTGGGCTGAGGTTGGGGGCTGCATTTTGCATTTGCCTCAATGCCTGGGTGGTCTCCAGGGCTGGTGCCAAAGAGCACACATTGCAGCAATTTAGCGGAGACCACAGAAGTGGGTGAGAGCGGCAGAGGTTGAAGTGGGTTTGGAGACAGGCTCCACACCCCCACCCTGCTGACTCCCTCTTGCCACCCACAGAATAAAAAGGTGCTTCTGGTCCATGCATAGTGTGTTGCAAAGGCTGTTTTCCATGCTGGACAATCAACTGCCAGGCACTACCCTCCCTGAGCCTCTGTTCACTCAGATATGAAAATAAGGGTGAGAACGTCCACCCTTATTTAACGTGAGGACGAGATGGTGCCTTGTTTGGGTGCTTAGAGTAATGAATTCAGTGGTAGAGAGGGGAAACCTTTGTTATCCACAAGGCTGAGAGGGTGCACAATTCAGTTCAGCAACTATTTATGTTAATAGCTGCACCATTCCAGTCCCTTCTGGAGATACAGAGATAGAAAAGATACAGCCCCAGCTGTCATAACTCTGATATGAGGCCTGGTTTTCATTTTCTTTCAACATGGAAAGACAGAGAAGGCAATTGGGATGTGAAAGGAGGCGAGTGCCTTGGTAGGAGGGACGGAGGTTAAAGGGCTGACCCCCAAGAGGCCTCCACTCCAGAGGCCTGGGGCCTGGGTCGGATTAAACTTGACACCAGCTTTTAATAAGAGCACCATGTAATGAGGGCCTGCCATGTGCCAGCCCCATGCTAAGCACATCAAATACATCATCGGATTATCTTCAAAGCAATCTTTGAATGAATGATGATCTTCAACTCTGCAATGGAAGCATCATTAACCCTTTTTTAGAGGCAGCACTGTGTACTGGCTAAGGATGTGAGCTTCAGAATTGAGCAGCTGTGTGACTCCTGCAAGTGGTTTAACCTGAGCCTCAGTTTCTTCACCTGTAAAATGAAAATCATGCACAGCTCCCTCCTGGGTTTATTTAGGGAAGTTAAAAGCAATATACATTTAACTGCTTAGCACAGTATCTGGAAATCCACTGCGGTTACTATGAAATGGTAGCCTCAAGAGAATGTGTACTGTGTTCAAAATACTGTGGGCGCTTAACAAATGTTAGCTTTCTGACTACATTTACTGTGCTACCCCTCCTGCCCACCAGCCCCACCTGAGCTCTGCATTCCTAGTGCTTAGCACAGAGTCGCACTCCAATGCACTGACTGGAGACGTGAAATGGTATTATAGAGTGAGGATGTCAGGCCAGAACGTTTCCTCTAGATCTGTGATTCTAATATTGTTTTATTCTATAACATCTTTTGAGAATATAAGCATGCCCCTTCCCCTCTCTCTCTCTCTCTCACACACACACACACACACACACACACACACACACATCAGTCATATTAATGTCGCAACAATCTGTGAGTTCCAGGAGAGAGGAGATCCATTTTAAGATGCACTCGAGTCCAATACCCCTTGGCTATAGCGCAATTACTTGCCAATACTGTTCTTAAAAGAGAGCCGGGCCCCGACAGCTGGAGTTGATGCTCTCCAGGCCACCCCAGTGGGCCCCACACCTCCGGCTCCTTCACCTGATGGTGACCCAGTGATTCGGCCCTGCCATCTCTGGCCGGGTTTTGCTGTTTTCCCAGCCAGAGCAGCAACACTCCAGGAGTCAAAAGGATAACAGGAAGAACTCCAACCTGAGCAAGAGGTTTTTTTTTAGTGGACCTATGCTTTCATATGGCAGCCACACAAAGGCACAGACAGAAATAGTTACTGCAAACTGTTTCCCTTCGAAGCTTCTCCTTCCAAGGAGATGCTTATCATCATTGAGACTGCTTGTTTGAGAAGAGCTGACTGTCAGCGCAGGGTCAGGCCAGGCAGGGAAGCGAATTCCAGGGGACCAGGGCTGTAGCTATTACCAACAGCTGTCAGAGCTGGAAATGTGGAAACATCTCTGAGCCAACCTCCATCCACACGTACATGAAACCCAAAGGGGAGAGAACATTCCCTCTCTGGAAAGAGAGTAAGGTGTTCATGTTTCTTCTTTTCCTTCTATTTATTTCCCCCTTTCAGAGATAAATTTGCTATCCTGCAGGTCTGGAACTAAGAGATGAATGCTGCTTCCAGACAATGGGATTATTTTCTCTCACAGATTGAAATACGACCTTGTCTCAATACAGCACATTGAGTTTTGTTTTGTTTTGTTTTGTTTTGTTTTGAGGGGACAGGGTTCACTATATTGCCCAGGCTGGAGTGCAGTAGCTATTCACAGGTGCGATCATAATGCACTAGCAGCCTTGAACTCTAGACTCAAGCAATCCTCATGCCTCAGACTCCTCAAGTTGAGTAGCTGGGACTACAAGTATGGGCCACCATGCCAGGCCTACCTTGAATATAATTCAATTAAATTCAACAAGCATGTGCTAAAGGCCAACAACAGGCCGGGTACCTTTGCTAGAGGCTTGGGAAGCAGAGATGTATCCTCATCCTCACTTAGCCTGAGTTATTTCTAAGTATCCTTACTAGAATACCTTACACAGGGTCCTGCCCTGTAGAAGGGCCCACTCACTAACTCATCATCTTCCCACACTCCTTCTCCAGTATCTTGGATTTTCTTAAAGATTTCATTTACCCAGTTATCTTCTCTTGGGTTCAGACAATCATCTTCAACCCTTCACTTTCCTTTAGCAATAGGTTCAGACAATTCTAACTGCTAAGTGACCTGGAATTCCATCCCTCTCCATTGGGTCCTTATTGCTAATTGCTATGACCTATTCAACTTTTTTGGTTTCTGCCAAGACTTATGCTAGACCCTCCTTACCGGACTCCTTTACCTTCAGTTTGTCTACTTCCAAATTCTCTTCACTCTGTATCCAGAACCATCTATCTCTAACATAGTCTGACTATGTCTCAACCCAGCCTTAGCACATTTGACTGGTACCCATTTTCTCTAACATGAAATTTTCACCCTATTTCACAGAGTGCACAAATCCTATCTTCGCTCAGGCTGCTATTGCAAAATATTATAGACTAAGTGGCTTAAGCAACAGAAATGCATTTCCAACAGTTCTGGAGGCAGAGAAGTCCAAGATCAAGATTTTGGCCAACTTGGTTTCTGGAGAGGGCACCCTTCCTGGCTTGTAGAAGGCTGCCTTCTCACTGTGACTGCACATGACCTGTCCCCAATGGTTGTGCATAGAGAGTTAGAACAAGCTCTCTCTTCCTCTTCTTTACATGGCCCCCAAGCTATTGGATTAGGATCCCACCCTAATGAGGTCATGAGACCTCACTTAACCTTAATTACCTTCTAAAAGCCCTATCTCCAAACACAACCACATCGGGGATTAAGGCTTCAACATGTGAATTTGGTGGTGGGGACACAATTCAGTCCATAGCAAGGTCCTTCTCAAACTAAGTTCAATTTCTATCTACTCTTGTCTCCAATTACTCCTCCATCCCATACTCCTGCTGGGCCTCACCACAAGGAACCACTTGAAGGCGTCCCAATACCGTAGCTGACTCTTATCTCTGGCATCTGTTGTTCAGTAACCAGAGTAAGGTGGGCACCGCTGTCCTGCCACAATGGGCCATTTTAAAGTGAATGCCTGGTTACATCTTGATCATTAGAATGCAGTGTGCTTCATGGCCTAAATTATGTATTTTCCTCAAGGTTGTTAAGGTGTCACTGAAGAATGTCTACTAGCCAAAAATCTATTTTGAATGTAGAGGAGGTCATTCTATTTTGCAATAATTGTTTCTTTCCAGCCACTGGGTTCCCCCAAGTCTGAACCCCCTATGCTTAATCAGCATCTGCTTTTATTTCCAACTTGTGACTGTCACAAGAAATGACCCAGATATCTCAGAGGGCTGGTGAGTTTTTATTTTTACTACCAGTCTGTTGCAATATTTGGCAAACAGGGGGAGGAGTTATTATATTATGTGATTTTAATATTATAATAACTAATAGTTTGTATCTTGCACAGAATGCTTAGACGTATCAGACAAGCCTTTTGCATACATTTGCCTGACTACTTTTCACAAAAACTCAATGATATGATTGTTACTTTTATCCTCATTTTACAGAGAAGTAAACTGTGATGTGTGAAGATAAAGCCATTTGCCCAGCTAGTAAATGCTAGATTCAGAATCTGTATCAGATTTGTATGCCTTCAAAGCCAGATAACTGGCATGAGCCAGCTCATACTGGCTTGAGAGAGCTGATCATACACATCTGTTCCCAGCTCCACATCCATTGACATCATGCTGGTTACTTGAAATTGACCACGGCAGGAATATTTACACCACAGAAATTGGCAATCACCACAAATCACTTCTTTTCTTCTGGAGACACAGTTTTTAAACATTTAACAGCACACGCATAGATAGGTGTGGTTTTCTGGCTTGGAGGAGGGAAAAATAAGAAAGAGAAGGAAAGGCAGAGGAATTTCTGTTTTTCCTGAGGCTTTGATTTTATTGACCCACTTAACAGAGAAACAATCCTAGAATGAGTCAGCTCAGAAAGAGAGCTTAAAAAGAAGTCGAAAATAATCTCTCTAAATTTCATCCATTTTAACACTCTATGACTCTGAAACCTGAAGTTTTTTCATCCACAGCAAGAGCCTACTATGTGCCAGGCCCTGTTCTTGGGAGCTTACACCTGGGGGCTGAAATCTTCATGCAGAAGTTTCACTCTCCCCGTTGGAATTGCGGAACTTGCGAGTGAGTCTATGATTGGGACTCCCAGGCGGTGTCTGGGAAAGGAAAACAAGCAGAAGGCGATCTGGGGTTATCTGGTTCTGCGGAACCTCCTTCCCTCACAGGTTTTCTTCTTGGGTAGCCCATATACATGGAGCTCAGGAACACTCCTGAGCTGTGGTATTGCTTCAACCAATGCCAAAATCTGGGTCAGGCCTCACTTTCTGTCACCAGCCCCACAGACACAGCCTTTACTCCTTCCCTTCTCAATAAGGACAGTCACCCAGACAATTCCCTGGTCAGATTCATTTATTAATTTACTGAGGGCCTATCTTGTTCAGGGCCCTGAGATAGGCATTGAAGATACCAAGATGCATTAGGCAGAACCTGGCTTGTAGGAGTTCACAGTCCAGTGGAAGAGAAAACATAAGGAGACAATAACAATAGAATGTGACCTTTGCTCCAGAGGGAGACATTATTCCCATCTTCCAAGGCTGTAAGCAGACTTGCCCTTTGCTCCAGAAGAAGATGCTTTATCTTCCAAGGCTGTTTGCTATTAAAACAACCTTGAAAAGATAGTCCAGAATAAAAGACATACATGCCTCTGCTTGCAAGACATGCAGAAACACAGAAGACCCATGGAGACTTGTTTTCCAGCAAACTGTTAGAAGTTGTAGTCTTTGCCATATCACTGCATATTCACTTCACAGCATTTTAGAAGAAAGGGAGTATGCATCACTTTTTCACTGTTTATGAGATTGGCATTCCATGTATTAAGTTGCTTGTCTTATAAATTTGTTTCTGGTATTGACTGTATCCTCTACATTTTGTCTGTCAGTTTTTAAATAAATCAGCAGGGTTTATTTCAGCTTCCCTTTTCCTGTTCATTTTGAGATGCCTGTTTCAACATTTATTTGCCAAACTTTCCAGTGACTAATCCCAGTAAAGACAGCAGTGGCTCAATAGCTTTATAATTGGAATGTTGCTTTGAAAATTGCAACAATCTCTTGCTAGGTATTTGGAAATAAAATTTAAGCCATATAAGTATGATTTTTCATATTAGTAACAGTACATAATGCACTTTTGTCACTGTGTACATAAGATAAAAGGAAATTGGGATGTTTTTCAGAGTAAATGTGTGGTTCTGGCTGCAAATTCAAAAATTCATATCATACTTGTGAGCACAGGGACACAATGGGAAGACATTAATATTTTTGAAACATGCTAAAAATTCTATAATAGCACATGTCTGGATTGAAAATTGAGAATTGAATTGAAAATGTACAACTTCTATGCATTTAGAAAATAATCCCAGATAAGAGCGAGGTTGTTTAGAACACAAGAATTTGAACTTTGAGGCACTGATAGATGACTGCAATCTCAGATCAGCTCCAACCTCCAATCCAGTTCTCTTTTGTTTTGGCCACAGTTCAGATAAAAAATCTTTTCTTTTTTGAGATGGCGTTTCACTCTTGTTGCACAGGCTGGAGTGCAGTGGCACAATCTTGGCTCACTGCAACCTCTGCTTCCTGGGTTCAAGCAATTCTCCTGCCTCAGCCTCCCAAGTAGCTGGGATTACAGGCATGCACCACCACGCCTAGCTAAGTTTGTATTTTTAGTAGAGATGGGATTTCACTGTTGGTCAGGCTGGTCTCGAATTCCTGACCTCAGGTGATCCAACCACCTCGGCCTTCCAAAGTGCTGGGATCACAGGGGTGAACCACCACGCCTGGCCTCAGAGAAAATCTTGATGTGTATAAAAAATTAGATTGAGAATAGCAATTTTAAAAACCAGTTGTTTCATTTCAGTGTTCTTCTTTCCTTTCTGAAGTTTCAAGCCTTCTATTATAATTTCCTTTCTGTTCAGAGAACTTCCTTTACCCATTCTTTGAAAGAAGATGTGCTGGCAACAAATTCTCAGTTTTCTTTCATCTGAGAATGTCTTTATTTCCCTTTCATTCCTAAAGAATAGTCTCACCCAACAGAATTTGCAATTGACAGTTCTTTTCTTTCAATATTTCAAAAGCATTGTGCTATTTCCTTCTGGCCTACCTGGTTCCGGGGGAGACATACTCTGTTCTTCCAGTGGTTTTTCCAATGTAAACAATCTGTCATTTCTCTCAGGCTGTTTTCAAGATTTTTTGTTTTGTTTTGTTTTTCTTTCAGTTTTTGGAAGTTAATCTATGTTGTTTCTTAGATTTCTTTGAGTTAATCCTACCTGGGGTACTTTTAGGTTCTTGAATCTGTAGGTTACATATTTCACCCAATTTAAGAAGCTTTCAGCTATTATTTTGTTGAATACTTTTTTTAGTTCCACTCTCTCTCCTCTCTTTCTAAGACTCTGATGATACAAATTTAACTCTTTTGTTACTGTCCCACAAGCTCTGTTCACTTTTTTTTTAATCTATCTTTTTTTCTGTTGTTGGGTAGATTCTATTGATCTGTCTTCAAGTTCAGGCTCTACACTCTGTCATCTGTACTCTACTATTAAGCCCGGCCAGTGAGTCTTTTATTTTAGTGATTACATTTTATTTTATATTTTTTATTTTAGTGACTATATGTGTATAACTTCTATTTGGTTATGTTTTTATAACCTCTGTTTATTTGTTGCAATTTTCTAGTTTTTCATTTGTTTCAAGAAAATTAATAAGTACTTGTTAAAGCCTTTTGGATGACTGCTCTAAAATTCTATTCAGATAATTCCAATAACTGATTCATCTCAATGTTGGTATGTATTAGCTTTCTCATTCAAGTTGTGATTTTTCCTGATTTATGCTATGATGAGTGATTTTGTTATTGCATCCTAGACATTTCGGATAGTATATTATGAGACTCTGAATCCCTTTTAATCTTTTTTTTTTAGTAAGCAGTCCTGCTGCTGAGGTGTAGACCAAGAGCCTTGTGGGTGTATAAGTGATCATCTTCCTACTGGGCTCTGGAGCTGACTCACAGTGCCTCATTGAAGATGGGTAGGGTGGAAGTTCAGCTCCCTCCTTGGTCCCACTGGCACCTTCTAGATAAATGGGGGACACCATCTTGCATCACCTAGTTTCCTCCAAGTTGGGGTGTAAGCTCAGCTCTCCACTGGGCCCTGCTGCCCATCAGGAAAAGAGGAAGTAAAGGGCTGACTCAAACCACTTTTTTGCTGCAGAGAAGGGGTAGAAGCTCAATTTCTTGTTGGTCCTTGCTGACACCAGACGAGAGCAGAGGAGAAGAAGGAAGGGGAGGGGAGAGGGGGAGAGAGGAGGGGAAGGGAGGGGAGTGAGGTAGTAGAGAAACCTATTAGCTCCCCTTTCAGCCATCTCATTCCACTTCACTGATGCCAGATAGGGGTGAAGATGCAGCTTCCCACTGGGTCTCACTTACATAGGAATGAGGGAAGGAGAAGTGGAGTCCTGACTAGGCCCAACTTGCACTGCCTCATTTAGTATTTCTGCTCCCCGGTATAGACGGCTGGACCCTACTGAGACTACCTCAGCAAGGGCATTAGAGCACCATTTAGAGTTTCCACAGTTATGTCTTCATGTTCAGTTATCTTCTGTTGTGCAGTGTCTATCTGTATTAATTCATTCAGTATAGTTTTTAAATTTCAGATACTGTGTTTTTCATCTCCGTAAGTCCTTTGGGCTCCTTTTTGTATTTCTCACTTCTCACTTCACTATGCTTGTTTTCCTTAAACTTACCAAGCCCATTAAATATATTTATAGCAGTTGCTTTAACATTCTTGTCTTCTAATTCCATCATCTCTGTCATTGACTAACTTCATATTGGCTGATTTTTCTCCTGGTTATGGGTTCCATTTTCTTGCTTCTTCATATACCTTTTTAATTGAATTCTGAACATTATCATTTTGTGTTGTTGGATGTTAGATTGTATTTTATTCATTTAAAGAGTGGTGAACTTTTTCTGGCAGTCTGTTAATTTATTCATGGATTAATTGAATCTTTTTGAGGCTTATTTTTAAGCTCTTTCAGGACATGTCTAGAGTAGCTTTTATTCTAGGGCTAATTCACCCCAGTTCTAAGATGTGGCTCTTCTGGTATCCCTACTGAATGCCTTGGTATTCAACAAGGTATCTTCACACTGGCTAGAGACAAATTAATTATGTATCTTGTGTGAGCTCTGAAAATTGTTTGTTTATAGCTTCCTGATAATTCTTTCCTCAAAAGTTGTTTGTGTCCCATCCTATCAGGTTTCATCATATGCATGCATAAATTAGCATTCAGCTGAAGACTCAAGGGAACATTAATGCATATTTCTGGAATTTTTTTTTCTGTACAGGTTTCTCCTCTCCATAAACCTGTCCCACAAGTCCTAGCTGACTTGATATCCTCAAACTCCAGCCTCAGTCTTCTCAACTGAGCAAGATTTTCAGCCTCTCTTGAGTTCCCTTTTCCTATACTGCATCCTAGAAACTGCCTCTGAGAAGTAATCTGGACCAATGATAGAGCTCACCTCATTAGTCCCATCTCTCACTGATCACATTTCCTTCACTGCCTAAATGTAATGTCTGAACACCATTGTTTTATATATTTTGTCTTATTTTCTAGTTGTTAATAGGAGAGGACCTTTCCCATAGCAGTTAAACCTTCATGATTTGAAAGAAAACTTCAATACATATTGTTGAATATATATTGTTGACTATATATTATTGAATAATGAAGTAATCAATGTGTCAAGGGATATGCAAAACTTTAATTGGATAGGCCTAAGTCATCTGACCACTCCCAGAGCTGGGGTAGAGTCAACTCAACCTAAACTTCACCTGAAACACATCAACTGAGAGTGAGGGAGTAGGTATTTCCCAGAGGAAAATTTTGATAAAAATTACCAGTAGAAGGGTGAAGGAATATTAGGGAACAAAAACAGAAAATATCCATGACACATATCATCTAATCCATTTCTCTGTCTAAAACAACCCAGCAGTCATCTAAAATCTTCTTGATTGCCTGAAGTGATGAAGAACTCACCACTTATATTGGCAACCCATTCCATCTATGGTTAGTCTTTTTTTTTTTTTTTGAGACAGAGTCTTGCTCAGTCACCCAGGCTGGAGTGCAGTGGTGTGATCGCGGCTCACTGCAAGTTCCGCCTCCTGGGTTCACTCCATTCTCCTGCCTCAGCCTCCTGAGGAGCTGGGACTACAGGCGCCCACCACCACGCCTGGCTAATTTTTTTTTTTATTTTTAGTAGAGACGGGGTTTCACCATGTTAGCCAGGATGGTCTCGATCTCCTGACCTCGTGATCCACCCTCCTCCACCTCCCAAAGTGCTGGGATTACAGGTGTGAGCCACCACGCCCAGCCTATGGTTAGTCTTAATCCCTAGAAAATGCCCCCTATGTTGAACCAGGATCTGCTTCTTCCTTCTAATTTCTTATTACTTCTAATTTTGCCATCTACAGCCACACCAAGTCCAACACTTCTTTCCATGTAATAGTGCTTCAAATAGTTGGATCTTTTAGAACAATGGATGATGGTTTGCAGGAATTCGATAAAATTAGGCCTACTAATAATACACTGCAGTAAGTCTACAGATCAATTATTTGAGAGAGTTGTTTGGTTATTTCAATGTTGGATAAATATAACTGGCTGTTTTAACTAATTTGCTATTCAAATAAGAACATATTGGTTATGAACATGGACTTTAGGTTTTTGTGAACATGGACTTTAGATTTGGGTTTGAATTCTAGTTCTGCCATTTAGAGACTATACAGCATTAGAAAATATACTATGATCTTAGTTTTCTTCTTTGTGTAATGGGAGTAATAATAGCTTCCTATTTGTGAAGATTTAATATGGTAATATTTATAAAGCATATATTTCAGGGTCTATTAAATAGTAAATATTTATGAAACAGTAGTTGCTATAACAGCTGGTCTGAAAAATTAGTCAATTAATTAATTCAGTACAAGCCTTGTGCTAGGAACTGGAATAATGGATGAATAAGATGTCATACTGCCCTCTAAGAAGACAACCAACATTAAAATGATATGTTAATTTGATGTGAGACTAGCAATAAAAACAACATGCTAACAAAACACAGACAACAATATTTTTAGAGGAAGTGATCTTGGATCTAGGCCTTGGAGAATCTAGTTTTCCAGGTGACAAAGTGGGGGTGGGAATGAAGGAACACTATAGGCAGAAGAAACGTTAAGAAGAGATTCACAGAGCTGCTATAGCCATTTTAAAACATGGCGCCAAAATTCTTTGTCACACTTTCTATCTGTGAGAAGTGGAGTTTATGTCATCTGCCCTGAAATCTGAGTTCTGTGGCTGCTTGAGCATCAGAATACCATGGAAGTAAAACTGAGTTGTTCCAAAGCCCAGTCCACTCCCTGTATCTTTGAAATACTCACACTTGGTACCCATTTAGCATGCTGAGAAGAAGCCAAGAAACCATATGAAGAGGCCATGCATGTACAGCTTTTCCAACTGACAGCCCCAGCTGAGATCTCAGCCACCGGCCAGCTCCAAATGCCAGCTACATGAATGCACCATCTTGGAAGTGGATCCTCCAGTCTCAGTCTAGCAGCCCTAGTGGAAGCTGCCTGAAATAGAGATGAACCTTCCCTGCTAAGCCCTGTCCAAATTGTAGATGCATGAGCTAAATAAATGATTGTTGCTGTTTTAAGCCATTAAATTTTGCGATTATTTGTTATGAAGCAATAGTTGAGAAAGTTGACAGACTGTTTACAGACTGACAGATGCTCTGACTTTGGAAAGAATATAAGATGCAAAGCAGAGAATGGTGGAGGGGGCCTTTGATATATTCTGCCTGGAAGAAGATGAGGATTTGCTTTAAGTCAGAAGCATGGGGACACAGAGACATGAAGACCAATGATGAAATAGCAGTTTCAGACAGTCTCTACTACAGTATTTCCCATGTGATAGTCCAAAAAAAATTCTATGGTCACGTAAGTTTCATGGCCACACCCAGAATATATTAACATATTAAAGAATATTTCCAAATATATTTTGCCACCCACATACACTTTTGTTTCTGTGGAAGGCTAATAACATAGTGTGGTAATTGTATTCAGTGGGACCTCCTTTGAAAAATTCTACTCTATCTCCTCTAATAAGTTGAATATTTCAGAACTCATCTTGTCTTCACTACTTTGAAGAAGTCTTAACTGCCCCGAAAGGTTAATGTACAACACACAAAAAACTCTCCCTTCTGGCCTAATTGTTGCCTCAGGACAATCAGATTTATAGACACCAGCACAGTCATGCAGAAGGGCTCAAGGGGAAAAGAAGGTTTACGTTTTCCAAGAATCAAATCAATACCCACAACACTTTGACTTCAGAGCTCCCACACCTTTCATGAAGACTTGTCAAGCACAATCTGTTTGCAGGATGGTGTGTCTCAGGCTAAACAATCCCCATAAATACATGTGCTTCATCTATTTTCCTTATTTGTGCCAGGTGGATTTTCTGAAATTTCTGTCTGTCAAACCTGTATGAATCTCTTATAGGTTCTGGACATGCAAAACCACATCTGCAACCTCAGCAAAGGTCAGTCTTAGAGGACAGAATGTGGTGGGGGTGGGTGAGTCACAGGTGTTTTCCATTCATTCAATGAACTGTCACTGAGCACTGGGTAGGGTACAGGTTACACAGCAGGAAATAAGACAGGTCCCTGACCAAATGAGACTTAGAGTTCAGTGGTGAAGATAGGCAAAATCAAAGGAAGAAACAAATACACATGCCAAATACGGACAACTAACAAGTACCCTGAAGGAAACTCACAAAATGTCAAAGTGGAGAATAAAGAAGAAATTGGAGCCTATTTTAGACGTGATGGTCAGGAAAGATGAATCTGAGAACATGACAGTGGAAGGTGAAGACAGAAAAGAGTATTCCCAATAACTTTAGCAGCATTTATAGATGTGCCAGGTCAGTCGTACAAATCTTATAAGGTCTACTGAAGGCCCACTTGGTTTAATGCTCTTGGTAGAGAAATAACAATCAGTTTCGGGGGGGACCAGGTTTCTAATTGTTTTGTAAAGTGTTTTCATAGATTGGATTCCTCAGAAGCCGATTCTGACTGAAAAAAAAATGCATGTGAAGTAATTTATTAGGAATAATTTCCAAGGAAAACAAATAGAGAGTTGGAAATGTGGTAAAGGAAGAGAAGGAACCCAAGCAAAAGCTCAGTGTATTACTCTGTTTTCACGCAGCTCACAAAGACATACGCAAGACTGGGTAATTTATAAAGAAAAAGAGGCGTCTGGGTGTGGTGGCTCATGCCTGTAATCCCAGCACTTTGGGAGGCCAAGGCGGGCAGATTGCCTGAGGTCAGGAGTTCAAGACCAGCCTTGCCAATGTGGTGAAACCCCATCTCTACTTAAAATGCAAAAATTAGCTGGGCGTGGTGGTGGGCTCCTATAATCCCAGCTACTCGGGAGGCTGAAGTAGAAGAATTGCTTGAACCCAGGAGACAGAGGTTGCAGTGAGCCAAGATCACACCACTACACTCCAGCATGGGTAACAGAGCGAGACCCTGTCTCAAGAAAAAAAAAAAAAGAAAGAAAAGGAAAGGAAAAGAGGCTTAATGGACACACAGTTCCACGTGGCTGGGGGGGCCTCACAATCATGGCAGAAGAGCAAGGGATGTCTTACATGGCAGCAGACAAGAGAGAATGAGAGCCAAGCAAAAGGGGTTTCCCCTTATAAAACCATCCGATCTCATGAGACTTATTCACAACCACAAGAACAGTATGGGGGAACCACTCCCACGATTCAATTATCTCCCACCAGGTCTCTCCCACAACACGTGGAAATTATGGGATCTACAATTCCAGATGAGATTTGGGTGGGGACACAGCCAAACCATGTCCCTCAGTATTAAGTCAAGTATCACAGAGAAGAACTTGGGCTCAATTCCACAGGGGAACTTTCAGGACAGCATAGATCACACCCAAGTAGTTCCGACCAGAGGATTAGGGGACGAGGGTATTTACCCTCCTGCACCCTTCAGCACTGGTCAAAAGCTGCTGTCAGTGTGATATAAGTTCATAGGCATTTCTGGGCTTTGCAGGGCACAGGTGAAGCAGTCTCCAGCAATCTGAAGGCACCTTGCTGTCAGAGACACAGGAGCTGGCTGATGCATGTGAGATTACCCTAGCCTTCAGTGTAGTCACAGACATCTTCTGCTCTGAAAGTATTTATCTATTTGTTTCAACTGAGTTTTCCAGTGTTTATTGCAGTCATTACTGCCTGTTAAGAGGCAATCAATACCTGCGTGAAACTCCAGTTATCGCATTCCTAACCTGTCAATACCATCTCAGCATTACAGTCATTATGAAATCACTGAGCATTCTTGGCATATTCTAAGATAAAATCATCCTCAGCAGAGTTGTAAACAGACCCAAAACAATATGGTTTTTTTAAAATAATTTTTGGATTTATAATTTTTTTATTTATTAAATAAAGACAAAGTCTCACTATGTTGCCCAGGCTAGTCTCGAACTCCTGAGCTCAAATAATCCTCCTGCCTCAGCCTCCCAAAGTGCTAGGATTACAGGCGTGAGTCATCACGCTTTGCCTAGAGCAATATGGTTTCTAGGCATCAGAAGACTGTTTATTTGGGAGTCCACATTCAAAAAGAATCCAAACAAAATAGCAAGTCTATATAAAGTGTGCATTTTACACATCCTAAAAATCATGTTACTGGGATAATTGAAAAACAATTTGCTATAGTGCATAGCATTGTGTTGTATATGATAGATATATACCTAGCAGCTGATTGGAGCAATTGGGGAATACCAGAGAGGATAGAAATATACAATCATGGAGATGACACACTGATATCCTCTCAGGTAATGATTCTGGGTGACAGGTCTCAGTTGTCTATTTTGGTGACTTCACTATCTACCATTAAGATTTTCGGGGGGAACTAAGATGCCTAAACTCTAGAAATATTATTAACCTAGAAATAAATCAGATAAATTATCTTCTACTGAAGCTATTTCTGATGGCAAATCTCAACCCAAATGTGATTTTCATCCCAAATAGGGAGTAAATCTATTTCTGGGGCAAAGTGTTCTAGAATTTCCAGGTGTACAAACCCTTGTTTGGGGACAGAAGGGGAGGGTTTAGAAGCACAGAATAAATATGGAAGAAGACAACCTACCAGGCCCAGCACTGAGCAAGGTAGTGAGCGTTAATGAAGAGAAAATTCAGTAAGAACCCTCCCCATCATAGAGCCTGTGAAGAAGAGAGATAACTCAATAAGCAATAGCAATGTCATACAGTGCAATTTACCTGAAACAGACGAGCCCATGGCAGGGCTATCTTTCCTCTTCTACAGGGATGGGTAAAGGGAAAAAATCCTGACATCAGTAAAAGTTGGCCTAAGAAGAAGAGTTGGATCAGTGTTTGGTGCAGAGGAAACAGCAAAGTGAAGGTTGAGTGTGAAGAGATTGTGATGGTATGGGTGGGGAAAGGCAATTTGAGGAACTAAAGCAGTCACCAAGGGCTGACCAATGGAGAAAAAAATGCCCATGGTAGAAGGTGGTGAGAAGAGGGCAGACTAGTAGATGGGCAGAGGCCAGCTATGATGGTCCCTGGTGAAATTTGAATTATATCCTGAGGGTAAAAGATGGCCATTAGAGGACTTATTTTAGATAAATATTTTGGGAGGAAACCTCCTTATTTTTATTTTTTTTTTATTTTTTAGTTATGTTATGTTATTTATTTATTTTTTGAGACAAGGTCTTGCTCTGTCACCCAGGCTGGAGTACAGTGGTGCAATCTTGGCTCACTGCAACCTGTGCCTCCAGGGTTCAAGCAATTCTTGTGCCTTAGCCTCCCAAATAGCTGGGACTACAGGCATGCAGCATCACACCTGGGTAATTTTTTATATTTTAGTAGAGACAGGGTTTCACCATGTTGGCCAGGCTGGTCTTGAGCTCCTAGTCTCAAATGATCCACCCGTCTTAGCCTCCCAAAATGCTAGGATTACAGGTGTGAGCCACAGAGCCCAGTCCTCCTTATCTTTATATTTAAACAAATGTAGGTACAGAGTAGAAAGGAAATCATTGTTTTTAAAAGACAAAAAATAGAAAATTCACAACTTAATGTGGCCTGTCACCGCTTTGACCCTTAGGTGCATTTTCCTGAGAAAGTTTCAGAAGCACAGCCTGGACATCAATTAGTCATCCTAAAGGGGGAAGAACTGTCAGCACATTAAGGAATTTGGAAATCCTGAAAGACAGAGGCCAGATGCCAAATGTTTCACTGAAGCCTTACAATTCAATCTCGTGTATTTGACAGGGGGTCTGGCTTCCCAGCAGGAAAGTCGAATCCTGGGAAATCATATTCATATTAGTGCAAACCAAGCACACGTTTAATTACTAACATCCACTAATGTGGATCCACTAGCGAATAAGGCCCCAATGTGTTTGAAAAAGAAATCAATCTACTTTGTATATTAAAAGTGAAAAACGAGGGCTTATTTTTTACTCAATAAGTATTTATTAAGCTCCTAACTATGGGCCCTGGCCCTGTTCTGGACACTTGGTATACATCAGTGAGGACCAGACTAAATCCCTGCCCTTATGTTGGACTTATATTCAGGAGGTTTGTGCTTTTTCTTCCCAGATGCTGACACAAGAGCCAGAGAGGATGACAGACATCTATACACACCCTTTCATATATTCAACTTTGGGATATTATTATCTTGGAAAAAATGAGTTTTAAAGCTGTTAAACTAGGCAGACTATCTAAAATTTACAAAGGGATTTTATCCTCAGCATCATTTTTAGCCTTCTAACTGGTTTCTAAACTTGCACGTCAGCCATTTTAAAGTTTGACAAATTCAGTCACAGTGTTTGAAAAGCAGCTAACAATTTACAATCAAAGTGAAACCTTCCTTACCCACTAGCCCACATGAGTCTCTCTGGCACTGGACCACAAGCAGGAGTAGACTCAAGCTTGCATCTCACCCAGGGATATAGCCTGGCTCTTGTTAACTGTTGCATGATGTGGAAGTATTGGGAGATTATTTTCTAAATTAGATTTTAAGTTCCTTCAGAGAATATGCCTTTCAAAGGCTTTTCTTCTGGTTTCCAAACAGCTGCGTGGAGGCCTAGCATTCTCCCCCTCTGAATTTAGAAAACACAGGTCAATAGGAAGTACTGAAATCAACACCAATAATGATGGCAATGATGATGATAATGCTAATAGTAATAGCAATAATCTTAATAGCATGTCACTTTTTTTTTTTTACAGCCTCTTACAGATTTCAATGGCTTCCATGTCTATTAGTTATTTAATTCTCACTCTAATCCCATGCAGTGAGCTCATGGGCATTGTTAGTAATTATTACCCAGTAGTGGGTGGTAGAATGCTGATGGTGCAGATTCGATATAGGTTTGTGGGATCAATGCCAGTTTTTAAAACAATTTATTGAGTTTAAGGTCTTATCATTGTTTTTGGTCTTTTTTTCAAAAGTATGCAACACATGTTGCATACATGTTGTTTTTGGTCTTTTTTTCAAAAGTATGCAACATATATTCACCGCTGAATTCATAGTAAGCAAAAAGAAAAAAATCAAATAGCACAACAATCTAAAAATCCCATAACCTAGAGATAACCTCCTGTTTGATGAATAGTCTTTGAGATACTTCTTCATAAGTAGAGTTATAAATATGTGCATGTGTATTTCAAAGGAATCCATGACATTTACTCTTTTCATTTAATCTACTGTTGACCTTTTCTATGACAAAAAGTGTGAATCTACACAATTTATTGACACACTAGGTTGATAAACCATAACTTATTGGATATTTATATTTTCAGCTTTTTCTATTATATATGTTACAACAAATATTGATAATTGTACAAATATACAATTGTTATTTGTGCAATTATCTATTTATTTAGGATAATTTCTTGGAAGTGAAAGTTCTAGGTCAAAGAGCAGGAGTGTGTGTGTGTGATCAACCATATTGGATATATAAAAGTAGAGCATCATATTTAAGACAGAAACAGAATACAAATATATACTTCTACTATTTATGAACATGCCCATCCCCCCATAGCCAGACCTAAAATGGACATTAATAAAAACATACATTCATATTTCTTTGGCTTCCCTTCTTCCTTCCTTCCTGAATAATTTAGTCAAAAATCCATTTGGCAAGCCTGAATGAGGAAGGTGGCCCCATGGGGGATGAGAACCCAAGTGAGAAAAGCAGCCAAGTGAGATGTCAGCCCAGCAGGCTTGGAGAGTAGATAGATATTGGAGGGGGTGGCTGGTGAACAAGTAAGTATATATTGAAGGATAATGGGAGCCAGGCTTCTCATTGTCACAGAAGGGAGTTACAAATGCAGAAGAAAAAGGGAATGCTAGCATGAACCATGTGGTATTGAATTAGATGCTGAGAGAGCCTGGAAGCCATGATACCCAACTAATCACGAACACATCTAGCACCTAGATCTTGGTTTCTAAATAACTTTCTCCATTAAATAAAAAAGGACTCCTTAGAAAAATGAGTAATTCCAGGGCTGGTTAGGGAAAGTGTAAAATGAGTCTAGAATATCTTGTTGTGTTATAAAATGCCCAAAATGCTCAAAGAATGATGGGGATCTACAGGATCCAGCTTGAAGGGACTCCTACTGGCCAAATCTAAGACAATTTGAGTATCAAAATAAATAAGAATAATAATGGATGATATGTCATTAGATAAATTAAGAATCTATAACCTGACATAAATAAAAATACATAAATGAATAAATAAATGGGAAAAATAGAAATTTCTTTCTTGCAATAGAATGCCAACTAATAGACATAGAAGAAATCATGAATTAGAAAACCACCATTTGGCAATTGTCATAGTAAAAAATAATTCAGGCAAGAACCATTAATGAGTGCCGAATAGTAGGGGAGTAAAAATTGAACAAGGAAGAAGATAGTCCTGAAGTATCTCTTCACAAAAATACTTATTAATTACAAGGGTAAAAAGACTAACTTTACAGTGGAGAAGCCTGGCACCTTGATCAAGTGATAAAAGTGAACAACATCAGGAATGGTTCAAAGCAGCATTGCGTGCCACTTGATGAGATGCAGTAAGAGGATTCCAATGTCTCTTCTGTGAAATTCCTACCAAAGAAACACAACCTGAATCAATCATCAGGATACATTAGGCACACTCAAATTGAAGGACATTCCACAAAATAAATGGCCCATAGTGCTTAGAAAAGGTTACTATTCAAGAAGCATCGATGAATCATAAGAAAACATTAGATATTGTAAATGCATTTTTCACTGTCAAAATCTTACAATGGGGAGAGGTAGAACAATATGGCCAAACAGAAGCCTACAGCAATTATTTCCCCAACAGAAACACCAAATTGAACAACTATCCATACAAAAAAGCACCTTTGTAAGAGCCAAAAATCAGGTGAGTGACAGTACC
The DNA here is from genome assembly GCF_000001405.40 of Homo sapiens. NCBI lineage: Eukaryota > Metazoa > Chordata > Mammalia > Primates > Hominidae > Homo > Homo sapiens. The sequence goes on along the minus strand of NC_000008.11, from coordinate 130,622,246 downwards.
TGTTCTTAACATCATATTAAGGAAAGAGGCACTGAGGAGGGTAGGAAAGACAGTCTTGAATTGCTTATACTACCCTACCCCAATGACCCAGTAGTGTCTGTGTAGAATAGAGAGAAAATCTATGTGCTTGAGAAGGACAATCTGTGGGATTGTGAGACTTCGCATTGGAACTCAGTACTGCCCTGTCACAGCAGAAAGCAACATAGGGCAGAACTCAGCAGAGACCCATGGAGGGAGCATTTAGACTTAGACCAGCCCTAGCTAGAGGCAAATCAATCATCCCAGTGGTCAGAACCTGAGTTCCAGCAAGCCCTGCCACCATGGGCTAAAGTGCTCTGGAGTTCTAAATAAACTTGAAAAGTGGTCTAAGCCACAAAGAATGCAATTCCTGGGCAAGTCCTGGTGCTGTATTGAGCTCAGAGCCAGTGGACTTGGGATGCACATGACTTAGTGAGATACCATCTGGGATGGCCAAGGGAGTGCTTGTATCCACCCCTCCTTCAGCCCCAGGCAGCACATCTCACAGCTACAGGATAGACTCCTTCCCTTCGCTTGATGAAAGGAGTTGGGAGAGTAAAGAGGATTTTGTCTTGCAACTTAGATACCAGCTCAGCCACAGTAGAACAGGGCACCAGGCAGAATTCCGAGGCCCCCATTCCAGGCCCTAGTTCCTGGAAGACATTTCTAGACTCACCCTAGGCCTGAAAGAAACCCTCTGACATGAAGGGAAGGACCCAGTTCTGGCAGGATTCATCACCCGCTGACTAAAGAGCCCTTGGGCCCTGAATAAACACCAGCAGTAGCCAGGCAGTACCCACCACAGGCCTTGGGTGAGACTCAGAGCCATGTTGGCTTCAGGTGTGACCCAGCACATTCCCAGAGGTGGTGGCTCTGGGGTTGGGTGGTGGGGGAGCAAGAAACCCCTTTTGTCTGAGGAAAGGAGAGGGAAGAGCAAAGGAGACTTTGTCTTATAGCTTGGGTACCAGCTTGGCCACAGTGCAGTGGAGCTCCAAGTGGGTTCTTGGGGTCTCCAATTCCAGGCCTTGGCTCCTGGACAGTATTTCTAGACCTGCCCTGAATAGGAAGGGAGCCCACTACCCTGAAGGGAGAGACTCAGGCCTGGCAGCATTCATCACAAGCTGACTAAAGAGCCCTTGGGCCTTGAGTGAATATTGGTAGTAGCCAGGCAATATATGGCATGGCCCAAGGGTGGTGGTGACCATGAGGAGAGACTCCTTCTGCTTGATGAAGAGGGAGGGAAGAGTGGGAAGGACTTTGTCTTGTGGCTAGCATGCCAGCTCACCCACAGTAGAAAAGAGCACCAGGTATATTTCCAAGGTTCTCAACTCCAGGGTCTGGCTCCTGGACAGTATTTCTGGACCTGCACCAAGATCGGGGGAGCTTGCTGCCCTGAATGCAAGGACACAAGACTGGTTGGATTTTCCACCTGCTTATCGTGGAACCCTTAGGCCTTAAGTGAATACAGGCAGTAATCAGGCACTGGTCACTGCGAGTCTTGGGCAAGATCCAGTGCTCTGCTGGCTTCAGGTCTGATGCAGTGCAGTCCCAGTCGTGGTGGCCACAGGGGTACTGGTGTCATGCCAGCCAAATGTCAGCTGGTGACACCTCCAGACAGCTCAGCAAACCATCTGTTTGGGGCAAAGCAAGGGAAGAGAACAAGAGTCTGTGCCTGGTAATCCAGGGATTTCTTTTGGATGTTACCCAGCACAACCAAGATGGTACCTCTGTGAGTCTCAAAGGTCACCATGTTACTGGGCTTGGGGTTCCCCCCAATGCAGATATAGCAGCAGTAACCAAACACTTAGATTATAACACCCAAGTCACTTCAGGTACCTGGAAGGCCTTCCCAAGAAGGATAAATAAAAACAAGCCCAGACTGTGAAGACTATAATGAATACCTAACTCTAATTCTCTAATACCTATCTCTAATTCAGCAAGAGAATATAACAATTAGAAATATATATGCACCCAACACTGGAGCACCCTGATTTATAAAGCAAATATTATTAGCACTAAAGAGAGAGATAGACCCCAATACAAAATAGCTAGAAACTTCCACGTCCCAGTTTTAGCATTGGACAGATCATCCAGATAGAAAAACAACAAAGAAACATTGAACTTAGTCTGTGCTATAGGCCAGATGGATCTAATAGATATTTACAGAACATTTTATCCAATGGCTGCAGAATACAGACTATTCTCCTTAGTGCATGGATCATTCTCAAGAATAAACAATATGCTAGGCTACAAAACAACTCAAAAAATTCAACCTATCTTCACAACTAAAAGAACTAGGGAACCAAGAACAAACCAACCCCAAAGCTAGCAGAAGATAAGAAATAACCAAAATCAGAGCTAAATTGAAGGAGATTGAGACACACACACACACACACAAAAATCAAAAGATCAACAAATCCACAAATTGGCTTTTTGAAAAAAGTTATAAAAGAGATAGATGACTAGATAGACTAATAAATAAGAAAAGACAGAAAATCCAAATAAACCCAATTAGAGAAGATTAAAATAAACACAATTATGTGTGACAAAGGGGATAGTACCACTGATCCACAAAAATACAAATAACCATCAGAGACAATTATGAACACCTCTATTCACATAAACTAGAAGATCCAGAAGAAATGAATAAATTCCTGGACAACATACATCCTCTCAAGACTGAGCCAGGAAGAAACTGAATCCCTGAACAGACCAATAATGATCTCTGAAATTGAATCAGTAATAAATAGCCTACCAACCAAAAAAGCCTAGGGCCAGATGAATTTACACCCAAATTGTACCAGATGTACAAAGAACAGCTAGTACCATTCCTACTGACCCTATTCCAAAAAATCGAGGAGGAGGGACTCCACCATAATTCATTGTTTGAGGCCGGCATCATACTGATACCAAACCCTGGCAGAGACACAACAAAAAAAGAAAACTTCAGGCCAGTATTCTTGATGAACACTAATGCAAAAATTCTCAACAAAATACTGGCAAACTAAATCCAGCAGCACATTAAAAAGGATGGTTCAACATATGCAAATCCATCATTTAACAGAATGAAGGACGAAAACTATATTATCATTTCAATTGATGCTGAAAAGCATTCAACATCCCTTCATGATAAAAACTCTCAAAAAACTGGGTATAGAAAAAACATACCTCAACACAATAAAAGCCATATACAACAGACCCACAGATAATATTATATTGAATGGGGAAAAACTGAAAGCCTTTCTTCTAAGATCTGGAACAAGACAAGGATGCCCACTTTCACCACTGTTATTCAATATAATACTGGAAGTCCTAGCTAGAGCAATCAGACAATTTCTTTATTTATTTTAAAAGAAATAAAGCGCATCCCAAATGGAAAGGAAGAAGTCAAATTATCCCTGTTTGCAGATTATATGATCTTATCTTTAGAAAAACCTAAGGACTCTACCAAGAACTATTTGAACTGATAAATAAGGGGAAGGGGCTAAGATGGCAGAATAGAAGCAGCTCATGTGTGCTGCTCTCATAGAGAGGAAACAAAAGGGCTAGTGAACCCTGACTCTGTAGGCAGATTAGCTGAGAAACCATGTCAGGATCTGTCAAGGCAGCAGGGGGACACAGAGAACAGAGAGAAGCGAAGCTCCTGACATGGTTTCTCCTCACTGAGGAGCCAGAGAACCTCTCCAATATGGGAAAGGATGAGTGAGTGAGAGCCCCCAGGAGAATTCATGCTCTACACAGAGACCTATGCAAGACTGGGAATGGCAGAATCCCCTTGGCCCCCCCGCCCCCCGAACTGTGCTTCTAGACTGAAGAAAAGAGCCACCCAGGGGACTGTAAACTAGTTCAACCACTGTGCAAGTCAGTGTGGCAATTCCTCAGGGATCTAGAACTAGAAATACCATTTGACCCAGCCATCCCATTACTGGGTATATACCCGAAGGACTATAAGTCATGCTGCTATAAAGACACATGCACACGTATGTTTATTGCGGCACTATTCACAATAGCAAAGACTTGGAACCAAGCCAAATGTCCAACAGTGATAGACTGGATTAAGAAAATGTGGCACATATACACCATGGAATACTATGCAGCCATAAAAAATGATGAGTTCACGTCCTTTGTAGGGACATGGATGAAATTGGAAATCAACATTCTCAGTAAACTATAGCAAGAACAAAAAACCAAACACAGCATATTCTCACTCATAGGTGGGAATTGAACAATGAGAACACATGGACACAGGAAGGGGAACATCACACTCTGGAGACTGTTGTGGGGCGGGGGGAGGGGGGAGGGATAGCTTCAGGAGATATACCTAATGCTAAATGACGAGTTAATGGGTGCAGCACACCAGCATGGCACATGTATACATATGTAACAAACCTGCACATTGTGCACATGTACCCTAAAACTTAATGTATAATAATAATAAAATTAAATTAAAATTAAAAAAATAAAATAAAATAAAAACTAAACTGAGCTGATAGAGCTAAAAAACTCACTTCAAGAATCTCAGAATACAATCACAATCAGAGGTTTTGGGACTTAGACTGGCTTCCTTGCTCCTCAGCTTGCAGACAGCCTATTGTGGAACTTCACTTTGTGACGGTGTCAGTCAATACTCCTTAATAAACTCCCTTTTATATATACATCTATCCTATTAGTTCTGTCCCTCTAGAGAACCCTGACTAATACATATGATATCCTGAAATACGTTTTCCAAGTTACTTACACTCTCCCCATTTCTTTCAGGGACATCAGTGAGTCATAGATTCAGTCTCTTTACATAATCTCATATTTCTCAGAGGTTTTGTTCACTCCTTTTCATTCTTTTTCCCTATTCTTTTCTGACTGTCTTATATCAGAAAGCTAGTCTTCAAGCTCTGAGATTATTTCCTCAGCTTGATCTATTCTGCTATTAATACTTCTGATCACCTCACGAAATTCTTATAGTGTGTTTTTCAGCTCTATCTAGTCGGTTACAGTCTTTTCTATACTGGCTATTTTTTCAGCTCCTGTATTGTTTTATTGTGATTCTTTGCATGGATTAGGTTTCAGTGTACTCCTGCATCTCAATGATATTCATATCATCCATATTTCAAGTCTTATTTCTGTTATTTCAGCCATCTCAGCCCGGCTCAGAGCCCTTGCTGGAGAGGTGGTGTGGTTGTTTGCAGGAAAGAAGGCACTCTGGCTTTTTGAGTTGTCAAAGTTCTTGTCTTGGTTCTTTCTCATCTTTCTGGGCTGTTTCTTTGATCTTTGAAGTTGCTAACCTTTGGATAGTTCCCCCCGACCTTTTTTCCTATTTGATGACCTCAAATGTTTGATTGTGGGATAAGGTAGATTCAGTCAATGGGCATCATTTCTGGAAGATTTTAGTGGGCTAACACTCAGCTTCTAACTCCTGGACTGTGTGCTCTAACTCTGGGGGACTTGTGTCAGGCCGCAACTTTGTTCTATTGCTTCTGAAGTTTAGGAATCCACTGCTCTAGCGGGAGAATGAGGTGCTCCAGGACTTGGTCACTACACTCCAATGGATGGTACCAGCCAAAGTATTTCATAGTGCAGTGGCAACAGGATCCGTCCTCCTTCACACATGCTAGCAGCAGTGGCGGTGTGGTGGGGTGCATACTCTTCAGCTGTGGCAGGGTGCTAGTGGGTGCTAGGGTACCTGCCTCCATGTGAGCATTCACTACAAGTCACTGTCCTTTAACTGTCTTCACACCATGTTGTTACAGAACAGATTACCATTATTGGCTAAATGAATTCCTTCCTCAGAGTCTTACGGGTACAAATGACATAAAGCAGTGCCTCCTGACTAAGGGTAATAAATAGTTGGGTCAAGATATTAATCCTCTTGGCTCTAAGGCAACAAGGAAAGGCCTGGGGCTGTTGGAGCCCTGGAGTTACTCACTTTCTTCTGGGGTCAGCTTAGTCAGTTCACAGCAGGACTCTGTTTCATGAGGCTAGGAAGATTTTAGGAAGACCTGACTTAAAGGACTGCCTTAAGAGAAGCCAAAGAGTCAAACATGTCAATATTTCTACATCTCAAAAGGCTGGTTCTCTTACACAGTAGACATCTGATTGTTTTGATTTGCTTGTGGTGTTGGTGTTTACCTTCCCAATACCTTTCTCTGGTTTTCTGATCATGACATCAATTTCTCTGAGGAAATGTTCCCCCCTCCCACCACTCCATGTGTTCTGAAGGAGCTCTCATCTACAGCATCCTCTCTTTCAGGCTTCTGCTTTGGATCTGTCCAGTCTTTGTATTTCAGACATTTGGCAACTTTGATTGGTTCAAGAGACAGTCACATGACTAAGCAAGGCCAGACACCTTTCATGGGATGTTTCCTGAACACTCGGGGAAGGACGTTTTCCCTTTCAACTAGGTTCCTAGGTTAGAATGGTGTTGGACTAGAACTGCTGGCAGCCATTTTCCCCGCCACTTGGAGGAACCCAGCTGTGGAGGAGAGAACAAGGCCCCTGCACAGGGACAGCAGAGCTGAGAGGGAAAAGGGGGAGGGCAGTGGAAGAGATGGAGCCCGGAAGAGAGTTTGGCTCTTGCCTGGTGTTAGATCTACCCACATCCCATTATCAGAGGAATTTCTCCTCTCCAGTTCTCATGTTTCATGTCTCCTTTGAAAAACCCCACCACAGAACCACGTCCGACTTCCTTCTCCACCCTTTGCTTTCTCTTCCCCAGCATTTGATTGGTGAGGTGGGAGGGGACTGATAGCTATTATTACAAGGCTCTCTAATTGGCAGGATTAAAGTGCTACCAATTACTATTTTCATGTGATCTCCCCTTCTCTGAAACTTCCTGCCCACAGAACAGAGATGGTCTTCTCATATTCTCAACTTCATGAGTGTATGAAATACTTTCCTGTCTGTCTTTTCTTCAACACCAGAGACCCAATTTATCTTTGTAAACCTAGCATTTACCACAGTGGTGCTTACATATGTAGGTACTCAATAAATAATTGAGTTCAATGAACCAAAGAATGCAGGAATTGCCTTGGGTGCCTTTCAACACTGTACTCATGCTCTCAGGAGAACGTGAGTATTTTTGTGAATTTGTTTGTACCATGCCCTCATGGACTCATCTGAAGGGCAATTTGCTATATCTGGAAAAGTCTCAAGAACAAAGAAGCAAGATTTCACAGCAGGACAGAACTCTAACCGGAGTTCCAATCCATTTAGCAAATAATGTGTTTACGTGCCTCCTTAGTGTGAATGCTGAGCTAGAAATACCCTAGGCTCCCAAGCACCTAGGATAATTCATTTTTTCTTATAAAGTGAATTTCACCTTGAAATGGATTTACTTATTCTGATTAGCTAAGGCTTTTTGAGTGTTCTGCCCTTCCTTTGATGTATGCATTGAAACTGTCTTCTACCAATATATGTATTGATGATTAATTCACAGTGCATTGGGAGCCTTTGGCTTATTCATGCTTGGTCAAATTTCTAGCTATTCTATTATTCTATTACATTTTCAATCAACTACTGATTTATTATTTTTAAAATAGCACATATCTATTTCCTGATCAGCATTTCTGGAAGTCTCCTCTGCAGTTTGTCTTGTCTTTAGGTGGATGCAGACAGTCTCAATGGTGCCTGGGCAGGACAGAATGTTTGTTTGCAAAGCAGAATGAGGGAACAAAGGCCCTGCATCTCATTAAGTAATGGGACGTGAGCAGCGTAGTATCCAATTTGGCCATCGCACAGTGATATATGAGTTGTAAACTCACAAAGAACCCTTCATTTAATCTGCAAGGGAGAGACAATTCAAACAGAGGAAAAAGACCTGCATGTATTGGAAATGTAACCTGCCACCATGTTAGCATCAAACACCAAATATTCTGCCAAGGATCAAAGCAGAAATTGCTGTGTGCTGAGGGAAAAAGATAGGAGTCTGGGAGCCCAGGGACTTGGGTTCTTTTATGCTCTGCTGTTAGTTCACAGGGTGATATGGTTTGGATATTTGTCACCTCCGAATCTCCTGTTGAAATGTGACTTCCTGTGTTGGAGGTGGGGCCTAGTAGTAGGAGGTGTTTTGGTCTTGAGGGTGGATCCCTTATGAATGTCTTGGTGCCATCCCCATGGTAATGAGTGAGTTCTTGTTCTGAGTTCATGTGAGATCTAACCGTTTAAAAATGTGTGGCGCCTCCCACCACCTCTCTCTTGCTCCCACTCTCGACGTATAATACATCAGCTCTCCCTTTGCCTTCTGCCATGATTGTAAGCTTCCTGAGGCCCTTTCCAGAAGCAGATGCTGGCACCATGCTTCCTGTCCAGCCTGCAGAACTGTGAGCCAATTAAACCTCTTTTCTTTATAAATTACCCAGCCTGAGCTATTCCTTTATAGCAACACAAGAACAGACTAACACACAGGGAGATACTTCGAATTTTTTCTGGTCCTCAGTTTGCTCATATGTAAAATGAGAAGAGGCTGGAAAAGAGGAACAATCATACCAAGTGATCTCTAAAATCTCTTCTGTGACAGCCCATGAACACGTGGATTAATGGCCTCATACTTTCCAAGTCTCTGGCTTTCCTGGGACCTTAAAGATGCAGGGCAGTCCTCCTGGCTTCCCCATTTGGACTGCTCATCTTTTCCCCCACAGTGGTTCTTTTACATGCCTTGTGTATCAGTCTGTTTTCACACTGCTATAAAGAAATACCCCAGACTGGGTAATTTATAAAGGAAACAGGTTGAATTGACTTACAGTTACACATGGCTGGGGAGGCCTCAGGAAAGTTACAGTCATGGTGGAAGGGAAAGCAGGCACCTTCTTCACAAGGCAGCAGGAGAGAAAGCATGTGAAGGAGGAACTGCCAAACACAAAACCATCAGATCTCATTAGAACTCACTGTCATGAGAACTGCATGGGAGACGCTGCCCCCATGAACCAATCACCTCCCTCGCTTGACACTTGGGGATTGCAGGCCCCTCCCTCAACAGGTGGGGATTACAATTTGAGATGAGATTTGGGTGGGGACACAGAGCCAAACCATATCATCTTGCTCTCTTTCCAAGCCTCCTATACTCTATCCTCTTACGCCCCACATAGAAGATGCCCTTGCATCTACTGCACAGAGGAGCCAAAAGCCATCAGGTGGGAATTCCCCAACATCCCAATCCCAGGCCTACACAAAAACCTGCCTCCATCCTTTGCTTGTCACCTACCCTCCTGGCCCCAAAGAGGCTCCTCATAGGACTCCCTCTGGTCTGAGAAAAATCCCAGCATGAATCCAGCCTCCCAGCTCCACGGGTACCTTGGAATATTGATGATGATCTCTCTCAATCTCTCTCTCTCTCTCTCTCTCTCTCTCTCTCTGTCTCTCTCTCTCAATCTCTCATCATCCTCATCATTATCCCCTCCTTTCCTACTTGCCCCTTCCCTTCAGCTTTAAACACACTCAACTCTCCTTTATCTCAGCACAAGCCCTCTTTGAGCTCACAGCATTCTCACAGGTACAGACTCATCCTTCTCATTCCTTTCACAGTCAAGCATCTGAAATGAGTTGTCTATACTTCCTATGCACACTTCCTCAACCTCACCTGGTACCTCAACCCCCTACAACTGAACTTCTTCCCTCATCACTCCACAGACACCACTCTTGACCAATGATCTTTTTGTTGCCAAACCCAAGTGACACTTTTCATTACTCGTCCCATTTGTCCAGTCTGTAATTGTAGTACTGTAAAATGCTCCCTTGTCCCTGAAATCCTCCTTCCTTCACTTCGGTAACGTTGGGTTTATATGGTTTTTCCTCCTTCCAGAAAGTCTCCTATAATCCTCCCTCCAACCTGGGCAAGGAGCTTGTAATAGGGTTCTCCAGAGAAACAGAAGCAAGAGAGAGAGAAAGAATAGGATTTGGCTCACATCATGTGGAGGCTAACAAGTCTCAAGAGATGCAGGATGCAGGGTGAATAGGCAATTTGGAGAACCAGGAGAGCCAATGGCATAGTTCCAGTTCAAGCCCAAAGTTCTGAGAACCAGGAGCACCAATAGTGTAGTTCTAGTCCAAAGGCCAGCAGGCTAAAGACCCAGAAAGAGCCTATGTTTCAACTTGACATCAAAGGCAGAAAAAAACAATGTCCCAGTTCAAAGGCAGTCAGACAGGAGAAATTGTCTCTTATTCAGGGGAGAGTCAGTCAGCACTTTTGTTCTATTCAGGCCATCGACTGACAGGATGAGGCCCACTGCCGTTAGGGAGGGCAATCTGCTTTCTCAGTCCACCAATTTAAACATTAATCTCATCTAAACACACCCTCGTAAGAACACCCAATAACATGTGACTAAATACCTGGGCACCCCATGACCCAGTCAAGCTAACACATAAAATTAGTCATCACAGTGCTGTCCTTTGAATACACCTCTTTCACCATTTTTATTACTATAGATTGTCATTGTTTCCTTAACTATTTCTTTCACTAGAATCTCAATGTCTTGAGGACAGTGAATATTTCTACTCTGCATTTCTGTCTTCCTGGCACAGTGACTGGCCTATAGAAGGCTCTCAATATATGCTTTGAATAAATGAATGAAAGAGTCTAAAGGACAGGCTTTACTTTGGTTATAATCACTTAAAAATTCTTATACATAGTCTTACTGCATCAATAAGATCATCTCAATTTAATAATATTTAACACTAATTCAATGAATACTGTAAGCCAGATACTGTTCCTAGTGCTTTTCATGTAGTAATTTATATAATTTGCATACCAATTTTGAGGTAGACATTGTTATTACCCCCTCCCCCATTTACAACCTCAGAAACTAAGGCATAGAGAGGTTAGGTGAACTGCTCAAAGTGACCCCGCTAATAAATGACAGAGCTCTGCTTAGCAAAAATCATCCTGCCTTACCCCAGAGTCCTTTCTACTTCTCCAGGAACTTATTTGGGAGTGTTTCCTCCTAGGTCATCTTTACCAAAAAATTGGAAGATTGAGAGGCCTATAGGAAATGCTGTAGTTTCATTGGGGCATTACTATGTGCCTCAGTTTCCACAGTGAAACACTCCCTTTAATCCTTTCCCAGGAAAAGAAGTGATGAATCTGTTTGGTACATTTATGGGCAAGAAGCACTGAGCAAGATACATGAGTATTTTTGGTTCTCTCTTCCCTCCCCTCCCCACTCTAACCTGCCCTGTATTCTTCTCCCAGCTCCCTCTGCCTTAGGGTAAACATTCAGGGCAGTTGCTACCATAGAGGTTGAGATGGGACAAGGCATGTATTTGGCCACCTGCTCCATCTATGGCCTGGTGGTAAGTTCAGTTCAAGGGGAAAACACTGCAGGCCATTTGAGCCTTGGGTCCACGCCCCCTCCTTGAATACAGCATTACCAGTGTTAAAGTTAATTATTTTGATTCATATGTAACTCTAGTGCCCATTTATCATTTGTATGGGGAATCAGAGCAGATGAGATGTGACTGATATCCCCTTCAGACTCCACCAGAATTCTAGTGGGGTATATTGCATCCATTCTGTAATTCATATTTTATAAGCCAAGTGCTACCTGTTGTTGATTCTCAACCTTTACCAACACAAAGAAGGCTTTTTAATATCAAAAATCATCACGAACACCCACATGAGAATAATCGCACTTCTGAATCTATTAGCAATTCAAATAAATAAAGGACTATGAATTCAAAAATCTTTCTGGATTCATTTGCATGTGATTATATGCAACAACATCTATATTCAATTGAAAGATGCTTATATGAACTTGACACATAGTAAGTACTCAATACATACTTGTTTATTTAACAAGTAAATGACCATACACATGATGCTTTTATTTATCAGGTTTAATGATGAGGTTTGGTGCACAATGGACCTGCAGCAACCTTATGCATAATATAAGATATGCATGGTCTTAGACCCTTGAACATCAGCATATAGATGTGCATGTATACATGTTATAGGTCTAAATGAGCCTGACTTTGTTGTTCATGGCCATTGTATCTGGAGAACCTCAGGGTTCTTCAGAGAAACAGAATGAACAGGAAACAGGTAGGGGTGTGTGTGTGTGTGTGTGTGTGTGTGTGTGTGTGTGTGTGTGTAAAGAGAGGGGGCCAAGGAGAGGGAGAGAGATTTATTTTAAAGAATTATCTAAAGTGATTGTGGGGCTGGCAAGTCCAAAATGTGTAGGGCCAGCTGGCTGGCTGGAAACTCAGAAAGGAAACTCAATCCTGAGGCAGCATTATTTTTTCTTCTCTGGGAAACCTGAGTTTTTGCTGTGAAGGCCTTCAACTGATTGAATGAGGCCCACTCACATTATGGAAAGTAATCTCCTTCACTGAAGGTCAACTGATTGTAGGTATTCACCATGTCTGTAAAATACCTTCCCAGCCAGGTGCGGTGGCTCATGCCTGTAATCCCAGCACTTTGGGAGGCTGACGTGGGTGGATCATCTGAGGTCAGGAGTTCGAGACCAGCCTGGCCAACATGGTGAAACCCCATCTCTACTAAAAATACAAAAATTAGCTGAGCGTGGTGGCAGGTGCCTGTAATCCCAGCTACTCAGGAGGCTGAGGCAGGAAAATTATTTGAATCCAGGAGGTGGAGGTTGCAGTGAGCCAAGATCATGCCATTGTACTCCAGCCTGGGAGTACAAGAGCAAAATTCCATCAAAAAAAAAAAAAAAACCACTTTCCCAACACCTAGACTAATATTTTACTAAATAACTGGCACTATAACCTAGCCAAGTTGACACATAAAATTAACCTTCACAGTCTGGGCACAGTGGCTCATGCCTGTAATCCCAGCACTTTGGGAGGCCGAGGTGGGCGGATAACGAGGTCAGGAGTTTGAGATCAGCCTGACCAACATGGTGAAACCCCATCTCTACTAAAAATACAAAAATTAGCTGGGTGTGGTGGTGTGTGCCTACAATCCCAGCTACTCAGCAGGCTGAGGCAGGAGAATCGCTTGAACCTGGGAGTTGGAGGTTGCAGTGAGCTGAGAGGGAGCCACTGCACTCCAACCTAGGCAACAGAGCAAGACTCTGTCTCAAAAACAAACAAAAAAAATAATCTTCACAGACATTTTTCCTCATTACTTTATACATAATACATAGGCTTAATACATAATATATATGTCCATTTGTGTCAACACATAAAGTTCATTTAAACTCTGTTTCTGCTTTTCTTCCTTTACTCTTGATGTTTCCTAGTTGGGGACCATGAAGGAAGTTAGAAGCTACTTGAGCTACTTGTAATATCTCAAAAAGACTGGCAAGCATGTCCTACATTTTCTGATTAAAGAGTCATTTTCTCTTTTTTCCGAAGTTATATCTCCACTTAGCAAGTAGTTATTTCATACAAAACAAAAAAGTATAATTTAATAAATGTGCTGTATTAAAAGATTATTTGAAACATGCAGTTCACTGTGGGAAAATATTTACAGGTGTCTTTGGTGGGAAAAAATTTTGGCATTAATCCAACATGTTATGAATTCATAAAGGTTTCTGATTTGGGCAGTACAGTGTCAAAGCCTTTGATGAAACTCAAAATTCAAACTCACTAATCAGTTCCATGCCCAGCGTCTACTAGTTCTGTCTGCAAGAGGTAATCCATAGTTTTCTCAGACAACATGTGAACAGGAATTCTCCCATACTGCAAGCATCCGAGCACAGTGGGGCTCATTTTCACCTTACCTTTGACTTGTTCTACCTCCCAACTTCCTAGTCTGTGGATTCCCCACTTCGCAGACCCAGCATCCACCCTAACTTCACTCCCCAATCCCAACCCCCACGGACTGACTTCTCCAAGCCACTCAATATCACAAGTCAATGCCACTGTGGTGTCTTTAAGGCAAAACGGCCGTCCATATTCTCCATCAGACCTTCCCCACCCGATCCCTGACTCCAGGAAAGGTGTTCTTAGCTGCATCTCCTGGATCTGCCTTACTCACAAGCTGGGTGCCAGGCACAACTTGCAACATCTAGTTACATAAATTCATCTCTGCTGCTCCTTGTTCAGGAGCAGGAAGCTGTCTGAGTAAGAGACACCTGTACTCCACAGCAACACCAGCTATTAGAGGGTCTGTCTCACGGCTCTTGGCTTGGGCTCCTGGTTGACATTCCTTCCTCATAGTTGATATTTTGTTTCTCTGTCCATCCCCACCAGCAGCCACATTGGCCTCTCACGCTTATGTATATATGATGTTTAAGCAAATGTATAAAATAGTAACTAATTTTGAGCACTTATTTTCTGCCATGGAGTAAGACATGAACTCTATATGCTTTATCATCACCTGATTAAATCATTATAACAACTCGATAAGGCAGTTGTTATTATTTTCTTCCACTTTGTAGATGAGGCACTGATGCTCAGAGAGCAGAGAGCGCCTACACATGTGCTGTGAGGCTTGTGTGCAGATGATCTTCTTTGCACTCTTATGGAGTTTACCTTTAGACTAAACTCACCTAAGCCCTGTGCAGTTAGAGCTGCAGGTGATGGACAAGGTCACAGGGTCTCATGGCACACTGCCTAGGTTTGGATCCAACCCTTACCAATGACCAGTTGAATGACTTTCCTGGATTCTCTAGGTCTCCATTGCCACATCTGTGAAATGGGGATAACAACAAAACTTGCCTTCTAGAGTAGTTGGGAAACACAGTGGGTGCCAGGTTGCTGGCACTGCATCACATTTGCCTGATTACACTGCCCTTTCAACAGAGCCCCAGGCTAATAAAACTAACCAAAGGGATCACTTGTTTTACATGGTAGACATTTGGCACTAGGTAGAAGAAATGTTGGTTATTGGGATGAGAGAAGACAGAGAGAAGTCAGGACATTTGTTCTGCTCATGGGCAAGACAGAGCCTGGCATAAGGGGGAGTGCTAAGAACGGCAAAAATCTGGTCTACCGAACAAACACAGGGTGGGCAAGCAGTTGGCAAGAGGGAAGGGATAGATAAGGGAGAAATTATGCATGATGAACCAACAGATAGTGTAATGGATGGCAGTACCAATTCTGATGCCTGATTGTCTGACATAAGCCCTGACTCCATCACATCTGAATGGTATGTGTTTGGCAAATTGTATAATGTCTTTTTGATTCAGTTTGCCCATCTATAAAATGAAAGTAAGAATATTGCTGACCACCAACCGTTATTGTGAGAATTAAGTAAGAATACAAAAACACTCAGATAAGTGTCTGGTTTGATCGCTATCATTATAATATATTGTATCCTATTGCTGCTGTGATGAGTTATCATAAACACAGTGGCTGAAAACAATACCAATTCATTCTCTTACAAGTTCTAGAAGTCAGAAGTCTGAAACCAGTCTCACTAGGCTAAAGTTAAGGTATTTCCAGGGCTGGTTTCTTCTTTAAGCTCTGAAGGGAAGGAATTGGTTTCCTTGCCTTTTCCTAGCTTCTAGTGGCCGCCTGTATATCTTGGCTTGTGGCGCCTTCCTCTGCCTTCAAAATGCATCACTCCAATCTCTGCTTCCATCATTACATCACCTTCTCTTCTTCTGCTAATCTCCCACTGCACCCCTCTCATAAGGATACCATCATTCTATTTAGGGTCCATTCAGGTAATCCAAGATGGTCTGCCCATTTCAAGATCTTTAACCCAATTATATCTGCAAAGGCTCTTTGCTATCTATATAAGTAATATTCACAGCTGATAGGGTTAAAATATGAACATTTTGGGGGAGGGGCATCATTCAGCTCACCATACAGATTAATAATTCTAGTGGGTGGATAACAGAGATGGGGAATCTGAGGTGCATGATAGAGGAGAAATTGGTATGCATTGAGAGTGCTATTAATAGTTACATTCATGATCCTGGGTCTTGGGGAAGATTAAGCAAGGTATTATCTGCCTGACACAGAGTCAGTTCTCAAAAACCATCAACTGTGAGTGTTATCACGGTAGTTCCTTAGTCTTCAAAATCCCACTCTGAGTAGTGTGGTAGTTGTCTTCCCAACATTATTTCATCTCTCATCTCTCTCTCACTGCATAGCCCATGATTTGAGTAGCACTGACCCCAGCTGCTTGCTGGGCTGAAAATGATCTGGATGCCAGCACTGATCCTGTCAGCTAAGATGGTCCAATCCAAGCTGAGAAAGCTGCTACATGTAGGTATCTTGACATATAAAGGAAGCCGGCCTAAAGATGAAGCCAACACAGAAGATAGGATGGGAATAAAATTGTGCAGAGGAGTGGAGCCAGACCCCTGATCAAACTATATCTGAAGTCTTACCTCTAGACTTTGTAGTTATCAAATGCAATGTTTCTTTTATTATGAAGCCATTTGGAACTGGATTTTCCCTTCCTTGTCACATAAAGTATCATGGAGAAAAGTAGATATTGCCAACCTCAGTTTATAGCTGAGAAAATTGAGGCTCGGAGGGATGGGTGACTTGTCAAGCTTAGATAACTAGTACAGGACATCATGAGGCTTCAACCTAGGCCTGCGTGACTCCATAGCCAGTATAGTCTCCCCCACCAAGTACTGTGCAGTGGCATCTTCCTAATCATCTTCCTCTCCGGTTGACAGTATACTGGGGGTTGTCTGAGGGATACTAACAGGCGGTCAGATGGTCCCACCTGTGGAGGGAGCCACACAGAGGCTGAAACCGTGTAGCACCAAACGAAGATCCCATCTGCAACACCTCAACCCAGCACCACAGACACAGGAGGAATGAAGGACCCCAGAGGCTGTGTTGCCTGGTATATATCTGACATGCTCCTTCCCACATTGATTCTCCTTCAATGATAATTACTTGAGAAATATTGCCCCTTGGCTCCTCATGAAAGCAATCTCAGCTGCATTTTAATTATCTCCAAACAAGATGTTGTAATAAAAGCTCAAGGGAAGTGGAAAGTAAATGGGCTATTTTTGAGTGATCTAGCAAGTGCCATGAATTGCTCTAAGCAACTGCTTATGTTGTGTCATTTAATCACCATAACCCTGTGAGTAGTATAATAATGCTCACTGGGCTCATGGGGAAACTGAGGCACTATAGGTTTAGGTCACTCTCCCAGCTGGTAAATGGACAAGGCAGAGTTTGTGTCCCATGCCTGGATCGCTGAACACTGCATGCTATTTCCATGACATCACACAGACTCCTCTAAAAATACTGCTATGATCATTGTTTCTGGGACATTGCCTAATGCAATGACCTCAACACCATCCTAGCCCAGGAGATAATGAGAGAGAGGGAAAGGACCAAAGACACAATGGAGGGGAAGGAGCAAACAGTCTATGGAATGCTCGGTGAATTCACAAGGTGATCAAAAAAGCCTGCAAGTAGAAAGGTACCTTGGGAACATCTTAGGGACCAGATGCCTTGAGTGAATACCCCAAGGACAGCCATGATCTCAGATTCAGTCATTACCATGTTCCCAAAAGAGATCCAGAGGACAGACATAAAAGGATCAATGAGTCATGCTTGAAAAGGCATAGATAAGTTTTTGTCCCGCCCCACAGAGACAGCCAGGCTTAGATGTCAAGGCAGGAGCTATTGCTAGGAAAAGGATGGAAAAGGCACCTGGGCTTTGAGTCCTGTCTTTGCCTCGGCAATGAGCCAGCAGCCTGTATTTGAAAACTGTCCTTTAAATCAGCTACAGAGTCACCTTCTTCCCACTGACCCAAGTGAGTTATGATTTATAATACAGGAACTGAATGGAATGCTTGGTCATCTCATTGTTTGCCTGCCTCCTGGGACAGAGAATGGGCTGGCATGTTTTCAAATGTAATTTTCAAAGGTGGTATTAACTTTGAATCCAACCAGAGGGAGCTGTTGCTAGGGAAAAAAAAATAATGTCAACAATCCCCAGGACACAGGGAGGAGTAGAAGGTAGAAAAAAAGTTGCAGCTAGAAAATACCTGAGGTTTACATATAAATACATAGACAACTGTTGGAATCTTAGAAAAGGTTGTGTTTTGTTTCGGTTTGGTTTGTTTTGGTTTGGTTTTGAGACAGGGTATTGCTCTGTCACCAGGCTGGAGTGCAATGATGGTCATAGATCACTGCAGCCTCAAATTCCTGGGTTCAAGGGATCCTCCGGCCTCGGCCTTCAGAGTAGCTGGGACTACAAATGCACACCACCATGCCTGGCTGATTTCTTATTATTTTTTGTAAAGACAATGCCTCACTTTTTTGCCTAGGCTGGTCTCAAACTCCTGGGCTCAAGTGATCATCACACCTTGGCCTCCCAAAGTGGGCATGAGCCACCGCACCTAGCCTGAGGAATGAGTTTTCTTTAGTTTGGTTTAATACTGTGATTTTCTGAGAAAGAAACAATCAGAGTCAAATGCTGATTTCTCCAGTTATATTGTTCTACCTTTTGTCCTCATCATTTTTACCCATCAGTGAGGCCCTGGGTTGGTCCAGCAGGACTGACCTTTTAAGAGGCGAAGGATTTCCATTATTAAAAAGTTGAATAATAGATGTTGGCCTGGATGTGGTGAAAAAGGAATGCTTATACACTGCTAGTAGGAACATAAATTAGTACAACGTCTATGAAAAACAATATGGAGATTTTTTAAAGAACTAAAAGCAGATCTCCCATTCAATCTAGCAGTCTCACTAATGGGTATCTACCCAAAAGAAAAGAAGTGTTTATATCAAAAAGACACCTGCACACATGTTTACTGCAGCACAATTCACAATTGCAAAGACATGAAACAAACCTAAGTGCCCATCAACCAATGAGTGAATAAAGAAAATATGGTATATATACACCATGGAATATAACTCAGCCATAAAAAAGAACAAAATAATGTCTTCTGCAGCAACTTAGATGGAGCTGGAGGCCATTATTCTAAGTGAGGTAACTCAGAAATGGAAGACCAAATAACATATGTTCTCACTTATAAGTGGGAGCTAAGCTATGGGTATGCAAAGGCATACAGAGTGGTAAAATGGACATTGGAGACTCGGAATGGGGGAGAGAAAGAGGAGGGTAAGGGATAAAAAACTACATATTGTGTACAGTGTATACTACTTGGGTGATGGATGCACTAAAATCTCAGAATTCACCACTGTACAATTCATCCATATAAACAAAAACCACTTGTATCCCAGAAGCTATTGAAATTTAAAAAAAAAAAAAAGAGGTAAAGGATCTAAGACACAGAAGAAAATTGGCCACTGAAACATCTACAGAAGGTTTACAAGGGGTGGAAACTCTTGCTTCCTGGCAGTTCTGATTACATAATTTGTGGCATTCATTTATGCTTTCATTCATTTTGCCAAAATTTCCTGAGAACCTACTTTGGGTCAGGCATTGTACTGGGGCTGGAATGAACCTTGTAGTGTATTGTTATCATGGTTAGGTGATATGGTGGTGTTGGTGATGGTGGTGGTGGTAATATAGCAATGGTGATATGATGGAGGCAGAGATGATAGTGAAGGTGAGAGAACAAACAACTCAGATGCGTGTGTCTATAGTAGCGGTAGCAGAGGGGTGGGGTAGTGATGGGAATAGAGGTGTTGCTACTGTTGACACTGACCGTGCTGGGCCATTGCTGGTCATGGTGGCAATGGAGCAGCAGTGGTGGGGTCGCAGTGGGGGAACATGAGTGATGGTGATTTGCTGATGGTGACGTTTGAATTGGACTTGGCTACATTTCTGTCATTTTGTCTGACCCCTTACTCACTGAGAAGTTCTCCTAATCACTTTATCTGACTAAATCAGTGTTTAAATCATGTCTTAAATGCTTATTGTGTACAAGAGATTTTCAACCCTATTATCCAACAATAGCACTGTGAAGAAGACAGAATTGTCCTCATTTTACAAATGAGGAAACTGAGGCACAGAAGGAACAGAGGAATTTCCTAAGATCTCATAGTGAGTGGCAGAGACAACATAGCAATCAGATTTTTCTGATTCTGGGTCCAGAATCACTTGTCTCCTCCAGGTGCTTTTTGATCCTCAGACCTCAGGAAGTCACTGAGGAAAATGGAAGGGGATGGCTCCATTGCCTGGAGCCTGGTCAGATGGACCAAGGAAGGAATGAGCAGGACTCATAGTATTCATTGGTATTCATGTGCCGAAAGGTGCCTTTAATGAAATGACCTCAGGGCCCTTCACAGTTCCCTGGACTCTCTAAGCCCATCCCCCAGGCACCATAGCCCAATTTAGTCTTGGGACAAGCTGGCTCAGCATAGGCACAGGGACAAGCTAAGTTCTACCAGGGAAAGCAAGTCTATGCAGAAGAAAGAGTACAGACTCACAGCACACAGTCTTGGGTTCAAATTCCATCCATTGTACTTCCTAGCTGTGGCCGCTAGGCAAGTTATTGACCCTTTGGGAAACAGGAGTGGCGTTAGAATTAAAGGTGATAACAAATGCAGAACACCTGGCTCATGGGTTCTGCAGTGGTCACAGAAACCAGAGGCAATGAGGCAAATCCTCAAAGTGGAGACTCAGCTCAGATGCTGCTACTCATGGGAAACTGGTGTGGGAGAAGTGGGTGGGTGTATTAGTCCATTTTCATGCTGCTGATAAAGACATATCCAAGGCTGGGCAATTTACAAAAGAAAGAGGTTTATTGGACTTACAGTTCCACATGGCTGGGGAGGCCTCACAATCATGGCAGAAGGCAAGGAGAAGCAAGTTACATCTTACATGGATGGCAGCAGGCAAAGAGAGAGCTTGTGCAGGGAAACTCCCATTTTTAAAACCATCAGATGTCATGAGACCCATTCACTGTCACTAGAACAGCACAGGAAAGACCCACACCCATGATTCAATCATCTCCCACCAGGTCCCTGCCACAACACATGGGAATTATGGGAGCTACAAGATGAGATTTGGGTGGGTACACAGAAGCAAACCATATCAGCGGGGCCTGGAACCTCCCTGGTGTGGTCTCTTTGAGTTCTCTGAGTTAAATGCCTTGTCTCTAAATCAAGCCTCAAACCATTCATTCTTGACTCACTGTGGCAGAAAAGGAGTTGGCTTTTTGACAGTGGGTACTGTTGGTCTCTGCAAAACCCGTGTTTTGGGGGTCCTTGATATGTAAAAGTCTCCCATAGCCCAGGCCAAATATATGGACTGGTTTGCCCCTGGTAGTCCCTGTGGGGCTCTACCTGGCCCCACACCATAGGAAGATGCTTTTTCTCTGAGTCAGTATGGGAGCTCCAATCTCCCAGGAGCAGCCAGGAACAGCGTTGACTTCTTTTAAAAGCCTCATCAATAGCTACTGCCAGAAAGGGTCTCAGGAGAACCAAGGACCAACGTCAGGCAGCATGGAATGAGGTTTGGATTTACAGCCCAGCTCTGCCATTTCCTACTGGTGTGACCTTGGCATGTCACTTCTCTCTAAATTTCAGATTCATCATCCAAAAATGGCAACAACGACCCCTATTTCCTGGGGTGGGTTCAAAGACAAATGGGACAATGACACACAAAAGCTTTTAGGTCCTTTAGCAAGTAATTTAAAATCCTTTCAATTATTTTGAGGTACATATCAGAAATTGATCCAGTAATCTTTTTAATGATTTTGCATTGATATTCTTCTTAGCTATTATTCCACCAGTTCTTTGGATAGTGTGAAAATACAAATAATTGGCACCAAAATGATGCCATGCTGGCTCAATAAATATAGATTTTGTGATAATTCTGTGCCTCACACTGGCCTTAGGTACTAGGAATAATTTTCCAATTTTCATGTACATAAGAATTTTCTAGACACAATGTAGATTCCCAGGCCACATCTACTAGTGATTCAAGTTCAGTGGGTCTGGGGTAATGTCCAAATAGCTTCATTTTTTAAACTATTGTGGTTATGATACTTAACATGAGATCTACCTTCTTAAAGTTTTAAATGTACAGTACATTTTTGTTGACTATAGGTAGATAAAGAAAATGTGCTATATACTGGCCAGACGTGGTGGCTCATGCCTGTAATCCCAACACTTTGGGATACTGAGGCGGGTGGATCGCTTGAACCCAGGAGTTCAAGACCAGCCTGGGAAACATGGCAAAACCTCCTCTCTACTAAAAAACACAAAAATTATCCGGGCGTGGTGGCACGTGCCTGTAATCCCAGCTACTCAAAGCTGAGGCAAGGGAATCACTTGAACCCAGGAGGCAGAGGTTGCAGCGAGCCAAGATCATGTCACTGCACTCCAGCCTGGGTGACAGAGCACGACTCAACCTCAAAAAGAGAAAAAATATTCAACAATATGGATGAACCTTGAAAACAGTATGCTAAGTGAAATAATCCAGTCACAGAAGGACAAATACTGCATGATTCCCCTTACGCGAGGTACCTTAAATAGTCAAATTCATAGAATTAGAGTAAATGGTGGTTGCCAGGGGTTGGGGGAGGGGAACATGGGGAGTTGTTAATCAATGGGCATAAAGTTGTAGTCCAGCAAGAAAAAAAAAAAAATCTGTGTTTTTAACAAGTACCTTCGACTCAGTGTTTTTCAACTTTCTCCACAATATTTTTTAAAAGATTACATGGTAACCTAGTGTACACAACTAAAACAGAAGTTTTATAAAACAATAACTACCCAATAATTTGCCTTACGACCTGCAAGCCACATAGATGTGCCTATTGTGTGCTCTTTTTAATCTGATTCACGTTTTGGTAATGCTAGTTGTGACTCACTATGCTAATTTTGTGACCAAAACTACAGTTTAAAAAACACTGATTCTGGTGCAAGAGGTCTGAGACGTGCTTTGAGAAACAATGAATTCTGGATTTCAAAACGTTAAAAAATAATAATAATAAAACACAGACCCTGCCTTCAAGGGTCTCCAAGGGCTCCCCGCCTCGAGGTGGAGACTCACAGGAACCATGTGTGGGGAGGGTCTGTGTTGGCTGGCAAAGGGGCGCTGCCTTAACAAAGTACCAAGACTGAGTGCCTTCAACAACAGACATTATTTTCTCACAGTGCTGGAGGCCAGAAGTTCAAGACTAGGTATCAGTAGTGTTGGTTCCTTCTGGGGTCTATACTGGAAGAATCTGTTCCAGGCCTCTCTCCTTGGTTTGTAAATGGCATCTTCTCTGTCTCTTCACATCATCTTGCCTCCGTACATGTTTGTATCTAAACTCCCTCTTCTCATAAGGATGCCAATCTGTGTCCAAACTTGCTCTTCTATTCAGGACCCCAGTCAGACTGAACCACTATAATGACCTCATTTATCTTAATTTCCCCTTACAGGCCCTATCTCCAAATACAGTCACATTCTGGGACCGCAGATTATGAACACAGGAATGTTTTGACACTGGAGACTGTGGAGGGAACTCAGCCCAGGGTCTGATTGGTGTCAGGCTCTGTACATGGACACTGTGGTGGAGGTAATTACCTGCAGCTCTAGGAGCACCCAGAGAACAAAGTCATTAACTCATTAGGCCAGAAGGAGACTAGGAAGACTCCACAGAGAAGGTAAGATGGGAAATGGGCTTTAAATGAAAAGATTTCATCAGGTAGAGAAGATTTTAAAATAGAAATTTTAAGTAGATGAATCTACTTAAAATGCCAGAGCTTAAAAGTATGAAACAATGAGCCACATTGAAGAGAACTAGGTGAAATAAGAGAGGAGAACAGAGAGATGGTTGGAAATGAAGGTGAAAGGACCACTGGAGACCAGATTACAAGAGGACTCCAATGTCAAAGATATTAATAGACTTGATCCTTTGAGTTGGTTTCATGAACACCTTTTTTCAGAAAATCATTGAGTCCTAGAATGAGAACCACCAGCTACAACTTCTGTTACAGATGAGAAAAATTGTGGCTTAGAAAATACAAGTGAGTTAGTGGCAGAGAACCTCACCAGCACCTGAGGGGGTCATTCCTATATGCTCTCTACAACATCACACATGGTCCCCGGGACTGTGAAAGTACAAAGATTTATATATACTGGAGATTAGAACAGGAGAAAAAAAATCCCTTTTCCATCATCCTTCCAATCATAATAACATTATACTGGGTCACAAGTGAGGCCAGGAAAAATAGTTACCTTCAGTGATTTATGATCCAAGAACGGAGACCACCTACCATGCTCGGGCCTGAAGCAGATTTCACTTCAGTTTTGAAAATAACATTCTGAGTGCAGCCGGCCTGCTAGCCATATGCCTGCCTGGGCCCCTGCCTCTGCATCAGGACCCGGGAGCCTCAACAGCCCTGTATTCACTTGGTCTTGCTGCTTATGAGGAACAAGATGTGCAGACTGATTGGGGAGCAGGGCATGATTTATTTTTATCTCTGTCCCTGGAAGAAAATTAGTCCCAGACCATCATGCCAGGATGGAGGGCGGGTAGCTGAGATCTTTCCTGGGAAACTAAGGGCAGCTACCAACCCTGGAGAGGATTATATAATAGGTAGGCTAGGGAACCAACCAAGACCATCCCTCAGGTGGGAACTTTGCTTACAGATGACGTTAATCCAATGAGTCTGGGTCTTCTAGAGTCACACTCAGAACTTTAGAGGACATCTTGGTCATTCCTTTTTTAAGCTTCAGTGAATCTGAGGCAAAGAGGAGTAGCTTGCCCAAAGTCATAGAAAGTTGGCAGAACCAAGTTGCTCGATTCTCAAGCTCAGTGCTTTTTCCATGATAGTCTGTCAACTCCTTCAAGCAAGAATGGATATCAAGTGTTGGGAACCCATCCCCTTGTTACTTGAAGGGCAATGCAAGGTCCCATCTCTCCTGTACACTGTCCACCCCTATCCTCCAACTAAGCCATCCTCTCTTTTGCCTGGGATGCAGATTTTAGCTAAATTTCCGGTTTGGACAATGGGTAAATGCTGGTACTGGGTTTCCTCAATATAAATAAGGTGGCTAAATTAATATGTGAGAAACTTAGACCGTGGGAAGCCCAGCAAGTTGGAGGCTGGGGAGCCAGTGGGAACTAGAGGAGATAGAGTGGTGGTAGTAAGTAATAGCAGAAGACTGCAGGTTAGGTAAGGCTGGGGATGGTTCTTCAGAGTGGCCTTAGGGAAAGGAAGGGACCAGAAAGTGGGAGAAGAGCTGGTACAGGTGGCATTGTCAGCCTTCAAAGTTGGTGAAGTCAGCCCCTACCTGAAGAACTTGGGGAGGACATTAGGTAAGCATGGATCTGGGAATCATGAGAGGCAGCTAGCTGGGTGGGGCAGAGGGGCCTGAGGTGCTAAGCACTCAACCTCACCATGCCCCCATTTACTCAACTATCAAAGTAGAATTCTAACAATTCCTCTGTCTTCCACCAGGCAGTTGTGGGCGGGAAGCTGGGAACTATGAGCCACAGTATTTGTTATTCCCCAGGCTATAAGGAAACATTGCACAGGAGCGGCAGGGCAGGAAGCGTGCTTTATGAAGATTTACCCGGCAGCAGGTGTGAAATTGGCAGAAGAGACAGGAGGATGACGCTGAGAAGTGAAGGGCTTGAGGCATAAAACAGTTAACAAACTGTTGAAGCTGTCTTGGGGAGAGGTAATTAATTCTGCTCAGCTGTTAGTTGGTGTTCTGACTGTACACATTTAGAATGATGGGCTTTGACAGGCCCAATGTTGTTTTGCAGTATAAATGGTAAAATAGTCATTTCATAGAAAAATCAACACGGAATCTTTTTGCCTAATTGATCCCTAAGCTCCTGACTTTTGCCTCTGCCCCCAGCACTGCTCCCCTTGAATCACGCCCTCTCCGCATCCTCTCCTCACCCCTTGCTTCACTGCCCAGGCTTCTCCCTCTTAGGGCAAATACCATGAACATGTAGTTGTTATTAGTTGACATTGTGTGGCTGAAGGCCAGTGAATAATTACATCCATCTCATCTCACCTGTCTCCCATGGCACCGACCAGAGACATCAGGCACAGGCAACCATCTCCAGAGTACATCAGCCCCTCGGGGACCTGCTCAGGTTGGCTGAATCTCTGCCTCAGTGACACATTTTGTGCTGAGCTGTGAGAATTGCTTGGGAACCAAGAGCTGCTGGCAGAAGGGCTAACTCTCAACAGCAGGAAACTTCCCATGGCAGAGGGCCCCCGCAATGGCAACCCCGTGCCTTCTGAGCTGGAGATGCCTCGCTGCCTGACCACATGGCACCATGAGTCTCTAGCTCCCACCACCACCCCAAATCCTCACCCTCAGGGCTCGGGCCCAGGTGCACAGGCCTGAGAGCTGGCAGAAAGGGAGTTGTCTACAGCCAGAAGGGGATTTTCTTCACCATCCCACCCAAACGTTGTTTGGCTGCCGCTGCCTCTGAGCTTTTCAGAAATGAAAAAGAGAGATAGGGAAGTGGGAGCCCTGGTGGGCTCTGGAACCCTTCTGTTTTCTCAAGGGCATGGCAGTAGGTCCAAAATGTCCTCTGGGTTTGAAAATGAAATGCCGGCACAGAGCAGATTCCTGACAAATGTGGCCCAGATGTTTCTGAGCGATTTATTTTTGCTGATGGAAAATGGCTGAGCTAATAACCCTCAGAAACATTTCTGTAGGGAGAGTTGAAGCCTATTTTGCCTCTGTGCTTGTGTTTTGCTTGTGGTTTTCTTTTACGGAAGAAATTAGATGTAGGAAAAAGCCCAAAAAACAACTCTGTCTATAACAGCTGATGCCAAAATCCCATGCATAGATTGTGTGACCTGATTTCTACCAATTATTGACAATTCAGTGAGGCCCAAGTTCTTCTCATCAATTACCTCATTTAATCCCTATGACAAGGAGGAGACCAAGGCTCAGAGCAATGACATTTCCTACCCAGCCAGAGCCACACGGCCTGTGACAGCATGGCTGAGAATCAAACCCCAAGCTTTGACTCTAGATCAAAACTCTTTCCACCACTATACTCTTATAGGGAAATGACAAGGAAAATACAAGGGTTAAAAGAGACTCTGAGAGGCTGGATGCAGTGGCTCACACGTGTACTTTGGGAGGCCAAGGTGGGTGGATTACTTCAGGCCAGGAGTTCGAGACCAGCCTGGCCAATATGACAAAACCCCGCCTCTACAAAAAAAAAAAAAAATAGCCAGGCATGAGGGTGCATGCTTGTAATCCCAGCTACTCGGGAGGCTGAGGCAGGGGCAGCAGAATCACTTGAACCCTGGAGGCAGAGGTTGCAGTGAGCCGAGATCACACCACCACACTCCAGTCTAGGAGACAGAGCAAGACTGTGTCTCCAAAAAAAAAAAAAAAAAAAAAAAAAGAGAGAGAGAGAGAGAGACTGTTAGCGGTCTTCTAATTGATCCATGGGCTTTTCGTCAGCACCTCAATTTTACACCCTAAACTTGGTCAGAGAGTCTAGTGAGTTTCCTTTTCTTTAAGGGAAAGGCACTGCTTTCTGGGCAGCAAGAAAAGGACTGTCTTTGATGTCCCCACTCCCCAACATCTTTTGGCAATGAGTGACTGTGCTATCTAATGCTATATTCATAGTGAAGTGAAATGGCTTTGAAGCAGACAGAACCAGGACCAAATCTAAGCTTCACCACTAACAAGCTAGGTGACTTTAAGCAAGTCAGTTATTAAAGTTCTCTGTGTTTAGTTTCCTAATTACCAGCCAAGAAGCTCTCTCTAGCTCTGTCTCTGTTGCTGTAGCTGCAGCCTATGGAAGGACTGTTGTGAAGATAGCTTCAGCATAGCCCTTAACACAGAGTCGGCTCTCTGTAAATGGTGGTGATTATTAACTATTCCATAACTATGGAAATGAGTGAGCAAGTGAGCAGTGAATGTGCTTCTCCTCCTCTGTGAGACTAAGAGAGACTCCATGATTGTCAAGTTTAGCCATGAGGAAAGGCACATAACCCTTCTCCTTGGTGCATTTGCCCCAAGTGGCTACTTTGTGCTTACAGGAATTTGCAAATGACATTACAAGAGCAGCATAATGGGCTGAGAGGAAACAAGCTTGCCATGACCTTCACCTCCTCTTGCTTCCACCTATTGGGATCCCAGGACTATATGGGATTCAGCAGGACTGCCTTGTTCAGAACCTACTTCCAAGCAAGATGAGACTTAAACCATCTCTAATGAACAATTATTGCATATCTGCCATGTGTCAGGCACTATGCTGGCATAGATAGGTAAGTCAGTAGGTAGATAGAACAGAATAGCTAGATAGATGGTAGACAGATAGATGATAGATAGATAGATAGATAGATAGATAGATAGATAGATAGATAAATAGATAGAGATAGATGATAGAGATAGATGATAGATATAGATGATTGATAGATAGATAGATAGATAGATAGATAGACAGACAGACAAACAGACAGATAGATAGATAATCTCAGATCATCTTATCCTTCCATAGAGGCAGGACAGGAGGATAGTGAAAAGAGCATAAACTATGGACTCAGGTAAGATGATTTGAAATCCTGGCTCAATCCTTTTCTCTCTGTGTGATTTTGGGCAAGTTGTTCTTCTCAGAATCTCTGTAAAAGGGGGAAATTACATCTGCTCAAATGAATTGTTTTTAATCAGATAAAAATCCTGCAACACACGGGACACTCTCTGGCACAGAGGAGAGTCACGGGGGAGCTGACTCTCATTTGTATCTACTCTGCAGAGTCGTTGCCATCATAGTGTACCGGTGAGAATGTTGAATTCCAGGACAGAAGGGGACTTGCCCAAAATCACAGAGTTAAGGGGCAGACATGGAAAACTGGTTCTCATGCACCCAAATCTATTTCTGTTCAAAGCTGCAAAAAATATTCACTGAGCACTTCATTAGGCACCCATGCAATGGGAGAAGGGCTAGGCATTTCTAGGAAATCCAGGATCCCAAGAAGCTCACATCCCAGTGGGAGAAACATTTACTTGGCAAATATTCATTGTATTAGTCCATTCTCACGTTGCTATAAGGACATATCCAAGACTGGGTAATTTATAAAGAAAAAGAGGTTTAAGGGAATCACAGTTCCACGTGGCTAGGGAGATTTCACAATCATGGAAGGTGTAGAAGTTGCTAAGGCACGTCTTACATGGCAGCAGGCAAGAGAACATGTGCAGGGCAACTGCCCTTTATAAAATCATCAGATCTCCTGGGACTTACTCACTATCACAAGAATAGCACAGGGGAAAAATCCACACACATGATTCAATTACCTCCCACCAGGTCCCTCCCACAGCATGTAGGGATTATGGGAGCTACAGTTCAAGAAGAGATCTGGATGGGGAAACAGCCAAACCATATCATCTATTTCATTACACATTCTGTATCTTTGGCAGCATGGAAGACGGTAGAAATGCAAAGGTATACCTAACAGGTATAACCTGTGGCTGTGTCCCACACAGCGTATTGTTTTGAAGGCAGATGTACGTATAAAATGAAATATGTTAAGCACTCCCATGGGAGAATCCTACAGCATGGGGACTCACCAAGGAAGCAGCACTTGAGTAATTTTGAGGCACCAGGAATGGAGAGGTTAGGACTTAGTTGGAGCAGCGTTGGTCAGGGAGGGAGCAGAAGGTCCCAGGAGTGGTCTGGAGAGGAGAGACTGTGTAGTCCTTGAAGAAATGTGGAAGGTCAATGCAGCTGGAATTGAGTATAAGAGGGAATAGCAGGCTTAGGTAAGGCTGGAGGAGGGCTGGGGCACGGAGAGCCTTGAAACATATGTTAAGAAACCTGGAGGCTTTAATGAGGCCAGTGCAAAACCTTCAAAGTATTTTAAGCAAAGGAGCAGTAGGATTTACATATTAGAAGGATTACTCTCATTACAGTCTGGAAAAAGGACTGGGGATGTGGGAGACACAGAAATAAACAATTACCATTAAGGCAGGGGATTAACAATTACCAGGAGGCAAGGGAGTTTTACAAATATTGAACAATCAGTATCAAATGGACATCAACCAAATAGAATGTAAGGCTGCTGGAGAAAGTCCTCCTGCTCATCCCTACCAGTCCCAGCAAAGGGACCAAGTGGCAGGGAGGGGGCATTCATGGGAGGGGCATTGATGGTGAAGGCAGTGGCTCTTTCCCACTTAGCATGAACTCATTTGAGTATCTTAGCCACTGATAAGGCCACCCAGACGCACTTGATTGTCAATGTCAGCCAGGGTAGGAGTAAAAGCCAAGTGTTTGGAGAGCCTGGAAAAGACCCAACAGGTTTCATGCATCTCACCTGTGAGCCAGGAACCAAGGAAAGGCCTTTTCTGTGCTCATAGTGTAAATACCCTGAATCCTGAAACTCCTGGTGAAACAACTCTGACTTTGGAGAAGGATATGTCACATGGAAGAATAAGGACATGGCTGCTTTAAAAGGGATGCAGTCTCACTGCAAACTGACTCCTGGTCACAGCCGCAGCAGAAGAGCATGTCCAAAGCCACCAGCTGTGGTCGAGCAGACTTTGTCTTGGATTCGTACCCAACAACTCCCACTCTTGAGATGCTTGATATCCTTCCTGTGTCCCGACCCTGACCAGGTCCTCAGTGAACAATTTTTCTAATTCTTCCTGATTCTTCTGTTTTGGTTTTTCCTTCTCTGCAGACACCACACCTGCCCAGCTCCTTTTTAATCTCATCTGTGTCTTGCAGTTTCTTCTACTGAATCATCCAGCTGAGTGCAGGCCCCTCATTCCCTGCTGGTGCCCCAGCTTTTCTGTGGGAGAAGCAGTGCTTCAGAGAGAACTCAGGTTCAAGTACAGTGTTTGCTGCTTTGCAAACTAAGATACTCAAAACAGTGGAGCAATTCATTCATTCATTCAAGTCCTCCTGCTGGGGCAGAGTAAATGCTTGTGGGGTTCACCACTATTTCCACAACTTTAATATTCTTCCTGGAATCTACAATGCACTCAGTAATGATTCACTGAGCATCTACCACTACATGCATGGTCTGTGCCAGGACTGCTGAGGATACAAGGATGACATGGCCCTGCCTTTACTGAACTTTAATCAATTAATAATTATTAATTCATTCATTGATTCATTCAGTCATTCCATCATCAGGCATTTAGAGCCAGCTGACTGAATGCCCACTTTGTGTCAGGCACTATGGATAAGGAACAGTTACGAAACTCAAAACAGATCGTGGTTAAAAAGGAGAGAGGAATACAGGAACCACTACAGGGCAAGAGGTATCTCTAACTGAAAGATTGTATCACCCATGAAAAATGAAGACGGGAAATAAAACCAAAGTTTCTAAAGCTGTTTTAGCATTAGGTATTGACTTTGGCAAGAGGATGGAGAATGTGTGGTCCTACTTGAATGATGAGGCCCTAAACCCTATGCAAGAGTTTTCCAAATCCATCTCATTTCAAAGGTTGAAGTCTAATGGGTAAAAGAAAAAAATGCACTTGGACTGTGAGCCAGACCTTGAGTTCATATGTGAGACTCATGCTCTGTAAACAGCTTGCTTAGACCCTCGGCAGTTCACAGGCAAAGCCTTGCACAGGTTCGTTGCATCTGCTCTCTCCTTTGGCAAGATACAAAACTTAGAACAAGAGAAGCTGTTCCTTCAACACAGTCATGGCCGCACAGATGCCAGTAAGAAGCATCAGATCTCAGTAACCGTTTATGAGATTTAAGCTTCTGCATTTGTTCTTCATTCAAAAAGTATTTATTGAGTCCCTGTGTGTACCACGTACTGTGTTAAGAACTTGATGCATGGTGTGAGGTACAGTCCCTGCTGGCATGGGCTTTAGAGACAGATGGGGTTCTCATTATAGACCAGACAGTGTTCTAAATAAACCACTTACAAATGTAGAAACTGAGGCACAGAGAAATAACTAACTCACCCAAAGATACATTGCTAGTAAAGGAAGAGCTGAGATTTGAACACAGACAGTCTGGCTCCAGAGCCCACATGTGCTATTACACATCTCTAGACGAGTGAACAATATGGCAGTCTACCAAATGCCATGAGCCACATTGAACAAAACTGGGAATTAGGGAATAACTATGGTAGGCAAGCAGGAGAGAAGGGAAACACTGAAAGTGGCTGGGGAAGGCATCGCTGAAGAGGGGACAGTTACACTGGAACATGAAGGGTGGAAGCAGTCAACCATACCCTGAGCTGGGAAGAACATCCTAGGGCGAGGGCCCCAAGAATGGAGGCATGCCAATCAGAGTCCAAGAGAAAGAGAGAAGTGGCATGAGAGGACCTGTAGATGGAGGCACAGCCAGATCGTGGGCCTTGTAAGTGAAATGAGGGGCTTAGAGTTTGGGCAGAGGACCCATCCGAGTCTCAGAAGGGGAGGTATGCCAGGCCCTAATTTGTGTGCCCAAGGATGAGGCTAAGATGGGAACATTGAGACTGTAGAAGCACAGGCTCTGAGGCCAGGAAGACTGGATTCAGACCCTGACTCCTCTACTTTGGGAAAGTTATTTATCTCTCTAGGTGTCAGTTTCCTTCATTTATGAGAAAGAGATGATACCTCCTCTGTAAGATTGCATATAAGGAGAAATTAAATATGAATTGCTTAAAACAGTGCCAGCCACATAGCTAGCAGTCTGTAAATATCAGCTTTAACATCCCCATCCCCACCTCCATTTCCTGCTGAATACAGCTGATGGCAATAGTATTTTGGCACACCCTGTAATTAAAAGTAATACATGTTCAATGCAGGAAATTTGGAAAATAGAGAAAAGCACAAAAAAAATCATATTCACACCAACAAAAGAAAACCATCATTAATATTTTGCAGTTTTGTCATCTCTTTCAATGCACCTCTCATAAAGTACAAAAATGTTATCATGTTTATGTATGGCTCTATAGACTGCTCTTCTTTTTAACTCAGCAAATACTGCAGGCTGAATTCTCCAGAGGTAAACATTGAGACCGTTTTGGAGGTGTGCAAGACGTTTATCTGAGATCAACACATGAGGAAGAGAGGGGGAGGAAGACAGGTAGGGCAGAGGGAGAAGTCAAACTTTAATGCAGGTGTTAAGTTACTTATATATCATATACATGCACAAATCCATACATACGCACATATACATGCACACACCCATACATATGCATACATATGCATCGATCTATCTATTATATGGAGAATGAGGAGATGGAGGGAGAGAGAGAAAGTTTGATTAAGACAGGAAACATGAAATCTCTGGTTCAGAGAAGAGACCTTTCTCACTCACAGAGCATATTCACACCAGTTCTTCACACCCCAGTCCCCACAGGATGATGCAGTAAGGGCCAGGTGCATTCAGCAGGGGTGCAACATAGGTTGCAACCCAAAAACTCATGGAATTCAGAGCTTATATAGGGTGGCTAGTACATCTGCCCATCCTCCCCTCTGAAGAGAGATTTTGAGTCTGAAATATAAATATATGTTTCTGCAGGAGAGAGGAAGGCATCTCTGGACTTATTTCCCTAAATGTGAGCAAATATCTCCAGGAAAGATAAGTCTCTAAATCTCTCTGGAGCCATACACAATCTCTAAGTTGCAAGACATGTTAGTAATTCAGTCATCTTTTAACCAAGTTTGCTCGTGTTCTTTGCTCAGAAATCCCAGGACATATAGGATATAAAAAAAAAAAAAAATTCATGGAGAATTGTTTCCCTGTGGAGGACTTGACATAAGCCAGGCCAACCTGGTGGGGAGCTCTGGAGCATAAATGGTGTACCAGAATGGTCTGCACTGGGTAGAAATGGCTGGGCTTTTATGCCCCTACCTCAATCACTGGATGTGTGAAAGCAAAGAAGGATGTGTCCATGGCTTGTCTCTCTCTGCAGTTGAGACAAACCCTGATGGAACTAACACTCATGGTAGCAAGTCCTTCCTTGAAGGAGGATCTGAGCAGCACATCTCCATGTGTATCACAGAAACATACTATGAATATTTTCTCACATCAGTGATTTCTAAGGTTTGCATGTGATATGGTTTGGCTGTGTCCCCACTCAAATCTCATCTTGCATTGTAACTCCCACAATTCCCACATGTCATGGGAGGGATCCAGTGGGAGGTGATTGAATCATGGGGATGGGTCTTTTTCATGCTATTCTTGTGATAGCGGACAAGTCTCATGAGATCTGATGGTTCTATATAGAGGAGTTCCCCTGCACGAGCTCTCTCTCTTTGCCTGCTGCCATCCATGTAAGCCGTGACTTGCTCCTCCTTGCCTTCTGCCATGATTGTAAGGCCTCCCCAGCCACGTGGAACTGTAAGTCTATTAAACCTCTTCCTTTTGTAAATTGCCCAGTCTCAGGTATGTCTTTATCAGCAGCATGAAAACGGACTAATATACCATGGTATTTCATTGTTCTAATTATCCTAATTAGTGAATTCCCCATTATTGAGCATTAGATTGTTACTTTTTGCTCTTCTAAATAATCCTGCCACGAATTCCCTACTGTGTTATATCTTCGTATCCTTCTCTAGTTTCTCCTTAGGACAAACTCCTAAAAGTGGAATTCTAGGTCAAGGTGTTTGGATATTTTTAAGGCTATTGATATGCATTACAGAACTGGCCCCCATTAAGGTTATGCAAGTTGATACTGTCTTACAGTGGTTGAGCCTGTCTGCTTCTCCTGCATCCTGTGAACCTTGATTCTCGTTACTCTTTTAAGTCATCGTTAATCAGATAGGGAAAAAAATGTATTCCACTGTTGTTTTTATTTGCATTTTAATAATACCATGGATAAACCTTTTTCACGTGCTGTTTGACCATTTTGATTTCTCATCTTCTGAACTGTTTGTTTACATTCGTTCCCCATTTTTTCTGGTGGAGTATTTTTCTTTTCCTTATTGATTTGAAAGACCTCTTAAACATATCAACCCACTCTCACTATCATATGTGTTGCCATTATTTTTCTCAATTTATAGTTTGCCTTTTCATCTTGTTTATAGTGTTTTTGACATCCATGTTTTATAGTTTATTAGAGCCAAATCAATCAATCTTTTCCATTTTTGACTCACTCCTTGTCATTATGTTTACAAAGCTTGGTTCATTTTATAATCCAGGTGCAGGATCTTAGTTCTTTTTCCTCTATTAAATTTGACCCAATTCATTTCAATTCATTGTTACAACCAGCCTAGATCTTTTAGAGTCTTGATGATGTCAGCCAGCATTTCACCTCTTCCTCCCAGCCTTGAGTCAAAAGCAAATGTGATCTGCACTCTTTGTGTGACTTCATCCAAGTCATCCATCACCCCTCATCCATTTCTCTAATGATGTTCATTCAACTTGTCTGAAATGGAGCCAAATGGAGCCTTTTGTATCACCAAGACAGCAGCCGACTGGCCCTAGGGACTGACATTAAGGAGGAAAGTCACTGCCAATGGGATGCCTAGCCTGTTTGGATCAGTGTTTTCACAGAGCCTGTCACCCTTAAAACCTTCACATTAGGGTCATAATAGTTTATTTACATTTTCTTCTCCCTTAGATGTATCTGTCTTTTTCCCTTTTGGAATTATAAGGGAAGAAATACATAGAAATAATGATGTCTTTGATGGGGCATGGAATGGCAGTGCAAACTGCCCAGAGTCACATTTGATGTTCAGTTCATTTCCTTGGAATATTGGGCAAGACATTAAAGATTATTTGGTCCCTACCTTCTTCTCTCACCCACCTGATGAAAAGATCCTTTTTATAGTGTGTGGGTTGACTATAGATGTCATGATGGAGACCATCTAGGAACCAGACAGTTTACTGCTTTAAAGGAAGAAAAACACTTAGAATTCAAGACATTAAGCCAAGATCACACAGTCTGAAAGTGCTGGAAACTAGATCTGAACTCACATCTATCTGCATCCAACTCCCATACCAAGTTGCCTCCGCAGCTGGGGGCAAGCCACCCCACATTCTTTGATGACCATCAGGGATGGGAACTTACTTCTGAAGATGATTCCTGGAGCACTCCAGGAAATTCTGGATGTTGGCCTAAATTTCCCTTTCTGTCTCTTCTCCCCCTTAAAAACATACAAACCTCATCTTCCCACCCTTCCTCAAGATAAGTCTTTTTAAGATTCTATTTACCCTTTCTCCTCTCCCTCTGATCTGCTGACAGTTCCGCACAGGACAGAGCTAGAAGGCCCTTCATCCTCCTGCCAACTCCCATCCGATCTTGCTCTGAGTTATGCCTGTCATCCACATTGTGAACCACTGAATGCCATGCGCCGAGTGGGCTCTGATTGCAGGTGGACTCACATCTCCCAGAACAAACAGGCCAGGTTCTTTCCTTCTATTCCAGGAAGTTATGGGAAGGGGAACAGCCTCCTTTCCTCACCTCCTACTCCCAACTTTCTGTTACTCCATCCTCAGATGGGAGAGATTGGGAGCAGATGTTTGTTTTTTATTTATATTCATGCAAGCCTTGCCTTTGAACCCTGGTGGATACCAGGAGTGGTCACACAACCTCCTTTTCATGACAAGGTTTTTTTCTTACCTGCTTGTGAAGCAAGATCCTGTCCTGGCTTGACTGTTCTTTTCTTACCTCCCAGGCTTACTCTGGAATTCCTGACTGCCTTCATCAAACATTTATGTTTGGAGATGCTGTTCTTACTTCCTGATGCTCACAGAATGAGGGAGAAACAGGCTAGCAGATAAGAAAGCTCAGAGTTTCTGATCAGGGCTTCTAAGGTGGGGAACCATACAGCATAGAACCAGTGAGGACCTCTTCAAAAGTGGCTGGTCACATGGCTGACCTCACTTCTATTGCTGCATCTTGGAAGGAATCAGGAATGGGGACCAGGGAAGGTGGTCCCCAAATGCAAGGAAGTAGGAGTAGAGAAGAGCACATCACAGTCATTCCATGATCTGCCTCATTTCCTAGTTACTGTGTGCTATGTCTTCTCTTCCTACATGCTCATTTATCTCATTTCTAACATGGGGATAATAATATGACTTTCTTCATGGGTTTCTTGTGAGGATTAAATGATATAATGAATGTAAAGTGCTTAGGACAATAAGTGTTCCACAAATGGTGACTAATGGTATATTCACTCTAGCCCTAGATCTATTTATTTCAATTAACAAAGCACCAGGCTATGTTTGAGAAAAACGTCCTTGCTTTTTTACCTCTTGCATTGGAGCTTTCTCACACACCATGTCATCTGAGCCTCACTACAACCCTGGAGGAGGAAGCGCAGCAGACCTTATTGACCCTCACACAATGAGGATACAATGAAGATTTGGATGAATGAAAGGGTGATGCCAGAATTTGTCCATGACTCTCAATCGCCACTTTGTTTTTAATGAAGATTACTGACCAGCAACAAGGCTTGACTGAGTTGAGTCTTGCCTCCTGTCTGACAGGTCCTGCCTCCATTTTATCCTTCTTTTGTCTCCCTCAATCCCCATAGGAGGACTCAGCAACAGCTCCCTGTTTGAGGTTGAGGCTTATCCCACTGCCCGAGTTGATCATGAAAATGGCAAAAAATTTCTCCGTCCTGAAAGTTGCTTCAGAGTTTTGATCTTCACCATCAATTCTGGATTCAGCCCAGACCTCACTTCTGGACTCTCATGTTGCATTAAGAACTGTAAAGTGTTATACTCTGGTTTCTCTTCATATCGCATAAATCTTTTGCCTTTTACTAAAGAACTGTAAAGCGTCTGCATCTTACCCTACCTGAAATCTAATAAGTTATTCTACCACAATTCCTGGGTACTGGCAGAAGATACAAGACTCCTGGGTCAGAGGTGGACAACTTATTACTCAGCAATAGCAGTAGAGCAGTAGCCAGAATATCATCATTGGTGGTTCCCTGACTCCCAGTTCCAACATGGCAATGTGTAGAGAGCCAGGTAACTCCTGCACATTCAGTGGGTTGCATTACAGGAAGGGAATCCCCAGTTTAGGTAATCCTTATCTTTTAAAGGGATTGTAAGCAAACATCCCAAATTTTGCCCTGGAGAGAGACATTGCCGGTCAACAAACAAATATGCCCTCTGCCCCAGAAGAAAACACTCTATGTTAAAGTGCTATTATACACACATCCTTGAAAAGGTAGTTGGAAACAAGAGCTCTCAGTGCCTCTGCCCGGGAGATGTGCAGAAACTTGAAAGATTTATGGATAACTGAGTCCCAATACCTTTTTCCCCCACCTCTGGGATCTGCCTGTCTACTCTGGCCATAGATTCTGGGACAATATCAATAGCCATGGCCTTATTGGGATCATGATAATAACACTATGAAGTCATAGGAGATTTTTGGAAGGTGCTCTGGTTTGAATATTTGTCCCCTCCATACCTCCTGTTGAAATTTGATCCACAGTTTTGAAGGGGGCCTATTGGGAGGTGTTTCGGTTATAAAAGTAGATCCCTCATGAATAGATTAATGCTTCCCTTGGAGGTGGGGAGTTCTTACTCTATTAGTTCTCACTAGAGCTGTTGGTTAAAAAGAGCCTGACACCTACCCTCCGCCCCCACCAAACCCGCCACTTTTCTCTGGCTTCCTCTCTCGCCATGTGATCTTTGTATACAACAGCTCCCTTCGCCTTCCCACATGAGTGGAAGCAGTCTGTGGCCCTCACCAAACGCTGAGCAGATGCTGGCACCATGCTCCTTGTACAACCTGCAGAACCACGAGGCTAACAAACCTCTTTTCTTTATCAAGTACCTAGTCTTAGGTATTCCTTTACAGCAATACAAAAAAGACTGAGACAGAGGGCTAATGTGTCTTGTGCTGCATGCTGACAATGGTTACGGGCAATGTGTGCCTGGCTTCCTGAGGAAAGATCAAGTGTGACCCAGGGTTTTGAAGCCAGAATGGGTAGGAGTATGAAGTCTGATTAGAAGAGACATTAGCATGAATTGTATAATAATGGCCAAACCCATTTATCTGACGATAGAAGTTCATGAGTCCAACACTGAAGGTTAGTTAACTTCAAGGTGTGAGCAGTTAACCAATGTGGATTCTCTTGAGGTTTGTGTCCTTTACTCGAAGACTATGAACACAGGTGGACAAACACAGCTGGCTCAAATCCAGGAAAGTTCACATCAAACGAGCTCACCATTCCCCTCCATGGTTCATCTAAACATTCCCTCATCCTTTCACCCAGTGGATAAAGATTTATTACAGTGCTTCCTATAGGCCAGGTTCTTAACCTTACATAATGAACAGCATGGTGCAGACTGTATAGCACTGTCACCTGACTGCACTGAAGCGACCTGGCAAAAAGTTCCCATTGCTCTTCCAGGGCTTTGCAAATACACATCTTTTTCTCTAGCAATTCCACATCCAGGGATGTATCCTAAGGAAAGAATCAGAGACAAACAAAATGGCTTTTCTGAGGAATAAATAAACTAACACAAACAAAGTGCTAAGAGCAATCTACAGCTCAATATATTTTGTTTTTTGTTGTTGTTGGTTTTGTTTTGTTTTGTTTTTGAAATGGAGTCTCACTCTATCGCTCAGGCTGGAGTGCAGTGGAGCAATCTTGGCTCACTGCAACCTTCGCCTCCTGGGTTCAAGCAATTCTCCTGCCTCAGCCTCCTGAGTAGCTGGGATTACAGGCTCGCACCACCAAGCCCAGCTAATTTTTGTGTTTTTAGTAGAGACGAGGTTTCACCATGTTGGTCAGGCTGGTCTCGAACTCCTGACCTCATGATCTGCCCACCTCAGCCTCCCAAAGGGCTGGGATTATAGGCGTGAGCTACCGCACCTGGCCAACATATTTTGTTTAAATGCTCAGCTCGGCTTTACTTATAAGTGAGTAGAATAAACTAAATCTTTAAATAAATCTCCAACAGTAAAGAATTCAAGTAAATTACAAAATGCACCTAAAGTGAATTTTAATGCAGGTATTAAAACCTGCATATTGTACCTAGGTTCTCCCCATGTTTAGGATGTAGAAGGCAATGAAAGACATTGAGTGCATTGGTCAGTGTAACAATAAGAAAGCACTTTGTCTTAGGCAGTTTTCTGTTACTATAACAGAATGCCTGCGATGGGGTGATTTATTTTTTTAAAATGCATTTCTTACAGTTCCTGACTGTAGGAAGTCCAAGGCTTAGGGGCCACATCTGGTGAGGGCCTTCTTGCTGGTGGGAACTCGCTGCAAGCATCACATGGCAAGGGGGTTCATGAGAAAATCAAACTGGCAAACTGGCCTTTATAACAGACCCGCTGTCAGGATAACTAACCTGCTCCTGTGATAACCGATTAATCCACTAACCCCTTAATCCATGAATGGATTAAACCATTCATGAGGGCAGAGCCCTCATGATTGAATCACCTCTTAAAGGCCCCACCTCTTAATATTGTTAGCTTGCGGATTAAGTTTCAACACGAGTTTCAGAGGGAACAGACACAGCACATTGATAAGCTAAAAAAAATCGCAAATAGGCCAGGCACAGTGGCTCATGCCTGTAATCCCAGCACTTTGGGAGGCTGAGGTGGGCGGATAACTTGAGGTCAGGAGTTCAAGACCAGCCTGGCCAATATGGTGAAACCCCATCTCTACTAAAAACACAAAAATTAGCCGGGCATGGTGGCACGCGCCTGTAATCCCAGAACTGTGAGAGGCCAAGGCAGACAGATCGCTTGAGGTCAAGGGTTCAAGACCAGCCTGACCAACATGGTAAAACCCCATCTTTACTAAAAATACAAAAATTACCCAGGCATGGTGGCATGTGCCTGTAATCCCAGCTACTGGGGAGGCTGAGGCAGGAGAATTGTTTGAACCCAGGAGGCGGAGGTTGCAATGAGCTGAGATTGCACCACTGCACTCCAGCCTGGGTGACAGAGCTGAACTCCATCTCAAAAAAAATAAAAAATCACAAATATATAGGAATAAATTAACAAACAATATGAAGACCTTTTCACTTAAAACTACAATATATTGCTAAGAGAAATTAAAGACTTTAAAAAAGAAAAACATACCATGTTAACATACTCAAAAACTTAATTTTGTTAAGCTATAAATTCTCCCCAAGTTGATCTATAGAGTCAGCAAAATTTCAATCAAAATCTCAAAAGGCTTTTTTTGTAAATGTTAATAAGCTGATTCTAAAATATATATGGAAATGGCAAGAACCTAGAATAGCCAAAATAATCTTAAGAAGAATAAAGTTGGAAGACTTGTATTATTATATTTCAAGACTTACTATAGAGTTATAGTACTTAGGATAATGGTTAATTTTCAGTAGACAAATAAATCAATAGAAATGAATAGAGAGTCCAGGAATAGACCAACATAGATCTAATCATTTGTTTTTTGACAAAGATACCAGTGAAAATCACGGGGGAAAGGAAGCCTTCTTCAATAAGTGGTATTAGAACAACCTAATATATGCACGAAGAAAAAAAAAACCTTGATCTCTGTCTCACACCATAAAGAAACATTAACTCAAAATGAATCATAGACTTATATGTAAAAGCTAAACTATGAAGCTTTTTGGAGAAAACATTGTAAAAAATCTTAAACTTGAAATAGGCAAAGATGTCTTAGGCTATAAAAGTAAATAACCATAAATAAAAACGTGATAAATGAGATTTTATCACAATTAAAACTTCTATTTACTCAAAGACGTTGTTAAGAAAGTAAAGAGGCAAGACACAGATTAGGAGAAAATGCTCATAATACATACATCTAGCAAAGGAGTTGTATCTAGGATATGCAAAAACTGCTGCAAATATAATAATAAAATACAAATGTCCCAAATTTTAAAATGTGCAAAGAACTTCAACAGACACTTGATGAAAGAAGATATTGGAACAGCCAGAAAACATATGAAAAGATGATTAATTTCACTGATTGTTTGAGAAATAAAAATTTAAAACCATACCCAAAAAACGCTCCCAAATTGGCTAAAATTATAAAGACTGACCATGTTGGTGAGAATGTGAAAGACTATGGAAACCCTAATACCTATGGAAGTATAAATTGGTACAACCGCTTTGGAAAAATGTTTCTCAGTGTCTAATAAAGTTAAACATTCACCCTCCCAGCAAATGCTATGACCCAGCAATTCCACTCCTGAATATATATGCGAGAGTGTATGTGAGTACATATGTCCACAAATATCTTTGCATGAGAATGTTCATAGCCCCTTTATTCATAGTTGCCCAAAACTAGAAACAACGCAAATATCTGTTAATAGGAGAATTGGCAATCAATTTGTGGAATATTTATACAAGTTATTAGTTTTTTTATGAGCTCTGAATACATTCAATCACAGGATGATTCTCAAAAACATTATGTTGAATGAAATAAGGGAGACACAAGCATATACACTACATGTTTCCATTTAAGTGAAGTGGAGGAATAGGCAAAATTCAGGTATAGTGATAGAAGCTGAAGCAATACTTAAGGTGGGGGCAGCAATCAGGGAGTGGATTAACCAGAGTGGGGCATGAGGAAAGAGAAAATTCTCTGGGGTGATACAAATATTTATATCTTGATATGGGTTGTGGCCACGTGTGTGTGTGTGTGTGTGTGTAAAATATCTGTCATAAATCATTGAACTGTATGCTAAAAACTTGTGCATTTTACTGTATGAGAATCATACCTCAATAAAGTACTGAAAAAAACATATTGTAGATAAGGGTATGGGGAAATTTTTGTGACATATTATTAAATACCAAAAAATGCAGCTACATGTAATAGTCCACAATGTGATTTCAATCTTGTTAAACACCCAAAGAAAGACTTATCTATTATCAGTGTCTATGTAACAGGATGAAGGCTTCTCTTATCCTCTTCCAGGTATTTTTCTTCCCTTCTCCGTCACCTGAGGGTTCTCTAGTAACTCATCGAGGAGACTGAATATTTTCTTAGCACAATAATATCTCAAAGTACTGTTTTGAGAAGGGGTTTCTATAAAAGGATATGTATACATATGTGTGTATAATATATAATATACATTACATATATGTGTGCATAATATATAATAATAATGTATATTGTTTATATGTATTAGTTCATTCTCACATTGCTATAAAGGGATATCTGAGACTTGGTAATTTATAAAGAAAGAGGTTTAGTTGGTTCATGGTTCCACAGGCTGTATAGGAAGCATGGCGGCATCTGCTTCTGGGAGGCCTCAGGAACCTTACAGTCGTGGCA
The DNA here is from genome assembly GCF_000001405.40 of Homo sapiens. Lineage (NCBI taxonomy): Eukaryota > Metazoa > Chordata > Mammalia > Primates > Hominidae > Homo > Homo sapiens. Next base: position 130,579,375 of record NC_000008.11, on the reverse strand, counting down.
GAGGCGAGTCTTACATAGCAAGAGCAGGAGCAAGAGAGGAGGAAAAGGTGCGACACATTTTTAAGTGACCACATCTCATGAGAACTCACGATCGTGAGGACAGTAGCAAAGGGATGGTGCTAACCCATTCATGAGAAGCTGCCCCCATGATCCGGTCACCTCCCAACAGGCCCCACCACCTACACGGGAATTACAATTCAACATGGGATTTGGTGGGGACACAGATCCAAACCATTTTCTCTAGATAGATAGACAGTTGTTGCAAAAGTAATTGCGGCTTTTGCCATTTAAAAATAATGGCAAAAACCATTATATTTTACTATACGAGAATTAGAATAGATGATATAGATACAGATATATAATAAAGAGAATGCTTCTCTTGCAGATGCTCCACCCTCAGAAATCTGAAAGATGAAAAAACCTCTTTACACAAGGAGGGGAAGAAGGGACAAGAAAGAGTTGAAAAGACAAGGCCGGGCGCAGTGGCTCACGCCTGTAATCCCAGCCCTTTGGGAGGCTGAGGTGGGCGGATCACAAGGTCAGGAGATCGGCCATCCTGGCTGACACGGTGAAACCCCATCTCTACTAAAAAATACAAAAAATTAGCCGGGCGTGGTGGCAGGCGCCTGTAGTCCCAGCTAATTGGGAGGCTGAGGCAGGAGAATGGCATGAACCCGGGAGGCAGAGCTTGCAGTGAGCCGAGATCGCACCACTGCACTCCAGCCTGGGCGAAGGAGCAAGACTCCATCTCAAAAAAAAAAAAAAAAAAAAAAGACAACACAAAGAAGAGAAAATAGAACGGAGGATAGAAGGGGAAGAGACCACAACAATAAAAGGGGGAATTGCTGGTCCCTGGTCCCTCTGCCAAGCCAGACTCTGCATGGACTACAAAATGACTCACAGAGGGAAAATAATGAATGCCTCATCTTTTGGATTCTGTGTTTGTTTCTGATCAGTTACTGGTCAAACTCTTTTAGTTGGTAATGAGCTGTCCCTGCAGGCCTTTCCAGCAAATTTAAGTTTAACTGAAGAATAAAAAATGCATGGGGAAATGTCTGGAAATGCATGGACTAGTATCTTCCTAGTTTTCTTGTACTCCTACACTCAGGAAGCACCTGCACCATGTGTGCCCTCCGGGGAAGTTGCCAAACCCCAGGGTCTGCCATCAGTAACCCCAGGTTGATCCTCCTCATTCTTTACTAGCTTCCCTTTGCTAAACCCCAGGGTCTGCCATTAGTAGTTCTTGGACTTTTGGCCCATCTTTAAAAGGTGCCATCTCCTGCCCATGCCAGATGGTGCCCTGACAAGGCCGTGGACCACCCCAAAAACCAAAGCCCCCCTAAAAATTGGGATTACAGGCCGGGCGCGGTGGTTCACTCCTGTAATCCCAGCACTTTGGGAGGCCGACACAGTCGGATCACGAGGTCAGGAGATCGAGCCAGGAGATCCTGGCTAACACGGTGAAACCCTGTCTCTACTAAAAATACAAAAAAAAGAAATTAGCCGGGCGTGGCAGCCTGCGTCTGTAGTCCCAGCTGCTGGGGAGGCTGAGGCAGGAGAACGGCGTGAACCTGGGAGGCGGAGCTTATAGTGAGCCGAGATCGCCCCACCGCACTCCAGCCTGGGCGACAGAGTGAGACTCCGTCTCAAAAAAAAAAAAAAAAACCGGGATTACAAACTCCTTCATCTAGAGCCACATTGACAGATCAGCCCTTTTACCTACTGAAAAGCAGAACAGAGATTGATTTGCAAGGGATTATTTTCCTTTAACTGATGTACCCTCTATTCTCCCCAGACCTCTAGGTTCCAGTTGTTTAAGAGTTCCATTTAATTCCAACTTCAAATCCCACTTCTGCCAAGATGCTGCTCTCTAATTCTGACTAGTATTGACTCTCCCCGTCTCTGGCTGCCTATGGTAATTGTAAATGCATGAGTCAGAATATTCTATCTGAACTAGCACTGCTTTTCTACCAGCTTCCTCGTCACCCTGGGCAACAGTTGTAACCAACATAGTTTATGGAGTCACTACATATTTACATTCATTAACTCACTAATCTTCAAAACAGGCCTGAACACCAGGTAGTACTACCCTATTTTGCATACGATTGAGCTGAGGTTCAAAAATGTCAGTGCCTTGCTCAAGGTTGCCCCACCACAGAGCTGGGATTTGATGCCAGTGCTCTTCCATGCTACTCATCCATCGATCACTGTGCTTACGGCATTATCCTGAAAGTATTAGGTTCCATGCTTGTCTCCCACCGGGATCTCAGCATTTGAAGGGCAAGGACTGAATCTTACTCATTTTTATATCTACAAGTTCCTAAGATAATATGGGGCATTCACAAGCTATAAACAAATCTGACCTGAATTCAGTGATTTCCTAGAAGGAGTATTTCCCAATTCTCACCCAGAAGGCGTGTTGAACATATAGCTTCTCATACCCTTGGACATTCTGACTCCCGGTTCTCAAATTCACCCCAGGATTTGCAATTCAACAACAGCCCAAGGAGATCATGATCAGCAGTTCTTCTTACAGTGTAATATGCACAAAAATTGCCTGGCAAGCTTGTTAAAATGCAGTTTCTGATTGAGTAAAGTTAGGATGAGGCCTGAGACGGCATTTTGAATAGGCCTAGCTAGAATACCAAACACAACAATTGTAAAAATGAGCAAAAGGCTGCTTAGGAAAGGCTCACTTACCGGTCCCGGTATGAAACAGTGACATTGACACTGTAGTCTAATGCGCAGAGAGATCCAGCTGTGCGCAGATTAGGGGAAGGATCTCCCAGACAGAGGAAACAACTAGGGCAAAGACCCTAAAGAGAGGAATGAGCTTGGTGTGTTAGCAGGTGAGAAGGGAGATGCATGAGGCAAGGTTGAAAAAGAAGGCAGGGATTTGTAGCCTGGAGTATAAGGGATTTGAACACAATCGGATTTGCATTTTTAAAAGAATAGATTTAGAAGAATTAGAAGAATTAGATTCTTTTAAAAATTAGATTTAAAAGAAAAGAAAAACTATTGCAGCAGAATAAATGAAGGGAACTAGTATTGAACTACAGTGGAGTGGACGGAAGATGATTAATTTGAACTAAGGCTGGGTGAGATATCCATGTGAAGATGTCTGGGCTAGACAAATAGGTCTGGGCTAGATACAGAGTAACCAGCCATTGGACATAGTCTCATTCATTCTTTATTCCAATAAACACAAAGTTCCTTCTCTGTTCCATGCACAGGACTTGGAGGTGGTAATGCAGAGGTAAACAAGACAGTCATGGTCCTCGCTCTGATGGAGTTTCCATGGGAAACAAATGATTAAGCAGTCCAAGTCAGGACCATTTGATGTTAAACAATTTATTATACAAATAATGATTTCATTTCGTTTGTGGTAAATGCTACAAAGTACACAGCCGAAAAGCATGAACAAGGGACTGATCTACTCTGGAATATCAGGGAAGTGACACTTTTTGAGCAACTGTCCTTTGAACCCAGCTAGCAGGAATTAAACAGGTGAAAAGATGGGGCAGATGTTTTCAAGCAGAAGGCCCAGTATGGACAGAGGCCCAGAAATGGGATTCAGCGTGCCTTGTTTGAGCCTCTAAGAGAAGAGCAGCCCAACTTAAAGGCAGAGAAAGAGAGGGAAAGTAGAGGTGGTGGTTAAAATCTTGAGATGGATGTCATTTTCCAAGGAAGCATGTCAACTGTGAAGAGGAAAAAGTCAAGCTAGAGTTAAGAGAACCCAGATATTTCAAGGTTGCCTTGCAGTTGCCAAAGCCACAGATAAGCCCCCAAAGCCAGAGATGTGGAAAATCAAGACTATAGACACTTTAGAAAACCAACAGCTTCTTAGGTACTGAATTTGCAAACCTAAGTCTACAATTGATGGAAATGTTACTATGGGATTTAAGAGTAAATTGTGGAATTTAGGAATAAATTAGTGCAATTCAACATTTCTGGAAAAAGGAGACAAATTTCTGGTGTTAATATAATACTCTTTCCTCTTGGCTATATTGCATGCCCCATAAAAATACTCTTTATGGTGTGTTTAAATCACTGGTTTTCATGCTGTGTAAAATCAGCTCATGATGGGCCATCTGAGAGTCATGGCTATACTCTCTCAGCAGGGATGCCTGCCGATAGACACTCTCAGATGAACTCTGAAGCACTCAATCCATTAGATTCAGGAGGCTACGGATGTCATTAAACTTCTCAACCTATTCACTTTCTCCTGACTGACATGTGGCAAGCTGAAAATCTGATTATTTACTCTTTAGATGGGGACAGCACTCAGGAAGGTCCAAGAATTGAGCACCGGTGTTGCTCCGGTCACCTGTATTTATCTTTCCTGAGCAGGAGATTATTGGCTGCAGATTTGAGCTTTGGTTATTATCTGATGTCCATGAACAAGAGGAAGAACCCACATATCCCTAGAGTAGTGGTTCCCAAAGTATGATGTGAGGACCCCCAGGGGTCCTAAGACCTTTACAGGATGTCTACAATGTTATTTGCCTTTCCAACTCTGTTCACATTTGCACTGGAGGTACAAAATTAGCAATGGGTAGAACTGCTGAAAGTTTAGCAGGAATCCAAGCAGGGAACCTCAAACTGCACTAATAATTATTGTATTCGTCACTGCCAAAAAAATCACAGTAAATGAATGATGATGATGATGATGATGAATTTTTAAACATTTAAAAAGAAGTTCCATTTTAGAATGTCTTTGATGAAGCTATAAAAACTCTTAATTTTATTTCCTCTTGACCCTTGAGTACACATCCATGAGATAATATGGGAAATATGTATGAGGCACTTCTGCTGCCTTGAGGTATACAATTCTGTCTCAAGGAAAAGTAATACTCATGCCATCATCTGAGTTGCAAGCTGAGCGAGATGCATTTTTCAGGGAACACCAATTTCATTTGAATGAACACCAACAGACAAATTATGATATTCAGACTTGGGTATTTGGCAGACATTTTATTGAAAATGAAGTGAGCCAGTCATTTAAAGAAAAAAACACAATATTTTTCCCATGACAAAATTCAATTTTTCAAGGAAATATTAGAATTTCAGAGAGCTTCTCAGTGTTTAATGACTCATGATCAGATTGGTGGTGGTTGTGGTGATGAATGTGATTTTTTTTGACATTGTGTAATAAAAAATGTCAACAATTAGGAGAGCTATATAACTCAGTGGGCCAATATTTTCTAAGTGACCAATGCATTCTGTTCAAAACCAAACATGGGTACAAGATCGATTCAAAGTGCAAGATAGAGTAATAGATTATGTAATGGAGCAGAATACAAAGAGCTTTTAACTGCAAAGTAGCCCAGTTTTCTGTGTGCTTTTGAGCCCTGTTAAGGATGTGGCTTTCAACTGTTAAATCCAGGCAATGCTAAATTGACTATCCCAAATTTTTTTCCCGCATTCAGGGCCAAGATGGCAATTTTGGAGGGGCTAAATTTGGATCTTTGTGGCTTGTTCACAAACTCAAGAGTCATGCTCTATGATGTGATCCCAAATGGAATTCAGACTGTTTAATTATATATGAAAGATAAATCTCCCCTAAGAGGCCATTTCCTTGGCCAAAGAAACTCTGCAACAAGATTCCATTGAAACAATCACGCCAGTGGTCACCTGGTACTCACCAGGATGGCTGTACCAAACATTTATGGTTAGCATCTGTTCCAATTGGTGAGAATCTGTATTAGTCAGGGTTCTCTAGAAGGACAGAACTAATAGAATAGATATGGAGATATATATATATATATATATATATATAGAGAGAGAGAGAGAGAGAGAGAGAGAGAGAGAGAGAGAGAGAGAGAGAGAGATAAAGGGGAGTTTATTAAGGAGTATTAAATTACACGATCACAAGGTCCCACAACAAGCCATCTGCAAGCCGAGGAGCAAGGAAGCCAATCTGGGTCCCAAAGCCGAAGAACATGGAGTCCAATGTTTGAGGGCAGGAAGCATCCAGCACAGGAGAAAGATGCAGGCTGGGAGGCTAAGCCAGTCAAGTCTTTTCATGTTCTTCTGCCTGCTTTTTATTCTGGCTGCAGTGGCAGCTGATTAGATTGTGCCCACCTAGATTAAGGGTGGGCCTGCCTTTCCCAACCCACTGACTGAAAAGTTCATCTCCTTTCACAACACCCTCATAGACACATCTAGGAACAATACTTCGCATCCTTCGATCCAATCAAATTGACACTCGGTATTAACCGTCACAGAATCTGAGTCCTACAAGTTTTATTCACTCATTCAACAAATATTTACTGAGCTCCTACTATGTGCCAGGCAAGGACAGATTTGCTATGAAGCTCATCAAGTGTAACCCTCAGGGCCTCTCACCTGCACAGCCCTCGCCTGAGGATTCATATAGTCATGGTACACAAAGTATACCAAATAAGTTATTTTACCCACAGCTAGTTGAGGTCATTGTCTCTTACCTTTCAAGCCTTCCCTCATTCACACTGTCCTTCACGTTGATTGATGTGGGAGTAGTTGTGGCATTTTAGAGATTTAGCTAAAGTTGAGAGGTGGATTAATTTAGTGTGGGTTTAGTGTGACAGATTTATGTGCACGCAGTCACTTCCATGTATGTTACATTATTGTTACCTGTGCCAGAAAGAAATAACTTTCAGAAATACAGTTACTGCCCACTATACCAATGCACCTAGGGTTATGATACAATTAATGTCCACAGCCAAAAACTGCTTATTAAAATATGGACATCTTCTATGGTGCCTGGTATAAAAGTATGGAGAAAAAAACACGGCGCAAAAGAAAGTCAGGGAAAAACCCCTCCTTATTTTATAGCTCACAAATGGAAGAAATCTGATAGAGATCTTCCTAACTTTGACATTACCAGTAACACACGGGGAAGCTGAAAGAAACTTTCCTGAAATGTTATCAATGAAAAAGCAAATTTCAACCAACCATGCAGGAAAAAAAGATTGAACTGTCTTTACATTTTTTGTAGAAAATATTGCAAAATTATTGTCTATTTATACTATTAGTTACTGAGGAATGTGTTGAAGTTTCTCACTCTGGTAGCAAATTTGTGTATTTTCTCTGTAGCTTGGTTAAATTTAACTTTATATATATATGAAGCTATGTTATTTAGCATACACAAATTTAGAACTGTTTTATCTTACTGGAAAATTGAACCTATTTGTATTACGAAATGTCCTTTTTTATGTTATACTTGCTCTGTAGTCTTGTTTTAGACGTGACTCTTTAAAGATCAGATACCTGGGGTTTGTTTTTCAAAATCCGTTCCAACAATCTTTTTTTTTTTTAAGGAGCATTTATTCTATTGACATTTAATTAATGTGATTACTGTTATATTTGGATTTTAACTAACCATCTTACTAAATACTTTCTACTCATCCTATCTTGTTTTTATCTTTTTTGCCTCCATCAAGATTGGTTCAAAAATTTATTTGTACTCCATATCTGCATGAGAGTTACATATAAAGATATTTCAGAGGTTATTCTCGAGATTACAATATGCATCCTTGCTTTATCTAAATCTAATAAGCACTTCCAGGTCAATGCAAAGTTCTTAGAACATTTTAACATCTTTCCAACTTACATACCACTTTCGTTGTGCACAATACATGATTGTTGACTATAGCTACAATGTTGTATAGCGGATCTCTAGAGCGTATTCATCTTGCTTGACTGAAACTTTAGACCCGTTGATTAGTAACTCCCTATTTCCCATAGCCCTCCCACAAGGTTGACTGTGTTTTAAATGTGTATGTTTGTGTAATTTCAATCACATACAGAAGGGGTCATTTTCCTTCTGTCTGAAGAATACTCTACTTTTTTTTAGTGTGCATGCTAAATCCTCTCACTTTTGTTTTTCTGGAAATGACTTTATTATTGCAAGATATTTTCAATGGATACAGTAGTTTTAGTTGGCAGATCAATTTTCACCTTTTCAGCACCTTAAAGCTATCATTCCTTCGTCTCTAGGTTCCGCTGTCTCTGTGTTTCTGTTGATAAGTCAGCTTTCAGTCATCTTTGCTCCTTTGTAGGTAACAAGATCTTTTTGTCTAGTTGCTTTTAAGACTTCGTGTTTGATTTGATCTTTAAGCAGTATTTCTGTAAGATTTCCAGGTATATTTTTCTTTGTATTTATCTTGTTTAGGCTTAGCAGGGCTTCTTGACTCACAGTTTGATGCCTTTCATAAATTTTGAAATTTTGCACTTATGTCTTCAAATATCACACCCCGTTCCCTGCTCTGATGTGGGCTCTAATTTATTATAAATTAGGCCTTCATACAGGCTCATTTGGGGCTCTTACCTTCTGATTTTTTTTCACCCTTTGCTTCCCCTTGTTTCATTCAGAACATTTTCTTCTATCTTCCGGTTTACTGTTTCTCTCTTTAGCAGTCTAATGTGCTGCTGAACCCCATTCACTGAGTTCTTAATTTTATTTGTTGAATAAATTTTCATTCAACAAATAAAACAGGCTGGCCATGGTGGATCACACCTGTAATCCCAGCACTTTGGGAGGCCAAGGAGGGAGGATCACTAAAGTCCAGGAGTTCAAGGCCAGTCTGGGCAACATGGTGAGACCACATCCCTAGAAATTCTTTTTAAATATAAAAAAAATTAACAAATAAAACAGCTTTAGAATTTTCATTTGGTTTCTGTATGTTTTCCAGCTTTCTGCTGATATTCTTAATTATGTCTTTTATCCTCTTGAGCATAAGTGCGGCTATTTAAACATCAACTGTGGGCCTATTACCTCTATTGTTTTTTTGATATTCATTTATGTTATCTTGTCTCTTTGCATGTCTGTTTTTAATTGTGTCTCACACATAGTTCTTATAAAAATGTTTGTAAAATAAATTTGAAACCTAAGGTGACTCTATCCTCCATCAGAAACTATTCATATTATCTATTGCCAAGCACCTTAAAGCACTGGTACTCCAGGATCACCTTAATCCCATTTCAGGGATCAAAATGTTTCAAAGCTGAGCGTGGGTCCCTGAGGGAGCCTACTTCTGGTTCATCTTTCCTCGTAGGCTACTTCCACACAGGGTCCTACTCAAAGTTAACGTTACTCACTGTGCTCCTCACCCCGTGATCCTTGAGAGTCAAAAGCGCAACGCTTCTTGACTTTTCTCTTCAGAACTGACAAACTTTCCCAGAGGAAAAAGTGGCCCCATATACTGAGATCATGTGCTGGGGCCTCTGTCCCTTCCTGGGTACTGGCATGGGAAATTTGTTACCATCTGATTAGTTCTCTAGTGCCTCAAGAAGATTTTATTAAATATTTTGTCCAGCTTTTCTAGTGGTTTTTAGCAGAAGGGTTGGTTATTGGTACCTAGTATGCCATTAGGTCAAAATTACTTTTTCTGAAAAGTACATTTTCTAGGCCTGACGCAGTGTCTCATGCCTGTAATCCCAGCACTTTGGGAGGCTGATGAAGGCAGATCACGAGGTCAGGAGATCGAGACCATCCTGGGCAACATGGTGACACCCCATCTCTACTAATACAAAAAAATTGGCCAGGTGTGGTGGTGCACGCCTGTAGTCCCAGCTACTTAGGAGGCTGAGGCAGGGGAATCACTTGAACCCAGGAGATGGAGTTTGCAGTGAGCTGAGATCACGCCACTACACTCCAGCTTGGTGACAGAGCAAGACTCCATCTCAAGAAAAAAAAAAAAAAAGTACATTTTCTGTCATTAAAGGAGTTTTTCCAATGGAAGGGCAAATAGATACATTTGTTTCATGTACATTTTTAATTTTGTGATCTATAATTATCTTTGTATCAACACTCAGGACTATTTCTGGTACACAGCGGGGTACCAATGAATGTGGACTGCATGAGTAATGCTGTCTGAAAGGTGCCTGCCTGACACAAAAATGTTAAATCCTTTTCTTGCTTTATAAAAGTCATTTTATGTCATAATTGCTTATTTAATAGTCATAATTTCACCAGCGTGGCCCTGCCACATAAAAGATAGCATTTGGCGAAATAGGGAATTTCCAAGGGAATATTCATATTCCCTTCAAATTTCCTAGCTAGGTAAATTTATAAAGCTGCTGGGTAGCTATTCAACAATTAGGGAAGGGTTTTTGTTTTTTTGGGTTTTTTTTTTTTTTTTTGCCTCTTTTCTCCCTTTTGTGGCAATGCCTCAATAAGAAAGGCTAGGTATTACCTGCAGGTAATTCCCAGACTTGAGTTTATGAGAGTCATAATTATAGTCATAATTATTTGGAAGGGAAAAATTTCTCACAAAAAAAAAAACATAAAACTGACTAAAGCAGCAACTAGAAATCATTCCTTAAGCAAGAAAGTTACCTTCCCAAACTAGAGGGTTGATTAATGCCACTAGTGCATAATGGGTTTGTGCAGACTTTGGCGTGAAGAGTTGGAAAGTGGAAGAGGAGAGCCTCCAACCCTCAATCTGCTCACTTTAAGTTAAATGAATGGAACAATCTCGTCTACTGCATTTATGCTACTTTTCTGAACAGTCCATCACCAAGTGCCTTGCGCTTTTGTTGAACTATTTCCTGCATATATATTTATTTCCCCAGCTAGGCGGTAAGCTCCCCAGCAAAGGCACAAGACATGCACCACTTTTGTGTCCCTTCCTAGCACTGTGCTGGATCTGTCAATCAATCCATCCTTCCATCTAACATCCATTTATCCAGTAGTCATCCCACCATCAATTAATTCAATTTTATACTCTCTGTTATTAATTATTTCAATAACATCTACTAACTGTCAGGAACTGAAGATGGAATGTTGGTAATGTGTGTCCTCACCTTTGAGGAGCTAAGAGTTAAGTTGGTAATGTTAAGAGTTAAGAGTAATATTGGTAATGTATGTCCTCACCTTTGAGGAGTTAAGAGTAACAGGTTTCAAGTACATTTGAGCAAGTACCTTCAATATATGTGTTTCTATTTATATTATTTACCAGTATATAAGTTATAAGTAATTTTCACTCATTAATGACACAAAACCCTCAATCTCACCAAAATAAAATTATTAACAAAAACAACATATTTTTTGTTAGAGCGATATGGTCAAATATGCTTCCTTATTTTTAAGACGTTGGTTTCAGGCCAGGCTCATGGCTTATGACTGTAATCCCAGAACTTTGGGAGGCCAAGTCTCAAGGATCGCTTGAGCCCAGGAGTTTGACACCAGCTAGGCAACATAGCGAGACCCTATCGCTACAAAAACATAGAAATAAGTAAATCATTTCTTAAAATAAAAAATAAAATGTTGGTTTCACTTTGTAGCATGACTACCCATATCTTTGTGAGATAAATGTTACCCCTCAGCCTCCGTTCTACTGTCCTTCTGCATTGGGGGATTATATCTCAGACTCCCTTGCAATTAGAGCTCTGGATACAAACTAGTTCTGCCAATTAGATGTACCCCCATTGCTATCTGAGAAGGAAATGGTCCTGCTCTCTTTTGGCTATTTCTTCTGACAAGCAAGAAAGTGGAGATGTGAGGTTTCTCTGATGTAGCATCTTAGCATCCATTCTCCCTCATTCTGCATCTTCAGGGACAATGGCAGCAGTGGCTGTAGGGTGGCAGCAACAGTGGGCTCTTGATTCCAGCTTAGCTCCAATGGTGGCATTAAAAGGAATGACTCCTCTTATGTTGTCTATATAGTTCCACAGTTATTCCCGGAAGTTCAGTCTAGAACCTTTTCTCTCAGCCTACTTAATAATTTTGTTAGCACCATTTACCTATCTTTAGTCCCTTTCTAATTAGAATGACTACAGAAGTTTTATTTCTTCATCAAACCCTGATTGACATACTTCTGACAAATCCCTTTTTTGCCGATGCTTGCCAAAGGTAGTTCTGTTGCTTGCAATCAAAGAATCCTTTCTATAAGTGCCTGAAGTGACATTTGCAGAAGCTAAGCTACTCCTGAGGTCAGGAGTTTGAGACCAGCCTGGCCAATATGGTGAAACCCCGTCTCTACTAAAAATACAAAAAAATTAGCCGGGCGTGGTGGCGTGGGCCTGTATTCCCAGCTACTCAGGAGGTTGAGGCAGGAGAATCACTTGAACCTGGGAGGCAGAGGTTGCAGTAAGCCGAGATCGTGCCAGTGCACTCCAGCCTGGCTGACAGAGTGAGACTCCGACTCAAAAAAAAAAAAAAAAACTTGTTTAGATTCAGGAGACCTAAGTTTGGCCACTGAGAAGCATATGGCTTGGGTGTATCATTCGTATTTCTGAGCCTCATCCACAAAGCAAGGAAAATAACACCCATCTCACAGGATGATTGTATGGATTAAATACGTGAAAAACTAAAAATGTGTTCACTACCTAATAGGCATTAATAAGTGTTGGTTGGAACTGCACTAGTTTATTGAACACATTAGCAATTATCTAGAAAGTTTAAGTTTTTTAACTAAGAAAACTCATGAAAAAAAAAAAAAAGCAGACTTTTAAGGTCCCATGAGGTCTACAGAAAATATGCTTAGTTGTTTTTTTTTGAGACAGTGTCTCACTCTGTGGCTCAGGCTGGAGTGCAGTGGCAAAATCACAGCTCACTGCAGCCTCAACCTCCTGGGCTCAAGTGAGCCTCCCACATCAGCCCCCTGAGTGTAGCTGGGACTAGAGGTGTACACTACCACACCCAACTAAATTTCTTATTTTTTGTAGAGATGAGATCTCACTACGTTTCCCAGGATGGTCTCAAACTTTTGGGCTCAAGTGATCGTCCCATCTTGGCCTCCCAAAGTGCTGCGATTTTTCTGAGATGCTGTTTCACTCTTGTCGCCCAGGCTGGAGTGCAATGGCATGATCTCGGCTCACTGCAACCTCCGCCTCCCAGGTTCAAGCGATTCTCCCACCTCAGCCTCCCGAGAAGCTGGGATTACAGGTGTCCACCACCATGCTCAGCTAATTTTGTATTTTTAGTAGAGACAGGGTTTCATCACGTTAGCCAGGCTGTTCTCGAACTCCTGACCTCAGGTGATCTGCCCACCTCGGCCTCCTAAAGTGCTGGGATTACAGGCATGAGCCACTGCACCCAGCCCATGTTTTTCTTCTTATTGGTGGCAGAATGAAAAGTTGAACAGCATCTGGATCTTTGAAGATGCTCAGGAGCCACTGAATTAACTAACCTTGCACAACATTTTTTAACCAAGATTTTGGTTGGTGTTCTGTTATTTGAAGCTGATGCCAGCTGATAACCCTGGGAAACAGAAACTAAGATGATGGTTGATTGAGGCACATCCTCAGGATGGACACCGGTCAGAAAGTGACACAAACAGGACTGGGCAGAAGGAATTAAAATGCAAGGTAGCTGCAAAAGAGGTCTCAGCCAACCCATGGGGAATGCTGGGGCCAGGACCAACCAATTAGAGCTGACCCAAATGGAAGCTAGAGGCTGGCCCTCTAGTCTCCTCCCTTATGACTCTTGCATCCACCAGTCTTTTGGTATGAGTTGCTCCCAGGGAACAGGCATGGCCTGGAGCAAAGCAGCAATTCCTGGGCAGGAACTCAGCTGTGAACTATCAGCAGACAACATTAACATCAACAGGAGGAATGACTGCATTGGTCCTTAAGGGAAATGAGGCAGCCCCTCAGAGCATCCACCCCACACAGAACCTCTAATTCAAGTTGCTGTGCAAACAGACTCTCATGAAAGAGATATATGATGATTAGACCTACCTACTATAACCAAAAATCCTAAATATGTTGAATCACGTAATGGCATTGTCATTTCTGTTCTTAGAATCTGTGAACTAGAAGGCACTTCAGGCTCATAGTATAGTGAATTCATTTACCCAACATGACAGAGCCATTCTGCGGGCCTGATAGCGCCGAATGCAGAAGTTTGCTGTTTTGACTCATAATTCATTACATGACTCCAGCTCTGCATTTATTTAGCAGACATGTCTGGCTAGCAGAATATTATGCAAATGTTATACGATCTATATGGCTACATTTATGAAGTTTAAATCATTCTGAAAAAGTACCCTCAAGAGTCTTACTTAATTGTAAAGCTTTTTGCATATACATCCATTAGCATAATTGATTAAACCATAAGTGCCTGTGTAAAATTAAATATAGTCTTCTGTTGTCCAAGTACAATTAAGCCCCTGATGACAGATAGATCAGAAATTTATGACTCAACATGTATTCAATTCCAAGGAAGATAACTGGTTCTAATAAAGGCTTCATCTGGGTAATAAGTTCATGTTCATGCACACTATAATTTCATAGTATTGTGTCTTCTGCACATGCATTATCTCATTTAATCTTCCCAGAAACTGTGACATGGGCAGGGAGCAAATTATTAGTTTCAATTTAGAGATGAAAACACGTATCAAGAGAAGTGAAGTGACTGGCTGAAAGGTACACATCTTGTAAATGGTGGGGTCAGGGCAAAATGTAGGTCATCTGTCTCATAACTCAGTGTCGCGAACACACCCCAAGCTAACCCCCAATGAGTCACGACCTTGTTTAATCTCCTCCCCTTAGCACCTGTGACTTGATTAGACTATACCAATGATGATGAAATGTCACTACCTCGATTAGTGCAAAGATGTTTCAACATCACTCTCGTGGTTACATTTTGTTATGCAGGACTCTGTAACTGGAGAGAGGGGCACCCTTACTGGCCTTGAAAAATCAATCTGCCATGTGTGAACAGCTTTTCCGGAGGGAGGGAGGTCCACATGGCAGGGAACTGTGGGCAGCCTCCAAAACTGGAGATTGTTTGCCTAGCCGACAACCAACGAGACATTGGGGCCCTCACCCAAATTCTGTCAACAACCTGGATGAGCTTGGAAGCGAACTCTTCCCCATTCAGGCCTCCAGATGAGAATGCAGCCAAGCAGACGCCTTCAGTGCAACCCTGCAAAACCTGGAGCAGAGAACCCCTGAGTTCCTACATATAAGTGAGACATGCTCAGATTCCTGACCAACAAAAACTGATATACTAAATGCATACTGTTTCAAGCTGCCTAGTTTGTGGTAATTTGATACATAACAATAGAAAACTATTACACCTAGCATTCCTTCCAAGACAGTTCTGTCAAAATCACATGTCCCTCTACCTCATCTTACTCTCTGGGCTCTATAGCCAACCTCCTGGATTAAACCTACTTCCACCATTGAGGAGCTTTGTGAACTTAGCCAGTTTTTTTTAGCCTCTTTGTGCTTCAATTTCTTCAATAAAACTGAAATAACCATAGTGCTTCCTTCATGATGTTCTGAGGATTGAATGAGATCATCTGTGGAAAAGATCTTTTCAAGTGCATGACACAGAGGGACTCATCAGTAAATGTTGTCTATTAATATTAGTCTTTTTTTTTTTTTTTTTTTGAGACATGCTCTGGCTCTATCACCCAGGCTGGAGTGCAGTGGCACCATCCCACTCACTACAAACTCTGCCTCCCAGGATCAAGTGATCCTCCCACCTCAGCCCCCCAAGTAGCTGGGACCACAGAAGCATACCACCACACCCAGCTAACTTTTGTATTTTTTAATTTTTTTTGTAGAGATGGGATTTTGCCATGTTGCCTAGGCTGGCCTCAAACTCCTGAGCTCAAGCAGTCCACCAGTCTTGGCCTCCCAAAATGCTAGGGTTAGAGGTGTGAGCCACTGCACCCAGCCTTAGTATTAGTTTTGTATTGACATGAGAGTTTGTAGCTGTTCCCCAGTTATTTGTTTTCCAATTTTTCCATAGGAATAGAAGTTTTAGCTGAACATAAAACTACCCATCTAAAAACTACATTTTCCAATCTCCCTGGCATTTAGATGTAACCACAGGACCAAGTCATGGCCAATAGAAAGTTGTGTGTGCAAACTTCAGGTTATAAAAATTGTTGACTCCCTGAAATAGCCATGAAAATAACTTATTAATAAGGAAAAGTTGAGTTTATTGCTTGCCACAGTAAGAGAGAATATTACCTTAACAAAATCCTTATAGAATCATGAAGTAGAAAAGGTTGTTAACAAATGTATGAGAATCAAAAGTTTGGTTTCAGGTAGGTCTTTCAGTTAGGGGAGAAGGAATTAATTGATTGGGATTGGACAGAGTTTGTGAAATAATAGGTAGGCTTGGTAGACACCATGACAGAGTGAAACACTCATGGAAACCAAGCAAACTTCAAGTCCTTTGATAAGCCTTCTTGAGCACTCCATTGTCCTAAGAAGGGGTATTTATTCTACCTAGGACTATAGGAATAGTCTGTCTTTCTGATGAATGACTTTTGGGGAAGTTCTTGAAACCAACTATAAAGTTATTTGTAACTCCTCCTTCCTATGCCAGAGTTTTCTGGAATGATAAAGCCATGTAAACGCAGACCGCCAATAGTAAGATTACATTAAGGTAGACAGTTTGCTATGCTCTCACTTGTTAAAATAAAATAAAATAAAATAAAATAAAATAATAACAGGCATTACCTTTTTTTCTCTTCCTTTCCCCTGCCTGGAATGCAGAGTGAGAGTTGGAGCAGCCATCTTGAATCACATAAAGTCATCTGTGCGCAGAGGATGGCAGAGACACAAGACAGAGCAACGCAGTCCCCCAAATGTCAAGCTAGCCTACCAGCCCTGGGCCACCTGGCTAGACCTTTATCTCAGAGAGAAACGTGGTTACACACAGTTTAAAAATGCAAATTCAGAATTTTCTAAAATATAGCTTTGTCATTTATTTAAGAGAGGGATTAAGAACCAGATGAAGCCAGGGACTAGTTCACCTAAATTCTTAACACATCCATTTTATGAGTTCCCATTTATACATGAGCAGGGACCAGCGTTACCATGTTTCCAGAAATTGTTTTCGGATCTTTTAGGTGAAAGTGGTCATTGTATTGACACATTGACATTTTCAAGAGGCTGATAACATACATGTAAAGGGTGAATTATCTGCAGATTTTGCAAATGAGAGGGGAAAGGTGAAAAGGCAGGCTGGGCACAGTGCCTCATGCCTGTAATCCCAGCACTTTGGAAGGCCGAGGTGGGTGGATTACCTGAGGTCAGGAGTTCAAGACCAGCCTGGCCAACATGGTGAAACCCTGTCTCTACTAAAAATACAAAAATTAGCCAGGTGTAGTGGTGGATGCCTGTAATCTCAACTACTCAGGAGGCAGAGGCAAGAGAATTGCTTGAACCCGGGACACAGAGGTTACAGTGAGCCAAGATCATGCCACTGCACTCCAGCCTGGGTGACAGAGCGAGACTCCATCTCGAAAAAAAGAAAAAGTAACAAAACAAAATACACATCTAGAAGAAGATGTTAAGTAGACATGTAAACAGAAAGAAAGCCACAGGATTCCTTCACAGAGCAAAGAGGAGTGTGCCATTGAAGGAGTCAAATATTAAGACTGTTGCTTGCTGCGATTTTCATTTTTAGAATATTTGCCACAAAGTTCTCTTGATTCTGGGGGCTTCAGTGCTCTCCAACTTTGGATGTTTACATCCACACATAAGTAAAGATTGTTGTGAATTCCACAGTTGATATGAGCCCAGTGGTTTTCCAGGTCATAACAGCAGTCCAAAGAAGTCATTGCTCCTGTAGCCTGCAGCAGCTTTTCCAGACTTTGTTATAAAATTTACTGTTAGCCACACGATGCCACAGGATCCATAGATGCCCCCTCTTACTGTATACTTTAAAGCTGCCATAGAGTGGTGACAACTTAGGCTTTTAGGTGATTAAGCTTAAACATCATAATTGGCTGAGGAGTCAGACTCACATTGTTTTGGTGATGGTTTTAGTATAGTTGTGGCTTGTCGTCCACTGGTCTCTGACTTTGTAGCACAGAGCCAACTTGTAGCAGAGAGCAGGTCTTTATTCATAATTCCTTCCTGTGGACTCGATCTCCCAGCTAGAGTGACGGGGTTGGCATGGAGTCCAGTGCTGTCCTGGCATTCACACTTCAGATGAGAAGGAATGTATTTTGGACAAAGAAAATAATATGCCCTCAGGGACTGGAGCCATCACAGGCTCTCTCCTGATAGTGTCGTCTGGTCTATGGCTCCACAGTCTTTTGAACTGCAGCCCTCACATACATCATGACAATTGGAAGAACCTCAGGCTACTTGAGGCCTGCTTATTTGTTGCAGTTGGCTTCTATAACAGAGATGTGGGATGGAGCAGGCTGCCTAGATTCTTATTTGTGAACCTATTTGTGAATATTAGTATCATTTATACCATAACTTCAAGAGGAAAGCAGTCAGCCCACTTTTTAGGAGTAATTAATTACCCATTTTTTCTTCTGTTAACAAAATTCTGAAGCTCCTACCTTAGGTGATAAGCTCCTCAATGTGTAAATGTTTTTCTCCTTCTAACCCTAGGTTTTTTAAATTAATTATATGCTAAAAAAGGTGTTTTTTAAAGCTTTGAGATCTGATGGAGTTCTGCATTCTTTATATTCTTAGGACTATAAAATTCCTACAAGATATTTATATTATATCCAATTGAATTTTGGATATTTTATGTGGCTTAGTCCAACGTGCAATCGCAATGTGTAAAGTCTTTCTTATATTCCTCTTGTGTGAAAAAAAATGCTTTCAAATACATTATTTACCAGACACATCATAATCAAACGGCCAAAACAAAGAAACAAAAAAAAAACCTGAAAACAGCTAGTGAAAAATGACGTATTACTTACATGACTACTTTTCTCCTAAGTTCTTTAACATATGTATTATAGTTAAATCGAAAATGATTGACAGGTGAGATTTTCAATGTATATACATGAAATACATATGACAATTACAACATAAAAGGCAGAAGGGTACATGGACCTATAAGATGCACACTAGAAATGGTAAAATATAGATTCTAAGTAGACTATTGTAATCCCTAGAGTAATCACTAAGAATAAAATACACAAAGAGGTATTGTTTAGTCAGCTCAGCCTGCCATAACAAAATGGCATAATAAAATACCAATAGACTGGGTGGCTTGGACAACAGAGATTTATTTCTCACAATTCTAGATACTAGAAGTCCAAGATCAAGGGGACAGCAGGGACGATGTCTGGTGAGGGCCCTCTCTTTGGGCTGCAGAAGGCCACCTTCTCCCTTTGTCCTCACGTGGCCTTTCCTTGGTACATGAGAGTGGGGAGAAAGGAAGCGAGCTCTCTAGTGTTCCTTCTTATAAAGTGTATTAGTCTGTTCTCACACTGCTGTAAAGAACTACCTGAGACTGGGTAATTTATGAAGAAAAGAGGTTTAACTGACTCACAGTTCCACAGGCTATACAAGAAGCATGGCTGGGAGGCCTCAGGAAACTTACAATCATGGCAGAAGGGGAAGGGGAAGCAGGCATGTCTTAACCATGGTGGCAGGAGACAGAGAGGGAGAGCACAAAGAGGAGAAGTGCTACACCCTTTCAAACAACCCCATCTTGTGAGAATTCTATCACAAGAACAGCAAGGGGGAAGTTGATCCCCTGATTCAACCACATCCCACCAGGCCTCTCCTTCAACACTGGGAATTACACTTTGACATGAGATTTGGGTGAGGACACAGAGCCAAACCATATCATAAGGTCACTAATTCCATCATGTAGGCATACCCTCATGCCATCATCTAAAGCTAAATACCTCCCAAAGGCCCCATCTCCAAATACCACCACATTCAGGGTTAGGACTTCAGCATATGAATTTGGGGCACACAATTCAGTCCACAGCAGAAATAGTCAAAAATTCCATAGATAAGTCAAAATGAAATACTGAAAAATATTCAAATAATTCCAAAGAAGACAGGAAATGGAAAACAGAAAAAATAAAAACATACGGAATAAAAAGAATCCAAATCATAAGGTGATAGAACTAAATCCAGACATATCAATTATCATATTAAGTGAAGGTATGATCCCCCCCTTACAGATAAGGAAGCACAGGCTCAGAACAGTGCTGTAACTTAACCAAGGGTGCACTGATGTAAGTAGCAGAGCCAAAG
The DNA here is from genome assembly GCF_000001405.40 of Homo sapiens. Lineage (NCBI taxonomy): Eukaryota > Metazoa > Chordata > Mammalia > Primates > Hominidae > Homo > Homo sapiens. The sequence goes on along the minus strand of NC_000008.11, from coordinate 130,559,461 downwards.
TTCCAGTCCAGCTCTGCCCAGGCCCCCAGACCCACCCTCTTCTGATGTTTTAAGCTTGTAAAGTTCTCATCACACCCTCCAAGTAGCCAGGAGTCCCAGGCCTGCACATAGAAGGTGTTAGTACCCTCAGTCAGAAGCCAGAGAGGTAATAGGCCTGCATGCCCCAAATACCCAAATCTCTGGGATTCTGCAATCCTGCTCACCTTCTGGATCTTAATTGGGAAGGGAAATAGCAGTGTTCATACCCCTAAAGGCCAGCCTTTGGAAAATGAGCGTGGAGGAATCATCAAGGAGCACATTATAGGTAAAGCAGTCCTTAGAAGCCTCAGGTTAGAGGCGAAATGCCTTCAGACCGGTGGTTGAGCCTCCTCTAACATTTGTAGTGCTTGTTACAAAGATGTGTCCGTGAGGTTTCAACAGAAATTCACGAATACGGTCTTTCCCAAGTACAAAGTTCTCTTTTAAGCACTCTTACCCAGATCATCCCATGCAATTCCAAAGGCTGCCCTGCGCTGTGTTTTTTTCCCCTTCAGGTTGGCAGAAGGAAAAATCCCAAGCTACTCAACAAAGGCCTCTGCAAGTGCTGTGCTGTGCTTTGTCCCAAGAAGTAAGTTGCCAGGAGAAGGTGCTGCACTTTAAATGACTCCCTTTCAAAGCTCTCCCTTGGCCTGGTGCAATCCAAACTGACCACTCTTGCTCTGCCTCTAGGAAACCAGAGGAAGAATCTTCTCAGCACTGGTTCCCGCTTCTCTGAACCTCCAAAGAGCAGCTTCCTGCCAATTCAGCTCGAAGTCATTACAGTAAAACTGCAGCATTCCTTTATAATAATAGTAATGATACAAGCCACTATCTGTCAAGCATCTAGTTGCCAGGCAAAGTAGTGTTTATTATCCTTACTGTAATACTAATAATGACTAACATTTTTGAGTATTATTGTTGCCAGCCCCTGTACTAAGTACCTTTCATGTATTATTTCACTCACTTACTACATTGAACCTACAAGGCAGGTTATATTATTCCCATTTTTCTACTGAAGGATTTGAGGCTCAAAGAGGTTAACCAATGCAACCAGGAAGGAGAGAATCGGGACTGAAAACTGGTTCTGTCTCATTCCAGGATCATGCTTATTCTGGTAGCAACATCTTACACGGGGCATAAATTTAAAAGACAGCAATAGTATGTCTCATTTTGGGTTTGTCTTGTTTTGTTTTGGAGAGACGGAATCTCACTATGTTGCCCAGGCTGGTCTCGAACTCCTGGGCTCAAGCAATCCTCCCACCTTGTCCTCCCAAAGTGCTGGGATTACAAGCATGAGCCATCACACTCAGCCTATCATTTTAATATTAGTATATAACATTGTCACCAGGATCCACCGATAAAATCAGGCCAAACCACAATGAAGAAATGCCATCTTCTAGTAATGTTAATTTCCTGGTTAACTCATCTGTGATCATATGACACTGTGCTAGACACAATTTTCATTTATCCATTCCAATATTTAGTGAGCCTCTGTTATATTAAATAGTGGGAGATAGCACAGTGAGTAAAACAAATAAGTTCCACATCTTTGCAAAAGCTTACAATCTAGAGGAGGAAACAGACAAATAATAAATTAGAGGACAGGAGAATAATTAATAAGATAAATGAGATCACAGAGATGCACCTCACACAGCCCTGCAGAATAGAGGTGGAGGCAGGGTGCTTTCCAGAAGGAGGAGTACCTAAGGCAAGACCTAAGACTGGTTGAAAAAGAAGCCAGAAAAATCTCTGAGGAAAATATTCTTAGCAAAGAGGAAAACTCATGTGAAGGCCCAGAGGCAAGAGAGAGTATGGTGCCTTTGAGAAACAGAAAGGAATTCCTTGAGGATAGAGTTTAACCAGGAGAGCAGAGAGAAATGAGAAGAAAAAGAAAACAGAGGCTAGATCATTCAGAGTCTTATTAAAGATTTGGTACTCTATCTCATGAGCAATGCGGCATCATCAAAGACATTTTGCCAGGAAAGCACAACGTGATCAGATTTTCATCTCAGACCTCTTTGAATGCAACAGGGGATTGAGACTAGAGGCAGAGAAACCAGCCAGGAGGCTAATGCAGTAAATCAGCAAAGAGATTATGTCAGCCTGAACTAGGGTAATGTCATGGGGATTGAGAGAACTGAATTGGATCAAGAGATGTGAAGAAAAAAGCTGGACATACTTAGGAACTGAAATGTGAAGGAGAGAGAAGGAAAGAGCAAAAGATGATGGGGAGGCTCTGGCTGGGAAAGCTGTGTAGGCGATTGCTAACACTGTTCACTTAGGGCAACAAGAGTAAGAGCAGGCCAGGGTCAGGATGGTAATGGTGCAGGAGATTAGTTTTAAACATGCTGGGTTGAGGTGCCTGTAAGGCATCTAAGTGGGAAGATGTTGCATAGGCCAGAAACATAAGTCTGGTACTCAGAAGGAAAAACTGGACTAGAGTTATAAATCTAGAGACATTATTCACATACAGAAAAATCATCCTTGAAAGCATGGGCATAGGTAAGCTCACCAAGAACAAGGGTGTACACTGTGAAGAGAAACAGCCATGAGGCAGAATCCTGGAAAAAAAAAAAAAAAAAAACACAAACTAAGAGTTAAGGAAAGTTCTGAGCAGGAGTATTGATCATAGTGATGGGAGGAAAAACAAGATGAATGGAGCCAAAGGCAAAAAAAGCCTTCAAGAGTGACTGGTCAACAGTAACAAAAGATAAGAGTTGAAAGCTATTCATTGAATATGGTAGCAAAGAGGTCAATGGATACAGAAAGCCATCCAGAAGAAATGAGTGTTTCCTCCTTCACTTCAAGGAAACAACAAAATTAATTATCAGAGTAAGTTTTATGCACATACCATTAGCAGAGGCCACATAGTAAGTTGAGAAGAGCAAGAGACCTTGCCTTAATCTGTTTTGTGCTGTTATAACAGAATATCTGAGAATGGGTCATGCATAAAAAACAGAAATTTATTTCTCAGAGTTCTGGAGATTGGGAAGTTCAAGATCAAGGTGCTGGCAGGTTCTGGTACTTGGTAAGGGCCAGTCTCTGCTTCCAAGATGTTACCTTAAATATTGCACCCACCAGATGGGAGGAACACCATGTCCTTTCATGGGAGGAGGGGCAGAAGAGAGGGAACCCACTCTTGCAAGCCCTTTTTATAGTGGCAGTAATCTATTCATGACGGCAGAGCTCTCGTGACCTAAACACCTCCCATTAGGCCCCACCTCCCAACATTGTTGCATTGGAGATTATGTCTCAACATGAATTTTGGAGGAAACAAAAACATTCAAACCAGGGAACCCTGCAGCCACCTGGGATGACATTCCAACTCTGCAACTCACTAGCTCTGTGGCTGTGGTCATGTCATTTCACCTCTCAAAGCCAGTGAATCTCCATCTGTTAATGGTGTTAATAATAACTGATCTCAAAATGTTGTTGTGAAAATTCAAAAATATTATGCACAAAAGATGTCTGATGAGAGATGGCCAGCACTCATCTCCTCCACAAATGACCAAACAGCATATAGATAACTACATGTCAAATAGAACTTCTAAGAGAGAACACTGGAATTCAGCAGGGAAATGACGGTACGTCTGAGGCATGGAAGGAAAAGAAAACAAGGCAGCTGGCCCAGACAGGATCAGCTCAGAGCCAGGAGAAACTCCCCATAACAGAGAAAAAGTAGATAGAAATCCCTAGCAGTTCACATTCCCACTGCAATCCTAGACATGGGAGAGCCTCTCAGCCCTCACTGGCTCTGAGATTAGTATAGGGAGATGCCTGGAGTCCATTTAACAGCATTATTACATAGAGGGAGTTTGCATTGGGTCCCACACACCCTCCGAGACCCAAGCAGTTGCAGCATGGTGCCATTTTGAGAGCCCAACTCCCGACAGACTACATCCTCCCCTGGAGCCTAACAACCCCTGTGTCTCCACATCCCTGTAGCCAATGACATCCCATGCTCATGGATCAAAAGAATTAATATAGTCAAAATGACCTGCTGATATCTCCCCACATCAACCAAAAAGGGCCGCAGTGTTGAACGCCAGCTGAACCCCCCAGTGTGGCCAAATCCCCCACACTCTAGTCCAAGTAATGTCCTACAGCCCAGGGAATAGGCAGTGCAGCTCACCAGGGGGGCTGTCCCCTGGGACAAAGGGAGCCAAAGTGTGTGATTCCCAGAGTGTGTGATTCCCAGAGCGTGTGATTCCCAGAGCCTGACAGCCACCTACCCAGGAGCACTGTCACTGATAGTAACCCAACCTCTCCAGTGTCAGGGCCACTGCACACTTGCACATGCCTTCAGGAAACCTGGCGTCTGGCCCACCTGCATGCTATTCCAGGACCTGAGGACAGGCTCTTATACCAGATGCATAGCTATCAACATAAGAACACAAGAAACATGAAAAGGCAAGAAAACAGAAACCAAAAGCATGCAGGATTAGCTATACCTATATCAGACAAAATATACATTAAGTCAAAAAACAAAAAGAAGCAAAAAAGGTCATTACATAATGATAAAGGAATCAATGCAGCAAGAGGATATAACAATTGTAAGCATATATGCATCCAACACTGGAGCACCCAGATAAATAAAAGAAATATTATTAGAGACAGACACAGAGATAGACCCCAATAATAGCTGGGGATTTTAACACCCTACTTTCAACTTTAGACAGATCATTTAGACAGAAAATCAACAAAGAAACATCACACTTAATCTTCACTGTAGACCAAATAGACCTAACAGACATTTACAGAACGCTCACTCCAATAACTGCAGAGTGTACATTCTTCTCATCAGCACATGAAACATTCTCCAGAAGGCCAGGCATGGTGGCTCACCCCTGTAGTCCCAGCACTTTGGGAGACCAAGTTGGGTGGATGGTGTGAGGCCAGGAGTTCGAGAGCAGCCTGGCCAACATGGTGAAACCCCACATCTACAAAAAATACAAAAATTAGCAAGGTGTGGTGGTGCACGCCTGTAATCCCAGCTACTACTCAGGAGGCTGACGCGTGAGAATCACTTGAACCTGGGAGGCGGGGATTGCGGTGAGCCAAGATTGCACCACTGCACTCCAGCCTGAGCAACAGAGTGAGACTCTGTCTCAAAAGTAAAAAAGAAAGAAAAGAAAAAAAAAAAGAAAAGGAAAGGAAAAAGAAAAACATTCTCCAGATAGACCATTTGTTGGGCCACAAAACAAGCCTTAACAAATTTTTAAAAATCAAAATCACATCAAGTATCTTCTCATACCAAGTTGGAATAAAACTATAAATCAATAACAAGAAGAACCTTATAAATTGTTTAAATACATGAACATTAAACAACATGTTGCTGAACAATGATTGGGTCAATGAAGAAATTAAGAAGGAAATAAAAAGTTTTTTGAAATAAATGAAAATGAAAACACAACATACCAAAACCTATGGAATACTGCAAAAGCAGTGTTAAGAGTGAAGTTCACAGCAGTGAATGCCTACATCAAAAAAAGTAGAAAGATTTCAACTAAACAACCTAATGATGCACCTCAAGAAAGTAGAAAGGTGAGAACAAACCAAACGCAAGATTAGTAGAATGAAAGAAATAATAACAATCAGAGCAGAACTAAATGAAATCGAGATTAAAAAATACAAAGAATCAAAAAAATGAAAATTTGGTTTTTGAAGAGATAAATAAAACCAATAAACTGCTAGCAGACTAACCAAGAAAAAAGGAAGAAGACCCAAATAATAAAAATAAAAAAGTGACTTTACAATGGATAGCGCAGAAATACAAAGGATCATTAGAGACCATTATCAATAACTACATAAGAGAAAATTGGAAAACAGAAGACATGGAAAACTGCCTGGATACATACAAGCTACCAAGATTGAAGCAGGCAGAAATAAAAAACCTGAACAGACCAATAATGAGTAACAAGATTGAATCAATGATAAAAAGCCTCCCAACAAAGAAAACCCCAGCACCAAATGGCTTTACTATAGGTTTCTACCAAACTTTTGAAGAACTAACATTCATTCTTCTCAAACTATTTCAAAAAATGAAAGAGGAGGGAATCCTTCCTAAATCATTCTGTGAGGTCAACATTACCCTGATAACAAAATCAGACAAGGACACAACAAAAAAGAAAACTACAGACCAATATCCCTGATGAGCACAGAAACAAAAATCCTCAACAAAATACTAACAAACCAAATCCAACAGTACTTCAAATAGATAATACAACTTTGGGAGGCCAAGACAGGAAGATAGCTTGAGCCCAGGAGTTTGAGACTAGCCTGGGCAACACAGGGAGACCCCATCTCTACAAAAAATTTAAAAATAGCAAGCTGTGGTGATATATGCCTATAGTCCTAGCTACTTGGGATGCTGGGGCAGGAGGATAGGTTGAGCCTGGGAAGTTGAGGCAACATTCAGCCGAGATCATGCCACTACCCTCCAGCCTGGGTGACAGTGAGGCCCCATCTCAAAAAAACAAAAATAGAAAATACATCATAATAAGTGGGATTTATGCCAGGGATACAAGGATAGTTAAATTTATGCAAATCCATAAATGTGATACATCACAACAACAGAATGAAGGACAAAAACCATATGATCATTTCAATAGAGAGAAAAAGCATTTGATAAAATTCAACATCTCTTCATGATAAAAAAAAAAACTCAACAAGTTAGGCATAGAAAAAATATACCTCAACATGATAAAGGTCATATGTGACAAATCCACAGCTAACATCATACTGAATGGGGAAAAGCTGAAAGCCCTTCCTCTAAGAACCAGCACAAGACAAGGATGCCAACTTTCACCATTCATATTCGACATAGTACCAGAAGTCCTAGCCAGAACAGTCAGACAAAATAAAGAAATAAACAGCATCCAAATTGGAAAGGAGGAAATAAAATTGTCCCTCTTTGCGGATGACATGATCTTATATATGGAAAAGCCTAAAGACTCCACCAAAAAGCTCTTAAAATTGATCAGTAACATTTCTATACACCAATAATAAACTAGCTGAAAAACAAGGCAAGAAAACAATCTCATTTATAATAGCTACAAAAAATAAAATATCTAGGAATAAATTTAACCAAGAAGGTAAACAACCTCTACAACAAAAACTACAAAACATGGGTAAGAGAAATTAAAAGGATAGAAACAAATGGAAAGACATCCCATGCTCATGGATCAAAAGAATTAATATAGTCAAAATGACCGTACCACCCAAAGCAATCTACAGATTCAATGTAATTCCTTTCAAAATACCAGTGACATTCTTCACAGAAATAGAACAATTTTTTTAATTTGTGTTGATCCACAAAAGACCCTACAAATGCCTAAGCAAAACTGAGCGAAAAAAAACAAAGCTGTAAACATCACACTACCTGACTTCAAAATATACTACAAAGCTATCATAACCAAAACAACACGGTATTGATTTGAAAACAAACACATAAACCAATAAAACAGAAAAGATAACCCAGAAATAAATTCACATGTTTACAACCACTTGATTTTCAACAGAAGTGTCAAGAATGTACATTGGGAACAGGACACCCTCTTCAAAAAATGGTGCTGGAAAAACTGCATATCCACATGCAGAAGAATGGAACTAGATCCCTATCCCACCATATACAAAAGTCAACTTGAAACATATTAAGGACTTAAACATAAGATCCAAAACCATAAAAAACTATGAGCAGAAAACAAAAGTGAAATGCAAGACATTGGTCTAGGCAAAGATTTTATGGCTAAGACTTCAAAAGCACAGGCAATAAAAATAAAAACAGACAAATAGCTTTTATTTTAAACTAAAAGCTTCTGCATAGCCAAGAAAATAATCAACAGAGTGAAGTGACAACCTGTAGAATGGGAGAAAACATTTGCAAACTATTCATCCAGCAGGGAATTAATATCCGGAGTATACAAAGAACTCAAACAACAGCAAAGTAACAAATAATCCCATTAAAAAGTGGGCAAAGAGTATACATAGACATTTATCAAAACAAGACATACAAATGGCCAAAAGATAGATGAAAAAATGCTCAGCTTTACTAATCATCAGGAAAATACAAATCAAAACTACGTATCATCTCACCCAAGTTAGAATGGCTATTATCAAAAAACGTAGCAAATGCTGATGAGGATGCAGGGAAAGGGAAACACTCATACACTGCTTGGGGGGAATGTAAGTTAACACAGCCACTATGGAAACTTACTAACAGTAAGTTGGTAAGCCACTATGAAAAAGGATTTTCTCAAAAAAACTAAAAATAGATTTTTCACATGATCCAGCAATTCTTCTTCTGGGTCTTTATCCAGACAAAAGAAAATTAGTATATCAAAGAGATATCTGAACTCTCATGTTTATTGCAGCACTATTCACAATAGTAAAGCTATGAAATCAACCCAAGTGTCCATTAATGGATAAATGGATAATGATAATGTAATATGTATACACAATGGAATACTATTCAGCCATAAAAAAAGAACAAAATCCTGTTATTTGCAGCAATATGGGTGGAACTGGAGGTCATTATATTAAGCAAAATGAGCCCGGCACAGAAGGACAAATATCTCATGTTCTCATTTATATATGGGAGTTTAAAAAGTTAATTTCATGGCAGTAGAGTAGAATGATGCTTACCAGAAGCTGGGAAGGGTAGGGAGGGTGAGGATAAAAAGAGGTTGGTTAATAGGTACAAACTTACAGTTAGAAGGAATACATTCTAGTGTTTGATGGTGTGCAATCATCACCAAATTCAGTTTAAGAACACTTTTTTCATGTCTGCAATAATAAACCCCATACCCTGTAGCCATCATTTTCCATCCCAGCCTTCATCCTCCCCAGCCATAGGAAACCACTAATCTACTTTGTCTCTATGGATGATTTGCCCGTCCTGGAAACTTCATATAAATTGAATCATATTAAAACAATATGTAATCTTTTGTGACACACTTGTAGCTTGTAGCAGTGTGTCATTCCTTTTTATTACTGTATAATATTCCCCTGTATGACTGCATCACATTTTATCCATTCACCAGTTGATGGAAAACATCAATTCTTGCATGAACTACTGCTCCCACCTTCTATTTGACTTCCCTGCATCCAGCCCACTCTACCACATATAATATGACTGCATCACTTAAAGCCCATTATGACTCCTAGTTGCTTTGGTATTTATCCAAATGCCCAACATAGCAAGAAAGTCCTTTTGTGATTTGGATCCTGATCACCTCCTAAACCTCACGTCCCAAGTAAGTTCCCATCCTTCTGAATTTCCAATGGTTCCTCAAAGGCACCATACTCTCACATGCCTCCAAAATGTTGCATGGGCAATTTCCTCTGAAAGATCCTTGAGAACAGTCCTTTTTTTCTGTTCTACTCATTAATGCATCCCAAGCACCTAGAAGAATGTCTGGCATAAAGTAGTTGCTCAGTAAATATTTGTGCCTACAAATGGTTTCATTTCAGTGTGTAGATGGCCTCTAAGATAGCTTCCAATGATCTCCACCTCCTGCTATTCAGTCCGTTGTGTAGTCCCCCCACTGGAGTGTGGGCTAGATTTAATGACTCTCTTCTAGATTACTGAATATGAACAAAGCCATTGAATGAAAATTCTAAGATTAGGTCATAAAGACAGTGGCTTCCATCTTAGGGGCCCTCTCACTTCCTTTCTCTCTCTCTCGGATCACTTATGCTAAAATACACAAGCTGCCATGTCACAAACAGCCCTGTGAAGAGGCCTACATGATACAGCAAAGAACTGAGGCCCTCAGTCCAGCAGCCAGTGAGGAATTAACACCCTCAATCCAACAACCTGTGAGGGAATCAAGCCTGCTAATGATCAGATAAGTGAACATGCAAGTCCGTCCTTCAGTGCCAATTGAGTCTTTTCTTTTTCTTGGGATAGAATCTTATTCTGTCACAAAGCGGTATGATCTAGGCTCACTGCAACCTCTGCCTCCTGGGTTCAAGTGATTCTCCTGCCTCAGCCTCCCGAATAGCTGGGATTATGGGCACGTGCCACCACACCCAGCTAATTTTTGTATTTTTAGTAGAGACAGGGTTTTTCCATGTTGATCAGGCTGGTCTCGAACTCCTGACCTCAGGTGATCCACCCACCTCAGCCTCCCACAGTGCTGGGATTACAGGTGTGCACCACTACGCTTGAACTGATTTTTGTATTTTTAGTAGAGATGAGGCTTCATCATGTTGGCCAGGCTGGTCTTGAACTCCCGGCCTCAAGTGATCCACCCACCTCAGCCTCCCAAAGTACTAGGATTACAGGTGTGAGCCACTGCACCCAGCCCCTACTTGAGTCTTAAGATGAGACTGAAGGCCTGTCTGACAGTTTTACTGCAATCTCAAAAGAGACCTTGAGCCAGCAAGATCCAGCAAAGCCACTCTGGATCCCTGAGCCACTGAAACTGTGAGGTAATGCCTGCTGTTTGAAGTTATGCAAAAATAAATAAATAATACAGATTTTGGTACTAAGAGTGGGGTGCCTAGGTATAAAAAACCTAGAATGTAGGAATAACCTTAAAACCAGGCAAAGAGTTTTGAACAGTGTGCTAATGAAAGTTTAAAGTACCTTGAATACAACTGTTCACAGAATTTTGGATTTTGGGGATGCTAAGGTGAGAGCTTGCAGGACATTGAAGAAAATCTTATTGGAAACTGAACGAAGGGGGATATTTGTTATAAAGTAGCAGAAAGCTTAGCAACACTCTCACCTGCCGTTACGTGAAAAGTTAAATATCTGTCTAACGGACTGGGTAATCTAGCTAAGAATATTTCTGGCCAGGCACGGTGGCTCATGCCTGTAATCTCAGCACTGTGAGAGGCTGAGGTGGGTGGATTACCTAAGGTCAGGAGTTTGAGACCAGCCTGGCCAACATGGTAAAACCCTGTCTCTATTAAAAATACAAAAATTAGCTGGGCGTGGTGGCACACACTCATAATTTCAGCTACTTGGGAGGCTGAGGCAGGAGAATCACTTGAACCCAGGAGGCAGAGGAGACTCCATCTCAAAAAAAAAAAAAAAAAAGATTATTTATTTTATTTATTTATTTATTTTTAGACGAAGTCTCACTCTGTTGCCCAGGCTGGAGTGCAGTGGTGTGATCTCAGCTCACTGCAACCTCCGCCTCCTGGGTTCAAGCAATTCTCCTGCCTCAACCTCCCGAGTAGCTGGGACTACAGGCACGTGCCACCATGCCCAGCTAATTTTTGTATTTTTAGTAGAGACAGGGTTTCACTATGTTGTCCAGGCTGGTCTTAAACTCCTGACCTTGTGATTCGCCTGCCTTGGCCTCCCAAAGTGTTGGGATTACAGGCGTGAGCCACCATGCCCAGCACAAAAAAAAAAGAATATTTCTAAGCCAAGCTTTGAAGATGCCACCAGGTTTCTTCCTGCTGCCTGCAGTCAAATGTGAGTGAGCGATCAATTGCAGAAAGAGCTGTAAATAAAAAAGAGCTAGTACCTGATGGTTTTTAAATTTCTCAGCCTCTCTAGATGGTAAGTTATGTTAAAATGTAGAAATGGCTTCTCAGCAATGAAGAAATTCAGGAAAATGCTATGCTAGGAAACCATGGTGTTTGAAAGCCAAGGGTTTGAGTAAGCTTTGAGTTGACTACTGCTCCAATTGGCAGCTTGATTGCAGCCTCAGGAGACAGGTTGACCCAGACACCCCCAGCATGCAGCTCCCAGATTCCTGACCCCCAGAGGCTGTGGAATAAGAAGCATTGTTTTCAGTGCTCAGTGCTCAGTTTGGGGGTAATTTGTTACGCAGCAGTGAATCACAAATACATCAAGCCTCTGGATAACATGCTGTTAGCAGGGGTGGGAGGAGGGAATAAGATTACTGACCAAAGAAAGCTAAAAAAAAATCTTAGGCAAGCCAGGCACGGTGGTTCACGCCTGTAATCCCGGCACTTTGGGAGGCCAAGGTAGGTGGATCATGAGGTCAGGAAGTCAAGACCATCCTGGCCAACACAGTGAAACCCTGCCTCTACTAAAAAAAAAAAAAAAGAAAGAAAAAAAAAATTAGCCAGGCATGGTAGCACACGCCTGTAGTCCCAGCTACTCGGGAGACTGAGGCAGGAAAATCGCTTGAACACGGAAGGTGGAGCTTGCAGTGAGCCGAAATCGTGCCACTGCACTCCAGCCTGAGCTACAGAGCAAGACTCCGTCTCAAAAAAAAAAAAAAAAAAAAAAAATCTTAGGCAAAGCTTGAGGCCATAGCCGTGAAAGTAGGTCTTCCTCCCACTAACATATTTTAAATACATCAATTCTCTTTAGGTGGCAGTTACAGAAGAGAGAGATAAATGGTGAGATGAATGGCTTCTGCCAGCTGGACTTACTTGCTCTTTCTGCCTGAAGGATTAAGCAATGCCTTTTCCTGGCCAGTTGGAAATAAGGGCAGACACTCCTTATTTCCTGCCCTTCCCCCTACTTATTCTCTTCTAGATGAGGTGGTAAGGATTCTGGGCTCTCCCAGGCCCAGGCAATGAATTTGAAATCTCCCTCCTCTAGCCGCCTCCCTCTCTGGCTTCATACCCCATCCCCACAAAACCTACAAGCTAACCCAGTGAACCAGCTCCGGGCAAGTTCTGTAAATGGGGATTTATCGAGTCTCAAAGTTGAAGGAAAGCTCCTCTAGCCAGTCTTCTCTTCACACTACCTTGAGGACTTGATGATCATGGGTAGATTGAGTTATTTACACCTTAAACGAACCTCACACAGATGCGTGGAGAGAGACTAGGGAAGGATCAAAAGCCAAAAGTCCTCCTATGCTAAGTTGGATCCAGTCCCACTTCTCTCTTGTGACTGATATGCCAAATGCTCTTCCTCCACATCCCCTACCTTGGCCAGTGGCAAGCCCTGCCCAACTGCTTGGATGTATCCCCCATACCCCCGAGAACCAGACTGCCTCCATTTTCCAAGCAAAGACAAAAACAACTGAAGAGCAACCAGATGTTCCAGAAAATCCTCAGGATGCCTCTAGGCTTGTAGATGAATTAGAAGATGGCATAACCTGGCACAAGATGGCAGCAGAAATTCTGGGGTCAGCGAGGCAGCCCCAGACATGTCCAGTTGCTCATCCAGCCCCAGACATGCCCAGTCACTCACCCAAGAAGCTGCTGCCGATGCCTCCATTGTCCTCTTTGCTCCTAGTCTGAGTGTCTTCAGAGCTGATGGCATTCCCTCTCCAGCTGGGGAGACCAGCACACATGCTGCCTCTCAAAGGAACAGCAGCTGGACAAGCCTCTGAACCTCGCCTAGGTGGGACCAAAACCTCCTATTTGAATCTCAGAGCTCTTCTTCATTTCTGCTAGCAGCAGAGGGGAAAAGCAGGGCTATTTGTGTGGAGCAGACAGGTATGGCCAGGGAGAGGCTGGTAGTCAGGAGATGAGGGTCATCAGGGCAGGGAACATGGAGCAGAAAGAACCAGAGATTTTTCTCCCTAATCCTCATCCATCCTAGATTTCCGGAGGGCAGTTTTTGATCACATGCTGGGTTCAAATACTGGTTGTGTGATTTCACCTTTGAGTTTCTTTGGGTATAAAATAAGAATGAGGGTTCCTCCTTGCTGGGTTGTCACAGAACTAAATTAGACGTTGTATATGAAGTGCCTGACACAGCAGCAGGCACATGGCAGCCAATCAAAGCATAGTAGCTATTATTGGCCATTGTTGTCTATTTTTTTTGAGTGCCCGCCAGCAGGGAAAATTACAATAATCATCTATATTGGGGTAGTGTTTTATAATTTCCAACCTATGTCACATACATTTTCTCTCTTAGTTTTCCATCAGTCCTCTGACAGAGATTTTATTACTATATTGTTTCCACTTTTGAAGGAGAAAACTGAGAAGAAAGAAGCAGAAACAAGAGAGTCAAGAGGGAGAAATGGGAAGCGAATTTCTAATGAGTTTACACCTACTCAGAAGTGGGCCAGGGAAAGTGAGCCACACCCCCAAATAATTCAAACTGTGCATGCCAACTTCTTTTTTCCAATCCCAGGAAAAATAAGCAACAAAACACATACTAGAATCAGAAGCTCCAGACTCACATACCAGTTATGCCCTTTACATGCTAATGTCCCCAGAACTTAGTTTCCTCACCTGCAGAATGCAGGTAACATTAATACCTTTCAGAGAGTAGTGCTCAGAAGATCCAAAAAGACACTAGAGGTAAAAGGACTTTCTAACCAGAGAACAGTACCTATTTTTATGGAAAGGCTACCTTGAAAACTTTTCTCCAGCCTTCATTCTCATTTTGCAAACTCTCAAATCACAGATTTATTTTTTCCTATGCCTCCCACAATATTCTGTACCTTTATGCAAGAGCTCTTATTATCTATTTACATATCAGCTTTATTATCTATTGCCATCTGAGCCCTCCCCATTAGACCATGAGCTCCAGCCAGGAGCTAGCATAGAGTTGATATTCAATAAATGCTTGCTGCATAAAGATATGAACATATCTCCAGTTTCTCCAATCTAACATAAGTCCAAACAGGTGAAAGGAACTCTGAGGGCAAGCTGAAAGAAGGAATCTTCTCTTTCTTGGTCCTGTCATCTCTCCTGCACTTCACTGGGTCATCAGGATTAGAACAAGAGCAGCTGTTGAGGTTTCAACATATGGAAATGACCAGGGGCAAGAAACTGGAAAGACACCATGAGATCCAATCCCAAAACCAGAGGGCAGAGTTCTGGTGCCAAAATTGGCCTTGAGGCCTTGCCCTGCTACAGGCCTGTCATCACCAAGCCAGCTTGGACAGGTGCTTGGCTGGACAGCCAGCAGTCAGAGTCATTTCAGCTGGGATGGAAATAAATCTGAGGGTAGATTGTGGCCAGACACCGGCCAAGCTTCTTATCTAGTCAATCTGAGTGTTCTGTAAGCGTGTGAAAAACATTCTCAGAGATTAAAATGGACTTTTTAAATAAGTGGCTCTAGGAAAACAGGCAGGCATTTGAAAAAAATTAGAGCTCACACCATACACAAAAATAAACTCCAAATAAGTCAGAGATCTAAATGTAAAAAAAAAGAAAAAGAAAAAGAAACCACACAAGTACCAGAAGAAAAGATGGACACACGTGTCCTCATTTCATTCTCCATCAGCCCTCTGACAGAGATTTTATTACTATATCATTTCCACTTTTGAAGGAGAAAATTGAGAGGAAAGAGAGAAGTGGAGACAAGGAAGTCAAGAAAGAGGAAAGTGAAGTGAATTTCTAATGAGTTTACACCTACTCAGAAGTGGAAGGGATTTCGGCAATATCTGACAAAAGCACATATGCACTTACCCTTGGACCCACCAATCCCAGGTCTAGGAATTTACCCTAAATTACACCTCCAACACAATCAAAATACATATGCACAAAGTTATTCATTGCAGCATCATCTGCAATTGCTAAATATTGGAAACAACCTAAATGCACATATGTAAAAAATTGGTTGAGACTATAATATGTGCACACAATGAAGTGCTATACAGCTGTAAAAGAAAAAGTGGAGTGCTTTCCAGGGAATATAGTTACATGAAAACAGCAAATTGCAAAAGATGATCTATAGTATGCCACCTTTCATGTAAGAAAGTGTAATGGTTAATTTTAGGTGTCAACTTGACTAGATTAAGGGATACCCAGATAGCTAGTAAAATATTATTTCTAAGTATGCCTGTGAGGGTGTTTGAAAAAGATATTGGCATTTGAATCAGTGGATTGAGTAAGAAAGATCCATTTTTATCCAATGTGGGTGGATGCCATTCAATCGACTGAGGGCACTAATGGAACAAAGAGGCAGAGGAAAGGAGAATTCTCTCTCTTTCTCTCCTGGAGCTAAGAAACCCTTCTTCTCCTGCCCTTGGACATCTGAACTCCAGGTTCTCTGGCCTTCAGACCCTTGGGGCTTGTACCAGGGGCTCCCAAGTTTCTCGGAACTTCAGCCTCAGACTATAGCGGGTGTCTCATGGGACTTCTCAGCCTCCATATTCTCATGAGACAGTTCCCCTAATAAATCCCCTCTCATCTATCTATCTTTACATATTCTGTTCCTCAGGAGAACCCTGACCAATATAGAAAGAGATTTTTTTTAATGTATTTGCTACCTTGAACAAAAAGAATCACCAGAAGAAATCAGAAACTAAGAAATTAGGTACAGGGGTGGGTGGGAATAGAATGGAAAGGATGGGTGAATGGGAGTAATGTAGAGGAGAAGGGAGGATGACGTTTATCTGGATGTATTTCTTTGTGTAGTTTTGACTTTCAGAATATTGTGTCTTACACACTAAAGGAAAAAATAAAAACGGTCAGGGAAGAAAAAGAAAAATGGAATACAAATAGAAATAAATCAGTCTAACTAGATTTCAAATGAATAACACAACCAAACTTAGGAGAGGCAATGAAAAGAACTCGTGTAAATCTTGATCACAGTCTAACTAAATACCTGCAGGCTAAAGACAAAAAGAATTGTAAACAATTATTGAACCTCAAATCGTGAGTTTGTTTTCCACAATGGTATAGAAGAGCAATTCCAGGATATAATGTATATTCCAGAATTAAACAAGTGAGACTCAGTTTGCACACAGCCAGAAAGGAGTTTTCAATATGAGAAAGGCTTCAATGAACTCACTGGTGTTGAACTGGAATTGAAGGTATAAGTGTGAACTCATAGTTTTGAGGAAGGACAAGAGAGAGAGGTGCGTATGTATATACATACATGTATTAGCAAAAATAAAAAGTAAAAAAAGAAGGGTGGTTTGTGTGAGAATTGCTAGATTAAACCAAGTCAAATAGGTTTCCTTACTTCAGGGCTCTTCAGAATCTTTAACTTCCTAATGCAAACTCTGAATCTCCAATGGGGTAAGATAGTATTCCAGTTTCCAGTTTCCAAAGTCATTTAATGGTGGAACCCTTTCCCCATCGGATATGACACAGAACTAGAGTTTACACTAGAGTTAGAAGATGGCCAGAACCAGGTTGGAAGTGCTACCACCCCTTTCTAGCTGGGGGGCTTGGGCAAGCTCCTAATATCTACAAAAAAAGATTAAATAAGATCACACTCAAGTACCTTATTATATTTTTACTTTTTCTCTGTGTTCCCCAATTCCCCTTTTCTCTCCCTCCCTCCTTTCCTACAACACTCCCATCTTATACTCTCAGGGAACCAGTTCCTGGTGCAGCCGGCTTCCAAATCTAGCCCATGTTAGGGCTGTGCAGACAGTACAAATAAGCAGGCCAGCCCGTCTGAAAGCAATTAGCTTTGTGGAATGCCGTGGTTTTTTCTCTCCTCCTTTTGAAACTGGTTCTGCCTGAGCTCAGCACCTGGGTGACAAGTTGAATTTAGGAAGCCCAAAGAAAAGAAAAGAAAAAGTGAAAGGCAATTAGCATGGCTTGCAGAAAATCATATCCCTCGTTCCTAATTGTCAGGCGGTGGGTACGTGGCAATGGAAGGGCAGAAAGTAGCCAGGGAAGGCAAAAGGTGGCCCCACTACAGATGCTGTTGGCCTCATGGAGTTTAGCTTAGTCCTGGCTGACGAGATCTGAGTCATGGGTTGAATAGTGAGCAGACAGCTCTGATTAGTTGGGCAACCCCAGCCACTTTTAAGTGAATTTAAAGTGAGCCAGACCCAGAGAAGCCCCATACGTTCTCTGACAGCTGGGGACATGATTGGAGAAGGGTGTTGGAGACAGGTCACCAAGATTTCTGATCATTTTTTGTACCCCAGTGGGTAATTACTCAGCCCCACCTGCAGGTTCAACCTGAAAGCTCAGTGATTCACTACATGAGGATTTAAAAAAAAAAAAAAAAATCACTGGCCAGTCCCCTGCAGCAAGTCAAAGAGACAGAAGCCAGATTCCACAAAGAGGCCAGGCAGAGTGGTTTAAGTGACCAAGGCCAATTCCATCCACTCCATCCCCTGGGAATCCACAGCCCTGTTTCCCAGCCCTCTTCTCTTGCTGTTCCTCATAATTGTAATAATCAGGGAGGTCGTCTGGCACAGTCTGTGTCAGGCACTATGCTAAACACTATAATGCACGTATCTATTATATTATCACATTTAATCTTCACAATGACCCTGCAAAAGCGATATTCATTTACTCAAGTATTTATGTGTTAGATGTAGTCTATGTGCCAGAAACTGTGCCATTGTGCTATTGTGCTACTGGTGCTGGCAACACCATGATGAATTTACCAATAATGGAGGAATTCGTTTCCCATTCTACAGATAAGAAAACAACCTCAGAGAGGCAAAGTGAGTTTTAGCCAGATTGCTCCTATATTCTTTAAGCAGTTAATTAAGGCACCACCACATGAGGGAGGCTACGTACTGAAATAGTAGAAACATTCAATAGAAAGCAGACAAGTTCTTTTCTTTCAACAAGAAATTGAACTTCTTTTCTATTGTGAGGACAGCTTCTATTATTAAACAAGCAATCACTTGTCCATTAGTTAATCATCACTTCTAATAAAATAAGACAGTCAGCAGGAGTTTTCTAAGGAAGAGTTTCACAGAGCAAATATAACCAGTTCACCTCAGCACCTAGAGGGAGCTCAGCGGATATGGGAGAAAAGATAAACTGAGGCAAAAAAGCATTACATAATTTTCCTACTTTGATTAGAATCACAAAATGCTAGAACCAGAAAGGGAACTCATCCAATCTAAAGGGCAGCCTGTGGGAACTTCCCCAGCACACACTTGCTTCTCTTGGTCAGAAACCCCAATTTTCATTCAGGTAGCCACACCTCCCTCTCACAGCCTGTTTACTTTGGAGATGGTGGTACCACTCCAGCTCCAACCAGGCACCCCACTTCCTGGTCTCAGTTACAAATTCAGAGATGCTCTATTGGCCAGTGTTGTCCGGTGAGGTGCTGGCAGAGCTTTGCTGAGGCTTCTTGGAGAGAAGCATCCTTGCTCTTCTAGAGTGTACTCACTTGGGATTTGGAAGAAGTCAAGAGCCCGTTGCCTCAAAGATGAGTGCAAAGCAACCAACCTCAAAGAGACAGAGTCTTGAGCATATCATTGACCCACTGAGTCAAAACAACCTGGAAACCCATTCTTATTTTGCTTTCTAATCTCTTCAGCAAATAAATCCCTTGTGTGATTGTAAGCCTATTTCCACTGGGTTATTTACCACAGAGGAACAGCAGCCAACATAAGGCCAAATTTTTCCTCTTACAGGCAAAGAAACTGAGGCCCAGAGAGGCTCGATGACATGTTCAAAGTCACATATCCAGAAGAGGACGGAGTCAAAGTCTTTCTGGAAGTTTCCAAAAGGAAGAATAGGATCCTGGTTTGGAATTTCTCTGAAATTGGACTTCTAATTTTCTGTAGGAATGAACGTTCCCAAATTGGAGCTGTCCAGCAATAAGGTGGATTGCCTTTGAAGAAGCTGAGTTCCTTGCCATAGGAAGTATTCAAGCAGAAAGGTACAAAGACTCAACGACAGAGTGCCAGAGAGGATGTCTTATGGAGATGGTTGACATAAACCTCTCTAACTGCATGGGCTAGAAGGGATCCAGGAAGCCCCCTAGTGAGTACCTAAGAGTTCTTTTAACATGGAGATGGTTTGCAGACCTAGAGAAAGCACCACGATACATAATGTAAAAAATTACACCCCATAACACTTACCATCTTAGCCATTTTTAAGCGTGTGGCTCAGTAATGTTAAGTCTATTCATATTGTTAGGCAATCATTCTCCAGAACTTTTTCGTCTTGCAAAATTGAAACTCTGTACACATTAAACAACAGCTCCCCATTCTCCTTTCTCCAGCCCCTAGTAACCTCCATTCTTCTTTATGTCTATGAACTTGACTACTCTAGGTACTTCATATGAATGGAATATTATAACATTTGTCCTTTTGTGTCTGTCTTATTTTTCTTACAATGGGGTCTTCAAGGTTCATCCATGTTGGAATACTATGCAGCCATAAAAAACGATGAGTTCATGTCCTTTGTGGGGACATGGATGAAGCTGGAAACCATCATTCTAAGCAAACTATCACAAGGACAGAAAACCAAACACCGCATGTTCTCACTCATAGGTAGTAATTGAACAATGAGAACACATAGACACAGGGCAGGGAACATCACACATGAGGGCCTGTCAGGGGGTTAGGGGCTGGGGGAGGGATAGCATTAGGAGAAATACCTAATGTAAATGACGAGTTGATGGGTGCAGCAAACCAACATGGCACATGTATACCTACGTAACAAACCTGCACTTTGTGCACATGTACCCTAGAACTTAAAGTATAATAATAATAATAATAATAATAAAGGTTCATCCATGTTGCAGCATATGTCAGATTTTCTTTCCTTTTTAAGGCTGAATAATATTTCACAATTCCACTGTGCAGGTTGTTTCTACCTTTTGGCTATTGTAAATATTGCCCTATAAGCATAGGTGTAAAAATATCCGTTTGAGTCCCTGCTTTCAATTCTTTTAGATGTAAACCCAGGATTGGAATCTCTGGATTGTATGGTAATTCTATTTTTAATTTTTTGAGGAACCACCATACAGTTATCCATAGCAGCTGTACAGTTTTACATTCCCATCAATGGTGCACAAAGGATCCAATTTCTCTCTACATCCTCAGAGGAGCTGGGTTTGCCCCTTCTGAATTTGATATGAAGGCAGGACATCTGAGTGCAACTGTCCATGAGACAGTTGGAGATACTATGACTCAGGGGACAGGATGGTACTGCAGACAAATCTGGAATTTATCCAATAAGAAATGAGAGACGCCATGAAGATAAATGAGCACAGATGAGAGTGGAGGGTGAAGAGCAGGAGTTGAGGACTAAGCCTTGGGGAATGGCTCAGTTGGGTGGCACATTAATTCACAAATGGCAGCTGCTAATTGTTTCTAAAAAAGCTCATTCCCTAAGTTAAACCTTCCCCTGCAGTCCCTGGATATGCTTAGCAAACCCTTTTATATTAAAATAAATACTAACTTACTCCTGATGGAGTTATTCAAAACCAAAATTAAAGATTCCAGTGATAGTTAACATCTGTAGAGGTTTTATTTCATATATTTAATCCTTATAACAACCCTGTAAGGTAGATATTATTCTCACATAGTCCTCTAGTGGGGAGGCAGAGCAAAGCACCCCTCAAGGAGAGAGACAAGCTCTCCTGACTTTACTGCTTACTCCCACCCAGGGGGCGTTAGAAGGGAAGGGTCAGATATCAGACACTGAGAATAGTGTGTCTGCTAGTCGGCAGAAACATTGTGGATTTAAAGTGTAGGCACAAAGATCAGTGGTTGCCAGGGGTTCAGCAGGAGGGAGGGAGGAATAGGTAGAGCCCTAAAAGGCAGAGATGGATATATAGCATTAACGCAATTGTCAAAACGTATAGAATGCACAGCACCAAGAATGAACCCTAATGTAAACGATGGACTTTAGCAAAAAATAATCAATATTAGCCCATCAACTGTAACAAATGTGCCACACTAATGCAAGATGTTAATAATAGGGGAAGCTCAAGGAGTGTAGTAAAGGAGTATATGAGAACTCTTGTACTTTCGGCTCAATTTTTCTATAAACCTAAAACTGCTCAAAAAAATAAAGATTACTTTTGGCCGGGCGCGGTGGCTCACACCTGTAATCCCAGCACTTTGGGAGGCCAAGGCAGGCGGATAGCCTGAGGTCGGGAGTTCAAGACCAACTTGGCCAGCATGGTGAAACCCTGTCTCTACTAAAAATACAAAACTTAGTCAGGCTTGATGGCAGGCACCTGTAATCCCAGCTACTCAGGAAGCTGAGGCAGGAGAATCGCTTGAACCCAGGAGGCAGAGGTTGCAGTGAGCTGAGATCACGCCATCGCACTCCAGCCTGGGCAGTAGAGTAAGACTCCATCTCAAAAATAATAATAATAAATAAAAAATAAAGACTACTTTTTAAGTGTATGCACGTAGTGTGGCCTTCTTTTGTGGTCACCCCTCTCCCATGCTGCAGGAGTGGTAAGGAGACCCGAGGGACAGGCCCCATGCTCTGCTCTGGAAACATCTTTCCCCCTTCTTCAAGGACCCCTCTTAGAGGAAGCCCTGCCATCTCGCTCTTTTCCTCTCTGCTCTACTTCCATGTGGCAGCCAGCTAGACCCCACACCCTGCCAGCTCTTCCTTTGGCATGAAGATAAACACATTCTATGAATCTGTCCCTCTCCAGGTACATTCTGCCTAGTTCTGATAAATGGGTTCTATTAGTTTTGGATTTGAAGCCATTTACACCTAATTACCTTAGGGGAAAATGTGTGATTCATGAACCTGAGTCACGTTCACATAGCTTGGGCCTCAATCCGGCTAAACACAAAATGGTGCTTGTTTTCTTGGCTCTCGTGCTTCATGTAACTATATCCCTTGGGAGTCTCCTGGGAAGAAGGTATGGCTAAACCAAAGCAGAATTCTGATATTCTTTGTCCCCTAGCAAAATGCCAGCTAATAACAATCCAGAATTCCTTGTAACGCCTAACAATGGAACCCATTTTATAGATGAGGAAACCAAGTATTGATCAGCATGAGTGACTTGCTCAAGAACACACCTGTAAGTGGTGGGGCTGGAAACTGAAACTCAGATCTTCTGACTCTAGAATCTATATTCTCTCTATTCTTCTACCCCACCTCTCTAGAGGAATGAGGTCTTTGATATTTTAATTTTTCTTTAAGCATGCATGGTTATGCACACTCAGTTAACACTTGAGTCTTCTTAACCCAGATCCTATGGCTTTCTACCTGTGCACATCATAATCTTAATGTGGGGCAAGACCCTCGCCTCAGGACTAGCCCCTACACAAGAGTCACGCCAAGAAAACGAAGATCAGGGTGAGGACAAGGGCATTAAATCAAATATAAATACCCAAGGCTTTGTGTCCTTAAAGAAAAAGATTTTCTGTTTCTGGAGAAATAAGATGGATTCAGTCATTCAGTAAACATTTACCGAGGCTTTGGGAAACGTGAATAACACATAGTTCCTTCCTTTAAACAACAGATCACTATCTCAAGGGTGGGGTAAATGAAGACAAATGAACAGATAATTACACGTGGGGGTAATATGCAAAATATTTTATAACTGGAAAAGCATGGAAGCTAACCAATCAGAATGGATGCTTACCCATTCAGAACACATTCCAGCCATAAATTAACCACCTGGACATACCTATGTGTATTGGTCTGCTCAGGCTGTCATAACAAAATACTATCAACTAGGTGGCTTAAACAATGGACATGTATTTTCTCACAGGCCTGGAGGGTGGAAAGTCTAAGATCAAGTTTCTGTCAGGGTTTGGTTCCTGGTTAGGGTCCTCTTCCTGGCTTGCAGGTGGCCACTTTCTTGCTATGTCCTCACATGGTGCAGAAAGAGAGCTCTGGTATCTCTTCCTCTTCTTATAGGGGCACCAGCCCTGCTAAATTAGGGCCCCACCTTTATGACATTATTTTACCCTAATTAACTCCTAAAAACCCTGTCCCCAAATATAATTCACGTTGGAGGTTAGGGCTTCAATACATGAATTTAGGGAGACACAAGTCACTCCATAGCAGCATGTGTGCCCTAATGGCAGCATAACAGTGCAATAACTGATCCAAAGGAATTAACCATTGGGTGTCTGAGAGGAGCACTTCCCTAGTGACAGCATTTTGGGTTTTTTTTGTTTGTTTTGTGAGATAGTCTCACTCCCAGCAGGACCCTCGAGCTGGCCACTACCCTAATTTGTTCCCTCATATCTACCTGTCACTCTGATCTTACCAAACTTTTGTCATTGTATTGTCAATTACAATAGTAACATCAAAGGTCACTGATTACAGATCACTATAACAGATATAATGAAAAAGTTTGAAATACTGTAGGAATTACCAAAGTGTGACACAGAGACATAAAGTAAACACTTGTTGTTGAAAAAATGGCACTGATAGACTTTCTTGAAGCAGGGCTGCCACAAACCTTCAATGTGTAAAAAAGACACAATATCTGTGAAGTACAGTAAAGCGAAGCTCAATACGATGGAAGGATTCCTGGATTTTTGTTATGGCAGCCCTGGGAAATTAACACATTAATTTTGTATGTTGTTCATTATAAGTGATTTCTTTGAACACATAGTGGACAGTATAGATTTGCTTGGAGTCCAACAGGGGCAAAAATGTTTGCCCAAAGGGAAGCTGGGTGGGGCACCAATTTGGGTAAATGCAATATGTTTAGTGCAGCAGAGAATATGCTCATTTATTTTTTATTCATTATTACAGGAAACTTTCTCAGAGGTTTCCTCTCTCAGCTTGGAGCCCCCTCCCTCTGTCTCTACAGGTGAGCTTCTTCTTTCTTTCTTGGCTATTTAACTCTCTGCTCCTTAAAATAAAGAAAATAATAATAATAATAAAACTTTCTTGAAGGCTTGCTATGATCCAGGGTCTGTGCTAGGGAAGTACAACGCCAATAACTTCTCTACCTTATTTTTCTGAATGACAGCTCATCTGTTGACAGCATGGTTTACTGAATACTTTAAGCTGACTGTTGAGACCTGCTGCTCCAAAAAACATATTCCCTTCAAAATATCACTGTTCATTGATAATGACCCAGTCACCCAAGAGCTCAGATGGATATGTACAAAGAGATTAATGTTTCCATGGCTGCTAACACAACACCCCTTCTGCAGCACATAGACCAAGGAGTAATTTTTACTTTCAAGTCTTATTATTTAAGAAATACATTTTGTAAGGCTATGTCTTCCATAGATAGTGATTCCTCTAATGGATCTGGAAAATACAAATTGAAAACCTTCTGGAAAGGACTAACTATTCTAGGTGCCATTAAGAACTGTCATAATTCAAGGGAAGAGGACAAAAATATCAACATTGACAGAAGTTTGGAAGACGTTGATTCCAACTCTCATGGACAACTTGTTCAAGACTACAGTGGAGGAAGTAATTGCAGCTGTGATGGAAAAAGCAAGAAAACCAAATTAGAAGTGGAGCCTGAAGATGTGACTGAATTGCTGCAATCTTATAATGAAACATGAAAGAATGAAGAGTTGCTTCTTATAGATAAGCAAAAAAAGTGGTTTCTTGAGATGGAATCTACTCCTGGTGAAAACACTGTGAACACTGTTCTAATGATAACAAAGAATTTAGCATATTACATAAACTTAGCAGTGGGAGAGTTTGAGAGAATTGACTCTAATTTTGAGAAAATTCTACTGTGGATAAATGCTGTCTAACAGCATTGCATGTGATATGGTTTGGCTGTGTCCCCACCCAAATCTCATCTTGAATTGTAGCTCCCATAATTCTCATGGGTCATGGGAGTAACTGAATCATGGGAACAGGTCTTTTCTTTGCTGTTCTCTTGATAGTGAATAAGTCTCATGATAACTGATGGTTTTATAAATGGAAGTTCCCCTGCACAAGTTCTCTTTGCCTGCCACCATGTAAGACATCCGTTTGCTCTTTCTTCATCTTCTGCCACGATTGTGAGGCCTCCCCAGCCACGTGGAACTGTCAGTCCATTAAATCTCTTTTCTTTATAGATTACCCAGTCTTGAGTATGTCTTTATTAGCAGCATGAGGATAAACTAATACAGCATATCACAGAGAAATATCACAGGAAGAGTCATTCAATGCAGCAAACTTTATTGTTGCATTATTTTTAAAAATTGCCACATCCACCCCAGTCTTCAGCCACTACCACCCTCGTCAGTCAGTAGCCATGAACACTGAGGCAAGACTCTCCACTAGCAAAAAGGTTATGACTCACTGAAGGCTCTGATGATCAGCATTTTTAGCAATAAAATATCTCTTAATTAACATATATACTGTTTTTAGACATAATGCTATTGCACATTTAATAGACTGTACCGTAGTATAAACATAACTGTTATATGCACTGGGAAACCAAAAAAATTGTATGACTCACTTTATTGCAATATTTGCTTTAATGTGGTGGTATGGCACTGAACTTGCAAGTCTTTGAGGTATGCTTGTACCACAAACTGGGTGGCTTAAAATACCAAAAATTTATTCCCTCAGTTTTGAAGGCCAAAGTTCCAAAATCAAGGTGTTTTACAGGGTTAGTTCCTTCCAGAGGCTCTGAGGGAGAACCTGTCCCAGCGTCCTAGCTTCCAGGGATGGCCAGCAATCCTTGACATTCCTTGGTTTATAGGACTCTATTTATTCCTAATCCAATCAGGATAAACTCTGCCTTCACACTTTTTCCAGTCTCTGCCTTCATCTTCACATGGCTGTGTTTCTATAAGGACAACAGTCATATCAGATTAGGGGCCTACCCTATACACTAGTATAGTCTCTAGCTAATTACATCTGCAATTAGTCTATTTCCAAATAAGACCAGATTCTGAGGAGCTGTGGGTTAGGAATTCAATATATCTTTTGCAGAAGACACAATTCAACCCATAACATACAATAACTTCACAAAAAATATCATTTAGGAGTCTTATTTAGTAAGCACAGGTTAGAACCTTTTGTTGACAACAGCCCTGCGGGGAGCTCCCTGGCATCTATTAGAGTGTGGCCGATACGGTCTCCTGCAGGTGAGAAAGAACACTGGGCTGTAGATATGAACTCCAAGTGAAAGAAGAACTTGCTGGTGAAGAACAGAGGCCCTGCACACAGACTGCCTGAGTTTCAATCTCAGCTCTCGCCTTCTGTGTGAATTGGGCTGAGTTCACTAGTCATGCTGTGCTTCGGTTTCCTTCTGTGTAAAATGAAGATAATAATAGTACAAACCTCATATCATTGCTGTGAGGATTAAATGAGAAAATACCCATAAAGTATGTTAAAAATTATTGGCACACAATAAATACTAAATTTCTAATTAGCAATAATACTTATTATTATTTGGCATTATAGGGATAAAGATAGTAAATGAAACGTGGGGAGTGGATGGCATGGTGGGTGAGGTAGAAAAGACCTAGGACAAAGCTGTAGGAACACCAAGATTTAAGGATCAGGGAAAGGAGGAGGAAGAAGAGCTGGCAAAAGAGACAGAAAAAAAAAAGGTAGGGAGTTTCAAAAGAAGGGAGTGCCCTAAGAGATATCTGTGCCCACATGCTCACAGCAGCATTAGTCACAATAGCCAAAAGGAAGAAGCAACTCAAGTGTCCATCAGTGAATGAGTAGATAAGCAAAATATGGTATATACAATAGAATATTATTCAGCCTTAAAAAGGAAGGAAAAGCTAACACAATGCTATGGTATGGATGAACCTTGAGGACATGAGGCTAAATGAAATCAGATAATCACAAAAAGACAAATACCGTATGATTCCGTTTATAAATGAGGTGGACAGAGTAGTCAAATTCATACAGACTGTATTAAGCCATTCTTGCATTGCTATAAAGCAGTACCTGAGACTGGGTAATTTATAAAGAAAATAAGTTTAATTGGCTCACAGTTCTGCAGGCCGGACACGAAGCGTGGGGCTGCATCTGCTCGGCTTCTAGGGAGGCCTCAGGAAGCTTCCGATCGTGACAGAAGGCAAGTGGGGAGCAGGCATGGCACATGGCGAAGGCTGGAGCAAGTGAGAGAAAGAGTGGCGGGGGAGGAGCCACACACTTTTAAACAATCAGATCTCATGTGAACTCAGAGCAAGAGCCCACTCATCACCAAAAGGATGACCCACGCCATTCATAAAAGATCCACCCCCATGATCCTATCACCTCCTACCAGGCCCCACCTGCAGCATTTGGGGATTACAATTCAACGTGAGATTTGGGCAGGAATAAATATTCAAGCTATATCAGAGACAGAAAAAAGAATGGTGGTTTCCAGGGGCTGGGAGGAGGGAGAATGGGAAGTCGTTGTTTATTAGGGACAGAGTTTCCGTTTTGCAAGATGAAAAGAGTTCTAGAGATGGATGGTGGAGATGGTTGTACAACAATGTGAATGTACTTAACACTACTGTACTATATACTTAAAAAATTGGTAGAATGGTAAATTTTGTTATGTGTATTTTGCCACATTTAAAATTTAAAAAATAAAAAATAAAAAGAAGAATAGAGCGGTCAACAGTATTTAATTCAGCTGAGAAGTCTGGAAAGCTAACCGGAAAAGGGTGGTTGGTCTTATCAACAAAGAGGTTGGTGGTCAGGCTGCAAGGGCAGCAGAGGGGCTTAGAAACCAGGCTGCCATGGGCTTTGGGGTGACTGAGAGATAAGACAGAAAGCCAGGAGCTTGCCTACAAAGGAGGAAGAGATGTGTGCTCATAGTTAAGGGAGGATAAAGCTATTAAAAGGGCTTATCCCCTTTCTTTATTAAATTCCTTTTTAAAACTACAAAATTAAGGCATGATTTGTAAAACACATTGGCCTGTGGAGAAAACATTGATAATCCTCCCTACTCCTCTCCACTTCAACCCAGTTACTTGTGTTAACAGCCTAGTGTGGGCTTTGCCACTGCCTTCACACTCACAGCAACATACGTCAATGTATACAGTGTGCAAAGGCTCTGAGACCAAGGTAGACAGTGTTCAAGGAAAAGCCCTGTGTCACTGAAGAACATGAGCAAAGGAGTCGGGGGGATTGGGAAGATAGAGCTGGGGCCATGTAAGACCCTGCAAGCCTGTGTGTTATTCCAAGTGTGATAAGAAATTATCGGAAGATTTGAGTACAGGAGAGATCTGGTCTGTGTTATGTTCTACGAGATCACCTGACTGCTGGATAAAGATAGCTACAGCAAGTGTCGAAATAGAAAAACTACTTGTAAGAGGTCACAGCAAAAGTCCTGGTGAGGAATGATGGTAGCTTGGCCCAAGACAACAGTGGTGGGCATGGTGAGAAGTGGATTCAAAATATCTTTTGAAGGGAAAGATGACAGAGCTTGCCCCTGGATTGAGCAAGTTACTCAGAGTAGTTTTTAAAAGTCCCTAAGCTCTTACATCTCTTAAGAGACAGACCAGTATTCAAACCTGATTCCTCTACTCAATAAGTATTTATTGGCCAGGCACAGTCGCTTGTGCCTGTGGTCCCAACACTTTGGGAGGCCAAGGCGGGTGGATCACCTAGGGTCAGGAGTTCAAGACCAGCCTGGCCAACATGGTGAAACCCCATCTCTACTAGAAATACAAAATTAGCCAGGCGTGGTGGCACATGCATGTAATCCCAGCTACTCAGGAGGCTGAGGTGGGAGAATCGCTTGAATCTGGGAGGTGGAGGTTGCAGTGAGCCAAGGTCGTGCCATTGCACTCCAGCCTGGGCGACAAGAGTGAAACTCCATCTCTAAAATAAAATAAGTATTCATTGAGCATCTGTGTTAGACCCTGGGAATGGAACAGTGAACAGCACTCCTCCCCATCATGAAGCTCATATTCTAGCCATGGAAAGCCAGTGTACCACAGCAGTTAAGAGCACGGCCCTGACAGGCAGCCATGCTGACATCCCAGCTCTTCTGCTTAGTAGCTACGTGATCTTGAGCAAGTTACTTGATCTCTTTATGCTCCATGTCCTCATCTGTAAGATGGAAACAATAGTCATCACTCCCGCCTCACTGCTTGTTACAAAAAATAGATGGATAATATTATGCTTTAAATATCCCCTCCAAAACTCATGTTGAAATTGAATTGCTAATGTAATGGTATTTAGAGGTGGGGCCTTTAAGAGATGATTAGATCATGAGGTCTTTGCTCTCATTAAGGGATTAATGCCATCATGACAGGAGTGTGTTCCTAATAAAAGGATTCAGTTCAGCCTACATTCCCTCTCTGTCTCCTGTGCTCACTTCCACCTTTCACCCATCCACCCACCTTTTCGATGTGCCTCTCCAGATGCCTGTACCATGCTCTTTGACTTCCCAGCCTCCAGAACCATGAGCTAAACAAATCTCTGTTCTTCATAAATTACCTAGTCTGTGGGCATATCTTTTATAGCAGCAGCAAACAAACTAAGACAGCTAGTACTGTACATAGAAAGTGCTTAGAACAGAGAAAATACTTTATAAATGTTACATTTTATTACTACAGAAGTCAAGCTCTTAACCATTATGCAATTAGGTCTCGGTTTCAGTATCCCATTCTGGCAATGCAAATTGACAATGAATTTTTTCCTTCATTCTGCAAAATAGAGTACGTGATATTGAGCTTTCACCCAGTGGCAATTGCCTCTGTAAATATCAGAAGTTAGAAAAATCACCATGTATTTATCTAGGTATATATGAACAGTGCCAATCTTATGATGGTTTGATTCATAATTTTTTGACTTTATAATGGTTCAAAACTGATATACATTCTGTAAAAACCACACTTCAAATTTGGAATTTTGCTCTTTACCTGGGCTGGTGATATGTGGTATGATGCTCTCTCAAGATGATGGTCAGTAGCTATGAGCACAGCTCCCAGTCAGCCACACAATCACAAAGGTAAACAATGAATACTCTCCAGTGCACCATGTTGCTTGATAATTTTGCCCAACTGTAGACTAATGTATGTGTTCTGAGCATGTTTAACGTAGGCCAGGCTAAGCTTTGGTGTTCAGTAGGTTAGGGGTCTTAAGTGCATTTTTTTAACTTATGATATTTCAGCTTACGACAGGTTTATTGGGACAATGCCATCATAAATCAAGAAGCATCTGTAAGTCCACTGAAATAAAACGGTAAGGATAGATCTCAAAATGATGACACTGTGTGGTGGGATGATGGGATTAAGGGTAATACTTGATTTCTTCTTTATGTCAAGTTCTCTGCCATAAGACTTTGTTCATGTCCTAGTCATAAGAGCAATCATAGTTATTTTTACAAAAATATCTGAGCAAAGGATCTGTAAGCCCAGAACAAACAGAAATGCATCTATGTCCTTTCCTCTTTGCTTTCAACTCAGGACATACCCTGAGAAATGACAAAAACACCAACTATTCACCATTGTCCCAAGGCAAGATCACAAAGGAATGACTCAGAAGTGGCTTCTGACACAAGGCAGAGGGATGACTCAGAAGTGGCTTCTGACACCAGGCGGTGCCTGAGATAGGAAAGTGCATGAGAGCCAGCAGCAGCCAGCCAATTTCTGCAGAGAACCCTCCCTCTCTAAAGGAATATGGGTGGGGTGGGCTGCGGGGGTGGGGCTGGGAGAGCTGACAGCGAGTTTTGACCCTGAACCACACAAGGCTGGACTAATTAGGCATGTTAATTGCCAAGAGGGAGCTCTAAACAATCAGACCCAACACATTGTGGAATTAGAGAATAGCCAGGCTTAGAAGCACTGCCCCCCACCCCAGTCCAACTCCCTCACTGTTCCACTTGCAAAAAAAATCAAAAATCCCCAGCATCAAGATTTCTTTTACTTTAGCTCCCCACAGAGTCCTGCACTGGGCCAGGAACACAGGAAATAAAGTGCTTTGACTATTTTAATCTCTATTTCTTGTGTTCCCTGCCCAGCATCTATTGCTCCTTTTCCTGGC
Source organism: Homo sapiens (assembly GCF_000001405.40). NCBI lineage: Eukaryota > Metazoa > Chordata > Mammalia > Primates > Hominidae > Homo > Homo sapiens. The sequence continues at coordinate 130,528,042 of NC_000008.11, read as the reverse complement.
AACAATGCCCCAGTTTCTGTCTGGGGAGCCACCCCTCCCCCACTCCTGGTGGGATTGTAAGTCAAGGTGAACTTCCTTCCCTGACCAGGTGGTGGACACTGAGCTCAGGCTAAGCCAGTCAGATGCTCTTTTCCTTGAATCAGGCCAGAGTGGATTCCCCACCCTCCCACTCCCCATTCCCCACCCCTGCTACAAGGCTTTTTATTGGTTTTTGTCACCCAAATCCCTGGACCTGAAATGATTCCTACCCTTTTAGAGATCTAATTCCTCAAATTTTCTCCATTTCTGAGAGCACCCCCAATATTCTCCCAATAAAGCCCTTTTTGATTTAAGAAAGATAGAGTCCTATTTCTGTCACCTGCTCCTAAAGAATCCAAATTTGCTATTCATCATCAAGAGAAAACATAAATAAAATCAATGAGGATACCTAGCATTGATTGGAGTGTTACCATTAATTATTTTCACATTCATTGTCTCCTCTGGTCTTACAGCAAACCAGCAACTCAGAGAGGTTCATTGACTTGCCGAAGGCCACAAAGCTGTTAAGTGTTCAAACAGATGGCGTCAAACCAGATCTTTAGCCTCAGGGACCAGAGCTCTGCAGCCTGGAGGGGACCTTCTGCAGCATCATTGCACAGAAGACATCAATCAATCAGTCTTTCAGTGGCCTTACATTTTTCTCCACTTGCAGGTTATGGGTCACCATTTTACAAATTCCTCCAGGACAGAAAGAAACTGTTTCTCCTGCCTGTTCTTTCCCAGCCCAGGCTGTCACCGGGGATCCAAATGTCAGGCTTTATGCAAGTTCTCGATGTTGGAACCTCTCATGAAAAGTGGAGTGAACAAGAGGGAAAGTGGGCAAACCTCAGGCCTCACAGCTTTAATGCCACCGATGCATTTGGTGAGGGACCTGATCTCTCTGCTTCCAAGACAGAGTCTTGTTGCTGTCTTCCGGAGGGGAGGAACCCCGTGTCCTCACGTGGCAGAAGAGCATAAGAGAGCAAACCCACTCCTTCAAACTCGCCTTTTAGAGATGGGGTCTCACTCTGTCACCCAGGCTAGAGCGAGCATAGTGGTATGATCCTAGCTCATTGCAGCCTCAAACTCCTGGGCACAAGCCATCCTCCTGCCTCAGCTTTCTGAGTAGCTGGGACTACAAGTATGTGCCACAGTGCCCAGCTAATTTTTTAATTATTTTTTGTAAAGACAGGGTCTTGCTTTGTTGCCCAGGCTGGTCTAGAACTCCTGGGCTCAAGCAATCCTCCCCCCTCAGACTCTCAAACTGCTGGGATTACACTGTGAGCTAACACTCCTGGCCTGCAAACACTTTTTATAATGAGTGTCATTAGTCCATTTATGCAGGCAGAGCTCTCATAACCTAAACACCTCCCATTAGGCCCCACCTTTCAACATGGTTGCACTGGGGATTCAATTCCCAATACATGAATTTTTGGAGGGGACAAAAACATTTAAACCATAGCATACCTCTAATCAAAGGCCCTTCACTGTCCACACTTCTTACTGCTCTTCACAACATACATCACCAAGCAGACTGATATTCTAGCTGTAATTACAGAAAAACTGTTCCTTCAGCTTCATCATGGTGTGATATGTTTTATTTCCCCCATTTGCCCTATATTCTCATAGCCGGCGATAAAACCAAGTGGTAAATGAGTGATTCTGACCTTCCTAACTGGTAAGGATCAGAAGGCTATTGAGAGAGGGCAAGAGGAGGTAACTCAGCTAAAGCAAAGAAAACAAACAAAACCAAGTGTAAGAAACAATCCCACAGTGGAGAACTGTCAAGCAAACTACTTTTTTTTTTTTTGAGACAGAGTCTTGCTCTGTCACCCAGGTTGGAGTGCAGTGGTGCCATCTCGGCTCACTCGCCTCCCGGGTTCAAGAAATTCTCCTGCCTCAGCCTCCCAAGTAGCTGGAACTACAAGCATACGCCACCACAGCCGGCTAATTTTTTGTTTGTATTTTTAGTAGAGACGGGGTTTTGCCACATTGGGCAGGCTGGTCTTGAGCTCTTGACCTCAGGTGATCCACCCGCCTCAGTCTCCCAAAGTGCTGGGATTACGCACATGAGCCACCACACCTGGCCCACAACTACCTTTGGCTTTAAAAACGTGGCTTTAAAGTCTGGAGGCTGTGACCGAGCCAAAGCTAAATGTTCCCCAAATCCTATTTCATTTTCCACTTCCTGGGCACAAGGGAAGACCATAGCTACCAGCAACCTTTCCAGTTAATCTGATGCCATGTGATCCATTCAGGCCCACAGCTATGAGCACACATGATACACATCATGCTCTTTTTTAATTTGTCACAGATATCTTGGAAGCCATAGGTTGATATAGTGGCATCACAAAATGAGGCAGCCTCGATCAGGAACGACTGCAGAGAGCACAGCTGCCCCGGAGAGTCACCAGACTCTGCATGACGCAGACACCGTGGTGCTGGGTGGATTTGTTCCCGCATCATAGGCCAGGCCTTTCCCAAACAAAACATGAATTTCCTGTTACCTCTCAGTCTATACGCAAAGGGTGTCATAAAATGTTCAAGAAGCCTCAGCTGAATGGAGCATTTAAAAATGGTGAGGTCCAATTAAGTGGGGGAAATGAGAGAACATGGAGGATATTTCATTTGTCACATAGTTATGGGCTTGACCTAAGCCTCAGTTTCCTCCTCTGGAATATAGGAATAAAAATAACACCTACCTCAGGGAGCTGTGACATTTTTAAGAAAGGATTTATTTCACAAACATTTACATAGTATTTACTATGGCCAGGCACAGTTCTAGGTTTTGTTTTTGTTTTTTTTTTTTTTTACCAGTGTTCACATGTTCAGTCCTTGTATTAGTTTCCTGGGGCTGCTGTAGCAAATTAACCACGAACTGGGTGTCTAAGACAATGGAAGTTTATCCTCTCACAGTTCTGGAGGCCAGAAGTCTGAAATCAAGGTGTTACCGGGGCCATGCTCTCTCCAAAGGTCCTAATGAAGAATTCTTTCTTGCCTCTTCTAGCTTCCGAGCAGGGATAGGACATTCTATTGGCTTCCAGGAATTCCTGGCATTCCTTGGCTTGTAGCCACAAGACATTATAATCATCCTACAAGGGGGTACTAATATTATTCCCACTTTACAGATGAGAAACCTAAGAGAAAATAAGCAACTTGCCCGCTGTGGGCCACTTGACTCTCAAGTTTTTGTCGGGACACTGTGTTGTTTCTGAGACAATACACGGGAAGTACTTTCCACAATGCCTAATAAATGTTAGGGGTTTCATGCACCAAGCTCAGCGCCAGAGACTGGACAGACAAATATTAGCAGGGAAGAATCCCTCCTTCCCTGTGGTTACCGTATTTTAAAGGGAATAAGCAGGGCACAGTGGCATGTACCTGAAATCCCAGCTACTGTAGAGGCTGAGAAAGGAGGATGGCTTGAGGCCAAGAGTTCGAGACCAGTCTGGGCAACACAGTGAGACCTCATCTCTAAAAATAAATACATCAATAATAGCCAGGCGTGGCAGAGCATGCCTAAAGTCCCAACTACTTGGGAGGCTGAGGTGGAAAGATCATCTGAGCCCAGGAGTTCAATGCTGCAATGAGCTATGATTGTGCCACTTCACTCCCACCTGGGCAACAGAGTGAGACCCTGTCTCTTTTTTTTTTTTTTTTTTTTTTTTTTTTTTTTTTTTTAAAGAGGGGGCTGAGGCAGAAGAATCGCTTGAACCTAGGAGGCGGAGGTTGCAGCGAGCCGAGATTGCGCCAGTGCACTCCAGCCTGGGCGACAGAGTGAGACTCTGTCTCAAAAAAAAAAAAAAAAAAAAAAGAAAGAAAGAAAGAAAAAAGAAAAAAAAAAAAGAGGGAATAAAAAAATGTCATCATAATTCCAAGTAGAAAGCTCTAAGAGTTACAAGACAGACTAAACAAAATGCTAAGGATTTAAAGGAAGAAATTTGAAGATAATTAGAAATACCTTATAGAAAAGGAGGATTCAACCTGGATGTCTAACGGGTGATAGTAGGAGTGGATCAGGGGTCAGATAAAACCTCATGATAGAAGGCCACGTGATAGACAACAGCAGTATTAAGAAAAGCCATATTTATTGAGTACTTGTTATGTGTCAGGCACTATTCTAAGCACTTCTCACAAGTTACCACATTATTATTTAATTATAAGGCTTTAATCTGCTGTTGGAATGGCTGTTTCCCTTGCTAGACCATCAGCTTCTGGAGGCAACTTGTGTATTCAGCTTGTATTAGTGTGTTCTCACACTACTGTAAAGACATACCCTAGACTGGGTAATTTATAAAGGGAAGAGGTTTAATTGACTCACAGTTCTGCATGGCTAGGGAGGCCTCAGGAAACTATGATCATGGCAGAAGGCAAGAGAGAAGCAAAGGCAGGTTTTACATAGCAGCAGGTGAGAGAGTATGAATGAGCGAAGCGGGAAGAGCTCCTAATAAAACCATCAGATCTCTTGAAAACTCACTATCACGAGAACAGCATGGCAGAAACTGCCCCCATGATCCAATCACCTCCCACCAGGTTCCTCCCTCAACACATGGGGAAAATGTGGATTACAATTCAAGATGAGATTTGGATGGGGACACAGCCAAACCATATCACAGCTCTACTACTCAACTTGGCACAGAGGAGATGCTCAAGAAGGAAGGAGGCAGGGGAAAACTTCACCCTAGATCAGTGTGGAGTCACTGAAAGCTTCTGAGCAGGGCTGGGACATTACCACAGGCATGGAAGCTGAGCACGTGACAAGGATCCTCTCCCTGACAAAACTGACTCAGCGCTCTCTCAACTAGGCCCCAAACTTGGGCCCTTTCCTTGGCCTACTTAGTCCAGTTTTAGCAAGAATCCTGCTGGGTCAGTTTAGTGAACATCACCTGCCTGATATCTTATCACCCTGGCCTGCCTTCAGCAAGAACCCTGTTGAATTATTATAGCAAGAGTCTCCCTAGCTTTAATATTTCCTCATAGTAATGTTCCATCCACCGACCTCTTCCACCCTGTTGACTATAAATCTCCACTTGTCCTTGTTGTATTCTGAGTTGAGCCTGATTTCTTTCCCCTACTGAAAAACCCCCACTGCAACTGTCCCTCTTGAATAAAGTCTTCTTTCCACCTTTAGCAACTGTCATGAATAGCTTTTCTCTTCAACATATGAAAACTCAGCCCAATCACTTCTGGTTTGACCATAACCAGGCCAATATTTATTTTATTATCTTGACAACTGTGAGATAACCAGGGGTGTCTTCTTGAAGTTGTCCAATCTGAGCTAAACGTAAAAAATAATAATAATAAATAAATAAGTACTTTAGATGATCAGCAAAACCATGTAGGAGGACTGGTCATTACTTGTTTTAAAGACTTCTAGAGATACAGGAAGCCCACGTCTAGAACCACAGAGATATAAAAATCTAATATGCCTTCTCATCGCATTATTTATAAAACATTGGAAATAATCTATATATTGATTACTATGAAACGAGATAAATCAATTTTGGTACATCTATTTTATGAAATATTAGGCAGCCAATAAAAGTATAATGTAGATCTAAAAATTTTTTTAAAGTATAATGTAGATCTATTTGTGCTTACCCAGAAAAACATTCAAGCAAGGTGCCAAAGAGTATGCTGATGGGCACAGTGGAGCTTTTGTGGAATATTTTTCAAGTGAGTCCAGTTGGTGGCAGTCTACAAAATTTTCAAACAAAAATGCAATTTTTTTTTTTTTTTTGAGAGGGAATCTCACTCTGTTGCCCAGGCTGGAGTGCAGTGGTTGGCTCACTGCAACCTCTGCCTCCTGGGTTCAAGCAATTCTCCTGCCTCAGCCTTCTGAGTAGTAGGGACTACAGGCACATGATACCATGTCCAGCTAATTTTTGTATTTTTAGTAGAGACGGGGTTTCACTATTTTGGCCAAACTGGTTTTGAAATACTGACCTCGTGATCTGCCTGCCTCAGCCTCCCAGAGTGCTGGGATTACAAGTGTGAGCCACTGTGCCCTGCCAAAGATGCAAATTTTTCATCAACTGACTGGTTTCATCTATTGATAATCCTTTATTAATTGCAAAATGGCAGCTAATTGTTTCACCATTCTTTGTCTATTTGGGCTGCTATAAGGAAATACCATAAACTGGGTGGCTTATAAACAATGGAAATTTATTTCTCACGGTTCCAGAGCCTGGGAAGTCCAAGACCAAGATGCCAGCAATTTGATGTCTGATGGGGGCACACTTTCTGGTTCATAGATGGTGCTTTCTTGTTGTGTCCTCTCATGGTGAAAAGGGCTAACTAGCTCCCCGGGGTCTCTTTTACAGAGGCATTAATCCCTCTGTATGAGGGCAGAATGCCCATGATCTCACCAGCTCACAGGTGGGGGGTGGGGGGATGCATCACTTGCAGCTAAACATCAACTGCATCTGGAGAAGCAGCAGCAGATTAGGCTGGAAAAGTCTCAGGAGGCCAGATGATCACAGGGGAGACTGCAATTCACATTGTCCCCCTCCACTTCCCTCCTGTGGCTCTGGTCTGAAAGCTTCTCATGCACAGTGCAGGAGGTTCTTATGCCTGCGTGTGATTTCTTTCACAGCTAGAGTTCCGGAGCTTTTGTGTTGGCTGCAACATAGAATATGGAATTTCCCTCCCAAGCAATTCTTTATCTTTGGCAACTCACTGGAGTGTGATTTTGGCACTTGTATGACGTGGCAGGAGCTCAGCTGGTGCGAGCCCAGAATACCCTGTGGCTGTCGTGCCAGCTGCTCAGCCGAGAAAGGTGCCAAGGATTCTGCCAGAATGGCCAAACCTGCCATGGTTCCTGGTGACAACATCAGTACCATGCCCGCTTTGTTTTCCCCATTTCACTTTTGGTCTTCCATTGAGAGGAGGGAGAGAGAGGGCACAGCCATGCTTTTGTTGTTTTGGGAAACAAACCGCTTTCTACCTTGAGGGCATGAAGAAGTCACTGGCTTCAGAATCAAAACTCAGCTGGACTCCAGTCAGTCCCAGATCTCCCAGACTGACTTACTATGTGACCTTGACAACCTTAGGGAGGGAGGCATTATGACCTCTCCCAAGTGCCAGTATCCTCATCTCCAAAATGGAAATGATAGTAATTTCTACCTCAGTGGGACGTTATGGGATTCAACAAGAACCTGTGTAAAGTGCCACAGTAGCATTTGGCACGTAGTAGGTGCTCAGTAACTTCCAGATCATCCTACACATGTCTTCTCTCCATACTCCTTGAAAGCAAGAGCCATGTTCAATCTTTGTTTTCTCCCATAAAGCCAAGCAGAGTACCTTGTACAAATTAGATGCTCCATAAATACTAGTTGAAGAATTAGCAAGTGAGAGAAATGTACAAGTTGAGTGAATGAATGACAGGCAGAGAAGCTGTTCTCAACACTCCCCATGGAATCCACCGACTGAAATGGTGGAACAGCAGCTTCTCATCTCCCAAATCTTCTCAGAACACAAATATGGATCCACCAAGCAGAACAACCGATGCAAGCCCCTCCCAGCTCTCTAGATGCTCTCTGGGCACTCTCTTCTTCTACATGCTCTGGAAGTCTGGACACAGCTCCCGGACCCACCACCAACCATAAAGCTCCAAGACTCTAGGTCTACAGAAAAGGACTCCCCTCCCCAAGCCTAAACAGAGGGGCACCCACCCCAGGCATGCAGAGAGGGGACAATCCCACCCCAAGCCAAAACAGAGGGGCTGAGGTACATATTACTATTATATCCATTTTGCAGATGAGGAAACTAACACCCACCCCAGGCTGCAGAGAGGACTTCCCACCCCAAGCCCTAAACACGGGGGCACCCACCCCAGGCATGCAGAGGACTCCCCCACCCCAAGCCCTAAACAGGGGGGCACCCACCCCAGGCATGCAGAGGACTCCCCACCCCAAACCCTAAACACCGCAGGCATGCAGACAGGACTCCCCCACCCCAAGTCTAAACAGAGGGGCACCCACCCCAGGCATGCAGAGAGGACTCCCCCACCCCAAATCCTAAACAGGGGGGCACCCACCCCAGGCATACAGAGGACTCCCCCACCCCAAACCCTAAACAGAGGTGCACCCACCTCAGGCATGCAGACAAGACCTCCCCACCCCAAGTCTAAACAGAGGGGCACCCACCACAGGCATACAGAGAGGACTCCCCCACCCCAAGTCTAAACAGAGGGGCAGCCATCTCAGGCATACAGAGAGGACTCCCCCACCCCAAGTCTAAACAGAGGGGCAGCCACCACAGGCATACAGAGAGGACTCCCCCACCCCAAGCCTAAACAGAGGGGCAGCCACCACAGGCATACAGAGAGGACTCCCCCACCCCAAGTCTAAACAGAGGGGCAGCCACCACAGGCATACAGAGAGGACTCCCCCACCCCACCCCAAACCCTAAACAGGGGGGCACCCCCCACAGGCATACAGAGAGGACTCCCCAACCCCAAACCTTAAAAAGAGGGGAACCCACCCCAGGCGTACAGAGAGGACTTCCTCACTCCAAACCCTAAACAGAGGGGTACCCAGCCCAGGCATACAGAGAGATGACCTCACTAGAAGACAGACCAGAGGGAATTGCTGAAAGAAAGCCACAAACTCAGTATATTTATGGATTTTACTCCTGAAAAAGCCCCCGAGTACCCCAGCCCACCCCATGGCCCTGCCAGTCAGAAGACTGGCACCAAGGCATTGGCAAGATGTCTAATTTTTAAATGCTTTTGTTTCCTGGTCCCCGGATATCACCTCCTTAGCCCTGTCTCCTTCACCTCCCCCTCCCCTAGTTTGCACAAAAACACCATTTGTGGGCTCAAGTCTCCCAACCCTGGCACTGAGCCACACGGTGAAGTAATTGCGCAATTAGAGCTTAATTGCTGGATTTAATTTCAGGCTTTTTTTTCTTGGCATCTCAATTGTTAAAAATGTGCAGTTCCCGCCTTCGAATGTCTGATGAGTTCCCTGGGTCTGCCCTGGGAAGCGGTGTGCTTGCTGGTGGGAAGGGAGAGGCAAAGACAGCCGGCTGGGTTTTGCATCTCAAAGGGAATTTGCGAAGTCAACCTGCCCTGTAGGTGGCTGAAAGCCAGCTAGGAGGGAGAGATTAACTCTGAGATGTGGTGGCAAAGGGTTTTTCCCTCGGGGCTCAGATTTTCAGTGACCTTCAACAAATGCCATGCCCTTGCCGGGCGCGGTGGCTCACGCCTGTAATCCCAGCACTTTGGGAGGCCGAGGCGGGCGGATCACGAGGTCAGGAGATCGAGACCATCCTCCTTAACACGGTGAAACCCCGTCTCTACTAAAAATACAAAAAATTAGCCGGGAGTGGTTGCAGGTGCCTGTAGTCCCAGCTGCTTGGGAGGCTGAGGCAGGAAAATGGCCTGAACCCGGGAGGCGGAGCTTGCAGTGAGCCAAGATCGCGCCATTGCACTCCAGCCTGGGTGACAGAGCAAGACTCCGTCTCAAAAAAAAACAAAACAAAACAAAACAAAAAATGCCATGCCCGTGCTTGGCAGATGGATGGCATATCATTGCACTCACTGAGGACATGCTATGTGCAATGCACATGAAGCCAAGTTGTGCCATTGAAATCCTCAAAACAACCCTCCCACCAGAGGGCAGCTAGCTACTTTTTTTTGTACATGAGGAAACTGGCTCAGAGAGGTTCAGCAGCTTACCCAAGGTCACACAGCCAGTTAGTGTTAGAGCTGGAATGCGAAGGCAGGAGCTAGCTTGTTTCTTTCTTTTTCTTGTGGTTTTAACAGCTTTATTGAGGTCTAATTTCTATACCATAAAATTCAACCATTGTAAGGATACATTTCTATGACTTTTATTAAATTTATAGACTTGTGCAGCTCTCACCACAATTCAGTTTTAAAACATCTCCATCACCTCAAAAAGTTCCCTTGTTAATTCCCACTTCCAATTCCAGGCCTAAACGATTACCTTTTTTTTTTTGAAACAGAGTCTTGCTCTGTTGCCCAGGCTGGAATACAGTGGCATGATCTCTGCTCACTGCAACCTCTGCCTCCCGGACAAGCAATTCTCATGCCTCAACCTCCTGAGTAGCTAGGATTACAGGCATGCACCACCATGCCTGGCTAATTTTTTGTATTTTTAGTAGAGACGGGGTTTCACCATGCTGGCCAGGCTGGTCTCGAACCCCTGACGTCAGGTGATCTGCCCACCTCAGCCACCCAAAGTAGTGGATTACAGGCATGAGCCACCACGCCCAGTCAGCAACTACTGGTCTGCTTTCTGACACTATAAATTTGCCATTTCTGGACATTCTGTATGAGTGGAATCAATCGTACAATAAATACGTAGTCATCTTTTGCATCTAGCATCTTTCACTTAGCGTTATATATTAGGGGTTCAGCCACGTCATAGCAGGTAACAGTAGTTCATTTATTTTTAGTGCCGAATAGTATCCCATCAAAAGAATACATCACATTTTGTTTACCCATTTTCCAGTGAATGGATATTTGAATAGTTTTCAGTTTGGGGAGGAGCCACCTTATTCCATCCTCCTCTCCCCAAAGGGCCTAGCACAGTAGCCACTCCAGGAAAGAAAGTGCAGTGAATCAATCGAAAAATGAGAGGATGGGCTCACTTCCCACTTTTCCTGCTCAAGAGCAGTGAGGTTCCTGCGACTCCCCACCCTCCACACACCCCACTCACAAAACGCCCCACACGCCTCTCTGATCTGTCCATACTTCATTCACGCAGCCCTTCTCCCAGCCTCTCAATAGGTGCTGTTGCCAGCACTCTCCTTCCATGCCCTGGAAAGGCAAGACTCGCCAGCCCCACAGCCTCCAGCTGGCTCAAGGACCTGGCCCCATCCTGCCTTCAACACACACTGCTGATGGACACCTCAGGAGGCAACAGGAACTTGAGTGCCGTTGACAGCAGAAGCTCTGGGAATGGGCATTTATCTGCACACTGGGCTCAGGGTTCCTAAGGCAGAGCCTTCATGTCTTCCCCTTTCTGTATTTATGGCACAATCCTAAATGCTAGAACTTTGGGGGGTTCACTAGTTAGAATGTGCTCGTCAGGAATCATGCTTCTCGCTCGGCCTCCTTTTGCTCTTGCTCTTGTCACTTTTTGAGTGGAAACTCTCATGCCTAACCATATTCTCTCATATCCTTCCCATGAGCCTAAATCCTTGTGTGTCTCAGCAAACAAGCACCAGCTTGAGTCTATACCAGGGGTCTGCAAACTACAGCCCACAGTCAAATCCAGCCTGCCACCTGGTTTTGAACAGCCTGTGAGCCAAACATGGTTTTTACATGTTTTAATAATTGGGGGAAAAATCAAAAGAAAAATGGTATTTCGTGACACATGAAAAGTATATGTAATTCAAATTTTGATATTGATAAAGCTTTTTGGAACACAGCCGTGCTCATTCTTTTGTGTATTGTACGTGGAGTAGTCGCAACAGAGACTATATGGCCTTTAAAAGAAAAAAGATGCTAACCTCTGATCTATACCATTGTGGCTTACCTCTCAAAACAACTTTATAGCCCATTTTCTTTCATAACCCTCTTTTCCAACCATCTGACAGATGCCTCTATAATGGTCAGCTCCTCTTTCCTGCCGAATGGGATTCCAGCTGTAGCCCATCCATAGTCACACCCTGCCATTCAACACGGTAGGTCCTGACAGGACATGGATTGACCCTAGCCTTTGCCTCCATCCCAGCCCGCAGTAGGAAAGGCATAGAGATGGAGTGGAAGCTTTAGATTTAGACTACATGGGTATGAATCCTGGCATCTCCATTTACCACCTCCATGAGCCTCACTCAGTTCCTGCTCTGGAAATGGGGAATACAGGTTGAGTAACCCGACCCTAGAAATCCAAACTTCAAATGTTCCGATGAGCATTCCCGTTGAGCATCATGTTGGTGCTCACACAGTTTCAAATTTTGGAGAATTTCAGATTTTCAGATTAGGGATGCTGAACCAGGAAGTGTAATGCAATATTTTCAAGATTAAAAAAAAAAAAAACCCAAAATATGAAACGCTTCTGGTCTCAGGCATTTTGTTTGGATAAGGGATACTTAACCTGTGATAATACCCACAACATCAGGATGATGTGAGCATTAATTGAAAGGATACAGGTAATGGGCTTGGCACAGACCCCATCCTATAGTACATGTTCAGTAAAGGTTGAATTGTTGGCTACAGGGCTAAGCAGACAGGAACGTGATCCCTGAACAGTGAGCATTGATTCAGGAGCATTTCTCGGAGGCCAGTCTCATTTCTCCAGTTCTGTTACCTCCTTTTCCTCCCTTCTCTCTCCTGCCATCCAGTTCCTGTCTTTTCCTTAAATATTGTTAACAGCCTCACATGTGCCCTTTGCCGCCACTTAAAATGTGTTGTATCTTAATTTCTCCAACTGCAAAATGGAGATAAAGTCTCCTCCCGATCTACTTGACAGAGCTGCTGAGCAAATGAGTCAAGGGATAGGGTGTACAGAATCAGTTTGCAAAGTACAATACTCTATGCAGGTATTACTTATGATCTTTAATACCTTTGAAGCAAAGGGTATTTGGAGTGGACTGTGGGTTAAATTGTGTCCCCTTGAAAGACATGTTCAAGTTTCATTACCTGTAAATGTGACCTTTTTTGGAAATAGGGTCTTTGCAAATGTAATCATGTTAAGATGAAGTCATACTGGATTTGGATGGGTCTTAAACCCAATGATTGGGTTTTTTTTTGTTGTTGTTGAAACGGAGTTTCTCTCTTATTATCCAGGCTGGAGTGCAATGGCACAATCTCAGCTCACTGCAACGTTCACCTCCCAGGTTCAAGTGATTCTCCTGCCTCAGCCTCCCAAGTAGCTGGAATTACAGGCACGCGCCATCTCACCCAGCTAATTTTGTATTTTTAGTAGAGACAGGGTTTTACCATGTTCCTCAGGCTGGTCTCAAACTCCTGACCTCAGGCAATCCACCTACCTTGGGCTCCCAAAGTTCTGGGATTACAGGCATGAGCCACAGAGCCCAGCCAGTGTTCTCACAAGAAAGGGGAGCTTGGAAAAAACACAGAGGGAAGTGCACCATATGACAACAAAGGCGGAAACTGGAATAATGCAGCTGTAAGCTGAGTAATGCCAAGAATTGCCAGGAGCCACCAGAAGCTTGAAGGGGCAAGGAAGGTCCCCTAGAGCCTTCAGAGGGAGCATGGCCCTGCCAACACCTTGACTGGGAATTTCTGGCCTCCAGAACTGTGAGAGAATCCATTTCTGTCCTTTTAAGATACCCAGTTTGTGGTTGCTGGTTACAGCTGCCCTAGGAGAGTAGCACGAAGTGCAAAGTCACTCTTACCAGCCAAGCCTCGCAGAGCTCCTACAGTGGTACTCACGCTCTTTAACCTGACAAGCCACCTCTTTGACCGGTCTCCCTCTCATACCAGCCCCCAGACCTCACTCTGCCACCAGCATAGCCCGCGCATGTTTTCTTCCACCCAATATCGCGTCTGTCACCCCCTTGCTGGCATGCAAACACAAGGCAGCATGCTCCATTCTGACCTCACCACAGCAGATGCCAGGCAGCACAGTTGCTGACATCGGCGGGCATCGTGCCAAGGGTTTGTGTTTGAGCAAAGGCCCTCCTTGCTGGTGGCGCCTGTTCAATTGCTAAGCAGAAAAAGGAAAAAAAAAAAAAAACCCCGAAATGATTCAGGATGAGCTTCTGCATGGTTCTGAGGCCTCATCAAGCCCTGATGAAAATGATGAATTACTCCTGAGGTCCCCAGAGCCCAGGCTCATCTGTTATTAATAAAACCCACCCCAAAATAGAGCTCAGAGGAGGGAGACTTGCCTTTTTTATTTTTTTTAAACAGTACAAGAAAATATCCACCCACTTCCCCTGGCCTTTAATCAGGACTCAATGCTCCCTGGGCAGTTGTCCACCCCCTGCCTGTGCTATTCTATTCCTTTCTCTGAGAATGTCCTTTCCCAGTCCCAGATTTGAAGCAGCTCCAATGCCTCCTCCCCTATGACGCCTTCCAGAATCAACTCCAGCCAGGGTGGCTTCAGGGGCCTGTGACCTGTGCAGTCACACAGGCCTCCATACTTGGAAGGACTCCAAATTAATGCTTTAATGCTCTGCTGTCACCAAATTGAAATTTGTAACCATTTTTGAAATAGCAGTGTTGAATTTTCAATTTTTACTGGGCCCCAAAAATCACGAAGCTGGTCCTGAATCCAACCTTCTCCAACCAGTCAGTCAGAGTAATCTCTTCTACTCTGGACCCTGAGAGAATGCTATTTACCTGTACATCTCTTTATCATGCACTCGAGGAACATTTATTGAGCACCAGTTAGGGTGTAAGGCCCTGTTCTAGGCAATGGCGATTTGGCAACAAACAGGACAGTTCCGACCCTACTCTTATGGACCTAACAATCTAGTGTGAGTGAGATGCAATAAACACATTAAATACAATAAAGGTAGATTAGAAATCCCCTTACTTTCTTGAAGTAATCATCAGTTTCTACTTGTACATTTTGTTTTTTTTTTTTTTTTTGAGACACTGTCTCTGTCGCCCATGCTGGAGTGCAGTGGCACAATCTCTGCTCACTGCAACCTGCACCTCTCAGGTTCGAGTAACTCTCCCACCTCAGCCTCCCAAGGCTGGGGCTACAGGCGCGTGCCACCATGCCCAGCTAACTTTTTTATTTTTTTCGTACAGATGGGGTTTCACTGCGTTAGCCAGGCTGGTCTCCAACTCCTGACCTCAAGGGATCTGCCTGCCTCGGCCTCCCAAAGTGCTGGGATTACAGGTGTGAGCCTCCACACCCAGCCTTGATTGTTGATTTCCATACACTTGTTGCTCCTCCAAAAAACACCAAAATCCCCAAGCTGACCTGTGGGGCCTGTGCAGTCTGGCACCCACTTTCCCTGCTCCCTGGTTTTGCCCTCTCTGAATCGCTCCAGACCTCTTTCAATCTCCTATACACTTTTGTCATAGGCCTTTGCATACAGTTCCCTCTGCCTAAAATTCTCTTCACTTTATAAACTCTTGTGCATATTTCAGGTCTCAGAGCCAATATCACTGCCTCCAGGAAGCCTTCCTGAATTGCCCTGACTCCTCTACATCCTACCCCACCCTAGCACCCCAACCATCACTTCATATGTGTGTGATTAATGGATTAACATGCACCTCCTCCATTGGACTGGGCCCTGCTGGAGCTGAGAATTCTGCTTTGCTTCCTATTTGTATTAGTTCTCACACTGCTATAAAGACATATCAGAGACTGGGTAATTTATAAAGGAAAGAGGTTTAATTGACTCACAGTTCCACATGGCTGGGGAGGCCTCAGGAAACTTACAGTCATGGTAGAAGGCGAAGAGGCTCGTCTTACGCGGCAGCAGACAAGAGAGAGCAAGTGTGCTTTGGAGAAAAATCTCAAACACTTATAAAACCATCAGATCTCGTGAGAACTCACTATCACGAGAACAGCACAGGGGAAACCACTCCCATGATCTAATCACCTCCCACCAGGTCCTGCCCTTGACACGTGAGGATTACAGGGATTACAATTTAAGATGAGATTTGGGTGGGGACACAAAGCCAAACCATAGCACTATTGTATCTCCAGCTCCTAACCCTGGAACATAGAAAATGCCTGATTAACAGATATTGAGCTTAGCCAGCAAGAAAGAAGACAGGCTCCTGATGAGACCAGGACTCAACCCTCAAGGCATTTGGCAATGATTGAGTAAGTGATTAAATAAAGGATTACCCATAAAGAAAAGCACCTGCCCTGCTTTCTGCATCTCCCAGATTCCTCTGAGTCCCCCTTTTCCCCAGAAGCTTTTGCTGTCTGCCAGACCCACTCAGCTGCTCTCCCCAACCCCCATGTGGAATGTGGGGAAGGTAAAGCCCACCCCAAGGCCTGCCCAAGAGCCCCAGTAAGGAGCAGGTTCCTGAAAAGACTTTGGAGCCCTGAACTTCAGACATGGCTCAGCAGACATGGCAGGGAGTTCTGCAGCCTAGTACTCACTGTTGACACAGATATGCAGGCAACACACACACACAGCTCCTCCTCAGGGTTCGCTTCATCTGCTTCATCCATGCCAGCATGTTCTGAGTGGAGCTATCCGTCTAAGGGTCTACTCAGGAAAGTGTGGCCCTGAGAGTCTCATTAAAGCTACAAAAATGGACAACTAGAAAAGTGCCTCTAGGTGCAATTCCAATGCCTGCAAACTGTACATGATGCAAATATACAGTATGCGTGGATGCAAACCAAATGTTCCTGAAATTGAATGAAGATGGGATGGACCTGAATCTAATAAATAGGTGCACATAAGCACACATACAAATGCATATGTGTGTGCACAAGAAGCTTTCTCCATAGATACTTGCATGTGTGCTTCCCACCTGCCCATTGCTCCACCAAAGTCGGCACGATCCTCAAGCCCTGAGTAGACAGAGGAACATGACAGTACACACGGACAACAGACAAGATTCCCAAAGGTGAATCTACTGGAGAATCAATAATAATGTAGAACCAGATGGGGTGGCATGCACCTATAATCCTAGCTACTCGAGAGGCTGAGGCCGGAGGATCGCTTGAGCCCGGGAGTTTTAGGCTGCAGTGAACTGTGATAGAGCCGCTGCATTCCAGCCTGGGTTATTGAACAAGATCTTATCTCTAAAAAAGGGGGAAAAAGGATAGTGAGACTAGAGTATTGGACTCATTTTGCTCCCCATCCCCCACCCTTAAACAAATGGAACCAAGAACTGCAGAGATAGTTTTCAGCTCAATCCAAAAGCAGGATGGAGTGGATCAACTCTGGGTGGTGAGTTTGACATCCCAGGAGGTAGCCATCCCTGGGCCAGGCAAATAAAGGGATTCTTGCAGTGGACTTTCAGGATTGTGTAGGGCATTGGATTGTAAGGTCCTACAATTTTAATAAATATAATACAAACGTACCCAGCTATTTAGAAGTTGTATTAGTTAGAAAATTTTTGCAACCTATCCATCTGACAAAGGTCTAATATCCAGAGTCTATAAGGAACTTAAAAAAATTAACAAGAAAAAAACAACCCCATTAAAAAGTGGGCAAAGGACATGAACAGACATTTCTCAAAGGAAGATATATATGTGGCCAACAAACATGAAAAAAAGCTCAACATCATTGATTATTAGAGAAATGCAAATCAAAACCACAATGAGATACCATCTCACTCCAGTCAGCATGGCTATTATTAAAAAGTCAAAAACAACTGATGCTAGTGAGATTGCTGGCAAGGAACATTTTTACACTGTTGGGGGAAGTGTATATTAGTTCAACCACTGTGGAAGACAGTGTAGCAAGTCCTCAAAGGCCTAGAGGCAGAAATGCCATTTGACCCCGCAATCCCATTACTGGGTACATACTCAAAGAAATACAAATCACTCTATTACAAAAATACATGCACATCTATGTTCACTGCACCATTATTCACAACAGCAAAGACATGGAATCAACCTAAACTCCCATCAATGACAGACTGGATAAAGAAAATGTGGTACATACACACCATGGAATAGTATGCAGCCATAAAAAGGATCATGCCTTTTGCGGGGACATGGTTGGAGCTAGAAGCCATTATGCTCAGCAAACTAACACAGGAACAGAAAACCAAACATCACAGGTTCTCACTTTAAGTGGGAGCTGAATGATGAGAACACATGGACACAGGGAAGGAAACAGCACACACTGGGGCCTGTTGGGGTGGGGGAAGGGAGAGCATCAGGAAGAATAGCTAATGGACGCTGGGCTGAATACGTAGGTGATGGGATGATTTGTGCAGCAAACCACTATGGCACACGTTTACCTATGCAACAAACCTGCACATCCTGCACACGTACCCCTGAACTTAAAAGTTGGAGAAAAAAATAGAAGTTGTATTAGTTCTTCTCTAATCACAGTATTGTTACATCTTAATAGTTATCATTCACAAAGACAATCTCTATGTACCAGGAACCAACACACATGCTTTACATAAGCCATCTTATTTAAATTTTGCCATCGCTCCAATGGGGTATTTTAGCCCCATTTTAAGATGAAAGACTGAGGCTTAAAGAGAATACCAATGTGGCCAGGCATGGTGGCTCACGCCTGTAATCCCAACACACTGGGAGGACAAGGTGGGCAGATCGCTTGAGTCCAAGAGTTCAACATGGCAAAACCCCATCTCTACTAAAAATACAAAAATTAGCCTGGCAAGCTAATTAGCCTGCTGGCATGCACCTGTAATCACAGCTACTTGGAAGGCTGATGCAGGAGGATCACTTGAACCTGGGAGATCAAAGCTGCAGTGAGCCGAGATCATGTCACTGCACTCCAAATTTACAAGAATAATGTGTAATTTGAGATCCTGTCTCAAAAAAAAAAAGTGACAGAATATCAATGAGAACTCTTTTTTGATGTACATGACAGTACATCTTGTTCAAACTGCCTTAAAAGAAAGAGGGAAGTTATCGGTTTCCATAACTGAAAAGGCAAGAGGTGGGGAGAAGGCCTTCAGGCTGTGTGTGATCCAGAGGCTCATAACATGTCAGGAGGACTTGGCTCCATCTCTCCCTGCTGTCCTAAGCCTTGGCAGTCTCTCTGTATTGGCTTCATCTCCAGCTGGCTCCCCATGCCAAGCCAAAAATGGCCAAAGTTCCTGAGCATGAATCTTCACTTCCTACTGTTTTCTGAGGAAAAAGCAAATAGTTTTTTCCAGAAGCCCCAACGATGGTGTGTCTGCATCTCCTTGGACCACACTGTTAAGGATCCTGAGATGAGAAGATTTTTCTGGATTATCTGGGTGAGCCCTGAATGCCATGACAAGTGTCCTTGTAAGAGAGAGAGACAGAAGGAAACTAGACACATCCAGAAGAGGAGGAGGCAATGGGATCCTGGAGGCAGAGACTGGAGGGATGCAGCTACAAGTCAAAGAATGTCTACAGCCACCAGAAGTGGAAGATGCAGGGATAGATTCTCCCATGACCCTCCAGAGGCAGGGTCACCCTGCCAACACCTTGATTTTAGCTCAAAATGCTGATTTCAGACATCTGGCCTCCAGAACTATGAGCGCATACATTTATGTTGTCTTAATCCACCAATATTGTGGTCATTTGTTATAGCAGCGATAGGAAACTAATAAACCATCTAATACCCACACACTCCTGGGGCTGGGCAACATAGGATGCTTTCATGTCACGGTATGACCTCGGTTGAGCACATAGGTGGTATGAATTTTCCTGGAAGCCAGTCCTACACTAGGACAGCTAGCAATAAATTTACTATATATGGAAGTTACTGTGAATCACACATAAATATAACCCACCAAACAAATAAGAATGCAAACCCAACTCATCTGACTCTCCATCAGATTCCCAGACTTCTCCCAGGCACTCCAGTACTATTGATCAAGAGAGGAGGTGCAATGGAGGAAAATCAGAGTGGAAAGAGATCGTGGCTGGGCACAATGGCTCAGGCCTGTAATCTCAGGACTTTGGGAGGCCGAGGCCGGAGGATCACTGGAGCCCAGGAGTTCAAGGCTGCAGTGATCTATGACTGCACCATAGCATTCCAGAGTGAGATCCTACCTTTAGAAAATAAAATAAAATAAAATAAAATAAGACAGTAGTCTTAACTAATTGCTGTGTATTTGGAGCGAGGGAATTCCAAGAGGTTTTTTTATTTTTAAATTGTTTTATTTATAGGTAATAGACGTACATATTTTTGTAATAACTTGAAACATTTGCGTAATCAATGAGGGTAATCGGGATATTCATCACCTTAAATATTTATCTTTTCTTTACACCAGGAACATTCAAATTATTCTCTTCTTGCTATTTTGAAATGTACAATCTATTGACATTAACTGTAGTCACCCTACTATCTATCAAACACCGAGAACTGCAGTTTAAAGCTCTTAATCTAACAAATTTTACAAAAATATATGAACATACAAAGTTGTTGCTAGGGCCCCTCCCAAAACTTTGCAAGGGGCTCTGCAAGCCACTTCCCGCTGATGTGCTTTTGACAGGGTCACTCCAGCCATGTACTGAAACTAGACTCAAGGGATGAGGGTAGAAACAGGAGACCCACAAGGACATCCTTTCACAAACCCAGGTAAGGCACAATGGATGCTCAGACCAGCTAGGTGGCAGGGCGGGTGGGAGAAGTGGTCTGGTCAAGTTCTGGATGTATTTTGAAAGTGGAAACAATAGGATTTCCTGGTGGATTGGATGTGGGGTGTGAGACAATGAGTCAGGAGAACTGCACATTTTTTATCTGAGCAGCTGTGAGGATGATGCTGCTATGAACTGAGATAAGGAAGACCCTTTTTTTTTTTTTTTTTTTTTGAGAGAGAGTCTCACTTTGTTGGCCAGGCTGGCATGCAGTGGCGCGATCTCAGCTCACTGTAACCTCCACATCCTGGGTTCAAGCGATTCTCCTGCCTCAGCCTCCCTAGTAACTGGGATTACAGGCACACGCCACTGCCAGGCTTATTTTTGTATTTTCAGTAAAGACGGAGTTTCACGATGTTGTCCAGGCCTGTCTTGAACTCCTGACCTCAAGAAGTGATCCACGCACCTCACGTTCCCATAGTGCTGGGAATACAGGCGTGAGCCAGCGCGCCTGGCCAGGAAGACTTTTTTTTTTTTTTTTTTTTTGAGACGGAGTCTTGCTCTGCTGCTCAGGCTGGAATGCACTGGCACCATCTTGGCTCACTGCAACCTCCACCTCCTTAGTTCAAGCGATTCTGCTGCCTCAGCCTCCCGAGTAGCTGGGATTACAGGCACCCGCCACCGCCCCCGGCTAATTTTTGAATTTTTTAGTAGAGACGGGGTTTCCCCATCTTGGCCAGGCTGGTCTTGAACTCCTGACCTCGTGATCCATCCACCTCAGCCTCTCAAAGTGCTGGGATTACAGGCATGAGCCACCACACCTGGCCGAAGACCTTTTTTTTTTTTTTTTAAGTGCTACACTCTGTCCTAGCACCCCCTTTAACACAGGAAATTACTCCATATTCTGAGGCCTGGGAGAGAGTCCACGAATAAAAACACTTTGAATTGTCTCTAGGTTTTTTTGTTGTGTTTGTGTTGTTGTTGTTGTTTGTTGTTTGGTTTTTTGCCTTTGCTCTTTTTGTTGGCCTTTTTTCTCCCTGCTTCTTCGGTTTCCCCAAGGAAACACCTGTTTCTCCCATTCCACAGCTGATCCTCCGACTTCATACTCGATTCCTTGCCTGTGCCCTGGCGTGGCACCTGTGCAACCTTTAAGTACGGCTGGGCCGCAAACCGTTCTCCTGTCTCCCTGGGGAGTGGTGCAGGGGAACTTTGGGGGAGGTTTCCTGGGGCTCAGAGTTGATATGCTAATTAAGTGGCTTGGTCCCCACCCACTGCCTCGCCCCCCTCCTTCTGTGCCTCTGACAGCCAGCTCCTCCCACAGACTGCGTGGAAAGGGAGCTGAATTCTTGAGAGCCTTAAATGCCAAAATCTGCACTCTCTCCGTGGCAGTCTGGGAGTGAGATCCTGCAGCCACATCCAGTGTGGGAGCTGTGTGTGTATATGTATTTTGTGTCACTGTCAGTTTCAGGGTCTAAGCCATATTCTCCATTGAAAAATCACAGCATATAATTAAGGAATCTCAGCTGGGTTCAGTGGCTCACACCTGTAATCCCAGCACTTTGGGAGGCCGAGACGGGTGGATCACCTGAGGTCAGGACTCCGAGACCAGCCTGACCAACATGGTGAAACCCATTCTCTACTAAAAATGCAAGAATTAACTGGGTGTGGTGGTGGGCACCTGTAATCCCAGCTACTCGGGAGGCTGAGGTAGGAGAATCGCTTGAACCCAAGAGGCGGAGGTTGCAGTGAGCTGAGATCACGCCATTGCACTCCAGCCTGGGCAACAGAGTGAGACTCTGTCTCAAAATAAATAAATAAATAAATAAATAAATAAATAAATAAATAAATAAATAAATAAGGAATCTCGCTCCCTGGACATACTGAAAGCATCTACGTTGTTGAAGCTACTTCTGAACAGGACAATAATCGTAATCTCAAAGATGATACTACAACCTCTGCAGTAAGTACCATTGACATCATTTTACAGATGAGAAAACTCAGGTTTCTTTCTCACGTCACCAGTGGGCTCTTCCAGCTCTGGTCCCTTGCACTTGGTTATTTCCTCTACCTGGAACTCTCCTCCCCAGGCTCTTCTGCAGCTGAGTCATTCTCATCCTCTCATTCTTCATGGCTCAGCTCAAATGTCACCTCCTCTGAGAAGCTGTCCCTGACCACCCTCTACAGCACCCTCCCCACCACTCTTAGTTTTTCTCTATCAAATCACTCCATTTCATTCTCAAAACTCAAAACAATCTGTGTTGTTGTTTGTTCATTTGTCTACCTGATTAGAGCATGTCTTTCCCCACCAGAACATATGCTCCTTGAGGGCAGAGGCCTACTCTGTTTTATTCACTTCCACATCCCAGGAACTAGATTAGCGCTCAATAAATGAAGCTTTTCACTAGCTCCTTGATTGACTTTACTAGTCCAGGCATTTCTTGCCTTCCTCTGCAGTACTGTTCACTGCATTGGTGTGAATTTCATGCCTTCCTCTGCAGCTCTGTTCACTGCATTGGTGTGATTCTCATGCACACTGTAGGCCATGCTGGGAATATTTGTATGCCCCTTGGTTAAGCTGGCCCCAGGTGCCATTGAGTGCCTGGAGTTTGAGAAGCTACAAATGAACTAAACAGTCTCTGTAGGATAGGAATGAACTAGATCCCGTAGACGACAAACTGGACACATAGTGTGTCTGCAAAGGTAAACCATTATTAGGTTGGTGCAAATGTACTTGTAGTTTTTTGCCATTGAAAGTAATGACTGAAACCGCAATTACTTTTGCACCAACCTAATATTTGGAAATTAATAATGCCAAAAATTTACAAAGCAAAAAAGGAAATACCCAGCAGAGCAAATAATGTCAAGGGGAGACATCTGCTTGGGAGCTATCTGTTTCTGCTCACCACTGAATCTCAGTATTTGGCATATCGCAATGCATCTGGCCAAACTCGTTGCCTGGCACAGGAAGTGTTCTGTACATAATCAAGACAATAAATATTAGTTTAATTGATTTAAATATATGTGTGCCTACAAATATATACGTGTGTATGTATATATGGAAGTGCATTTATGCACAAATCTCTGCCAAAACATATACCTACAGGTACATGTATGACTGTGCATACACACGTAAATGCATAGTCCTCCTTTTCACCCCACACAGATGGAATTATATTATTATGCCTTGCTTTTTTCACTTGACAATAAATCTTGGTGACTTTTCATGTGAGCATAAATAGATCCTGCTCCATTTTTTAATGATAACACCATCAGCTTTTGTGTCAATATACTGTAATTTATTTAATCAGTCATCTTTGATGTCTACCTAGCTGGTAAAATGCAACATCGAATACACCAGTTGTGATGGTTAGTTTCATATATCAACTTGTCCAAGCTGTAGTACCCAGCTATTGAATCAAACACAAATCTGGGTGGGGCTGTGTAGGTATTTTGCAGATGGAATTAACATCTATAATCAGTTGACTTTAAGTAAAACAAATTGGATTCAACACTGTGGGTCAGCCTTATCCAGTCAGTTGAAGACTGACATTCCCCAGAGAAGAGATTCTGCTTCAAAACTGCAGCGTCTGCACTTTATGCAAATAATTAGGCCAAGTATAATAAGACTAAAACCTATTTGGCAAATAAGTTGGTCCTACTATGATTTGTTTTTCATAGAAATGGAAAACTGGAGAGGAAAAACTATGTTTCAGAAAAACTAGAGTACACCTATTATTAGATTCCAGCCTTGTCCATTGTTTTTGAGCCTCTGCTGATGACCCAATATCTGATTGATTCTTGGGATCATTAACCTGGATCCCTCAAGGGTTCAGGTCATTTCTATAAGGCATTCACTCCTCATGTTAGGGCTCTCATAATCTGCTGTTCTCTTAAATGCTGTACTAAAGCTGGGATAAGAGCACCAATGCTTTTGTTATGCAGACCTTGGTGCCCTGGAATACACAGAGACAAATGCAAAACAATTTCATTCCTCTGACCCTAGAGGCAACCCGGACCGACGACATCCCTTGAAAAGAATTAGAAGAAATTAGAGTAATCCCTCAGCCTTTTCCTATCTCGGTAGCTCACACCACAGGGTTGAGGTGTGTTAAAACCTGAGGGTGGGGCATTGAAACCACCTTTCCAAAATTATAACAGTAAGAGAAATCTGACATAGTTGATTCCCTCTTGCTTCTAAACTCCAAGCTGTTTTTGGTCATTCCTGGGCATAAGCCAAGCTAACTTTGACAGGAACTTAATTTATAGTCTAACATTAAAGCAGAGATGATAATAGCCCTTCTCCAAACCGAATCACCTTTGTAAAAATAAGGAGAGGCCATAAGATTAAAATTATGAGAGGGGCTTGAATTCTGCTAAGATGTAGGTGTTGTTAAATGATAACCAACCAATGTTCCAGAGGCCACAACGTTTATGACTTCCCCAGTTACTCCTGTAGATAACATCACTATTAAAGAACCTAAGATTAGCCTTTTGGAATTTTTTTTCAGACTTTTGCATTTCTCATGACCAGCTGACTCCAGCTGGACTCATGACTCAGCAGGTCTCGTGGCCCCCACCCAGAAGCTGACTCAGCACACCCGGACTGCCCTCCACACCCTGTGACTTCATCCCCAACCAACCAACATTCTCTATTCCCTAGCCCCCTGCTCACTGAACTGTCCTTGAAAAACCCTAACCTCTGTGCCTTCATAGAGGCTGATTTGAGTAATCCATTCCATCTCCTGTGTGGTGAGCTTCACATAAATTAAACTCTTTCTTTACTAGAAAAAAAAAAAAAGGCTGCAGCATCAACTCCTACCTGAGTTTCCAGCCTTCTGGCTTGCCTTGCAAAAATTTCAGACTTGCCAGTCCCACAATTATATGAACCAATTCCTTAAAATAAATCTCTTTATATGTGTATATAAATGTATACATACACACATATATAATGTATTCTATATGTACCTGTAAATATAGTTAATTATATGTAATATATATTTATATATTATATATAATATATAAATATATTTATATATTATATATAATATATAAATATATTTATATATTATATTTATATAATTTATATAATATATAAATATTATATATAAATATAATATAATATATAATTATATAAGTTATATATTATATAATTAATATAAATATAAATATAGGTGTAAGATATATATGCACACATATTGTGATAGTTAATTTTAGGGGTCAACTTCACTGGATTGAGGGATGCCTCACTGGCTGGTGAAGCCTTGTTCTGGGTGAGTCTATGAGGGTGTGTATTAGTCTGTTCTCATGCTGCTGATAAAGACATACCCAAGACTGGGCAATTTGCAAAGGCAAGAGGTTTAATGGAGAACTCACAGTTCCATGTGGCTGGGGAAGCCTCACAATCATGGCAGAAGGCAAGGAGAAGCAAGTTACGTCGTACGAGGATGGCAGCAGGCAAAGAGAGAGCTTGTGTAGGAAAACATTTTTTAAAGTTAAACTTCTTTTAAACTGGTTTTTACAACCATCAGATCTCATGAGACTCATTCACTATCATGAGAACAGCACAGGAAACACCCTCCCCCATAATTCAATCACCTCCCACCAGGTTCCTCCCATGAGATGTGGGAATTGTGGGAGTTACAATTCAAGATGAGATTTGGGTGGGGATACAGCCAAACCATATCAGGGTGTTTCCAGAGGAGACTGATGTGGGAGTCCGTGGACTGGGAGAGGAAGACCTGCACTCACTGGGGGTGGCCAATATCCAATGGGCTGGGGACCTGGCTAGGACAAAGCAGGCAGGAGAAGGGTGATTTTCTCTCCCTCTGCTTTCTCTCTCCCTTCTAGAGCTGGATGTTTTTTCTCCTCCTGCCCTTGGACATCAGACTCCAGGTTCTTAGGCTTCTGGACTCTGGGACTCACACCAGCAGTCTCCTGGGGGCTCTCAGGCCTGACTGGGAGCTTCACTGCTGGCTTCCCTGGTTCTGAGGCTCCTAGACTCTGACTGAGCCACGCTACCACCTTTGAGCCACACTGCTGGCTTCTCTGGTTCTCCAGCTTGCAGACACCTATTGGGGGTCTTTCTCCTGAACCCTGACCAGGGCACATAGGTTATATCCTACTGATTCCATTTCTGGAGAACTCCAACTGATAAGTTAGTCCTTGGACACTCCTCACATTACCTGCTCATTTCAAAGTCCCCTCATTGTTCTCAGGATGAAGCCTTCCTGGGGCACAGAACTTCCTGATCCAGCCTTGCCTTCCCCTCCCACCTCTCTCTCCCACCTGCCCACCCCGCCTTTCCTAATGCAGCCCCACCTAAGCACTTGGCACTCACCAAATACATGGCATTTTGCTTGCCTCACTTCACAGACTTTCCTCTACGACACTTTTCCCACTAACCCCTGCTCTTCCTCCAGTCTTCTCTGGGATTTCACCTCCTTTAAGAAACCTTGCCTGGGCCAGCCATGATGGCTCACGCCTGTAATCCCAGCACTTTGGGAGGCCAAGGTGAAAAGATCACCTGATGTCAGGAGTTCGAGACCAGCCTGGCCAACATGGTGAAACCCTGTCTCTACAAAAATACAAAAATTAGCCTGGCTTGGTGGCACATGCCTGTAATCCCAGCTACTCGGGCAGCTGAGGCAGGAGAATCACTTGAACCCAGGAGGTGGAGGTTACAGTGAGCCGAGATCATGCCACTGCACTCCAGCCTGGGTGACAGAGCAAGATTCTGCAAAAACAAACAAACGAAATACCTTGCCTAGCCCTCCAAGATTGGCTTAGGTGACCTTCCCCTGAAGCCCCGAGTCCCCAGTAATTGCCACAAGAGACTTGGCACTCTGCAACAGACATTGACACGGTGATCATGGTGATCATGAAGTACTGGACCACCAGTCTAACAATAAAATCCATTTATGGGAACAACAGGACAATATGTTTGAAACCGAGACTATTTCGGAAGATTGGGGATATTTATTTGTACTCTGTGAACAATGAGGGAAATAAATGTTGTTCAACAAACATTTATTGGACACCTACAAAGTTCCAGGCTGAACTGTTACTGATAAAGAGACGAGCAAGACACATTCGAGTGGAAAATTTGGATAAACACCAAGCTGCTTCTTGGATGCGGACATGGGAGCCTGACTTCAGAGAAATCTGGATCATAAGTGCTAACACTTAGTGAGCACTTACTAAGTGCTGGCTCTTCTTCTAAGCATTTCAGTGCCCTAATTCATTGACGTAATCATCTCAAAAGTTCTGCGACATGGTACCTCCAATCAGTGCTCTGGAAGCAGAGCCTGAGGCAGGGATTTGGGTCCATTTGTGTTCTCAGGACCAGGGAGGAGCAAGGCAAGCATGAGGTAGGTCTCAGCTGGAGGCAGCTCAAGTCTGGTCCCACAGGGAGCTCTGGTGCATGAACCACATCGCAAATTTAGTCTCACCATAAGGCAAAGGTAAGTCTGACTTGCAGGCCCTGTTCTTCAGCCATTGACCTCTGGCTGCCTCTGGGATTCGAAGAGGAACGGACATAACATCTTAGGTGGGGAACCCTTATTCAACCTAAGACAATTTTCTGGAGAAGGGGCAGCAACGAGCTGCCAGGAACAGCCCTCGAAGCAGCCAGAGGATGGGTACAGAGTGACCCCAGCATCTACTACAAGGAGGGACTATTATTGTCATCTTGGTGTTACCAAAGAGGAAACTGAGGCCTTGGGAGGTAAAGAAATGAACCCATGCCCACAGCTGGAAGTGAAGCCACCGAGGTCTGTTGGAGCCACTGCAGGTCTCACTGGTTCCTGAAAGTCATAGGCCTTTGCCCAGAGTTTACTCTCAAAAATATAAGAGACTCGGGAGTTCTGGTCTCTGGAGGAAAGGTAGATAGAGACTAAGCCCTCATTTAAACAGATGACCATTCTGAACTTGCCAGAGGCAGAGCTGTTAAGTGAGTCTCATTGGAAAGGGGAAGGGATGAGAAGGGATGGGGCTGCAGGCTCTTCACTCATGGAATTTAAAGCCAAGCTCCAGAGCCACATCTGGGTTCTGTGAAGTCAAAAACAGCCATGCCTGGAGACTCAGTGCCCCACATTTGTTGTGGTGCCCTAGGAAGGGCTCAGCCCCTGCAGCTCACCTGGCAAGGATGGCATTCACTAGGCCACCTACGGGCTGTTTGACTTTGGGCATGTTACTGCATGTCTCTGTGCCTCCATTTCCTTATCTGTAAAATGAGATAACAATAGTCCCAATCCTCTGGGGATGTAGTGAGAGTTGAATGAGTTGGTGTTGATAAAGCATTTGGAACCATGCCTGGAACATAGTAAGCATTTCATTTGTATTTGTTAAACACACACACACACACACACACACACACACACACACACACACACACACAAGGATTTGTTGAATAAATGAAAGAATGAATGCAGCCTGGCAGACCTGTGTTCAAATTCCAGCACTGCGTTGTGTATATGCTATGTGGCCTAAACCCTTGATACTACAGCATAGCCTGCAGCCCAGCAGCTGCCCTGGGAGCAGAATCTCAGGCCTCAGCCCAGACCTTCTGAATCAGGATCTGCATTCCAGCAGGATTCCAGGCGAGAGGTGAGCACATCAAAGGTGGAGATGACAGCCCTCGTGCCCAGTGCTATGGGAGAGGAAGTCCCTCACTTCCTGTCTCTGTGCTATAGGAGAGGAAGTTAGGCCCATGGATTCCTCAGGATGGACATTTCCAGGTTTGGTGCACACAATCTAAGACCACCAGAAGTGCCACCCATCACTCTGCCTTGCTCTCCCATCCTCTCAGTAGAGGGGTTTAATGGGCTTCAGGTTGCTTGGGACCAACACAGCCCTGAGCAGGTGCATGGCTTTCTCTCTGTGGGAGTCTCTTGTGCTCCATAGAGAATCAGGCCAGAGTGAGGGGAGCCAACCCTCTGAAACATGGGCCTCCTAATTTATCCTTGATTCTTTGGTTTTGACCCCCCAATCCATGGTCCATACCGACCCCAGACTCAACTTTTGAAGCAGGTCTTATTGTCAACTCTGCTCCCCATCTCCCTTCAGTGGCTCTTCAGTGGCTCACCATTGCCCCTGGATCAAGTTCAAACCATTTATCCTGTCCCACCAGCTCCTTCCCAGCCTGACCTTAACCTAACTCTCCAGCTCTCTCCCTCCCTGACCTCGCTGAGACCTTTCTGGCTATGCTTTTTCAGGGCTATGACCCTCCAAAGGACAGGATTTGATGAGCAAGGAGGAGGAGAGGCCAGGTGTAGTGGCTCACCCCTACATTCCCATCACTTTGGGAGGCCAAGGCAGGAGGATTGCTAGAGCCTAAGAGTTCAAGAACTGCCTGGGCAACATAGTGAGACCCCTTCTCTACAAAAAAAACTCAACCAGGTGTGGTGGTGTGCACCTGCAATCCCAGCTACTCAGGCGGCTGAGGTGGGAGGTTCACTTGAGCCTGAGAGGTAGAGGCTGCAATGAGCCATGATCACACCACTGCACTCCACCCTGGGCAACAGAGCAAGACTCTGTCTCAAAAAAATAAATAAATAAAAGGAGGAGGGGAGGTGTCCCGGGCTGGGCAAAGCTGTACAAGGCATGAGGTTGGAATGTGGGGGAGGTGTTCAGAGCTCCACACCTTTGGTGGTGCAGTACTTACTGCTTGGAATGCCCTTCCTACTGTACCTCCAACTCACAGGCTTGGCCCAATCCTTAAGGTCCAACCCTCCTACAATCACCTCTCTTAATCTACCCAGGTGGAGGTAAATGCTCCTTTCTTTGTTGTGCAGGAGCATTTGAGAATAGGTGGCAAAGGATACAAGGCAGGGCCATTTATTTATTCATTGCTCTTTCCCCCGCAAGACTATTGAGGCAAAAACTATATGCTCAGGTTCTAGCCTGGCCCTTCACCTGTTGTGCGTGCTCAGTAAATGTTTGCAGATGAAATGAATGAACACACAACTTGGTTTTTGTTAGAGAAGGAATGTCACCCTGCCACCCAGGCTACATTGCAATGGCGTGATCATAGCTCATTGCATCTGAATTCCTGGGCTCAAGTGATCGTCCAACCTCAGCCTCTCAAGTAGGTGGGACTACAGGTGAGTGCCATTACACTCAGCTAACATTATTTTTTTTTTAAGAGACAGGGTCTCACTATATTGCTCAGCTGGTCTCAAACTCCTGGCCTCAAGTGATCCTCCCACTTCCTGTATCTCATAATTCAGTATACCCCAGTAGATAGGGGTTGGCTCAAAGAGCAATTGGAATATCTAAGAGCCCAGGGCCAAAGGATTCATATAGGCTCACATTGTTGTATTATAGAGAATGGAAAAAGAGTTCAGAGCCGTTAAGCAACGTAGACATTGTAACACAGGTTGTTCAAACGACAGCTGGACCCCAACTCTGCTCTCAGGTTTTTCTCTTTTCTTTTCAATGTTTTAATTATATTTTTACAAAGTGACCTACACTCATGGTTTAAAAAATCAAATATTACAAAAGTGTGTATAGTATTATTAAATCCTCCTTCTCTTCTCTGATCCTCAGTCCCCAATTCCTTTCTTATAAGAAGTTCATTGCTATTGTTAATATGTACACACATTTACATATACTGTATATACACATTTCTACAGACATTCTATGAGTATCTATTCACATATATGGTATTTACCTCCTCTTACACTAACAGTAGCAAACATAGAACAGAATTTTTCAAACTGTTGCTTGTGATGCACTAATAGGTTATAAAGTTCACTATAGGTGTGGCCTTGTTTGTTTGTTTTGTTTTAATGAAAAAGAATGGTATGGGATGGAATGGATTAGAGTACATCCACATAAAAGATCAAGCATTGTTTCATAAAACTTGTTTCAGACTTTTTAAATCAAGCTTATTGAGTTATAATTTACATATAATAAAAATTCACCCTTTTTAATAAAGTATAAAATGTGATGAGCTTTAACAAATGTATTCAGCTGTGTAACCACAGTCACAGTTGAGACACAGGACATTTGCATGACTCCAGAAAGCTCACTGGTGCCCTTCCCCCTCATCTTCAGCCCTGCTAGCCACTGATTTGCCTCTGTCACTAGGGTTTTGCTTGTTATATTTATATAACAAGTGAAAATAGATATATTTTATATATTTGGTATATAAGATACATTATATACAATCTTATAATAATATGTAATTTATAATAATATATTACATATCATATTATATATTACATAATAATGGTTATATAATATATAATTATATATTATATATTATTATATATTTATATATTTTATATGTATAAATTTATATATAAATTTTTATATATTTTATTATATATAATATATTGTACATATTATATATAATATATTATATTATTATATATTATATAATGCATTTAATATGATTGTGTATACTATAATATAATATATTATTAATAACATAATATATATGTTATTAATAATATATAATATATAATATAATTATATATTATTAATTATATATAACATAATTATATATTATTAATTACATATAATGATATATAATATGGGATATATATCATATGATATATATTATAATATACTATATATAACAAGTTAAAAAAGTTAAAAAATAGAATATACATATATTCCATAATGGCAGGGATTTTTTTTTTTTTTTTTGAGACAGAGTCTCGCTCTGTCACCAGGCTGGAGTGCAGTGGCTCTATCTCGGCTCACTGCAACCTCTGCCTCCCCGGTTCAAGTGATTCTCCTGCCTCAGCCTCCCGAGTAGCTGGGATTGCAGGTGTGCGCCACCACGCCCAGCTAATTTTTTTGTATTTTTACTAGAGACGGAGTTTCACCATATTGGCCAGGATGGTCTCAATCTCTTAACCTAGTGATCCACCCCTCTTGGCCTCCCAAAGTGCTGGGATTACAGGTATGAGCCTCTGCACTGGGCCCTGGCAAAGATTTTTTAATCTATTTTTTCACTTTTGTCTCTTCAGTGCCTAATTTGTGTATAACAACGTAGTAGTTACTAAATATTTGTCCAAAAAAAATGAATGAATGCACCAGTTTGTGATATGAAATATAATTCTTATGGTGGGTTAGGATCAAAAAAGTTTGAAAGCTCCAGCTGTAGATGATGCCTCAGAGTTAGTATGTTTGAGAGCTTGCTCCATGTCATTATAAAGCTACCACATTGCTTTTAAAGGCTGCAGAGCATTTCAAGGTGAGAGTGAAGCATACTTTAAGTGGCCCTCTGTCGTTATGTTATCGCCAATCTTCTTTTTACTAATAATATCTTTATACATATGTCATTAAGCACATGTGTTAATGTACATGCAGGGTAAATTCTTAGAAGTGGTACTGCTCGGTCAGGGGATATGTGCATTTTTGTATTTTGAGAGACATTGCCTAATGGCCCTGTGAAAGCTTACACCAGTTTGTACTCCCACAATGACAGAGAACGTTGGTTTTTCTACCCTTAACAACGTGTATCAAATGTCTTTATTTTTGCCTGTTTAATAGATAAATATGGTATCTTACAAAAACTTTGCATTTTTTAACAGTGAGTGAGCGTGAGCACCTTTTGTGTGTTTCAAGACCACTGTCATTTATCTTCCTATGAACTTAGAACTCTCTGCTCATGTCCTTTGTTTTTCTTTTGACCAGTTAGTCTTTTTCGTTATTCCTCTGTAGAGGTATTGAAAGGAATTAGGCCTTTGTATCTCACATGTTGGAAACATTTTTTTCCAACTAAGTTTGTTGCTTATCTTTTGACTTAATTTTTGGAATGCAGAAAATTTTAATTTTATGACATCATAATATTGATTGTTAGCAATTTTCTTTTCTTATATGGATTCTAAAGTTTGTATCACGTTTAAGAAGGCAAAGTTCTTCCTCCATTTGGATATTATTTAAATAAGATCTCCCATGTTTTCTTTTAATACTTTTATGGATTTTTTAAAAAATTTAAATCTTGGCTCCATCTGGAATTTATTTTGGCATAAGGAATGAAGAAGAGATCTAAACTCTGTGTTAGATGGCTACCATTTGTCTAAACATAACACCATTTATTAAATAATCTCCTTTTCTCCCACTAATTTGAAATGTCCTCTTCATCACAAACTAAATTTCCCTGCATACTTGGGTTTATGTCTGGCTCTCCACACTGTTTTATCTGTCTCTCTATCTATCTATTCGGGTACCATTACCAAACTACTTAATTTCTTTTAGCTTTATAATATAATATCCTCTAGGCCTAGATTACTGTTGATTTTTCAGAATTTATATGGTTATGCTCATCTGTTTCTTTTTTCATATAAACTTTAGCATAGCTAATCTTTTAAAAGCCTATTTCCTAAATGAGATTATGCTATTTTTTTTTTTGAAACGGACTCTCGCTTTGTCACCCAGGCTGGAGTGCATGGCACAATCTCAGCTCACTGCAACCTCTGCCTCCTGGGTTCAAGCAATTCTCCTGCCTCAGCCTCCCAAGTAGCTGGGACTACAGGCGCACGCCACCACACCAAACTAACTTTTGTATTTTTAGTAGAGATGGGATTTCACCATGTTGGCCAGGCTGGTCTCGAACTCCTGACCTCAGATGATCCGCCCACCTTGGCCTCCCAAAGTGCTGGGATTACAGGCATGAGCCACCATGCCCAGCCAGATTATCCTAAATTTAAATATTAACATAGGGGCAATTGGCTTATGTAGCATGGAGCTTTTTCTCTTACACATTGTCTTTCCATTTTTCCTGTATTTGTGTATATTCCTCAGTAACTTCTTCAAAGTTTCTTCATATACAATACATCTTACACACAACTTGATAACTATATTTATTGCCAGGTATGGGATCTGTTTGCAGCTATTGAAATACACTTTTTCCTCGTTTTATTCTTGTCTGCTTACGATGTTGGAAGATACTGATTTGTTACCCAGATGCCCTACTGCATTCTACTGTTAGCAATGTTTTTTAATTGAATATCCTGAGTGTTGCAAGCATAGTCATATCTACATAGAATAAGTTTGCCTCATTCTCTGTAATGTTCACATCTCATTTCTTTCTCCTTTCTAACCCCATCAGCTCTGCCTCATGACCATTATCTGGTAGTGATTGCCATCATGGACACGTCACATTCCTGACTTTAATGGGATGACTTCTGGGCTTTCATGATTTGGCACATGGTGTGTGTGTGTCCTATTATTTTCACAGCTGGCACGGGGAAAGGGAGGAAGCAGAAGGAGACAGAACAGACCGAGACAAATGAGCAAAGCAAGTGAATTCTGTGCTTACATCCCAGACAGCCTCAAACATGCATCTTCCTCCTCCCACCTTGTCTTCCAAGCTCTAGAACAGTCTCCTTTCCCAGGATCTCCCCAGGCTTTAGCTCTCTACCTTCATTCAGTCACTGGAGCTCAGATTCTAGCCCCAGCCTTGCCACTGTGCTTCTGAGCCTCAGTTTCCTCATCTGCAAAGCAAGCTAATAATAACTACTCTGGCTACTTCCTGGGATGGGTGTGAAAACTACTTCATGTAAATGACATTGCAACCATGAGAGGTTATCATTGTGGAGCAAGTTTAGGCAGCTGATGGTCCTCCAGCCACACAAATTATGCTTGTAATGATAACTTGGAGCTTTCTCACCAAGTGAAAACAGAACGGAGTTATGCACAAGGAGAGAGATGCTACAGGATCATTTTCTTTTAAACTGCATCCAGGGGTAATGCAACAGGCTCCCAGGACCTGCACGAAACTACAGTCCTGTCGTCCCGGCTCTCAGCCCCTTAAGCAAAGCCCTGCACTTCTCAGGAAAGGAAAATAAATGGTAATGGCATTTCTGACTGACATGCCAGGGCCTTGGAGGACAGAACTGCTTTTTTGCAGGTCAGGCTGGGTGAGAAGAACCTTGACAGCCATGGGCAAACACTCACTGCAGCCAGTGTCAAGTCAGCCCACCACTGCCAATCAGGCAGCCCAACTCCGCAACTAGATATCTGCAGGGCAAGAGACCAGGTCGTAAAATCTAGGCAGCCACTTCCAATATCGAAAACCACTTTTTAAAATGCAATAACAACAAATTAGAAAAAAATTATTGGGGGGGAAAAGATGCCTACCACAATTTTGAGTGTTTAGGACACTGATCTTAAGCAAATGAATAAGGAGGTCATCAAGATCGTCAACGAATAAATGGGCAAGGACAGGAGCAATTTCCAGAAAAGACAGCCAAGAAACATACAAGGTTTTTGCCTACCCTCTTTCTACTTATTTATAGCTTCTCAGTGTTCTGCAAAGAGCACTGATATTACCTTGGCAATCAGAAAAGGATTATTTTATTAATCTAG
Source organism: Homo sapiens (assembly GCF_000001405.40). Taxonomy (NCBI): domain Eukaryota; kingdom Metazoa; phylum Chordata; class Mammalia; order Primates; family Hominidae; genus Homo; species Homo sapiens. Next base: position 130,492,577 of record NC_000008.11, on the reverse strand, counting down.
ACAGTGATTTCAAAAAAGGCCTAAGGCTTCTTCCTTGCTGTTGTGTTCTACAACAAAACAGCCCCTGCTGTGCGCTTAATATCAGAAACCTACAGCTGCTTGTCACTTAGTCACTTAGATTAGGAGCCATCCTGGGCACAGAGGGGAGGGCAGCAAGTTGGGGCACATGAGGAAGCAGAAGATCGAAAATAATGAAGGAAAAGGATGGCAGTGATGGGCCCAGGGTATACGGTCAGATGTCTAAGGTTTGCGCACCAGCTCAGCTACTTAACAGCTATGTGACCTTAATCAACAAACTCAGGCTCGCTCAGACTCATCCCCTTGTCTGTAAACTGGGGATAATAGTTTGTACCTTTCAGGATTGTTGTGAGAAGTAACCGAGGTAATGTGCAGAAAGGGATTAGTACTGTGCCTGCCACATAGTAAACATTAAATACATGTAAGATGCAAGTAGCACTTTTACCATTAGTAAAGAAGGAGTGATCTGGAGCAGTGGAAGGACCACTCCTGGATGGGAATTTAGTCCTAGTCTACGGGACTTACTGTGTGGCCTTGGGCAAGTCATGTCACTCCTGTGTCCCAGATGAACTCTGAAGTCTCTTCCAACAGGACACTCTGAGTACTGTTCTTAGACCCTCCCTGCTGGCCTGCCCTTGGCTCCCAGCTAATTCTCCTAGCCACCGCCCTCACCCAGATGGGATGCAGGTGACACGATGTGCTGTGGAAATGCCACAGCACATAGCTGAGACTCTTTGCTGATGGGTCAGCCCTCGCTTCCCCAAGAAAGCTGACTTTTTGTTTGGGCCTCAGCCATTTCCATGGAGACGGGGGACACAGCAGAAGGGTTATTGAAAGTTCTTCCTCCAGGAAAGGCTCCTCCCTTCCCCAGGGAGCCCACACTCTAGTGATGCAGTTTCCTGGATCCACTGAAACCACGGGGACTTCCCATCCCAGCTGCCTCCGGGCTATTCTGGGGAAACAGGGCCAGGCAGCCCCTTTGAGGTGACTCCCAGCCCTCTGCCCACACTCAGGCTCGGCTTGCACCCAGGCAGCTTCCATCCGGCTGCCTGCAGATTCCTTCTCTCCTACAGGTACCTGCTTGCTCTTGGGATGCAGGAGGAACTTTCCATCATTCCTGCTCTAGGAGCCAAGCCCTTGGCAGCAGAGAGTCAAGCCTTCTGAAGAAAGCCTGGAGCGGACTGTCCCTTCTCTTGGCAGAGTTCAGACTTGTGCCACACACAACCCCGCCACCCCCCACAAGGCAGGACTCATGCCCTGTGACTGGGCTTCCGATACTCCCACACACAACCCCATGAGTCCCTTCCAATACTCCCACACACAGCCCCACATTGAACTTCCCACTAGTGAAACACGCAACCCTGCCACCCCTCACAAGGCAGGGCACATGCCCTGTGACTGGGCTTCCAATAGTCCCACACACAACCCCACTAGTGCCTTCCACATTCAACTTCCCACTACTGAAACACGCAACTCCACCACCCCCACAAGGCAGGGCGCATGCCCTGTAACGGGGCTTCCAATACCCCCAATACTGCATCCTGACTCAGAAGTGACGTCCACCTAAGGCGAATCCTCAAGGCAGCAGGGTCAATCATGTTGGACGCTTTTCTTGCTTCTCCCTTTGGCACTTCTGGGCCCACCCTCAGTGCCCAGCCCCCTCCGCTGCCCAGGCCACTGCATGACCATGGGAAACGCATGGGGATTGGAATTTTCAGTCCAAATACCAATCTGTCACTTACTATTTGGGTGATGTTAGACAAGCTACTTAATCACCTGTGCCTCTGTTTTTCTCATCTGTAAAATGGGAATAATAAAAACAGCCTCACGGAGTTGTATGTATTCCACAAATGCTTACTGAGCTTACTTGAGTGCCCAGTGTTATTCTAGATGCTGGAGAAGCAACAGTGAGCAAAACATACCCGAATTCTTGCAAATTAACAGAGATGACATTTGAAAAGCACCCTGTGGCCTTCCATCCCTAGGCATGATTATTTGTATCACATCAACACTCTTTCAGAAAATAGCTATCAAAACTGAACTAAAATGCAAACCAAAAAACTAAAACCCAGTACTTTGAAAAGCACAGAGCAACAGCTTTTCAACTTTAATTTTTGTTTTGTTTTGTTTTGAGACGGAGTCTCGCTCTGTCGCCCAGGCTGGAGTGCAATGGCCCGATCTCGGCTCACTACCACCTTCGCCTCCAGGGCTCAAGTGATTCTCCTGCCTCAGCCTCCTGAATAGCTGGGATCACAGGCACATGCCACCAAGCCTGGCTAATTTTTGTATTTTTAGTAGAGACGCGGTTTCACCATGTTGGTCAGGCTGGTCTTGAATTCCTGACCTTGTGATCCACCCGCCTCGGCCTCCCAAAGTGCTGGGATTACAGGTGTAAGCCACCGTGCCCGGCCTCAATTTTAACGTACTTAAGAGAACTTGTTAAAACTGTTTCCCAGCTGGGCTCAGTGGCTCATGCCTATAATCCCAGCATATAGGGAGGCCAAGGTGGGCGGATTGCTTGAGCCCAGGAGTTTGAGACCAGCCTAAGAAACATGGCAAAACCCCAACTCTACAAAAAATACAAAAAAATACCTGGATATGGTGGCTTGTGTCTGTAGTCCCAGCTACTCAGGAGGCTGAGGTGAGAGAAATCACTTGAGCCTGGGAGGCAGGCGGAGGCTGCAGTGAGCTGAGATCGTGCCACTGCACTCCAGCTTGGGAGACAGTGAGCCTTTGTCTCAAAACAAAACAAACAAACAAAATCCTGTTTCCTGGGCTGCATCCCCAAAGCTCCTGACTCAATTGGTCAAATTTGGGCTCATGAATTTGCATTTCTACCAACCTTACAGATGATGCCAGTGTTCTAAGGACCACTCTTTGAATTGCACTGGCAGAGGAGAACCATCAAGGTGCCCAGAACCTGAGAGGCAAAGGTGCTGGAGAGAAGGAAGTCTCTTGTGATGAGCCTGACATTCTGAACCTCTCCTGCCTTTGAGGCATCTACTGATTTGCAAGCCCCATGAAGCCAAGAGACCAACCTAAAAACAGCTACTAAGAGTTTTCACCAGTGTCGTGGCTATGGAGATAGTCAGAGTTTGAGGAGCCAAGATCCTGGAGAAAAATTAACTGCAAAGAAGCAAGCCCAACATTCTGCTCATCCTTTTCCTGGAGATATTTTTCAATTCCAGCTCCTTCCTGTCCATGCCTGGTTCTGAGAGCTCTGAGAATCCACTTGCCTGGGGTGCACGTCCACCCACACACAACCTTCAAGCACAGGGGAGTTAATGCCACATCAGGTGAAACTTTGATTAATGGAAGACAGAAGAGGCTGGATAAATTATGCCCTTAGGTAGAGTCCTGAGACACAGCCTACATGGTTTCTTGAGGGCACAGTCCTGTGATCTGAGCAAAATGTTTCACTTAGCAGTGGCTAATATGAAACGATATCCATTGGTGTTCTTTTCATAATGCTAGTAGATTTCCAGTATGCTCCACACAGATTTTTCGTCACTACTCTCACCATCAAAATCTACCTGTTTCTTTTCTTTTTGTTTTGAGACAGGGTCTAGCTCTGTTGCCCAGTCTGGAGTGCAGTGGTGCCATCATAGCTCACTGTAACCTCAAACTCCTGGACTCAAGTAATCCTCCTGCCTCAGCCTCCTGAGTAGCTGGGACTATCAGAGTGCACCACCATGCCCAGCTAATTTTTTTTTTAATTGCAGATATGGGGTCTCACTATGTTGCCCAGGTTGGTGTTGAACTCTTGGGCTTAAGCAGTCCTCCCACCTGGGCCTCCCAAAGCACTGAGATTATAGGTGTAAGCCACCACGTGCAGCCAATTTCTTAAAATAACAATAGCAAACATTTATTGAGAGCTTACTCTATTCTAATTAATGTTCTAAGTGCTTTGCACATACTAATCCATGGAATTACCTCAATTATCCTAGGAGGTAGGCACCAGCATTACCCTCATTTTATGGATGGGAAAATAAAGGAACAAAGAGGTTTAGAAATATGCCTGAGCTGATCAGAGTTGATCTGGGATTTGAGCCTGGGTACCCTTGCTGCAGACTCTGCCTTCTTGAACACCTACACAGCTTCGCAGAGCATCACTGCCTTAAATTACTGAAGAGAATCTGTTTAGGAAGAGTTTTCACGTGTATCCTATTACCTGTGCTTAAACAGTAATCCTGTAATATAAACATGAGGACATAGTGCTATCTCATTTCACAAGTGGGAAAATTGAAGCCCAGAGGTTATTAGAAAACTTCCTGATACAGTTTGGATGTTGTCCTCTCCAAATCCCATGTGGAAATGTAATCTCCAATACTGGGGGTGGGGCCTGGTGGGAGGCGATTGGATCATGGGGGCAGATTATGAAAGGTTTAGTACCATCCCCTTGATACTGTCATCACAATAGTGAGTGGGTTCTCAAGAGATCTGGTGGTTTAAAAGTGTGAGGCACCCTCCCCTCTCTTGCTCCTGCTCTGGCCATGTAATGTGCCTGCTCCTCCTTCGCCTTCCGCCATGATTAGAAGCTTCCTGAAGCCTTCCCAGAAGCCGAGCAGATGTTGGCATCATGTTTCCTGTGAAGCCTGCAGAATCATGAGCCAATTAAACCTCTTTTTCTTATAAATTACCCAGTCTCGGGTATTCCTTTACAGCAATGCGAGAATAGATTAACACACTTCCCAACATTTCCAAAACTAGCTAGCAGCAGAATCAGTATTAGAAATTAAGCCTTAGAGTGAATTAAAAGAAAACGGTATTACTATGTGTCAGTCACTATGCTAAAAGCTTTATATACATCATTCATTTTAAGCCTTACAGCAATCCTATGAGGTAATTATTAGTTCCCCCATATTAGAGAGGAGAAAAATAAAAATGCAGAGAGATTTGGCAAGGTCACAACTAAGAAAAAACAGAGATGACTTTTTAAGGACACTTTATTGAGACATAATTCAAATACCATATAATTCACCCATTTAAAATGTGTACTTTGGCCGAGTGCAGTGGCTCATACCTGTAATACCAGCACTCTGGGAGGCCAAGGTGGGACGATTGCTTAAGCCCAGGAATTCAAGACCAGCCTGGACAATATAGTGAGACCTCGTCTCTACAAAAAGTAAGATAAAATAAATTAGCCGGGCAGGGTGGTGTGCATCTGTGTTCCCAGCTACATAGGAAGCTGTGGCAGAAATATCACTTGAGCCCCGGAGACTGAGGCTGCAGTGAGCCATGATTGCACTACTGCACTCCAGCCTGAGTGACAAAGCAAGTCACTGTCTCAAAAATAAGTAAAATAAAAGGTATAGTTTGATGGTTTCTAGTATATTGACAGGGTTTTGCAACTATACCATAATTAATTTTACAACACTTTTATCATCAGACCTGGAATTTGAACCCAGATCCACCCAGCTCCAAAGCTTATGCCCTTAATCACATTTTATTACCACCAAAATCCAGGTCAGAGCGCCATCCAGGACACAACACTGTCTTTCAGAATGTAAGCCACCTTCCAAAGCCTGAGCATGTTCCCATGAGGCCCTGCCACATGCTTTGGGATGCAGAAATCCCTGAAGATGATGAGGGTGGTGTACAAACAGCACCTGAGAACCGAGGGCTGAATTGAAAGCAGAGCCAGTCCCCCACCAACCTGTGACTGATTCAGCAGACCTCAGAGACAGGGCCCAATCCAGGTGGGGCCTGGAGGTGAAGGTGAAAATAGAACTGAGGTGAAGCTGAAAATAGAGAGAACAGGTCACAATGTGAGCAGGGGCCAAGGATGGTCCAAGCGGATGGCTCTGTCTTTAAATGTTCAGTGATCATGAGACCATGATCACGTAGGGAGGTGGAGGGTGGATAAAAGACTGATCTTACATCTTCATTCACTCATTCAATGTGCACTTACTATTGAATTAGGTATTTTATTATCGTAACAGAAATACCTGCCATCAAGGAGCTCACAGTTCATGAGATAAACCAAGAACAAATTATTATAATCCATTTAGTCATTCATTCCATAAATGTATTTATTATTATTTTTTTTTTTTTTTTTTTTTTGAGACGGAGTCTTGCTCTCTCCCAGGCTGGAGTGCTTTTTATTTGAGGAGTCTCACTCTGTCACCCAGGCTAGAGTGCAGTGGCACAATTTCAGCTCACTGCAACCTCTGCCTCCCAGGTTCAAGCAATTCCCCTGCCTCAGCCCTCCACGTAGCTGGGATTACAGGTGCACACCACCACACTAGAAATGTTTATATTTTTAGTAGAGACAAGGCTTCACCATGTTGGCTAGGCTAGTCTCAAACTCCTGACCTCAGGTGATCCCACCCGCCTTGGCCTCCCAAAGTGCTGGGATTTACAGGCATGAACCACCATACCCGGCCCATTCCATAAATTTATACTGAATACTAATAATGTGTCAGATACTGTCCTAGGAGCTGTGGATCCAGCGATGATCAAGACTGGCATAATTGCCAGCTACCCCCAAATGCCATCCTGCACTCCTTTCACAGTAAGCCTGCATTTTCCAACCCCCAGCACTGAGGAATGGCCAATAGGAAGCAGAATGGCCAATGGTACTGGAAGTGACACGTGGCACCTCCAGATTATGACTTTAAAGGGAGGGGCCTGGTCCTTCTTCCCCCACCTCTGTCTCCTTTCCACTGCTGGCTGTGAGTATGGCAGTAAGCTGTAATGTATCAGGCAATACCCATAGCTGACAGACCCGAGAGAGGAGCCTGCCTCCATGCTACCATGGAATCTCCATATCAGCCTTGAACTGTGCACACCTGACTATTACATGAGGGCAAGAGGAGGCTGTCTCTTGTTTAAGCCACTGGTATACCGGTTTCTGTCGTAGAAATCAACCGTGCATTCTAAAACAATAACAAACACAACTCCTCCTCCACAGGTGGGATATGGAGGGAATAAAAGAGCCTGTGCTTGGGAAGAATGAAGGAAAACAGCAGGATTAATTAGCAGACATGAGACAGAATCAACTTAGTTTCCAAGAAGAAATTCCTAGAGCTTTCAGCCGGGTGCCGTGACTCATGCCTGTAATCCCAGCACTCTGGGAGGCTGAGGCAGCTGGATCACCTGAGGTCAGGAGTTTGAAACCAGCCTGGCCAACATGGTGAAACCCCATCTCTACTAAAAAAAAAATACAAAAATCAGTCAGGCATGGTGGCAGGAGCCTGTAATCCCAGCTACTCGGGAGGCTGAGGCAGGGGAATTGCTTGAACCCAGGAGGCAGAGGCTGCAGTGAGCCAAGATCACACCACTGACTCCAGCCTGGGTGACAGAGGGACACTCTGTCTCAAACAAAAAGCAAAGCAAAGAAAAGAAAAGAAACACATAGAGCTTTGAAGGGAAAGGCTAGCAGTGCAGAGCATAAGCTCGTCTTGTATTTGCCATACAGGGATCCATGACTCTTCCCAGGACTCATTGGAATACTTAGGGCCCCAGAACATGGCATACATTAGGATGTGTTCAGTTGCAAGTAGCAGAAAAACTGACTAAAAGTGGCTAAAACATGAGCATGTTTATTGTTTACTAAAGAAATCTAAAGGCAGTTTATTCCATTGTTGGTTTAGCGGTTGACATCACTGAAGACCAGTATTTCCATTCTTACACTCTACTTAGCTCACTGTTTAGTCTTAAGCATTCCAACTCATGGTGGTAAAATGGTTGCCTAAGCTCCAGCCCTCATGTTCTCATCAGGCACAAAGGGTCAAAGTGGGAGTAGAGGAGAAATTGGGAAACAAGGCTGCAGGAGAGAGCTCTCTTATTTATCCCTTCCTGGAAGTCTTCACCCAGCAAATATTTTATTAAATAGTAGTTGTTAGAACTCAGTCTGTGGGCCACTGTTATCTGTAAAAGTAGTTGAGAAACTGAAAAATTTGATTCTGAAGTCTCTTTTGACTTCAAGTAGTGGATGAGAGAGAAAGGTGTTGTTATATCATAACACTTAAGAGAATTAGAGGAGGTTATTTAAAGCTCTGTCTGGAGACCTAGTCTCTCTCTGGGGTTGTTCTGGTTCAGGTTGAGGCCTGACACCAACCAGGAATTGTAATTTAAAAGAAAAAAAAAAAGTTGTTCGGGCACAGTGGCTCATGCCTGTAATCCCAGCACTTTGGATGGCCGGAGCAGGAGGATTGCTTGAGGCCAGGAGTTCCAAGACCAGCCTGGGCAGCATAGCAAGACCTCGTCTCTTTTAAAAAAAAAAAAAAATAGCCGGGTATGATGGTGCACACCTGTAGTCCCAGCTACTCTGGAGGCTGAGGTAGGAGGATCGCTTGAACCCAGCAGGTCAAGACTGCAGTGAGCCACGATTGATCATGCCACTGCACACCACCCTGGGTGACAGGGGGAGATCCTGTCTGTAAAAATATTTTGGAATTTTTTTCTAAGCCAAATGTGGTCTGAGCTATACTAGATATGAGTCCTGCACCATCTCGGCCCTAGACTTTCAAGGCTTTTCTCTTGAGGGAAAGTCAGGAGAAGGGAGGACGCCTGCAAACCTCCTGCCAGCTCCCTTCCAAGACCCTTGCCCCGGGCCTTTTCCTGCTGGACTCCTATCTGTCAGAGACAGAAGGGGTACTAGGTGGTTTGGACACTGGTTTGAGGGTGAGCATTTTTTCATCCCCAGAGCATAGCCCTCCTCTCAGGATGAGCCAGGCCCAGCAGGGACCTTGAGGGTCAAAATCCCCCTCTTTGGGGTGAGAGGCCCCTCTTCTCTTTAGTTAGCATGGACTTCTACATATAGCAGGGAAACTCTCTACAGTTTGCACAGGACTGGTTTCAACGTCCTCCCCATTGCAATTGAGTGCACACAGCTCCTGCATTTTTTTAAGCTATGTTTGTGTGAGTCTGTGTGGTTGTGTGTGTGTGTGTGTGTGTGTGCGTGTGTGTGTGTGTGTGGTGCTGGTTGTGAGGAAAGCAAGAAGTATGTGCCCAAGGCTCCCAGGAAGGAGAGGGACTCATCCTGTCCTGTGGTCTCAGGGCTGCTGGTATAAATCAATTTCATCTCTCATTGACTTGGCAGAATATTAAAAGCTCTGGGAATGCCGAACATTCCTATAAAAGAGATGTTTGCTGAGATAAAATAACTCACAGGTGACTGTCTGCACCACAGACAGGATCTCCAGGATCTAAAGAACAAATTCCTTTATGGTTATGTTTCCCAGGGTCAAAGGCCAAACTACAGTCATTTGAAGGTCTCCTTCATCTGGCCCCAGAATGGCTCCTGATACGTTTCTCTAAAATGGCTTCTTTACAAGCCCCAAATATGATTCTGCTTCTCCTTCTGCCTGGAATGAGCCCCCTCTCATCTCCATGTGACTGACCTGCCCCTCCCCCACAAACCATACCCAGGGTTTTCTATTATGCTTGCAGTAAAATTCAAACTCCTCCCTATAGTCTCAGGGGCCCTGCACACTTTGGCTCCACCCACCTCACCAATCTCATCTTCTTTCACTCTGCCTTCTCTGTGCTCCGGCCACCAACAACCAATACTCCTTCCTGCCTCAGCACCTTTGCACTTGCAGTTTCCTCTGTCTCAAACTCTGTTTTCCTAAATCCTTGCAAGGTTGACCCTTATAAATCTAAGACCCCTGCTGGGTGCGGTGGCTCACGCCTGTAATCCCAGAGCTTTGGGAGGTCAAGGCAGATGGATCACCTGAGGTCAGGAGTTCGAGACCAGCCTGGCCAACATGGTGAAACCCCTGTCTCTACTAAAAATAAAAAAAATTAGGCCAGGCACAGTGGCTCATGCCTGTAATCCTAGCACTTTGGGAGGCCAAGGCAGGCGGATCACCTGAGGTCAGGAGTTCAAGACCAGCCTGGCCAACATGGTGAAACCCCATCTCTACTAAAAATACAAAAATTAGCCAGGCACGGTGGCACGTGCCTGTAATCCCAGCTACTCGGGAGGCTGAGGCAGGAGAATCACTTGAACCTAGGAGTTGGAGGTTGCAATGAGCTGAGATTGCACCATTGCACTCCAGCCAGGGTGACAAGAGCAAAAGAGCAAAACTTCATCTCAAAAAAAAAAAAAAGGTAAAATAAAATAAATACAGAACCCAATATAAAGTAGCCGTATATGCCCCAGGCATAATCTTTTGATCAATCTGTTTGATTTTTTTCAAGGCACTTATTCCAGATTTTCCTGTTCATGATTTGTTCACTTGTGTTTTTACGTCTCCCTCCCCGCTACTAGAATAGGAGCTCCATGAGAGCAGTTTCCTTTTCTGCCTTGTTCAGCATTACCTGGGTGTTTCTAGCACTTGGCAGAATTCTTGCCCCTATAGCAAACATATACTTGCTGAGTAAATGACTGAAAGCTCAGTTTAGGTGGAACCATCAAAAGATTTTGCTTAAGGCCAGGTATGGTGGCTCATGCCTGTAATCCCAGCACTTTGGGAGGCTGAGGAAGGTGGATCGCCTGAGGTCAGGCGTTCAAGACCAACCTGGCCAACATGGTGAAACCCTGTCTCTACTGAAAATAAAAAGTTAGCCGGACGTGGTGGCATACCCCTGTAACCTCAGCTACTCGGAGGCTAAGGCGGGAGAATTGCTTGAACCCGGGAGGCAGAGGTTGCAGTGAGCCAAGATCACGCCACTGCACTCCATCTTGGGCGACAGAGCAACACTTCATCTCAAAAAATAAAATAAAATAAAATAATATAAAATAAATTAAAATATGCCAGGCGCAGTGGCTCACGCCTGTAATCCCAGCACTTTGGGAGGCCGAGGCGGGCAGATCACGAGGTCAGGAGATCAAGACCATCCTGGCTAACACGGTGAAACCCCGTCTCTACTAAAAATACAAAAAATTAGCCAGGCATGGTGGCGGGCGCCTGTAGTCCCAGCTACTCCGGAGGCTGAGGCAGGACAATAGTGTGAACCCGGGAGGCAGAGCTTGCTGTGAGCCGAGATCGCGCCACTGCACTCCAGCGTGGGCGACAGACCAAGACTCTGTCTCAAAATAAATAAATAAATAAAATAAAATAAGCCTTTGCTAATTCCCTGAGCTAGAAATAATCTCCCTCCTCTGAACGGCAAAGCCACACTCTCTGCCTCTCCTAAGGTCCTCAGCACTTCTGCCTGTACTGCAGTTATTTATAGCTTTTATCTCCCCTACTAGAGCTTGGGCTCCTTGATCTAGCTCCTCACCTAATTCATCTCTGTATCTCCCATCTCCTCCCAGCTTCTAGCAAAGTGCCTTGTGCACTGTCAGTGTTCCTTCAATGCTGAATAAGTGATGTTGACTGTCCTCACAGACCCCTAAGAACCATTTGGAATTCCATAGCTATGTATACCAAGCATCATGCTCGACACTCTGTTCAAGACAACTGCGAATATATGCAAATATGATTTCCAAAGACGAATATTGCTGGGGAGATAAAATTGAGTAAACACAGGGCTTTACTGGCAGGTTGTTCTGATGATAATTTTCTCCTCATACTCAGCATAATTGGATGGCTGCATCTAGGTTGTTTTGCACCAGCCCTCTTCAAAGGAGGGTGATTAAATGCCAAGAAGATGAAAATTGAAAGCAACAATCTTATTAGGGGAATGGAAAAATGACAAATGCCACTGAGTCTCTATAAAGATGCAAGGCAGAGAGGGACTTTTTCAGTGCTGGTTGGACCTTGAGGGGCCGTGAGGATCCCGACTTGGTCTGTTTCCACTCTGGTACATCTCCACCACAAGCCTTAAGGTTGCATTCACAGGTCTGCCTTTCGCTATAGCATCCCCTCATACTTTGTTGGCTTATGCAGATATTACCATTGTTTCCTAGTGGAGGATGGATTTGGGGGGATGTTTTTGTTTTACCAGGTGTTTCAAACCAAACTCCCTCTGCCATGCACTTTGCTCTGAAATCTCCATTCCCACTCCTCCTTGGTCTCCTCAGGCATGCTCCTGTTAGGCCAAATTACAATCTCCCAAACATGCCATCTTGCTTTACAACTATTTCCACCAGTGGCTTGTTCTACTTGGGAATGCCTTCCCCATCAGGCCACTTTCAACATCCATCCATGGGAACTCACCCATTAAGGCCAACTCCAGCCACGCCTCCTGAGAGCCAAGGCCTTCCCTGAGTTAATTATTCTCCCTGTTCGTGCCTTCACTAGATCTTGTTCTTGACCTATCACAATTGTCACCTTGAATTGTCTGTGTCTATCTCCTCCCTTACCCAACTCTGAGGTCCCGAGGGCAGGGGCTGAGTCTAGTTTGTCTCTATAGCCCCTGTGCCTAGCATAGTGCCTGGCACACAGCAAGTGCTCAATAAATGTTTGTAGAACACAGGATATAGAACATGAGCCAAAGTCCTTACTACCGCACAGTATGACAGAGTTGTTAAGTACATGGGCCCTACAAAGAGATTGCTTGAGTTCAAATCCTAGATCTCGACTTGCTAGATATATGATGTCGACCAAGTTACACGGATATGGTTTGGATATTTGTCCCCTCTAAATCACTTATGTTGAAATGTAATCTCAGGAAGAGGGGCCTGGTGGGAAGTGTCTGGGCCATGGGGGTGGATTCCTTATGAATGGCGTGGTGGCCTCTTTATGGTAATGAGTGCATTCTCCCTGTGAGATCTGATTGTTTGAAAGTGTGTGGCACCTCCCCCCTCACACTCTTGATCCTGCTGTCACCATGTGACACGCCTGTGCCTGTTCCACCTCCGCCATGAGTGGAAGTTTTCTGAGGCCCTCACCAAAAATAGATACTGGCACCATGCTTTCTGCACAGTGTGCAGAACTGTGAGCCAATTAAATCTCTTTTCTTTATAAACTACCCAGTCTCAGGTATTTCTTCATAGTGATGCAAGAATGGACTAATACATACATGAAGTCCGCTTCCTCATCCCTAAAGCAGGGATGATGACGATCATGGTAATAACAGCCACCCGACCATCACAGGGATGTTGCAGGGGTATTAACACAGCACACGTACGGTGCTCAGACAGTGCCTGACAGATGGTGCACGTGGCTGTTATCATTGCTAATGGGGTGATCGTGGGTAAATCATTTACCCATTCTCAGTCATTTCTACTTATTTCCTCAGTAACAAAGTCACAATTGCTGGGAGGCTCAAATGATACAATACAATACGTGAAATTGCTGGGAAGAAGAAAAATACCGTATGAATAAGGTGAAATCCCACATCATGAAAATTGTGAACTGCCTCTTCCTCTCCCACTCTTTCTGCACGCCTCCCCTTCATTTGGAAATGCGTGACATTATATTGCTCCTCTCAAATAAATCAGAAAATGCGGAGATATTACCCTATTTGAGTGAAAAACAAAATTATCATCTATAATTAGGCCACGTACACTAGGCAAAGTTGTTCATCTAACCCCTTGGGTTAAGGTCAGGATTACCTGCTTTAGTACCCCATGGGGCTGGCGCAATAGTAATTGTGATTTTTGCCATTGAAAGTAATGGTAAAACTGCAATTACTTTTGTTTTGTCTTGTTTTGTTTTGAGATGGAGTCTCGTTCTGTTGCCCAGGCTGGAGTGCAGTGGCACAAACTCAGCTCACTGTAGCTTCCACCTCCCGGGTTCAAGCAACTCTCCTGCCTCAGCCTGCCAAGTAGCTGGGATTACAGGTGCCTGCCACCATGCTGGCCTAATTTTTTTGTGTTCTTAGTAGAGACGGGGTTTCGCCATGTTGGCCAGCCTGGTCTTAAACTCTTGACCTCAAGTGATCCGCCTGCCTTGGCCTCCCAAAGTGCTGGGATTATAGACATGAGCCACTTTGCCCAGCCAAAAACCACAATTACTTTGGCACAAACCTAATAATTCTGTAATCCATTCTTCATGCCTTTTGAATCATCTATTCTAGTCACCCTCTATAACAGCATATGCAACATAGGTGGGACTAGGGATGTGTTTCCTCAACCTTTGCTCCTTCAAATAAAACCCGTACAACTTTTGCCATATCTTCTTAGTGTGTTTCTTCTTTAGACTAGCTCCCTTTTAAAATTTAAATAAATTTATTTACAAAGGGAACTAGATGTAGAAAAAATGAAAAGTGCTTGCTATAAATAAAAGGAAACAAAGAAAGAACTACAATGAAAACACAACATTATTGTTGAATTCCAGCCAAATGCCATTGCTTCTGTAAGACTCTTAGCTTTGTTCAGGAAAAAAAGGTTAAGAAGAGACAGAAAGGCGTTTCACTTATTGACCTTGAACTGAAACTTCCTCCATATTGTTGAAAAGAAAAGGGAGTGGGGAAGCTACTATCTCACTTTATGTTTTAAGGTTAATTCCATATTAGTGCACCACAGAAAATCAGCTCATGTGTGCCATACAGGCATATTTTACTAGTAGTACACAGGTGGCCCTGTGGAAACACTGGCTAACTTACTAGAAAATCATTATCATGGACTAAATGCCTTCAGACATCAACCATAGATAACCCAATCTGAGCACAGTCTAGACCCTTTTTCCCCGTCACTTCATACAAATCTGCTATCAGGTCCTATAGAGTCTGCCCCTTCGTGGCCCTTGAATCTCTCCCTCCTCTCCATCCCCAGCACCATCTTCTGAGCTCAGCTCCTCATCAATTCCCTGTGGACTGGTGCAGTATCCTTCTCTAGCATCTGTTTCCTAAGGCCTCTCACATTCTTGCTCCATCTGCCATATGCCTGCCAAAATCAAGATCCTAACAAAAGTTTGTTGAATGAATGAGCATATATCTTTAAAGACCCAAATAAGTCACCATCCAAAGGCATGATTGGTATTTCTTGGAGACAAATTGGAGTGAGGATAAGGTCTGAAAGTTCAAGAAAAAAGAAATGTGGCCGGGCGCTGTGGCTCATGCCTATAATCCCAGCACTTTGGGAGACCCAGGCGGGCGGATCGCTTGAGGCCAGGAGTTTAAGACCAGCTTGGGCAATATGGCAAAACCCCTTCTCTACAAAACATACAAAAATTAGTCAGGCTTGATGGTGCATGCCTGTAGCCTCAGCTACTCACGAGGCTGAGGCGGGCAGATTGCTTGAGCTTGGCAAGTTGAAGCTGCACTGAGCCATGATCATGCCACTGCACTCCTGCCTGGGTGACAGAGCGAGAGAAAGAGAAGAAAGAAAGAGAAAAAGAGAAAGAGAAAGAGAGAGAGGAAGGAAGGGAGGGAGGGAAGGAGGTGGGGAGGAAGGAAGGAAAGAAGGGAGAGAAAGGAGTGCAGTGATTAATTAGATGAATTAAAGAGCTTTCTGGAGCTCTGGAAGACTGTGACAAAAGATACAATACTCCTTCCCAACCAGAGAGGATATAACCTTATCAAGCAACCACCCCTGTCTTCTCAGCCTCACTATTCCCCCAGGGGACCCCTGCCCCAATGTCCTTTATGTGTTCTGTTCTGTAGAGCTTTGAGCTCTGTCTATATCTTTTTCCCCAATAGACTGTGAGCTCCTTGAAGGTAGAGACCATACTTTGGTCAGTCTCTACATTCCCAACGCTTAGTACATTGAGGAGATGCCAAATAAATGCTGGCTGAACTGAACTGCTGAAGTCAAATGCCTAGTAATTCCACCTCACCTGTCCCCAGTTACCTCTCTCTGCCAAAGCCAACAGGATCCTTGTCAGCCATCCAAGGCCTGAACACAACCTTGTGTAGTTTGCAAGCAGGATAATTTGTTTCTTCTTGGGAGATCCTGTCAGCCTCTTCTTTAAGAGGGAAAAGTTTAAAAAAAAAAAAAAATCTTGGCAGAAGACAAATCCAACTGGAAAACACCTCAGATTGTGATTAAGAAAGAGTCTTGAAGGTGGCTCTTCCAACAATCTCTTATGTACATCTCCAAAAATTCATATAATGATAACTGCGGGTCAGCAACATCTTCCCTTGCCAACAGTATAATTAAATTACCTTTGTCAGTGACTGTGGGCCCCAGGGACTGTGCTGAGGGAAAGCCATTTGTTTAATAGGAGGTTCAGCACAGGAGCCTGTCCTTTGCCGCCTCCCCCCAGGCATTTGTTTCACTACCATTTAAAGAGTATTCTGTGCTATGAGATGGATACTTTGGCAGTTTCTATTTTGCAGCTGCAGGATTGAGGCTCAGATAAGTCAAACAACATGCCCAAGATCACACAATACCCATAGCCAGTGTCACTAACCATTACACACACTGTCCCTTTTTCTCCCAGACCAAGAGCCTTTTTAATTACCTATCACTCTGTTCCTGGTAAAAGGTCTGCATAACAACTCTCAGGCCACGGTCTTCAGGGGGAGGGGTGCTCTAAAAACATGTGGGTGGAAAAACACTCCTCAAATCCACGAATATATCCATGAACCTGTAGCAGAGATGTAAGGATTTTCCAACCAGACACTGCACCACTGCCAAGCCAGGCTTTTAGCCCATATTATATGTAAATATTATATGATGTATGTATATATGTGAATATATAATTTATATATATTGAATAGTATATATTTTATATAATATCCCATATTACATGTGAATAGTAATACTTTTACATACACATACATATTTCTATTTCTTTTCAGGCAGTGAATGCCACATGAACTTGGATCCCTTTCCCTTCAAGGCCCAGCTCAAATGGCACCTCCTCTGTGAAGACATCCTTGATTCCACTAATAGCAGTGGTCAGGCTTTTAGCCTGACTAAAACCAGGGATCCTTTAGTCAGGCACTATTTTATCATTTTCAAGAATTCAATGAGGTGGGTATTATTATCCCCTTTCTATAGGTAAGCAAACTGAAACACAGAGAGGTTAAGTACTTGTCCGAAGTCACAGAAGTGGTAAGCGGAGAAGCTAGGATTTCATTCATTGAGCAAATCTTTACTGAGTGCCTTCTATCTGCAGGTGCTGTTCTGGTTCTTTTTTTTTTTTTTTTTTTTCTTTTTCTTTTTTTGAGACAAAGTCTCGCTCTGTCGCCCAGGCTGGAGTGCAATAGCACGATCTCAGCTCACTGCAACTTCCGCCTCCCAGGTTCAAGCGATTCTCCTTCATCAGCATCCCAAGTAGCTGGGTTTATAGACGCTCACCACCATGTCCATCTAATTTTTTTTTTTTTTTTGTATTTTTAGTAGAAACGGGGTTTCGCTATGTTGGCCAGGCTGGTCTCCAACTCCTGACCTCGTGATCCACCTGCCTTAGCCTCCCAAAGTGCTGGGATTACAGGCATGAGCCACCGTGCCCAGCTTTGCAGGTGCTGTTCTAGAGACTGGAGAAATAGCAACAAACAAGATCATCAGAAACCTTCTATATCCATGCTCTTTGTATGGGTCCACATACCTGGAATGAGGATGATGACAATGATGATGACAACTAATACCGCTATTCGCTGAGTACCTACTATGCACCAGACTTCAGTCTGCTCAACGGTAAAATGGGGTTAGTATTGTCTGTTCCATTCCATAGAGTAGGAGCATATTGTCTCATTTAATCCCCAAACTCCATGAAATAATATGATGATGCCCAGCTTACAGTTGAGCAAAGTGAAGCTGAGTAAATTTAAGTTACTTGCCTACGAGTCCATCCTTTCCTGATCCATGCACCTAGATGCTCCCCATCCTCCAGGGCCTGGCTCAAATCACACCTCACTACAAGGTCTTCCTTGGCTGCCCCCGCCTAGTCACCTCCGGCACGTTCCTTTTTTTTTTTTTTTTTTGACGGAGTCTGGCTCTGTCACCCAGGCCGGAGTGCAGTGGCACAATCTCGGCTCACTGCAAGCTCCACCTCCCGGGTTCATGCCATTCTCCTGCCTCAGCCTGCCGAGTAGCTGGGACTATAGGCGCCCGCCACCACGCCCGGCTAATTTTTTTGTATTTTTAGTAGGCACGGGGTTTCACTGTGTTAGCTAGGATGGTCTCAATCTCCTGACCTCGTGATCCGCCCACTTCAGCCTCCCAAAGTGCTGGGATTACAGGTGTGAGCCTCCGTGCCCAGCCCTTCCACATTCTTATAATGACAATCATCTGGACAATCTGGAGAGAGACATCTGAAACCAGGGAAACATAAACATGTATGAGGCAATGTCTTTGAGGTGCTGGCACAAAGTTTAGGCCATAGCTGCAGCTCCCTCTCACAGACTCCCCCACCACCACTCCCACCATTGGAATAGGCTTTAGGGTTTCAGAGCTGCAGCTCCTCTAAACCTCAGTGGCTTCTTTCTGTGAAAGACAGTATTTCCTTTATCTGGGTGGATGCACAGAGCCAAATCCAGGTGGTTTTACTTTCTTGGGAAGATATTAATATCTTCACTGTGTGACATTGTCCATCACCAGAGAGGAATTGAGTGGACTCACCACTGAGAGCACCACTTATTATAACAAACTCTGGTCTGTTCTTATCTACCCTTGAAACACCAGAGAAACAACTATTTAGGCATGGCCAGGCCAGGTTAAAGCTTCAGAAGTGCTATCCAGCCCATCCATGGGACCAAGGGACTGAGGCCACCAGGTCTTTGCACACAATGTTCCCTCTGTCTAGACTCTGAATGACATTCTTTGCAATATTTTTACCTGGTGAACTTCCATGCATCTTTCAAGACCCAAATTAAGGGTCATCTCCCCTGTGACTCTTCCTGACTGTCAGGGGCAGGTTCAGCCCCTCCTTCCTCTGTGTTCCCTCTGTACCTTATTCATATGCTCATTAGACATATCCCATATCATATGTGAATATTAATATTTTTACACACACATACATATTTCTATTTCTTTTTAAGTTGTGTACTCCACAAGGATTTGGATACCTTCCCCTTCAAGGCCTGGCTCAAATGGCACCTCCTCTGTGAAGACTTCCTTGATTATACCAAGAGCACATTGTTTGATTCTCCACTATGGCCTTTAAGCCTTGGTGCCTGGATGAGTATATGAGAGAGAGAGAATGTGTGTGTGTGTGTGTGTGTGCATGCACATATGTGAAATCTGGTGCTCCTTCTGGGTTATGAGCTCCTTGGAGGCATGGCCGGGTGTTTGTTTGTTTGTTTTGAGATTCGCTCTTTCACCCAGGCTAGAGTGCTGGAGTGCAGTGGCGTGATCTCAGCTCACTGCAACCTCTGCCTCCCGGGTTCAATCGATTCTCCTGCTTCAGCCTCCCGAGTAGCTGGGATTTCAGGCGGGCCCCATCACGCCCAACTAATTTTTGTATTTTTAGCAGAGACGGGGTTTCACCATGTTGGCCAGGCTGGTCTCGAACTCCTAATCTCAAGTGATCTGCCCACCTCAGCCTCCCAAAGTGCTGGAATTACAGGCAGGCATGAGCCACTGCGCCCAGCCGGCATGGCTGTTTTATGATACATTTCTGTGTCCCTGCCTCCTCACCTAGATTCTAGCATATGATATATGCTCATTATTTGTACAAAGCTTATAAACCCTGAGTCCCATATCCCTTGTTTTTGGGTGCAGTTGAATTGAAAGAACCATAGTCTTACAGCCAACATAGTGAAAAAGGAATCCCATTCTTTACCTAGGTATCTCCAAGAACAGGAAAGGGGATGCGATATATAACTGACAGTGACGCTCATCCAAAATGTCTTCTCCTCTCCAGCTCTCTTACGCTCTGAAATTGCTCTGGAGCCTCTGGCTGCCAACCCTACCTCCCTTTCCCCTGCCACATCCTCAAGCACTCTCCCTCACACAGCCCCGAGAGGCCGAGAGGCCGTGTGACTGGTTCTTCCTCTTTGACTTCCCTGCCTTCTCCCTACCTCACCTCTCTCTCCCCATTCTTTGTTAGGTAAATCTGCTTCTCTTTTTGGCTTTTCTTGTGGGTCCATAGTAGTTGTATATATATATATTAATTGGTTACATGAGATACTTTGATACAGGCATACAATATGTAATAATCACATCAGGGTAAATGGAGTATCTGTCACCTCAAGCGTTTATCCTTTGTGTTACAAACAATCCAATTGCACTCTTAGTTATTTTTAAATGTACAATAAGTTATGGTTGACAGTAGTCACTCTGTTATGCTATCAAATACTAGCTGTTTTCATTCTATCTAACAATATTTTTGTACACATTAACCATCCCCATTCCCCACCAAACTACACTTCCCAGCCTCTGGTAACCATCATTCTCCATGATGTTGAGAAGTTTCATTTTTAGCTCTCTATCCGTAGGTCTCTATCTCCATGAGTTGAGATGTTTTAATTGTTAGCTCCCACAAATGAGTGAGAACAAGTGAAGTTTGTCTTTCTGTAGCTGACTTATTTCACTTAATATAATGTCCTGCAGTTCTACTCATGTTGTTACAAATGACAGGACCTCAGTTTTTTTATGGCTGAATGGTACTCTGTTGTGCAAATGTACCACATTTTCTTTATCCCTTTGTCTGCTTTTTTTAAATTATTATTATGAAGACAGGGTCTCACTCTGTTGCACAGGCTGGAGTGCAGTGACAAAATCATGGCTCCCTGCAGACTCAAATTCAAATTCCTGGGCTCAAGCAATCCTCCCTCCTCAACCTCCTGAGTAGTTAGGACTACAAGTGTGCACCACCACACCCAGCTATTTATTTTGTTTTTTACGGAGATGAGCTCTCACTATATTGCCCAGACTGGCCTTGAACTCCTGGGTTTAAGGGGTCCTCCCCACTCAGCCTCCCAAAGTACTGGGATTACAGGCATGAGCCACCATGCCTGGTATGATTTTTCTGTTGATGGGTACTTAGGGTTGCCTCCAAATCTTGGCTACTGTGAATAGTGCTGCAATAAACACAGGAGTGCAGATATCGCTTGAACTTCCTTTCTTTTGGGATACACCCAGTCTTTTCTGCCTTTGGTTTGCTTTCCACTTTAAGCAAGCGTCCTTTCTCGCTTTCCTCCCATATCTTTGGAACTCTGCCTCTCTCTACCTATTTCCCATTTTTGTGCCCTTCCTCAAGTCTAGGGAAGCAGGATGACAAAGGGCAAATCCTCCCTCAGAAGGAGAAGAAAGGGCTCAACACAAGCAGGTGGCTGGCATCCACTTGCTGAGAAATCTTGTCTTAGGCTAAGCATGGTAACTCATGTGTGTAACCCTAGTGCTTTGCGAGGCCAAGGCAGGAGGATCACTTAAGCCCAGGAGTTTGAGGCTGCAGTGAGCTATGATGATGCCACTGAATTCCAACCTGGATGACAGAGTGAGACTCTATCCCCCCAAAAAAGAAAGAAAGAAGGAAATTTTGCCCGAGCCACATGTGTTTCTTGAATGGATAGACGGATAAATGGATCCAGAGTGTCACTGTAAGTTACATCACTTATTTATTTAACACATATCCATATAACACCTACCATAAGCCAGTTATCGACACTAAGAAGCTGGCCTTAACAGGAGGAACAAGGTGGAAATCCTAGCTGATAAGGTACACACATCAAGCTTCCCTTTTTGTGGGAAGAGGGTCCCAGTGCGTGTCCCCAACCCTAAAGAATGTGGGTTATTCTGTTTTTAAGCAAACATACCAGTGTTGAGAGCCTCCTTCTCCATTTGTTAGGTAGGAAAATGCACTCACAGAAGTCAAGCGAGTTACTCAAGATCTTTCAGCAAGAAAATGGGAGAACCTGGGCCTTTGCACTTTGCCTTAGGTTTCAATGAAGAGATTGCCTTCTTTGGAAATTCGTGATATAGTCTTTTGGCCCATTGACTGCTGAGTGCAGCTATTTTAGGGTTTGGTTTGAACAAAAGTGCAAAAATGAGTCCTAATATGAATATATACTTCATATAATAACAATGATAGGTACTATTCACTAAGCATTTACCATGAGCTAGGCGCAATGCTATACCCTCTATGATGCATGATTTCAGTTAATTCTGCTGATAGTCCTACAAGATAGATGTTACAGACCAGGAGACTGATACTGTGGAGAGACTAAATAACTTGCCCAATATCACAGAGACAAGATTCAAACAGAGGCCTGAGGGATTCAAACTACTGTGCTCTCAGCCAAGATGGTCAACTCCTCTCCCTCCCGACAGAGCCCGTTTCAACTCAGGTGGTCTCCAGAATGCTGTGAACCAGGGCGATCTTTCTGGTCTATGTTTTGCTCTTTTCTCCATCCTTTGCCCCCACGTTCTCCACCCCTAAACACACACATGCACGTGTGCGTATGCGAGCGCGCACACACACACACACATCTGGTAAAGGCAGCAATATGGTTTGGCTCTGTGTCCCCACCCAAATCTCATCTTGAATTGTACTCCCATAATTCCCATGTGTTGTGGGAGGGATCTGGTGGGAGATAATTGAACCATGGGGGTAGATCTTCCCATACTGTTCTCGTGGTAGTAAATAAGTCTCACAAGATCTGATGGTTTTATCAGGCCTTTCTACTTTTGCGTCTTCCTCATTCTCTCTTTGACTGCTGCCATGCATGTAAGACGGGACTTGCTCCTCCTTGCCTTCCGCCATAATTGTGAGGCTTCCCCAGCCATGTGGAACTGTAAGTCCAATTAAACCTCTTTCTTTAGTAATTACCCAGTCTCAGGTATGTCTTTATCAGCAGCATGAAAACAAACTAATACAGACAGTGACTTAGGGAGGCAGTGGTGGCAAAAGAAAAGATAATCCAGCAGGCAATAATTAGGAAGCCCCAAAACTCACATCCTGGAATGTGGACGTGGTCCGAATAGCCTCAGCACCCTGAACAGTTCCTCCTCAGCCCACATTGGTCACCAGTGTCCTGTAACACCCCTGCAGTAGGCTGCAGAGCCTGAGGAACAGCCCCGGGCCTGCCTCCCACCTCCTCACCTCCATTCTGAATGCAGCTGCTCTGCCCTAGTGGCTCCAGAGACTGCACCCACAGCCTCTCCCCGAGTTTCCACATCCCAGCCTAGCCTCTGGGTTGACACTTATTCCTTCTGAATGCTGCTTTTCAGCCAAAGCTGCGTAGAAACAGTGGGACCTCCAGGCAGGGAAGTCTCATGCACCTTGAAATGGATATTCTTTCAATATCTATTCTGCATTTATTTAAAAGAGAGGGGCAGGGTGGGTGAAGGAGGCCTTCTTGTTAGTGGCCACCCCAGCCTGTCCTCCACCATCACAGCAATTTGGCTCTGAGCTTGCCCATCAAACTTTGCAAAACCAGAGTCCCAACAACTGACCCAACTGCAGCCTCCCTGGAAGGCAGTTAGCAGCCTGAGCAGACGTTTTGAAGATCCACGTCACCAACATCCTCAGTAGCATCTTATTGAAGTATTTCTTGCAACCTTCTTGCAAGCATGCACTGTATTTTCCTTGGAAGGAGTTCTGGGAGCAAAGATTTACTCCATGCCCTCAGAACTCCAGTGTTGGCCAGCCAGTTAGGTTTTGTGTCTGCCTAGTGGCCTCTGCCTGTTCTCAGATCTCTCTAAGCTGTAAACTGGGCCTCTCAGCTAGTCCTGCCCACTTGATGCTGAGAAGAGACTTTCTCTGAGTCCACACTCAGGTGTAGGAGATACCAGATTTTGGAGAAAGGGAGTTCAAACAGCGTATTTTCACAATGTTAACAGTTCTGTCATTGATATGCTTATCACAGTTCATGTGGCCATTCAGTGTGGCAGCACTTCTTATTGTTTACCCAAAAGCTGTTATTAAATCAGAAAACAGCTGACAATCCATGGTATCTTGAAGACATCTGTAGCCTTCATTAATGCACAGACACCACTCCACCACACACACCCAGGCAGAATGCTCTTGCTGTCTTCATCGTCTTCCCACGGCCCTTTATGTCTGCCTCTTTTATAACCCTTGTCAGGGTGCATCATCATTGTTTGTTTGCATGTGTCGTCTCACACACTAGACCGTGAGCTCCTCAAGGGCAAAGGCTCTGTCTCATTCACTTTTATACTCCAATGACTAGCACTATGTCTAGTACCTGGTAGGCACTGAATTCAATTTGGTCGAATTGGAAAGAGACCGAGTTCAGAGGTCAGGGGAGACACATCAATCCTGGAATCTAAAGGGCTTGGGGTTCTCTTTTTATTTTTCACTCATCAGTGTAGGCAGCCATGGACCTCTTCGGGAGGGCTCCACACATTTGTTGTGGAATGAGATGACCCAAACAGATGATGGATTTGTTGACCTTTCTAGGGAAACTTCAAACCCTGAGGTGATGCTACCATGAAGCGTCCTTTCTACAGTGTCTTGGAGCTCCCTGTCTGTCCCCTGCATCAAGCTCAACGTGAAAAAATACAATAGGTGACTCACACTGAAAATTGGAAGGAACGAGATCTTGTATTGTGGAGCCCTTATTGGCAATCGTTCTATTGATTATTTAGCATCAGATTTTTCATAAGATCTTTGGGGATTTCACTCCAGCCAGATGACCTCAGGCATACTGAGATTGATGGCCTCTTGTGTGAGAAGTAAGGCTATGAGGTAACAAGGAAGAGAGGCTACAATGATGCATGAAATTGTATCTTTCCCATGGTCCCCAGTGAATCAGGCCAAGGTTGCAGCAGTTGCCATTTTGAAAAAAGGTATGACAAAATTCACCTGCCAACTTGTCCCTTTGTAGTAATTATAATATATTCACCAACACGTGTGGGTTTATATGTGCCAGGTACAGTCAGCGGCATACAGTAGTCACTCAATAAACTTTTGTGCACAGAATAAATGAATGAATGTTCTACCTACACACACAATCTCTTTTAAAATATACAACAACTCTTTGAGGTGGGCACCGTTGTAATTCAGATGGAGAAACTGAGGCTTACAGAGGCAAAGTGACTGGTCAAAGCTTACCCCCTTTACCAGAACAGAAGATACATGTCCCCATTCAGTGACCAAAACCACTTCTCCTCAGCAAACCAGGGCCTTACAATGACCTGCAAGGCTCTACATAATCTGATCTTTGCCCTAATGTCACTTTTTCATGGAAGCCTCCCCTGACTACCCTATTTTAAATTGCAATACCTCTGTACATGCCCAACTCCATGATTTATTTTTCATCATAGCAATTACTCATCACCCATGATAACACATATCTTATTTTTTTGTTTGTTTGTTGATTGTCTGCTTCTCCCCAGGAGAATGGAAACTTACGGAGCAAGAATTGTTTGTTTTGTTCACTGTTGTATTACTTAGCATCTCAAAAAATGCCTAGCCAATGAATGATTGTGGAATGAATGAATGAACCAAGCTAAATCTTTTTTTTTTTTTTTTTTTTTTTTTTGAGATGGTCTTGCTCTGTTGCCCAGGCTAGAGTGCAGTGGTGTGATCTCGGCTCACTGCAACCTCCGCCTCCTGGGTTCAAGCAATTCTCTGCCTCAGCCTCCTGAGTAGCTGGGATTACAGGTGCGAACAACCACACCTGGCTAATTTTTGAATTTTTAGTAGAGACGGGGTTTCATCATCTTAGCCAGGCTAGTCTTGAACTCCTGACCTTGTTATCCACCCACCTTGGCCTCCCAAAGTGCTGGGATTACAGGCGTGAGCCACTGCGCCCGGCCTGACCAGGCTAAATCTTTGGGAGCACTGCTATCTACTAATGCAGGGCTTCATTGCATACCTGGATACTTGCAAAAGTCTCTCAGTTGGTCTCCCCATTAATCAGTGGTTCCCTCCTCTTTCCCCTGGGTCAGAATGACCAGGTCAGTTTGGACTAGATTGTGAAGCAGCTTGAATGTGAAAGTTAAGAGGTATGGCTCTTACCGTCCGGGCACGGTGGCTTACGCCTGTAATCCCAGCACTTTGGGAGGCCGAGGTGGGCAGATCACGAGGTCAGGAGATCAAGACCATCCTGGCTAACACGGTGAAACCCCGTCTCTACTAAAAATACAACAAAGTAGCCGGGCGTGGTGGCGGGCGCCTGTAGTCCCAGCTACTCGGGAGGCTGAGGCAGGAGAATGGCGTGAACCCGGGAGGCGGAGCTTGCAGTGAGCCGAGATTGCGCCACTACACTCCAGCCTGGGCGACAGAGCGAGACTCCATCAAAAAGAAAAAACAAAGAGGCATGGCTCTTACCTAGGCAATGAGGACATCTTAAAGGCTTTTAAGAAGGGCCAAGTTGTTTTTTCAGGCACATGACAGGCAGGAAGAGAAAAGATGGAATTGGAGTTGCGCAATAATCTAGTCAGAAAGACTAATAACGAAACTGTCGAAACTGTCGAGACAGTCCTGGTTACTCTTTCACATTGTGTTGCAGGAGCTGAAGAGCCCCATTGCGGGTGCTCCTGGGGTCACCTGAGGCCAAGGGGGGCATTGTGTAGAAAAGAAAAAGAGGCCTGAGTTTCAAAGAGTGGCTGAGCCCATAGGTTACTTTATTTGGAAATGGTACACGTTAGTTTGAAAACAAAAATCACAAATCACTGATGTATGCAAATCACATTGCAAATCACAATGAAACACAAAGAGAGCATGAACAGGAAAAAGGAGGAGGAAGAGAAGGGGGAAGAAGGAGAGAAGGGAGAAGGAAGGGGAGACTCTCACAATGAGGCAAGCATCATGTTCTCCAGAGCTGCAGTCATTTCAAGGCATCCAGGGCAGATCTGCATCCACGTTCCCTCAAACGGTTGTTGACAGGATTCAATTCCCCGGAGGCTGTTGGGATGACAGCAAGAGCCTCTGCTCCTGGCTGACCATAAAACAGCTCACAGTGGGCCAACTTGGCTTCATCAGAGCAATCAAAACCTTGGAAGTGACATCACTTCTATGTATTAGAAGCAAATCACAAAGGTCCCGCCCATGCTCAGGTGAGGGGATTAAACAAGCGTGTGAGTACAAGGAGAGTTATTGTAGAAGAGCCAGTCACATTCGGGAATAATCCCCAACAAGACACACGTAGGCTCTACTGCCTCCTCAGTTTCTCCTCCCCTGGAGAGAATACGTGACATCTCTGACTCCTGAGTCTGGGGAACAGGAACTGAGATAAGTAGGCGAGAGCTCCTCCTTTTTCTCTTCCTCTTTGGGATCCACTGTCTGTGGAGAGCTAGCTTTGCCTGCTACTGCCATGCTGGCAGCTTAGCAGGAAAGGCTCTGTCTCTTCTGGCAGAGGTTTCTCCTTTTCTAGAGCCACTGGGGACAAATCTGTCATTCTGGGTTCAGAATTAGGCAGCCCAGTGTGGCCAGGCACCACATGTTACAATCCAAAATAAAGCCTTGCCTTTATCCAAAAGAAAGCTGGCATTTTTTATCACTATTGGCCTGACAGTTTTGGTTTTCTCAACTGGTTTAGAACTCAGGCAAGAAAGAAAGGTACACCTTGAAAGACCAATGCCATCCTTGAAGGAGTTGGCATTTGGAATACAACCGACTGAGCAGGGCTGGCTTGATGGACATGCGATTTATGTAGGCATGCATCAGGCCCAAGCTTGGTTTCATGCTGTCGGCATCTTGAAATTAACAATAATTTTTGAACAGGAAGTTGCATGTTTTCATTTTGCACAGGGACCAAATTATCTAAGCAACGCTGAACCCGAGTTTGATCCCTTTTTTGCCACTAGCCACAAGGTCTCAGGCGAGTGGTCATCTTCTGTACTTTCTCACTTGCATAAAAGGGCTGCAAAGATACTGAAAACAATGTCTAATCTTAGGGTGAATGAGTCTCAACTGAGACATTATAAGGAAGATGAGCTGTCCAGTTTATAAAAGTGTACCTGAATGTCTAATTTTCAATGAATGAATTAGTCACCTCGTATGTGACCAATGTGCCCTTGCCCCAGGCAGGTCCTGACTGAAACAGCTGAACCAAGATGGCAGGAGGAAGGGACAGGAAAGCCAGTCTGATTCCAGAATCAAATCATCAGTCTGAGATTTCAGCACCAACACCACTGGCAAACAGAGGGTCAGAAGGCAAGGAAGTCTGCAGGCAAAGGCCCTCCCTGCAATTCTGTGAACAGCTCCCATAACGCACTGCTGATGGGGCCACCTGGGAACATCCAGGCTGGGATGGTACAAGAGCTCTCCAGGGGACCCAGGCTTCAGGGAATGATGTGTGAACACAGGAGAAAGAACTGGTACCCTGAATGCTCATGTTTCAACCTAAGAGGAAATGTTTGCAGACACCAGGCTATCAACTAATCACAATTTGTTGTCTGAAAAAAAAAAACAGAAACAAAAAACCCAATGTCCATGTCACATTAATATATCTCATTGAAAACTACCAGGGAGAGATGCTCTGTTTGCTACTTGCGTAATTTACTGCATTTCATGTTTAAATTGAAGTATCTAATTATACAATTATGAATCATCCTGATTCAAATAAAGTTCACCAAAATAATCTCCTTATGTAACATTATCTTCCAATATACCTGCTATCTTCATTTCATTATGTGCTTTTATTCTGCCAGTCTAAAGATCTAATTGTATTTTGTAAGTGTCCCATTAAACCAAAATAACAATTCTGCTACAATAACCATCAGGAGATAGTTGGTCCTGACTTGTATTACATTTTGAAATGTCATGCTTTTTTATGGTTGTTTTCTCAAGACAGTTTATAGCTTTTGCAATTAGGCAGCCTTGTAAAGCATGGTTTTAAATGCTTTTAATGTTTCAAACCAGCTGAGCATTTCACACACCAATTTCCTTTGCCTTTTTTAACCTAATAATAATGCCTTTCCTGTATCTTGGTTCTGTACAATTTACAAAGCACAATCACGTTTGTTGTTTTATTTGATCCTACTTTCCAGAGGTTACACGCTAAGAAAGGGTTGAGGTCGCCAACAGAGTGGGGTTGCCAGAGACAAAGGAAAAAAATGGAAATAATTTAATATATTTTTTAAAAGCATTAAAGTGGTCTTCTTGGGAAACATCAGCCCCCGGTTTGATTTTTTCATGTTTATATTATGGCTGAGATGGCGACCATGCAGTGACATCTTCCAATTTGAAAGCATCTTTAAGCCCGCCAGCTTTTCAAGGAGCTGCTTAGATACCGGGGGGAATCCTACGTGGGTGTCACGGCCCAAGGTCAGAGCTGGGGGGTTTCCAGCAGTCATTTAGTCCTCTGTTATGTGCTAGTATGCCTGTTAGGGTACTTGACTGCAAACAGCAGAGACTGACTTGGGCTAACATGAGTATAAAAAGAATTTATTGGCAGGATAGCAAGCAGGCTGCTCAGGGATGAAGAAGTAGGCTAGAAAACCTGGCTCCCACAGCACCGGGGACCAAGCTGGGAAGCTGAGAACACAGCCAAGAGCTTGTCACAGCAATAGTCTAATTAGAGCGCAGACACCAGGGCTGCCAACTCCGGACACTACTTCGGCTACTGGGCTTTGTTTTCTTTTTAGTTGAGATATAATTTATATAGCGCTAAGGGCACAAATCTCATGTGCGCATCTCAAATACATCTATGCCTATGTAACCACCACTCTGTTCAAAATATACAGTATTTCTAACACCTCAGAGGGCTTTCTTATGCCCTCTCCCAGTTGACAAAGGATTCCCCCTAAAAGCAGTCACTTCTTTTTGAGACAGAGTCTCACTCTGTTGCCCAGGCTGGAGTGCAGTGGCACAATCTCAAGGGATTCTGCTGTCTCAGCCTCCCAAGTCGCTGGGACTACTGGCGCACAACCACCACATCCAGGTTTTTCTGACTTCTATTACTATTGATTAGTTTTACCTGTTGTTGAACTTCACGTAGATAGAGCCAAACAATATCTACTCTGTATATACTCTTTTATGCCTAGGCTTTCTCTTTTGTGCCTAGGGTTTCTCTCTCTCTTTCTCTCTCTCTCTCTCTCTCTCTCTCTCTCTCTCTCATTATATCTGTGAGATTTGTCCATGTGGTTACTTGCAGTATTGTTCATAGTTCTTTTTTTTTTTTTCGAGACAGAGTTTCACTCTTGTTGCCCAGGCTGGAGTGCAGTGGCGTGATCTCGGCTCACCACAACCTCCGCCTCCTGGATTCAAGCGATTCTCCTGCCTCAGCCTCCTGAGTAGCTGGGATTACAGGCAAGTGCCACCATGCCTAGCTATTTTTTCCATTTTTAGTAGAAACGGGGTTTCTCCATGTTGGTCAGCCTGGTCTCGAACTCCCGACCTCAGGCAATCTGCCCACCTTGGCATCCTGAACTGCTGGGATTACAGGAGTGAGCCACTGCACCTGGCCTCATAGTTATTATTATTATTATTATTATTATTATTATTATTATTATTATTGTGTAGTACTCTGATGTATAATTTACCAAAATGTTTTATCCATTCTCCTTTTAATGAACCTTTGAGTTACATTTAGTTTTTGGTTGTGGTAAGTTATGCTGCTATAAAAATGCTTAGACCTGTCTTTTGGTAGACATATTCACTAATTTTTCTTAAGTATAGCAATTCCAGTAGAATTACTGGGTCATAAGGTAGGTATATGTTTTACTGTCATAGATTTTTGTTGATGGACTTTTGAATCTCTGGCAACCACTGTAGATAATATTCCCTGTCCCTGCATCTCACTGTACATGTGAAATCCTGGGAGCACTCAATAGGTCCAGACTAAGTCTCTCGCCCCACCTAGTAGCCATGGAGCAAAGAAAGGCTGACTTTGTCGGCTTCTATAAGATGAAGGGATGCTGCCTTCCAGGAAGACTCACTCACATCTGGAATGTTGCCCCCAATCAAGGTGAGGCTCAGATATCCAGCATCAAAAAATTAGGCAAATGCCAGCTACAGCATATTAATCTTCAAGATTCTTGTTCTATTCACATATCACAATAGTCAATTATCATAGACTATTTTCCTTTGATCCACTTTTTAAAAATTAGATTTATAGGCCGGGCATGGTGGCTCATGCATGTAATCCCAGCACTTCGGGAGGCCGAGGCAGGCAGATCACGAGGTCAGGAGATCGAGACCAGCCTGGCTAACACAGTGAAACCCCATCTCTACTAAAAATACAAAAAGTTAGCCGGGCGTGGTGGCGGGCGCCTCTAGTCCCAGCTACTTGGGAGGCTGAGGCAGGAGAATGGTGTGAACCTAGGAGGTGGAGCTTGCAGTGAGCCGAGATTGCGCCACTGCACTCCAGCCTGGGCGAGAGAGCAAGACTCTGTCTTAAAAAAAAAAGAAAAGAAAAGAAATATACAGTAAGCTATTGTTAATTAAAGTCACCCTACCGTGGTATTGCACGCAAAAAC
Source organism: Homo sapiens (assembly GCF_000001405.40). Taxonomy (NCBI): domain Eukaryota; kingdom Metazoa; phylum Chordata; class Mammalia; order Primates; family Hominidae; genus Homo; species Homo sapiens. The sequence goes on along the minus strand of NC_000008.11, from coordinate 130,461,559 downwards.
TAATACCTTCTCTGTATGTTTGGATCCATTAACCAAACTCTCTTCATCCTTACTCCCTCATCTCAGCCTCTGTTAACCATCATTCTACTCTCTAGTTTCTTGAGATCAACTTTTGTAGCTCCCACATATGAGAACATGGGAGATCTGTCTTTCTGCACCTGGCTTATTTCACTTAATGACTTCCAAGTCTATCCATGTTGCTGCAAATGATAGAATTTCAATTTTATGGCAGAATAATATTCCATTGTGTATATATACCACATTTTCTTTAATCATCTGTTAATGGACACTCCTGTTGATTTCATAGCTTGGCTATTGTGACTAGTACTGCAGTAAACATGGAGATGCAGGTATTCCTTTGATATACTGATTTCTTTTTCTTTGGATAAATACTCAGAAGTGGGATTGCTGGATCGTATGGTCATTCTATTTTTAGTTTTTTGAGAAACCTCTGTACTGTTTTCCATAATGGCTCTACTAATTTACATTTCCACCAACAGTGTATAAGAATTCCCTTTTCTCTGCATCCTCACTAACATTTATTATATTTTTGTCTTGTCAACAGTAGCCATTCTAACAAGAGTGAGATGCTATCTCATTATGGTTTTTATTTGCGTTTCCCTGATGATCAGTGGTGTTGAGCATTTTTTCATATACCAAGTTGGCCATCTGTATGTCTTCTTTTGAGAAATGTCCACATTCAGGTCCTTTGCCCACTTTTTAACAAGATTTGGATTTTTTGTTTTGTTTTGTTTTGCTGTTGAGTTGTTTGAGTTCCTTGTATATTCTAGATATTAGTTTCTTGTCAGATGAATGGCTCGCAAATATTTCCTGCCATTCTGTAGGCTGTCTCTTTACTCTGTTGATTATTTCCTTTGCTGTGCAGAAGTTTTAGTTTAATAAGGTCTATAGGATAGTTTTCCTAGAGGTGGTCCACATCAGTCCACAATACTCATTACCTATTGAGCCTCTACTGAGTGCTATGCTGGTTGCTGGCAATAAACAGTGAATCCCAGAAACTCCCTCTCCACTTACATGAGGTACCCTAGTGTAGTCACATTCACAGAGAGACAAGGTAGAATGGTGGTTGCCAGGGACTGGGGTGGGAGAAGGAATGGAGAGTTGTTGTTTGATCAGTACAGAGTTTCAAATTGACATGACAAAAAGGTTCTGGGCCGGATATGGTGGCTCATGCCTGTAATCCGGGCACTTTGGGAGTCCGAGGCAGGCAGATCACCTGAGGTCAGGGATGCAAGACCAGTCTGGCCAACATGGTGAAACCCCATCTTAAAAAAAAAAAAAAAAAAAAAAAAAAAAAAAAAAATTGTATTTTATAAAAATACAAAAAAAAATTGTTTTGTAAAAATACAAAAATTTTTTTTTGTTTTGTAAAAATACAGAACAATTTTTTGGTTTTGTAAAAATACAAAAACTTTTTTTTGTTTTGTAAAAATACAAAAATTAGCTGGACATGGTGGCACATGCCTCTAATCCCAGCTACTCGGGAGGCTGAGGCAGAAGAACTGTCTGAGCCCCGGAGGTGGAGGTTCAGTGATCCAAGATCTCGCCACTGCACTCAAGCCTGGGCGACAGAGCAAGACTCCATCTCAAAACAAAAAAGGTTCCAGAGACAAATGTTAGTGACAGTTGCACAACAATTTTTTTTTTTTTTTTGAGACAGAGACTCACTCTTGTTGCCCAGGCTGGAGTGAAATGGTACGATCTCAGCTCATTGCACCTCCGCCTCCTGGGTTCACGTGATTCTCCTGCCTCAGCCTCCTGAGTAGCTGGGATTATGCACAACAATTTGAATGCCTAATGCCACTGAAATGTACACTTAAATTTTATGTTGTGTATATTTTACTGCAATTTTCAAAAACAGCAGTCTTGGTTCTACCCCACCCCACCCTAGTTTCTCTGACCTCCCCTTACCTGCTGTGCTGTGTTTTTCTACACTGTAGACCTCATCAGACCTCATTACCTCCAATATATTAGGTTATTTGCTTTTTTTTTTTTTGAGATGGAGTCTCGCTCTGTTGCCTAGGCTGGAGTGCAGTGGTGCAATCTCGACTCACTGCAACCTCCACCTCTGGGGTTCAAGCAATTCTCCTGCCTCAGTCTCCAGAGTAGCTGGGATTACAGGAGCACACCATCACACCCAGCTAATTTTTGTACTTTTAGTAGAGACAAGGTTTTACCACATTGGCCAGGCTGGTCTTGAACTCCTGACCTCAGGTGATCTGCCCGCCTCGGCCTCCCAAAGTGCTGGGTGGGATTACAGGTGTGAGCCACTGTGCCTAGTCGCTAATTTTTATGTTTATTGTTTCCCCACCAGAATGTAGGCTCCACATGGGCAGGGATTTTTGTCTTTTTTGTTTAATTTTGTTCACTGAGGTACTCTAAGCACCAAGAACAGTGCCTGTCACATAGTTGGTACTCAGTAAATATTTATTGGATCCATAAACCTGTGATGAGTACATGAATGGATGGAACGCTTGTCACCTGCTTGCTGGGTACCATTTTTCACTTAGCAATCATTGGAGGCACCATGAAAGTCCATTCTACATATGAGGAAACTGAGGCACAGATAGGAGTAATAATTTTTCCATGATTCAAAGAAAAGCCTGGGTCAGAGACTACATACAGAGAAAATAGCAAATCTAATAGGAAAGGAAAATCAGCTTTCAATGTCAGAAAAATAAGAGATTCACGTGCTTATCTTTTTTTTAGCATTTGCCCTCAAGAACAAACTTGTTCAACTTACAGTTAAGAAAAAAAATCAACTTCATGTTTTCCAGCAATATCACTGCTGGATTTTGTCAATCTTTTCCTAACTAAAACATAGTTGGTAGGTGATGGAAAGGGATAGTAAAAGATTGGGGCAAAGGGTGAGTAACAGGTTGGATGAACTGCTTGCTAGGTGTTTATCACAAAATATAATTTCTCATTCACTTAAAAAAAGTATCTTGTGGTTTCCAGATAAATATCATGAAGGTGATTCGTTTTGTTAGGAAAGAATTTTTTCCTTTGATTTCCTGGGGATCACAGGAGACTGGGATTTATTCCTGGTTTTAACGTTTTAACATGATCTTTCTGTTTAAGTAACTTCTCCTGTTGGGTCTCAGCCTTATCATCTGGACAGAATGGGGCGGGAGGAGGGCACGGGAAATGTGCTAGATGACTTCCCGGGTGTCAGAGCTATGTGAGCATGACAATCACATCTTTTGCTTAGTTTGTGTGTTAGACATCAAAAATGGCAAAGAATTCTAAAGATGTTTCTAGTCATACTTTACATACTACGTTTTGATTTGATTTGGGGGTGACTGATAAAAATAGAGGGAAGAGGAGCCCCTTGAAGCATTCCTTGTGGCCATCCCTGCAGAAAGGGGACTGTCTGGCAGCAGCAGAGACTCTGAAAGACAAAGGTGCAAACAGAACCACTGAGGGGCCTGGGACAAGGGGGTGCTAGGTTTGGAAAAGAGCTTTAGAGGCTCTAAGGGATCCATGGCAGGGATGCCGTGTTCTCGTTCTTGTGGCAGAACGCTGCAGGTACCTGGTGGGAGGGCTTCAAGGGCAGCCGATGGTCACGAAGAAGCTGGAGTAGATGAACCTTAGGGGTTTGTTTAGAACCCACAGGAGATCCCCTTGGAGATCCCTGAAATAACTGGGTCAGATCCTGCAGGGAGGGAGGTGACATCCTGCTCAGGCAAGTGAGGGCAACCAGCCTGTGAAATTTGAGTCATGCCTGTAAATGGGGTGACAGCCAGAGATGCTGTGGCTTCATATGCAAATTAGTTAACTTTTCAGACAAATTAATGGAAAGATATTAAAACAATGGAAATGGCTCAGTGGCTGCTCAATGTGTACTGCAATTAGAGATCTTAGACAATCTGAAGTTTCAAGTACATCGGTTTGATTTCACTTTCAGCTGACGTATAAAGTGTGTGGTTAAACAAGCAGACTTTGAGTTTATAGTCAAGTTTAAAAACATAACGGCTATCTGGATTCATTTCAAGAGCCAGCACATTGGGGTCCATGTAGTGGAAATAATAATCCTGGCCTTCTCTGCACTGGTCAGATGCCATCTGGAGAATTTACTGACTTCTGAGGGCCATGTTTCAAGAGGACATGAAACAACTCTCATGGGGTCAGGCAAGGGCAACTGGGTAGGGGGAAGGATCTAGAAGTCTGTTATCCGAGAAACAAGATCTGGGAGACTCGGGGAGGATCATCAGAGCTGTGTTTGAATGCTTGAATTTTTGCAGAGATGCTGTATGGGAAAGGGATGGGACTTGTCCTGCGTTACTCCAGCAGGTAGGATCTGAACCATAGAGCATTATAAGCACAGGAGCCTTGGCTCTATTTAAGAAAGCATCTTCAGGATGGGCGCGGTGGCTCATGCCTATAATCCCAGCACTTTAGGAGGCTGAGGGGGGCGGATCACCTGAGGTCAGGAGTTGGAGACCAGCCTGGCCAGCATGGTGAAACCCCGTCTCTACTAAAAACACACAAAAAATAGCCAGGCATGGTGGCACACGCCTGTTATCCCAGCTACTCAGGAGGCTGAGGGAGGAGAATTGCTTGCACCTGAGAGGCAGCGGTTCCAATGAGCTGAGATCGCGCCACTGCACTCCAGCCTGGGTGACAGAGTGAGACTTTGATTAAAAAAAAAAAAAAAAAGGAAGGAAGGAAGAAAAAGGAAGGAAGGAAGGAAGGAAAGAAAAGAAAGAGAAAGGAAGGAAGGAAGGAAGGAAGGAAGGAAGGAAGGAAGGAAGGAAGGAAGGAAGGAAGGAAGGAAAAAGAAAAGAAAGAAACAGAACTTTTATCTGGTTTCTTCTTCCAAGGAGGCTGACATGAGCTGGGGTTGAGTCCCCTGGGTCTGCCTGGGGCAGGGTCAATGAGCTGTGGGAAGCTGGGAACAGAGACAGCCACCGAGGCAGAGCTACACCAAGTCTGCAAGCAAGAACAGTGCCGAGACCACAACAGGACTGGAGCAGAAAATGGGAGAGGGGCCAAGCCTCAGGAGCCAGGCAGAGACGGCCGGGAGCTAGCAGCGCTGGCCTAACCTCAGCTGACTGGCACTCATCAGTGGCTCATGGAATAAGTGCAGAGCCATTATCTTAAAGAATCCAAGTTATAATCAAACTCATGAGCTGGTCTCTGGCAAAGTCATGTGTCAGGAAATATCCCAAGCCTGGAGGCATTCAATAACTGCCTGGTGGCCATCTATACTTTCAGCAGTTCAACTTTAAAAAAAAATTTAATTGTGGGAAAATACACATAACATAAAATTGACCATCCTAACCATATTTAAATGTACTTAAAAGTTGTGGTATTAAGGACATTCATATTGTTGTACAACCATCACCACCATCCATCTCCAGAATTATTTTCATCTTGCAAAACTGAAACTCTGCACCCATTAAACAACCTTACTCCCTTTCCTCCTAGCCCCTAGCAACCACCATTCTACTTTCTGTCTCTGAATTTGACTGCTCAAAGTATCTCATATAAGTGGAATCATAGATTATTTCATGACTGGCTTTTTTCACTTAGCGTAATGTTCTCAAGGGTCATTTCTATTGAGGTATGCGTTAGAATTTCCTTCCTTTTTAAGGCTGAATAATACTGCATTTTGTGTACATACCACATTTTGTTTATCCATTCATCCGTCAATGAACACTTGGGTTCATTGGATCAATTTTGCACTGAGACCTCCAGTAAGCACTGAAGTTAATATAATGAATATGACCCTCAAGGACCTGACAATCTACTTGGAGTGGGAAAAGGGCTGGGGCGGGGAGTGGGAGTGTGGCAAATATGTATACCAATTTTAATAATGCATTTTGAATAACAATATGATTTTTTAAAGTCTCTACAGGATATATTGGGTTCACAATGAAGGAAGACATCAGTTCTGGGGGTAGTGCAGAGGGAGGAGTATGAGTTTTTTTTAAGAAGGCAAGTGTCTGAGCTGATGAGATCAATAATGCTAGAAAACCTTCTTTGCAAAACTTGAATCTGACTGCCTGGCAGCCCACTGGTACCCAAAAGCTGGATCGGTTGCTGGATCTAACTCCTTGGGACAGCTTTTAAAAATATTGATCCCAAAAATTCTGATTCAGTGAATCTAGGATGGGGGACAGGAGTCTGTATTTTTTATTTTTTTGTAGAGACACCGTCTTGCTATGTTGCCCAGGCTGGTCTTGAACTCCTGGCCTCAAGTGACCCTCCCAACTCGGCCTCTCAAAGTGCTGGGATTACAGGCCTAAGCCACTGAGCCCAGCACAAAGTCAGTATTTAAAACAGCCTATCCTGGTGATTTTGATGACAAATAGGCTTGGCAGGCACTGGGGAAACATTGAAGGTTGTAAGGTGAGGTTGACATTTTAGATACACCTCTCTGACCTCACTGTGGATGGGGGCAAGGATGTGAAATTAAAAATAAACTCAAGGTAGAGAAACCAGTCCAGCCCATTAGCGCTACATTCCACGGGCTGGAACTGCTGAAGATGGGCATGTGTGGTGTGTTCATCTTTCCATTCATTCAGCTATGCACCTACTGTTTGTTACCTGGACTAGAGCGCCCTGAAAAATCCCTTCCATCTCTCAGATTCTATATTCTATTGATCATTAAAAAAAAAAAAAAAAAAAAAAAGCCTCAGCCAACAGAATATGGCAGAAATGAGGTTGTGAGAGTCCTGAACCTGAGGCAATAAAAGGCCTAGCAACCTCTTTTGCTTCTCTCAGAACCCTGCTGCTGTATCAACAAACCTAGTCTAACCTGCTGGAAGATTAGCAATCACAGAAAAAAGTGATACACCATTTTGACTGACCTGGGGGATGTCCGTAAGTATATAAATAAACCCAGTTTAGAGCAGATGAAAGCTACCCAGCTGATTCCATCCAAATCACCAATCCACAGAATGAAGGGCTGGATGGTTGTTTAAGCCACTTAGTTTGGGGATAGTTTGTTATTCAGCAAAAACTAACTGATACACCTCCTTTGACACTCCATTCATTCAAAAATCAGCTATGCACCTACTGTTTGTTACCTGGACTACAGCACCCTGAAAAATCCCTTCCATTTCTAAGATTCTATATTCTAATGATGCTTTTTTAAAAAGGCCTCAGCCAATAAAATATGGCAGAAAATAGGTTGGTCATTTGGCAGAAATGATAACTTCCTTTGGTTCTAGAGACTTTACACATGCTCTTAGTTCTAGACATGTGTTGGTTCTTTACACATGCTGTTGCCTGTTCATGAAATGCTCTTTTTTCTTTCTTTGCCTAGTTAACTCCTAATTATCACAGCTCAGAAAAGTTTTTCCTGATCTTGATTAAATCTCTCTATTTTAGGATCCCATTGCAATTTTTACCTCTCTGGTGGCACTGCAGTAGTTACAATTTTATATTTATTTGTATGCATGATTTGGTTAAGGTCTTTCTCCCCACTTAGACTATAAGCTTCATGAGCCCAGGGACAGTGTCTATTGTGTTCACCATTACATTCCAGCACCTAGTACAGTTCCTTGCACATAGTTGGTGCTCACTGAATATTTATTGAATCAAAGACAACAATATTGCCCTGGAGGAAACAGGGGTTTGGGGATTCTTCTTTAAAATAATGACCCTCACAGCAGTCCTCTCCTCCCTACTATTACAGAAATTAAAAATGGACACGAGTCACTGTATGAGAATGTGTTTTGTAATTTTTAAAGGACTGTACATATGTTAGTTCTTGATTGTTAGTGTTGTTATTCTGAGATAGCAACAGCTGGCTTTAGGGGAATCCTTTCCCTTCCTCATTCCCCTGAAATGGCCCCAGGCAGCTTCCTAGCAGCTATGATTATGGCTGGATAAGCAATTTACATGCTGGAAGTCTTGCCTACAGTAAAAACATGGATATGTAAATATCTCTGTAGCTGCAACCTAGCAAGCAATCTTCAGGCTGGTTAATTGCAGAACTTGGTGGTAATGATACCAATGCTGAGTTCAATTAAGGACTATTTACAAAACCACCGGGGGAGTATTTTCCACTTTTTCTGAAACAGTAGGCCCAGACTAGAGGGACCTGTTATTTCACAGTATAAATCTATGGCTCAGACACACTAAAATATCCCTTAGATTTAAAGTTGGCAAATTCCATGCCTTATTTTGGCCCCTGGAGCTCAGTTTGCAGCAAGAGAGCCTGAAGGTAATTGCCAAACACAAATACCCTGTGTGTAACCTTTCTGAGCCTCAGTTTCCTCGTCTGTAAAATGTACATATTAGTAGCTTACCTTATAGGTTTATTTTGAGATTAAATGAGATCATCAGTAGAAAGTGCCATCAGAATCATTAGAACAGTGCCAGGCATACAGTAAGTACTCAAATTTTAGTTATTGCTCATTGTCAGCATCATTACTGTTATTAACACACATAGTGCCATTAGAATCATTGGAACAATGGCAGGTATACAGTAAGTACTCAACTTTTAGTTACTGTACATTGTCAACATCATTACTGTTGTTAACACACATGGTTGTTTCCACCCTGAACTGTTACTGAAACACCAGGGTTTCGGTGTAGGTCCTGCTGCTCGCCACATAGAAAGTCAATGACTGAGATGAGTACTGTCAAGGAAGAAGGCTTCAATCAGGTGCTGCAGTGGAGGAGATGGGAGATCAGTCTCAAATTCATCTCTCTAACTGACTAAAATTAGGGGTTTATATGGGAAGGGAGAAATGCAACTACGTATGAGAAAACAGGAACTGGGGAGGAGTAAGGAAGCAATCATGATGAATGAGGGGCCTGGCATCTCATTGTCTGGATCTGGTGAGTTTCAAGGTTTAAGACCAGAAGGGTAACTTTCAAATGTTTATCAGAAGAAACTGTCTATGAGACTATTTGGTCAGTTTCAGAACAACATACCTGCTGGAAAAGCCAGCTCTGAACTTTGCTAATTCAGGAAATGACAGGGTTCTTTTTTCCAACAGCTGGTTTGTGATGATGTTTTGTAAAGCATGTAAGTTCATTCATGAGACATGAGTTGACACACTGTGTGCCTTGTACTCTGATAGATGCTGGGGATACAGAGGCAAATAAGAGAATCTCTGCCCTCAGAAACTATAGGGGAGAGACTGTGCATGGTGGTTAAGGCTTGTCAGCATTGATCTCAAGGTTCTATGGAAACACGGAGTGGGGGACTTCACCCCAAAAGGTCAGGGAAGGCTTGCTTTGGACCTCCTGGGGTTCCCAGGTGAAGAGGGTGAGGCCCTTATTAATTCCACACACAAAAAAAGCAGACCTTACTTTCTTAAGAGATTGTTGCTGTGACCCATTTATCTGACCCTTTTATCACCAAGGTCCATTATAGCTGGAAATGAAGCTTTCAGAATTAATAACCTAAGAACGGAAAGCATTTTCCCTGATATTCAGCAACTCTAGAGGAAATGCCAGAGTGTTTATCTTACAGGGCCCCTTCAGGGTGTGTTTTAGCTGAGTGGGGCTTCATTAACAGTGTAATGGGAAAGATCTCATCATATCTCACATCCTTATGACCTGGGCACGAGGAGTGACTCCAGGATTTACACTGATTGGGTATAGTACCGTGGCCAGGTTTTCAGGGAGAAAAACTGCCCTGGCACTCAGTGACCCTGGCTTTATTCTGACCACACTGCCAGCAGCATGTGCAAACCTGATCCAATCATTCAATTGGAATGGATGAGCTCAATTTGAGGATATATATGGTATTCCCAACTCAGCGGAGACTCTGCTTACCACATGCCTCTGTTTTTCCCTCTCCACTGGACCCTTCTCTTGCTCTCCCAACTGGGAGAAAAACAAAACAAACCTTCCCTGGGATCTTCCTAAGCCTCATGTTACTATTCCATCTCTCTCACCTTCATTACTCAGCTTGAAAAATAATAAATTTTTAAATGCTGATACCATAGTTCTTAAAAAAGGAAGAAAATGGCCAGGCATGGTGGCTCATGCCTGTAATCCCAGCACTTTGGGAGGCTGAGGTGGGTGGATCACCCGAGGTCAGGAGTTTGAGACCAGCTTGGTCAACATGGTGAAACCCCGTCTCTATTAAAAATACAAAAAAGTAGCCGGGCATGGTGGTGGGCACCTGTAATCTTAGCTACTCAGGAGGCTGAGGCAGGGGAATTGCTTGACCTGGGAGGCGGAGGCTGCAATGAGCCAGTATCAGGCCACTGCACTCCAGCCTAGGCAACAGAGCGAGATTTCGTCTCAAAAAAATAAATAAATAAATAAATAAATAAACACAAAGGAAAAAAGTGATGAATACTTATTATGCTCAGGCACTTTTACATGACTAAATTCATTTAATCCTCTCAACAACTTTATGAGATGGGTACTTTTATCCCCATTTTATAGCCAGGAAACTGAGGCTTACCCCGTTGTTACTAGGTAAAATGACACTGCTAGTAGGTGTTTGAGCTAAAACTCAGCCTTCTCCACTGCAGCACAGGTTCTTTTATTTTGTTTTGCTTTTGTTTTGTTTTTGTTTTTATTTTTCCTATGACGATGTAGCACAGGTTCTTAACCACCTGGCTGTGTATGTTCCATGTGCCGACCCCACTTCCCACTCTCTCCTTTCTTCCTCTCCTCAGCACCCCTGGAATGCTTTCTTCCCGCCATCAAGGATCTTTGGATGGCCCAAAGAGGAACTTCTTGTAGTAGATAGATTGGTTAGGTTTTAGGTGCCCAGATCCATTTTCTCTTTTTGAAAGCCCTTGGTTTTCCATGGAATTACCTCTCTTCCATTGGCTCTTGTCCTGTGGGGCTGGGATCAGGATCCTTGTCTTCTCCTGGCTAAGGGACAAGGGAGTGACCCAGGCTGGAATTTGCCTCGTAAGCAGCAAGGCTGAGAAGGCTAGAAGAGTTTGGCATTCTGTTCAGTCCATCCAAGTGAGTGCCAACAAATTCAGTCAAGATAAAGAATATTTTAGTGCAATTGTTAAAAAAGAAAAATGAATGTAAAAGTTCCAAGATGAACAAAATACTAAAATTTTAAATAAAGACAGAATCAGGGCCCCGTGTGGTGGCTCACACCTATAATCCCAGCACTTTGGGAGGCAGAGGTGGGCGGATCACCTGAGGTCGGGAGTTTGAGACCAGCCTGGCCAACATGGAGAAACCCTGTCTCTACTAAAAAAATACAAAAAAATTAGCCAGGCATGGTGGTGTGGGCCTGTAATCCTAGCTACTCGGGAGGCTGAGGCAAGAGAATCGCTTGAACCCAGGAGGTGGAGGTTGCAGTGAGCCAAGATCACGCCACTGCACTCCAGCCTGGGTGACAGAGCAGGACTCTGTCTCAAATAAATAAATAAATACAGACAGAATCAGTATGACTGACTTTCCCTTTTGCCTTGGGCTCCAATATGGCTGGACATGGCACTGCCAGGGATGCCCCTAGAGTGGATGCCATCCATGTCTTGCCTTCCAACCCTTTGTACCTCTCTCATTCTTTGTTCCAAGGTTGTTCTGGGCCTCTGCCTTTCCTCATGTGGCCCCTCTCTGTGTGAAAGGCCCTTTCTCCTACCCTACCTTGCTGAACTCACCCTCCTTCACCATCATACTTCTCTATGTGTCAGTTTCTTTATCTATAAAATGAGCACAATAAAGAGTGCCTAATTCATAGCCTTGTAGTGAGCATTAACATGGGCACAGCACCTGACTCCAAGGTGTGCACTCAACTAACTCCAGCATCAACGTTGTTCCCATTCCACAAGAAGACAATCAGTGACCATGCTTCCCACTGCCCAAAGGTCAGGGCTGCCACTTAATGTTGGTTAGATGAAAAGCTACACCTAGTTCCCTGTCTACATGGCCTCTCTTCTTCTTCCTGTCTACTTTCTCTCCAGACCATGTATAGATATCCACAGCCTCGAGTGTGCCCTCTTGTCTGTGATACATGTGTGAGGTCTGTATCTCCAGGTCCAAATTTCCAAATGTGGTCTGGATACATCACCAGTGCCTAAATACCACTAAAATACTAATAAAGATAGCCAGCAATGATTGAACACTGACCAGGCATCCTGTACTGAGCCCGATGCTTTACATGGATTACTTCATTCAATCCTCTCAAAAACTCCATTTTACAGATTAAAAAAAAAAAGAAAAAGAAACCAAGAGAAGGCAAGAACGTCACTCAAGGTTATGAACCAGAGAAGTGGTGGAGCCAGGATTTCGAACTGGACACAAGTGCTTTTGCTAAAAAAGGTTATCAAACGGCTCACCTTTTAATCAACAATTTTCAAGTGATGTAAGGAAAAGCTGAGAGAACAGAGGTCTCAACTGGGGGCAATTTTGCTTTCCAGGGAACATTTTGCAATGCCTGGAGATGTGTTTGGTTTTCCCAACTGGAGGGTTGCTGCTGGCATCCAGTGGGTAGAAGCCGAACCTCCCCGAGGGGAGGCTGCTGTTGAACATCTTACAAAGCGCCAGAAGCCAGCTACTCTAACAAAGCGCCAGAAGCCGGCTACTCTTACAAAGCGCCAGAAGCCGGCTACAACAAGGAATCATCCGGTCCAACATGTTAATATTGCCAAGAATGAGAAACCGTGCACTAGAAAAATCCAGATGACGCAAGACTGTGAGAAGCTAGTGAAGGGTGCTATCTTTTCAGATGCTAACTCCCCCACTCACCAACTGAGCAGGTCCCTCTGCCTCCCTCCTGCCCACCCCCACTCAAGCCCAGCCCCCTCCCCAGCCTAGCAAAGCCTCGCATTCTTACCCACCACCTACTCCCTTCTCTGCAGAAAGCACAAACAGGAACTCATTATCTTCCTCCTCAAAACCTTCCTATCCCTCACTCTTTGTCATGGTTAAAAATACCACCCTCCTCCTCCTTACAGGTGAGCACCATTGTCCCCTCCTTGTGTGTGCCCCACCACCAGCCAACAAGCTGTGTTTGTTGAATCTCCCAAGTCTCTCCTGCTCATCCTTGCCTTCCTACTTCACTAACTTACTTGGGACAAAATAGCTTCTCATGCATCTCTTTTCCAGTCATTAGGCTGAAGTCACTTTTTATTCATCTACGTTTGATCATCCAGAGCATTTTTTTTTCTTTTGAGATAGGGCCTCGCTCTGTTGCTAAGGCTGGAGTGCACTGATGCAATCATGGCTCACAGCAGGCCTTGACCTCCAGGCTCAAGCGATCCTCCCACCTCAAGGGATCCTCCCACCTCAGCTTCCCAAGTTGCTGGAACTAGAAGCACATACTACTATGTCTGGCTAATTTTAAATTTTTTTGTAGAGATGGGGTCTTGCCATTTTGCCCAGGCTGGTCTCAAACTCCAGGGCTCAAATGATTCCCTTGCTTTGGGTCTCCCAAAGTGTTGGGATTACAGGCATGAGCCACCTTGCCTAGCCCAGAGCATGATTTTCATAAGGAATTAAACTCAGGGGTCTAAACTCAAGATACCCACCTAGCTCCTGGTCTGTGACTTCAGGATGTTCATGGTGGAACTTTAGAGTTCTGCACCTTGCCCTTCGGCCCTCTCCTTCAGCAGACAAGGTGGCCTCTTCCAGTCCAGGGTTCGTGCCCCCAACCCACTCTAGTTCCCATCTCCTCTCATCCTCAGTACCTGTTCTATCAATGAACCATCCCTTCCTCTCAACCTCACCTACCAACCCAGATGCTTGCCTGCCCACACATTTTTAAAGAAGCCTCTACCCTTACCTCCCACTTGCTAGACAGCTACATTTCTGAAAAGAGTTGTCCACGCTTACTGTCTCCCACTCCGTCCTCAACCCACCGCAATCTGGCTTCCAATCCCTCCACTCCATCGAGACAGCTCTGGTAAAAGTTATCAGCCTTCTCATTGTCAAATGAAATGAACACTTGCTTTCTGGTCCTTTCTTGATGAAATTTCCTGTGACATTTGTGAATGTTGCTCATTCCTTCCTTGTAAAAGCAATTTCTTCCCATGCCCCCTGGTTCTCCTCTGGTTCTCTTCTTCTCATTATTCACTCTCCCAACAGCTTGAACTGGCAAGAAAGACAGTGCAGGGTGGTGAAGAGCCTGGACTCCAATGCTCCTTGATATGGTTTGGCTGTGTCCCCACCCAAATTTCATCTTGAATTCCCATATGCATTCCCCTGCACAAACTCTCTCTCTCTTTGCCTGCTGCCATCCACGTAAGACATGACTTGCTCCTCCTTGTCTTCTGCTGTGATTGTAAGGCTTCCCCAGCTGCGTGGAACTGTAAGTCCAATTAAATGTCTTTCTTTTGTAAATTTCCCAGTCTCACGTATGTCTTTATCAGAAGCCTGAAAATGGACTAATACACTCCTCTACTCACTAGTGGTTGGCCTTGGGCAAGTTACTCAACACTCCTGTGCCTCAGTTTCCTCAACTGCAAGATGGTGTAAGGCTTTTTAGTCTCATTGTTTTCCATGTCTGAACATGCATCATGTTCTCAGATCATGCTGAACCTGGTAGAGTCACCCACATATATTATGTGTTCATGCTCAGTCTTTACTCAGGCACTTGGGAGTGCCCAGCCAGTATCTGTGAATATATGCATGAACACTACTCTGGATTGGGTTTCCCCAGAAGTATACCTTGAGACAAGGAGATGGGTGCAGTTACTTTATTTGGGATCCCAAGAACAAATAAGGAAGTGAGAAAGTAAGGCAAGGAAGGGAGAAGAGGCAAAATCAAAGAGTGACTTAATGAGGGAGTGACTGCTGGGGGCAACTGGACTCATTCCTACTGGGGAATTCCTCTGAGGAACTGCCTTGAGAGCATTTGAGAATTGATCTTCCTTAGGGAAGGGGAGGCTGACACATTCATCCACTGTTTGGTTAAGGACTGACCCAGGGCTGTTGGAAACTTCCAGGCTAGGCAAGATCCCACAGCCCTTGAGAAAGCCTCCTGGTAGAGAGGAGAAAGGGGGCCTGCTTTGGATAGACAGTTTCTCTGTACAGAGGGCAGCTCATTGCAGCTGCCGGTGAGCTCAGAGGTGGGCCCAGGGGACATGGAGCCGAGCATCACTAACACTCACGCTTGTTACTCTGGTTGGCAGGCCTGTGCCCCCTTATCTAGCTACATAGGTCCCATCTCCTCCTTGAAAGTTCGTTCAAGAGCACCCACTTCTTGGAAGCATTTTCCAACTTATCTCCACCCTACTCCACCTTCAATGTTCTGAATAGCCCTGGATACCCTGGACATGACTCTATAAGAGTACTTATCTCTCTGCTTACTAGATAGAGCTTTCCTGTCTTTCTTAGCAAGAATAGTTCTTTTTCATCATTGCACATGTAGGGCCCAGATTTTTTTAGCACATTACAGGCACTTAACCGATGCCTTAAAATGAATTCAAGTTCACCTTGCTCAGGGACCCACTCAGAGCAAGTGGTCAACAAATGTGGACTCCTTTCCTCCATCTGATTTAGGAGAACAGTCATCTAGTGAGTATACAATATGACAAATATATTCTTTAAACAGAAATGCCAAGGAAGCACAAAGGAGGGAGTAATTAACTGGGACTATACCAATGAGACTATAGTTACCTCATTTGACAGTCTTAATTACTTAGGTTTTTTTTTTTTTTTTTTTTTTTTTTTTTTTTGAGACGGAGTCTCACTCTGTCACCCTGTCTGGGATGCAATGGCATGATCTCAGCTCACTGCAACCTCTGCCTCCCGGGTTCAAGCGATTCTCCTGCCTCAGCCTCTGGAGAAGCTGGGATTACAGGTGCCCACCACCACGCCCGGCAATTTTTTGTATTTTTAGTAGACACGGGGTTTCACCATGTTGGCCAGACTGGTCTCAAACTCCTGACCTTAGGTGATCTACCTGCTCGGCCTCCCAAAGTGCTGGGATTACAGGCGTGAGCCACCGCGCCTGGCCTACTTATAGTTTTAGTTTTCCAGAAGCACTAATAGAGCCATCTGGTGCTCCTTCCACCGCACTGGGCGTTCCCTTTTGAATCTCTCCACCAAAGAGGAAGCCACAGGGAGCTGCGGGACCGAGTGAACCACCCTACCTCAGGCAGAGGTCCCATCTGCAACTCTAGTTTGTTTGCTTCTTTCATTTATTCAACACGTGTTTATCGATGGTCTCATATGGGCCAGCACTGTTCTAAGGAAACAGGCAAAGGTACTGCTGTAATGCAGTTTACCCATGCAGTGGGGAGAGTGGGGGGCAGATAAAAAATAAGCAACCAATCATGTAGGCTACATTAAACAGTGACAAGGGCTATGAAGCAATCAAACAGGATGCGCTATGTTTGGGAGAGGTGGAGGTGGGGTGTAGGTGCCAGAGACAAGCAGATCACATGGTTGGGGAAAACCTATCTGCGGAGCTGACTTCTGGGCTGTGAGCTGCGTGCCAAGAACAGCCATACAAGGGTTCTTCCAGGCAGAGGGGACGGCAGCTACAGTGGGCCTGGAGCAGGACCCTGGGACTCCTGGTGCCCAGCTCAGAGCTGTCCTACTGCTTCTGGCCACGGAGAGAGAATTGCAGAAAAGGAACAATGCTGGGTCTAAAACTGGTATCTGTTCCTTACTTGGAGTAAACGAGCTGGTACCCAACTTTCAGTTCCCAGCAGGTTCATTTCAGGCTTCTGTTTTCGCTCATGAGCATGTTGTTCCCTCTTCAAAGTCTGATTGGGTTTCAAAGGAATCTGAAACACTTACAGCAAAACCACCAAGCTGCATCCTCCAGGTAGACACCCCCGAAATGTGGCATTTCCGTGGGAAACCACAATGAATCACTCATTGGCTGCCCGACCTCTCTGCCCAGTCAGAGATTGATTTTGGTTTTCCCAAACTTTGTAAATCCGCTCCAGACTGTTTAACAACCCCCACTCCCCACTACACCCAGACTCTCAGATTAGGAGCAAAATCCCAAATTTTGTGAGGTTTTCTGTTTCGGATTTCACCAGAAGGGGGTCTGCCACAGCCACTAACCATTTCCTCTGCAGAGAGCCGTTTCTGAAATGCTGCAAAGAAAAACAATCACCCAATGATTAGGAGGGAAATTAAGTTCTAAAGAAAGACTACTGTCTCTGACTTTGAAAGTAGACATAGATATGCACAATATACATCCCACAAATTAAAATCCTCCTTTCTCTGATGTCTTTTAATGGTAATAATAAGGACAAGCATGGCTATCATTTATTTGGGCGTTTCCAATGTGCCAGTCCCTGTCTAAACATTCAGCTTCCAGATCAAACCTATGAGGGTGGAATTAACATCCATTTCATAAATGGAAACTGAGGCTCAGGAAAGTTGAGCGAGTTACTCAAGGTAACATGAGTAGAAAAAAGGCCATATTCCAACCGGACACAGAGCCTGCAGCCCACACAATTACTCTCCATACTGTTCCTATACTATCCTGACTGGGAAGGTCCTGTTCCCTTGGCACTGGGCAAAAATAAAATTATAAGAGCAGAGAGGAAGTGGTGAAAGGGGGCAGCCTGGTGAAATCATTCCTTTACTGAAAATAGGGGTAACGGCCAGGACAGTGCAGGTCCATCCTCTGCAGATGGAAGACAGGCACGTCCTTTGCCGCTGTCCCGGCCTTAGAAAGGCACCTTCCGCGTCCAGGGTTTTCTGTGGATAAATCCCACCCCTTCCACCTCAGGCGGGGAGGAGGCCGGCCGGCCGGGGCATGGGGCGGAAGGCGAAGGACGCCCGACCCCGGCCGAGGTCTGGGGCCCCTCCCACGCCCCCCTCGTGGCTGCCGGCGGGCCAAGGGTTAAGCGAGGCGGGAGCCCCCGGCGCGGAGCGGCTCGGGGCCGGGAATGCTTAGTCAGGATTCCGATTTCCTGTCGAAGTGTTTGGATTTCCTGAAACCCGCGCCCTCCGCCGCCGAGCGGGATCGTGCGAGCCGCTCGCGTCGCCGCGGCCTCCTCCCCCTCGGCACATGGTCGCCCGCCCCTTCCTGCGCCGCGCTCGGCTCCCGCGCCTCGCCTGGCCTGGCCGCTGCCGCGGGCGAGCACTGTGCGCTGGGCAGCCCCGGGCCCGCGCCTCCCGCCCAGCCGGCGCTTCCCGGTCGCAGTTCGCTTTCCCACCCGAGAGCCGCGAGCGCCCGGCCGAACCCGCGATGGAATAATGCCCAGCGGCCCGCCAGGTCCCGGTGAGTTGCGGGGCGCTCGGGCGCGCTCGGCGGGGCCGGGCGGAGTCGCCCACAGTCGCGGGCGCCCCCTGCCCAGTCTCTCGCGCGAAGAAGGGCGCCGGGACGGGGCGCGGGGCGGGCTCCCGGCTCCTCTCGCAGCGGGGTGTCCTTCTCCGCGGGGAGGGCGCCGGCCCTGGGCTGGGGCGTGTGCGGGACGCGCGGCCAGGCTCTGCGGGGCCGGGCGAGGCCGCCCGGTGGGGGGGGGAGGTCTCCTCGCCTCCAGCTCGGGAGAGGGGGCCCCTGCAGTGGGGCCGGGGACGGGGCCCGCCCTGGGGGGTTTCGCGTCCCCCTCCGGGGGAGGGCCCGGGACGACGTGCTTGGCGGCCCGGACCCCGCCGATGGGGCGCCCTCCCGGCATTGTCTCTGGTGCAGCCGAGGAAAGTTCCCCGCGGCCCCCGGCCCCTACCCGGACCCGGCGCTGCTTGGCAGGCCCCAGGCCACTTGCCTAAAGCAAAAGAAGAGAAACGAAAGGGAAGGGGGTGGGGGGAGTCCTACTTGGAGCTTGGGGTTGGCTCCTGGGCGGACCGTGAAGTGGCTTGTGTTTTCTGCTTGTACCATTTTGGGACCTGCTGCGTTTTCTGAGAGCGACATGAAGTTTCAAAGAAAAAAGAAACTTGCCGGTGTCCGGTTTTCTGCGGTTTGATACATCCCAAGAGGTTCATCTTGGGCACTTCTAAAGCAGTTTCCTTTAATAATGTGGTTTTCCAGTAGCTCAGGGAGAAGGATGGTCAACTGCAGACCATCATCGTTAACTTGACCTCAACTTTACCTGTACTCGTCAGGAAAGCAAAAGAACTTTCTCTCGCATTTTCCCCTGTCTACTCTGTTAGGTTATCTTGGCGTGATTGATTCTGGGATGACATCAGGACCTGGATTGCTGAGTAATGTTTTGGGATTGTAAAAGCTTATCAGTTTTTAGGCCAGGGTTATCTGTATTGCAACCTTCATCCCAAAGCCTTTCTGTTTTGCAATTGTAGCGCGGCCAGATAGCTTTAAGAAAATGCGGGTCTTCTGGAAACACCCAGTGAACAGTTTGGAAAGAAAAAGATCTTTGAGAACAACTGATTCACCCCCTTCAGAGAAGGCCCAGAAAGGTGACCTGACTTGCCCAAGATCACATGGCCAGGAGTAGTTTCCACTTCTTCAGGCTCAGTCCCATGCCCCTTCTGTGTTAGATTTTGATCTGTTAGCCATGAAACAGATTTGGAAACGTCTTCTTTGCGTCACAGCCTTCACCACTTTAGTGCCTTCTCTTCTGTCCTGTTAATGCTGCTATTTTTGAGATATGCACTTATTTCAAACTGCATATTTTGAGATAGGGAGTTAAAAAAAACAAAAATCACCTAACGCCACTAAGTGGATTTGGAGATTCAGCTACCAAATGGATTTGAAGTATAAAATGAGTGGCTTATTATACGGGGAATTACTTTCCCTATCCCATTCTTTTGTGCAAAATAGAAACTCCCAGGTCCAAAAAAGGGCAGTATCTTAGCACATAATGTACCCTCTGATGTTCTCTAGACTTGATTTTCAGCCCTCCTGTTTCTTGTGAGCTAAGCAGCCCATCTATTTTTCTCATGAGAGCTCTGAATGGCTGGTTTTTCATTTTTAGTATGTGATAATGTTGGAGAGAAAGGACTTTTCGCAAGCTTGCCATTTGGTGAGGGAAATTGAAATTCTCTACACCTCCCCAGTCCTCACCAGCCACAGCGAGCCAGATTTTCAAAATCAGTGCAAGCCTGGCAGGCCCAAAGATGAATGTGTGCATTCAGATTGAGCCCTCCCTTGTGAAGACTCACGTCCCAGCTGGCATCTCCATGCTGCACCTAGGTGACTGAAGTCTAGAGGAAAGAAGGGAACCCCAGTTAGCTAGGACAGTGTTGTTCCTGCCATTTCCCCACCTAGGTCTCAGCCGTATTTGGATCCTGCTGCTCGGTTCTCATTTTTCCCTGCCGTTTTTTCACCCAACCACTGCTGTATCTGGCATGGGCTCCGGAAGGTCTTTTCTAGGAGACTGCATGAGTGATCCCCACGTGAGCAATAGTAACAGTCACCCCATTTATTAAGCACTTGCTGTATGCCCTAGACATGTTACCTCCTAAGAAGTCCTAAGGAGGAGCGGAAACTTCTTGGGGAGCCTTGCCCAGAAAGGACAGCACATCTCAGATTTATCTGGAATCGAGTTTTTCTTTCATGCATCCAGTGAAACATTTGCTAAGTGGCTTCCCTGTGGGAGGTGCCAGTCCTGCAAAGATGAATAGGACCCTGTTCTCAAGGCCTTCTATTTCCAGCCTCATCTTTCAATGTCAGCCTCACACTTTCTCTTTTAATTCATCAATTGAACAACCATGCATTGAGCACCTGCGCCATGCTAAGCCCTGTGTGGAGTCCTGATGATACAGTGGTGGACGAAATAGACCTGGCACTGCCCTTCTGGAGCTTGCATTCCTCTGGAGGAGATGAGCAACAAGGAAGAAGCAGAAGAAACAACCTCTAACAGATGAGTGATTCCTTGTTATCAAGGAAACAAACCTGGGACCAAAGTAGGGGCTGGTGGCACAAGTTGGTCCTAGTTTTGGAAGGGAAAGCCTTTCTGAGATTGGAAAATGGAGAAGGAACTGGCCAGGCAGAGAGATTGCAGGGGAGGGCCTTCCAGGCAGAGGGATGGGAATGTGCAAAGTTGACTATGCACAAAAGAGCTTGGTGTATTCCAAGGAGTGAGGGAAGGCAGGGCTAGAGTGTAAGGGAGAGATGGGGGGAATGGCGCAAGGTGAGGTTTGAGAGGGAAGCAGGGACGAGATCACACAGCCGATTCTAAGCCATGCTGGGGAGAGTCCCTCCACCCAGTACAAAGGGAAGCTTTGGTGAGTTTAAGCTCAGCAGTGATATCTGATTGACTCTTTTTTTTTTTTTTTTGACAGAGTCTAGGTCTGTTGCCCAGTCTGGAGTGCAGTGGCATGATCTCAGCTCACTGCAACCTCTGCCTCCTGGGTTCAGGTGATTCTCCTGCCTCAGCCTCCTGAGTAGCTGGGATGATAGGCATGCACCACCACACCTGGCTAATTTTTATATTTTTAGTAGAGACGGGGTTTCGCCGTGTTGATCAGGATGGTCTCAAACTCCTGACCTCAGGTGAGCGACCATGGCCAGCCTGATGGACATTTTTGAGATTGCTTTGACTGCTTTTATGAAAAGTGGATGGATCATAGGGGGCAAAGTGTAGAAGCAGGAAGACCACTTAGGAGGAAAGAGGATGGTGGCTTAGAACTGGACAGCAGCAATGGAGGTAGAGAGAAGTGGGAGGAGCCTACTTAGATCTTGGAGATAGCATTGATGAGATCTGGTGATAGATTACATTGGAATGAGGCAAGGGAAAGGACTCAAGGGTGACTCCTGGGGTTCTGGCTTGAACAGCTGGGTGTATGGTGGCGTTGTTGTGGGAGACAGGAAGACTAGGAGGATTATGCTCATGGAGAAAATCAAGTTCTGTATCAGCCATCCTAAATTTGAGATGTCTAGGAGGCATCCTGTGGAGATTTCAGGCAGGCAGGAGGCCTGGACCTCCGAGGAGACTTACAGGCTAGAGACATTATTACCAGCCTGCTGTGGAGCTGCCAGAGTGCTTGCCGGCACATGCCCTGTGTTTCATTTCCCTGAGTGTCTGCTTACGTTCTTCCCCCTGCGGGGGATGCTCTTCCTCTCTCCCAGGCTAATTGCTACTCATCTTTAAAAAGCACCTGTGTCTTTATCTCCTCGAAGATGCTTTTAACTCCCTCCCCTACTCTTAAGTCCCTGTGTTTACCTTCATTGTGTGTTCAACTGAAGTTACCCTTTTTTTTTTAATATCTTATGTGAATGAAACACTTGGTGCTGGCCTTACCAGATAATAAGTGCTCACAGTAAGGGTAAATTCGACAAATGTTAGCTATTATTATTATTATTGATGGGGGTGATAGACATATAAATAAAAATTGCATTACATTAGGGTAAGCATAATGATAGTGTATTAGTTTCTTATTGCTGCGGTAACAAATTACTCCAAACTTAGTGGTTTACATCATACAAGTTTACTATCTTACAGTTCTGGAGGTCAGAAGTCTAGAATGGATCTCACTGGGCTGAAATCAAGGTGTTAGCAGAGGATGTTACTCCTGGCAGCGCTGGGAAGAATTTGTTTCCTTGTCTTTTCCAGTATCAGGAGGCCACTTGCATATCTTGGCTTGTGGTTTCCTTCTTCCACCTCCAAAGCCGGCAGTGTTGGTCTTAATCCTTCTCAAGCTTCCATCTCTCTGATTCTCCCTTCTGGCATCTTCTTCCACCTTGAAGGACCCTTAAAGTGATTCCACTGGGCCACCTGTATAATCTAGGCTACTCTCCCTATTTTAAGGTCAACAGCTTAGCAACCTTGATTCCATCTGCAACCTTCATTTTCCATTGCCATGTAACTCATGGAACCTAATGTGTTCCCAGGTCCTGGGGATTAGGATGAGGATATCTTTGCAGCCTGGGAAAGAAGGGTGTTACGGGAGCTCTGGGGAGAGGTTCCTAACCCATGGGGAAGAGAGGGTCAGGGACATCTTACCGTGGCTGTAGTGATGCACTTGTGGGAGTCAGCCTCCACTGTGTCCTCACAGTCACTCCTTCGTCAGAGCTCTTCTCTGTGCCAGGCCTCCGTGGAGAGTTGGAGTTGAGGATTTATTTCACTGTGCATTCTTCAGCTGTCGGCCCGATTGTTCACTTTCAACCCAGGGACACTAATTTCTCACCCAGCCTCTTGAAAAAAATTAAATTTACCAACCCATGCAAACCCTCTACCAGCTCCCCGCCTCGTACCCCAAGTCCTCTCCCAGGAAGGGATGGGCAGGGTGTGAGCTGGGTCCTCTGACTTCAGAGTCTGCCCCCAGTCCATTTCCTAGCACAGCACGCATCCCTACAGTTGTTCCTTTTGTATGGCTAAAACCTTGTTCCAAAGCTGCAGCCAGGTCCCTAACCTCAGCCAGCCCTGTTCCCAGAGCAGGCCATTGGCCCCAGGAGAGGTCAGGAGGGAGTGTGTGGTTCGATTAGGACAGATCCGTCTGAGTCCTTAGGGGAAGAAGCAACTGGAGGGCCTGGCGCACTGGTGGCCCCATCTTCTGAGAGTAAAGGAAACACACCATGATGTGCTGTGTAGCCACGTTGCTGCGAGGGGTAATTAATACCAGATTTCTGAAGTCCTCTCAGTTATTTAGAGAAAATGGGCTCCTGTCCCAGATCCTCCCCAGAAACAGACGGTTTCTTGAGACCTTAAGCACTTTGGAGAGGCACATGAGCTCTCTTGGCCACCGACGAGCTGAGTTACAAAGCGACTGAGGGCGTCTGCTGCCTGGGGTCACCCTGCCAGCCCCTTCAGCTCCCATCTCTTGGAAATGCCACAAACTAAGCTTGTCTTGTAATATTTTTGGTGTTTCCTCTTCCTTCACTGCCCTAAGTCAGGAAGTGCGAAGGTGCACAGAGTTAGGAAAACAAAAGTAAGTATGTCCCTCCAGTGGCGGGATCCTGGTTGGAGCCTGGTTTGGGATAAAGAAGAGTGCCTGTCAGTACTTCCCCAGCTGTGGTGGGAGTTACGCAGAAGCCAGCTGGGGAGGATCAGCCGTGGGCACAACAGGAAGAAGGGCGTCAAGACAGCGCCCACCCGCGGCTTCTGGGGGATGTTGACATTTCCTCTTTCAAAACCAATCATGAATTTTTGGTCAAGGCTTCTGCCTCTGTAAAAACTTGTCCTGTGTGTAACAACACTGTGTGCCTATTTCATTGTAGTTAGTCTATCTATCTAAATAATTTCCTTTTGAGTAGAAATGTAAAAAGGGTGCCCAGGCATTCCATTATAGTTGTTCTCTCCTGAGACCTTGGGGGATGCAGGATGGCTCAGTGGAATGGTCGGTGGGTGGGAAAACCAGAAGATTCTGGGGTCTACTGTAGTCACCACCTGTCCTTCTCTTTTGCACTGACCATACTGACTTAACTGAGATAATGTAAGAAAAGCAGCCAGCACAAGGGTCTCGTAGATGGTAGCCGTTATTACAGCTGTCTTGCAGGGAAATGTGTTTGCTCATATAGTTCCTCACCTGTGAGCTGGGGCATCTTGAAGGGGATTGGGAACTGGGACTCTATGTTATTCCTCTTGGCCCTTTGTGCCCAGCACAGTGCCCAGCAAATGACAGGCACTGAACAAGGGGGCTGAGTCAGGTATATTGGCTTCAGCTGCTTAGCTGTGTTACCACATTTGTTGAACTTTTTTCATCGAGTTTTAATTTTTAATTTTTTTTTTTTTTTTTTTGAGATGAAATCTTGCTCTGTCGCCTAGGCTGGAGTGCAGTGGTGTGATTTTGGCTCACTGCAACTGCTCCCTCCCGGGTTCAAGTGATTCTCCTGCCTTAGCCTCCTGAGTAGCTGGGATTACAGGCATGTTCCACCACGCCTGGCTAATTTTTGTATTTTGTAGAGATGGGGTTTCACCATGTTGGCCAGGCTAGTCTTGAACTCCTGACCTTAGGTAATCCGCCTGCCTCAGCCTCCCAGAGTGCTGGGATCACAGTAAGCCACCACTCCCAGCCTAATTTTTTATATTATTATTATTTTAAGTGATAGGATCTTGCTGTGTTGCCCCAGCTGGAGTGCAGTGGCACAAATATAGCACACTGCAGCCTCTAATCCAGGGCTCAAGTGATCTTCCTGCCTCAGCCTCCCAAGTTGCTGGGATTACCAGCATGAGCCACCTTGCCTGGTTATTCATTTTTTATATTTGGATGGTCTCAAACTTCTGGCTTCAATGGCCAGGTGCACTGGCTCATGCATGTAAGCCCAACACTTTGGGAGGCCAAGGCGGGTGGATTGCTTGAGCCTCGGGAGTTTGAGACCAGCTTCGGCAACATGGTGAAACCTCACCTCTCCAAAAATAACAAAAAACAAATAACAAAAATTAGCCAGACATGGTGGTGCACTCCTGTAGTCCCAGCTACTCGGGAGGCTGACGTGGGAGGATTGTTTGAGCCCAGGGAGGTCGAGGCTGCAGTGAACCAAGATTGTGCCACTGCACTCCAGCCTGGGTGGCAGAACAAGACCATGTCTCAAAAGAAACCAAACTCCTAGTTTCAAGCGGACCTCCTGTCTCAGCCTTCCAAAGTACTAGGATTACAGGTGAGAGTTTATAATTTTAATGACTATACATTTTACTTTTAGAAATTCTTAGTTCTCTTTCAGTTCAGCCTGCCCTTCCATCCTTGGGTCCTTTTCTTTCCTTAGGGTTTCTGTTTTGTGTTTTATATCTTCATTTTAAATATACTAATGTTCTCTTTCACATTGCTCTAGGTTCGTTCTAGAGGAGCCAGTTCTCCCATTTGTTGTGTCTTCTGGTTTGGGGGCTTAGTGGCTCATGCCCCAGGAGAGCCCCACCTATCTTGGGTAGCAGAGATGTCTCCACAGAGCAGTATTATGCTTCAGCAAAGGCCCTAAGTGTTTCCTGGGTCCTGGAAAAGTTTCTATGGGAGCTTCTGGGCCCATATTTTGACCCCAGACCAATGGTGTATGGTGGATTCCACAGTCACACCCAGAGGCTTTAAAATCTGCACGGAAGCCTTTTTTCCTTACTCAGATCCTGCTTTCTTGCCATTTCTCTGGGCTGATGGGAGGAATAATTCAGGCCCTCATTTTAGAGATCAAATCATTTAGATTTTGATCTCTTTGAGGGTCCTGATTTTATAAAGGGGTCTCAGTTCTCCTCTAATTCTGGGAGACACCAAGTTGCAACCAGCTAGCTTAATATTCAGTCTTCTTTTTCAGACCAGGAAAAGAAAGAACATTTATAAAAATGTAAAAATTGCCTTTTTGGAGAAAGAACTGAAATCTGTAACAGAACATTAGTAATGAGACAATTGGATTCATATCAGCAAGCACTTACTGAGTGCGTCCTGTGCATTCACCTGCTGCAGTGCCTGCTGGAGGTGCAAGGGCAGTGGTAGGGCCCTGATCATTTCTGTAATCCCTAGTGCCTAGCACCAAGTCTAGCACAGGGAAGACAATAAACATTTCAGAAGAAAGAAAGAAAATGCATGTGCTTGAAGAATACGCATGCTGACGCAAAAGACTTACTAAGATGCTGAAGAATATCACTGAATTGAGACTCAGAAGTCCTGAATTCTAGTTTGGAATGGATACTGACTAGTTATGTGACCTCAAATAGTAGCCATTTATCCTCTGTGGACCTCAGTTCCCCACCTGCGTAAAGGGGATGGTAGCTTCTGTCCTGAGTCACCCTCCCCGCCAGGTTACAGCGCGATAATGAGTATGGAAGTGTAGGAGCCTCGGAGGGGTAAGGGGTCAGTCTTGTCTTCAAGGCCGATGGGACAGCGTGCCTTCCAGCAGCCAACGTGCCTTCTAGCAGCCATCTTGCCTTGGGAACTTCCTTCACCTCGCCCTGTAATCACTGTGGGCACTGGGTTTTCAGGGGATGGGCTGTAAGCATTTCAGGTCTTCAAAGCTTGTTCGAGCTAAGGGGCTATTGTTCGGTGTATGGTCAGTATTTGGGCACTGGGGAGCTGACCTGCTTCCTGTCTCATGTGATATCCTTTCCCCTAGAAGTTCCCTCAGGACCTCATCAATATGGGCCGAGCCGTCACAGAGAGCCGTTCTGGGATGGAATTTTTGCATGTCATTGCGTTTGTGATCTTTGACCCACTGTTCTTTGCGGCTCCTCCTCTGGCCAGTGGTTCTCATGACCCCTCCAGTGGGCTGTCCTTTGGCTAGGTCATTCTTTCCTGCCTAAGGTGACTTGGCGGGTGGAGGGTAGGAGCATTTGTCATGATGCTGTGGGAAAACCACTGGACTTGGAATCAATAGTGATAGCTATTATGTATTGCTCGTTAATATGTGTCATTACTGTTGTAAGCAGTTTTCCTCTATGAGCTCATTTAATCCTCATAATAACCCTATGAAATAGGCGCTATTTCTAACTCCCATTTTATATACGACGAACCTGAAATACGCAGAGCCTAGCTAACTTCCCTGAGGTCATATAGTTAGTAAGTGGCAAGATTTTTTTTTTCTTTTTTGAGACAAGGTCTCACTCTGTCTCCCAGGCTGTAGTGCAGTGGCGCTATGGCAGCTCACTGCATCCTTGCAATCCCAGGTTCAAGTAATCCTCCCAGGTTCAAGTGATCCTCCCACCTCAGCCTCCCTAATAGCTGGGGCCACAGGTGTGCGCCACCAGGCACAGTTAATTTTTGTATTTTTAGTAGAGATGGGGTTTTGCTGTGTTGCCCAAGTTGGTCTCGAACTCCTGGACTCAAGTGATCCACCTGCCTTGGCCTTCCATAGTGCTGGAATTGCAGGTGTGAGCCACCATGCTTGGCCCTTGTAATTGGCAAGATTTTAAGCAAGGCGATCTGTGTTCAATACCCATACTCTTGACCACGATACAATATTGCCTCTACAGACTTGAATTTTAATTCCACGCCTTAATTCTTCATGTGGCCTTGGAAGAGTCTGCTTTTAGCCTTTCTCTTAGCCTGCCTAAGCTTTAGTTTTCTAGTCTGTAAATTGTGAAAACTCTCACAGTTTTTTAAGGGTGTCAAATAAAGCAATATATAAGGAAAGTGGCTAAGCGAGTGCCTGGCACGTAACTGGTACTAAACAAAAATTAGTGGGTTTCAAAATGAGATAAGAATTCTCATTTGCATGATCAGTAGGGAGAAGAAGCATGAAAGAGTGAATTCACTTTTAAGAGTTTTCATTGCACAGATTTCCCTGCATATCCTGCTATATGCCAAGCACTTAGGATATGAAGATGAAAAATCAAAGTCCACCTGCTAGAATACCTTCCAGTTGAATAGAAGAGAAAGATATGTAACTGTTAATAATTTGGCACCAGTGTCACTCAACAGCATGGGAGAGTTACCAAGGAACAGTCATAGCTGTATAGGGAAGGGAGAGAGTCCTCCCAGTGGGGTAGTCAGAGAAAGCTTTGTGAAAGAGGTGTCTGGGCTTTACTCTTCCAAGATAGGCAGGATTTCCCTAAGTGAGGAGAGAAGGGAAGGGTATTCAAGGCTGAGAATAGCTGGATCGAAGGCTTTGTGGTAGGAATGTGCTGGCTATTTTTGGGGAGGTCTAAGGAAAATGTGTTCAAGGAGAAAGGTGAAACTCTTAGTTAAAATAAAATGGCATTTGGGGCTTCTGTCTGAAATGCAGTCATCCCTGCTACTTCCTATGCCTCCACTGATACAGAACTCCTGATCTAGAAAAGCAAACTATGGTGTCGTTTATAGACCTTCCCATAATAGCTGTTAGCAAGTTTCCTCTCGTAGGACAGTTACTTCCTCAGCCCTAAAATAGAATGGCAGCAGGGTGGAGATGTGGGATATTTGCAGTCTACACTCTGTTGAGCAGCATACTGCGGGGGCGAGTGAGCGACCAGGTGTAGCAGACAGTGGTTGCTTACCCAACATCTTTTCCCCTTCTCTTTTGCTGGCAGGACATTGATCTTCAGATGTCCACCCTCCAGTGGGTGAATCACTGGGTCCTATTCCCCTTGGCAGTGATTGGGTTAGGTGTGGGCAACTGACAGAGCTCTGGCCAGTGAAATATGAAGGGAAATTGCCTGGCAGTGGGGGTGAAGAAAGATTTTTCTGCATCTTAAAAAGAGACATGTAGGAAGAAAAAGCCCCTCTTCTTTTGTGGGACGTACTGGGGTTAGCATGTGATACCTGGAACCGTGGCAGCCATCTTGGGACCATGAGGGAGCCTAGCTTAGGGAGGATGTGTTGAGGGTGTCAGAGCAGAAAAATGGAAGGAATGAGACACCAAGCACCTACCTTTAGACTATTCTGATGGGAGTTTTCTGTTATTTGTAACTAAAAAACACCTTAATGAATGCACAGTGGGATGAACAACTCACATGGCATCTAGAAGATTCTGGGTTCACTACACTTTCCTCATTCACCCTAGGCTTTAGCCAACCACCCTGTTTGAATTCTCTTCCAAAATGAAGAACCTTTATACTTTCACAGTCTTGCTGTTCCCATCATCCAAAATGCCCTTTCCCTACCTTCCCCATCTGCCAAAAACCCAACTTATTATTTAAAGCATGGCTCAGGTGCACCATCTCTGAAAAGCCTTTCCCAGTCTTTACTATTGTGATTATTTTCTTCTTTGAGTACCCGTAACATTTGTCGTCCTCTTCTCAACCTCCCTTCCTCCCTCTCTCCCTTCTCCCCCTTTCCCCTCCTCCCCTCCTCCTGCCTCTGTTCCCCCATCTTCCTCCTTTCCTCCTCTTCCCTCTCCCCCTCTTCCCTTTCCTCCCCCTTCCCCCTCCCCCTCCTCCTTTCCTCCTCTCTCTTCCCCCACCTCATTTTCCCCCTCCTTCTCCTCCCCATTTTCCCCTTTCTCCTCCCTCTCCTTCTTTCCTCCCCTTCCCCTTCTTCCCCCTCCTCCTCCTTCCTCCTTTCCTCCTCCTCCTCTCCCTTCCTCTCTTCCTCCTCGCCATTTCCCCCTCCTTATCTTCCCCCTTTCCCCCTCCTACTCCTCCCTTTCCTCCTTTCCTCGTCTTCTTCCTCCTTCACCTCTCCCTACTCTTCCCCTTCTGTCTCTGTCTTTCTGTATTAAGTGCCTACCATTTGCCAGCTGTTGTGCTGCATACTCTGCTATCCTGGAACCTCTCATATGAATGGGGGCCAGACATGTCCAGATAATTATGAGCCAGCATGTTTAGTGTGGTCCTGCAGGAACATAACATGTAATGGGCACTTAGGAAGAGGTGCCTGACTCCACCTTGCAGGGAGGGTCAGAGAAGACTTGTTACAAGGTGTAATCCTTGAGCCGAATCTTAAATAACGAATAGGAACCAGCCAGTAAAGAATGGAAGGAAGGGAAGGAAATTCTAGGTGTAGGGAGCCTCAGCAAGGATGTGAATGGTACCAATAGCACAGTATGTGCTGGAAATTACAAGTGGTTCGTTATGGTTGGAACCTAACGTTTGAGGTAGGATGTGTTGAGGTCAGAGCAGGAGGCAGGAGCCATATCCTGGAGCTTGAACTTTATCTTGAAGCCGCTGAGGAACCACTGAAGGCTTAAGGCAGGGGGGTCATGTGATACTTGCCTGTTGGAAAGGTGACTCTGGCTACATTGGACTGAATAGATTAGGTGGTTGATGCCAGGGTCTGGAAGCAGGAAGGCCAGCTCTGATGCTCTTACAGGAGTCTGGGAGGGAAGATGGGGAGGCAGTAGGATTGGCTGGCATGGGGATCATTTGGAGGGGGGATGGGGAAGAGAGAGAGCCATGACACTGATTTCTGGCCAGTTGGCAAGGCTGAGTCATGTCTATGTCTCAAAACATTGTCACCTCCTCAGCCTCCTGATTCTTCTAGTGTGTGCGTCCCTTAGAGTGGTCAGTTCCTGGCTTCAGTGGGAAACTATCTGAGGGAGGCGCAAGTCTATGTCCTCCCTTCTCTCCGGTCTTCTCCTCCCACAGCTGCAGCACTTTGGCTGCTCCTTAAGTGGAACAGGAAGTGGAGCTGTGACATGTTTTTCCCGAAGTCCTTGCTTTCTAGGTCTGAGCTTGAGAAGAGAGAAGACTCCCTTCACGCCTGTCACTCATTGTCTTTCTTTCTTGCTCTTCTTCCAACCCAAACCAATTCTGAATACACCTTCCCAGTGTCTGCAGTCCAGCCCCTTCTGTCCATCCCACAGTTCCTGCCTCGGGTCAGTGTTCTGGGTGGTTTCTCTGGAATCATCCAACCCTCTCCTACCTCACTGCCCTCAGCCCATCCTCTGAGCTGCCTCAGGGAAATCTCCTTAAAACTTCAGATTGGGTCACCTTCCTGCTTAACAAGCTTCAGTCTCCATCCCCATGCCCAGGTGGTCAGGGTCAGAGGAAAGCAGCTGGACGTTTCAACTGCTCAGACCGAGGGTCAGCCCTGGCTCTCTGCTTACCCACTGAACGCCTTTAGACAAGTCACCCAACTTGCCAAACCTTCATTTCTTCAGCTGTGAAATGGAGATAACTTGCCTTACTGAGGGATGAGTGAGTAAAAAAATACATTAAAGTGCCATCCTAACACATACGTACGTACAAACACACAGGTTTTCTTTCCTCCTTGCCATTTTATTCATCTTGGTGAGTCCTTCATATCCACTTAGCAAACTGCCCATCCTGTAGTAGACCAGATGCTTAATTCATGTTTGATGAATGAATTATTCCTTTGTTCCTTTTTAGCTGAGAGTTTGACAATCTCTCTTTTGCTAAATTCGAGAAGCTTTTTTGAGTTGTCTTTGAGGTCCAGAAGGATCGGGGCCCTGGTGCTCAGGGGAGTTCATTTGGAGGAGGAAACGGAAGCTAAGACTTAGTCTCAGGCTTCCTGACTTCAAGCCGATGATCTTTCCATTGGCCACCTTGTAACTTCCTGGGCAATCAGGAGCCATCTACTGGGGCACGTTGCCCAGGCTCTGGGATGTATCATCATGAAATGAGTGGAGGCTGCCCTCCAGGCAGCTATTATAGAGAACAACAAATTGAGGAGTTTGCATAAGCAGGGCCACATGAATTAGTCAGCGAAGTATACATGCGTTATTCTTCAAAACTCATTTTTCCCAAAGAATCTTAATGGACAGAACGTGTGTGTGTTGCGGGGGAGTGGGGGTGTTCTCCTTCTGGAACAAGTTGAAAGTTGGTTGGGGTAAGTTAAGTTCAGTAGTGATATTTTAAACTTCCAGCTTGAAGAAAGTAATAGTGTTAAGTGTTTGCAGATGGTAATCACATGGGACCTGAAACAGAGTCTACAGAGGGTAATCATACACCAGAAACAACGCTGCTTCTGTGGTATGGATGGCTGGTAAGAGTTTGGATCCTGGACTTAGGTGTGGGTCCTAACTTGGCTTTTTACTGGCTACTTGCTGACTGTAAGCAAGTTTCAAACCTCTTTGAGCCTTAGTTTTGTTACCTGTCAAATGGAGAGAATAAGACTTTTGCCTCATAGGTTTTGTCAAGAGAACTATCTAAAGTGAGACATGGAGAACAGTGAGAGTGGTGCCTGGCACATGGAACTAGGGGGAGAGGAAATGTTAGCTATCCTGATGACAGTGGTGATGAAGATGACTGTTACAGGTTGAATTGTGTCCCTTCAAAAGATATCTTGAAGTACTAACCCCCAAAACCTCAGATTGTGTTTTTATTTACAAATAAGCTCTCCACAGAGGAAACAAAAATTAAAATGAAGTCATTAGGGCGAGCCTGGATCCAAAATGACTGGTGTCCTTATAAAGGAAATTAGGACCTAGAGGCAGATATGCACAGAGGGAAGACGATGTCAAGGCACACAGGGAGAAGACACCCCTGTGACTGCAGTGATGCAGCTACAATTCAGGGAACATAAAGGATTTCTGGCAACCACCACAAGCCAGGAAGAGGCAAGGAAGGATTCTCTCTGAGAAGAACCGGAGAGGGTGTGGCCCTGCTGATATATTGATTTTGGAATTCTAGCCTCCTGAATTGTGAGAGAATAAATTTCTGTTCTTTTAAGCCATCCAATTTTGGTACTTTTTAATGACAGCCCTAGAAAATTAATGCAATGATAATGATGGTGGTGGTGGTGGTGATGGTGATGATGATATGATGATGGTGGTAATGGGGATGATAATGGTGCTGCTGATGGTGGTGATGTTGGTAGTGATGATGATGATGGTGGTAGTGATGATGATGGTGGTAGTTCTGATGGTGATGATGATGGTGGGGGGATGGTGATGATGGTGGTGATGATGACAGTGGTGGTGGTGGTGGTGATGATGATGGTGATAGTGGTGATGATGGAGTTGATGATGATGATGGTGGTGATGATGGTGGTAGTTATATGATGGTGATGATAGTGGTGCTGCTGCCACTGCTGATGGTGGTGATGGTGATGGTGATGAAGATGGTGGTGGTGGTGGTGATGATGATGGTGATAATGATGGTGGTGGTGGTGATGATGATGATGGTGATGGTGGTGGTGATTTGGCATTTGGCCTAAAGACTCACCCAGAAGGTGGCCACATGTGTCTGACTGTAGATAGTCCTGTGGCTTTAATTTAGCGAGCACTGGCATGAATATTCCTTCCAATTTTATATTTTAGACATGCCTCCAGTGGCATTTTTTGGGAACTTCGTTGGTATTATACTAGGAGCAGGTGATTCAAAGTAAATATTCCCAGTCTAGAGAGTGAGATGGACACTGAAGAGGGACAGTTCCTCAAGAGGTGAAGTGACGTTTGATTCACTGCATGACTGTGTGGGAAAAGGGAATCCCCAAAGTTCTCTCAGATGGTGGCCCATGAGTCACCATGTAGACAATGGTGGGGCGGGTGCTTTGTGGCCAAGTGTAGAGACTTGGAGAAGGATTGGAGAAGAGGTTGATGTGGTAGGATGTGGAAGGGATGGGAGCCAGGGGCTTAAGATACAGGGGCACAGTGAGCAGAGACTAGATTGAAATTGAGAAGAAGGTAGGTCTTAATCCTGCCACCAGGAAGATGAGATTTGTGAGTTGTGCTTTAGAAACATCCCTCTGTTGGGGCTCAGCTGTACCTCCTTCACCTCCAGGTTGTGTTGGCCTCCCTGTGCATTGCATTGAGAGGATATTCAAACTGAAGGGGAGAAGCACGGATTCTGAAGGATGAAAAAGGAACAATGTGAGTTATTCCATGTCTTAGAGATAGTGTGGTATGACAGAGAGAGTGTAAACTCTGGTATCACATAGTCCTGTGTTGGAGTCCTTCATGGAATCTGGCTCTGTCCCTTGCTTGGTGACCTTCGGCACCTTTTTTCTGAGCCTCAGTTTCCTCTCCTTTCCACTTGCGCTGCCAATACCCCCTGCAGAGTATGGTGGAGATTAAATTGGGATTTTATAGGCCAAGTATGTGGCATCTGAGAGGCCCTGAATAAAAGTCAGTTGTTCTACACTGAACCCTGTCCACATGTGGGATTCTCGGCAAGGGCTTATTGGTGCTTGTGAAACCTAATTAATCAGAGGTGGGAAGAGAGAGCTGGCCTTTGGAAGGGCTTGCATTTCATAGGAGTAAACACACTGTCAATATCAAGAGGAGCTGAGTCCCTGGGAGGAAGGGGTGAGACATGGTGGCTCCTGGGAGGCCATGATAACTCTTACTGGCAGGTATAACCATGAAGTCCCCATTGCTCTCCGGTTCTTTAAAATATCAAGAAAAGCAGGTAAAGGCTTCTCAGCTCTGGATGGCTTAAAAATAGCCACTGAACAGAGTGGCCAAGCTGTTTTCCCCATGACCTGGCACCTGAAGTCCCCCTTCCCACCCACTCCTGCTCTGCCGTCTCTGCCCAGTAATGACTCCTCATGTATCCTCATCCTAGACACTCCAGCTAGGAACCTTGATATTTATTCCATGCATATTTGTTTGCATTTACATTGCATGCCGGTGGTATTCTAGGGGCGGGACAACAGTAGCAAACATGACAGAGAAAAATCCCTATCCTCATGGACTTTACATTCCAGTGGGGCAACAGATAGCAAACAAACATGAAACGGATGGTGTGTGAGACGACAAATAGTCCTTATGGAAGAAAAATCATCTGGAGAGGAGGCTGGGGCATGCTGGGGAGGGTGTGCATTGTTAAATGGGGTGTTCAAGGAGGCTTTCCCTGAGAATGTGACACTAAGCAAAGACCCAAAGGAGCTGAGGGAGTGAGCACACGGCAGTTTGGGGAGAAACGATTCCTAGGCACAGGGCCTGCCCCATGCAGAGACCCTGATAACTGCATGCATGGCACATTAAAGGTACCTCAAGGAAGCCAGTGTGGCTGGAGTGGAGTAAGTGACAAGAAAGTTGGTGCAGGAAAAGGTTGATGGGGTGGGGATGAGGGCTTAACCTTGCTGGGCATTTTGTGGACTTTAGCTTTTGCTCTGAATGACAAAAGCAGCTCTTGGAGGGTTGTGAGTGGAAGAATGATATGAGCTTGGCTTACCCTTTTTTTTTTTTTCCTAACCAGTGTATTAGTTTATGCTCACACTGCTATAAAGAACTACTTGAGACTGGATAATTTATAAAGAAAAGAGGTTTAATCAGCACATGGTTCTGCAGGCTGTACAGGCTTCTGCTTCTGGGGAGGCCTCAGGAAACTTACAATTATGGTAGAAGGCGAAGGGGAAGCAGGTACATCTTACATGGCGGAGCAGGAGAAAGAGAGAGAGAGGAGGAAGCTGTCACACACTTTTAAACAAGCGGATCTCGGGAGAGTTTATCATGAGACAGCACTAGGGGGATGGTGCTAAACCATTAGAAACACCTTTCATGATTCAATCACCTCCCACAAGGCCCCTCCTCCGACACTGGGAATTACAGTTCTACCTGAGATTTGGGTGGGGACACAGATCCAAACCATATCAAGCAGTATTTGCTGTCTGCAAATGCTTAATGCTGGTGAGAGTGGAAGCAGCGGCAGTGGTGGGGACGGCTGAACTCTGAAAGTATGGATTTCTTCTTCCTCCCTCAACTCATCCAAACCATGGCTAAGCTGGGTCAGTTCTACCTTGGCCATTGTAGGGAGATTGGGAGGACTTTGGAGATACTATACATCAAGTTTGTTAGTCTGTCAGCCGCTTTAGAACAGGAATGTGTCTTCTTTCTTAAGTGTCCTTAAAACCTAGCCCAGTGCCTGACATAACTTGTAGGCATTTTAAATGCTTATGATGATTAGCCTGTCATTCTCTGATCCCTAAGATTGAATTTGGAGCCATCTTCAGTGCTCCCAGGATCCCCCTTATGCTTAACCTTTTCAAAACATCTGTCACTCTGATCTTTCATTGTCTGTCTGTTCCCTCTGCTGGTCCATGAGCTTCATGAGACCCATGCTGTTTTTTGTTCTTTGTGTTTTTTGAGACAGAGTCTTGCTCTGTCGCCCAGGCTGGAGTGCAGTGGTGAGATCTCGGCTCACTGCAACCTCTGCCTCACGGGTTCAAAGGATTCTCATACCTCAGCCTCCCAAACAGTTGGGACTACAGCTGTGTGACACCATGCATGGCTTATTTTTGTATTTTTATTTACATATATATATATATTTTGAGATGGAGTCTCACTCTGTCACCCAGGCTGGAGTGCAGTGGCACAATCTCACCTCACTGTAACCTCTGCCTCCCAGGTTCAAGTGATTCTCCTTCCTCAGCCTCCCAAGTAGCTGGGATTACAGGTGCCTGCTACCATGCCCAGCTAATTTTTATATTTTTAGTAGAGATGGGATTTGGCCATGTTGGCCAGGCTGATCTTGAACTCCTGATTTCAAGTGATTTCGCCCACTTCGGCCTCTCAAAGTGTTGGGATTACAGGGATAAGCCATTGCGCCCGGCCTGACCCACACTGTTTGTCCACTCTTTTTTTTATTTATTTATTTATTTATTTTTATTGAGACGGAATCTCGCTCTGTCACCCAGGCTGGAGTGCAGTGGTGAGATCTCGGCTCACTGCAACCTCTGCCTCCCGGGTTCAAGCGATTCTCCTGCCTCAGCCTCCCGAGTAGCTGGAACTACAGGCACCTGCCACCATGCCCGGCTAATTTTTTGTATTTTTAGTAGAGACAGGGTTTCATCGTGTTAGCCAAGATGGTCTTGATCTCCTGACCTCGTGATCCGCCCACCTTGACCTACCAAAGTGCTGGGATTACAGGCCTGAGCCACCACGCCTGGCCTGTTTTGTCCACTCTTGTAAGTGCAGTACCTGTCTCTGGGCCTGCTACCTGGTAGATGCTCAGGAAGTGCTCTTTTAAATGAATGAATGCACCTGGTCCCTTTTATCACCTGCTGAGAAGGGCAGTGTTTCCAGCCAGTATCTCTTCCAATCCCAGCATGTCACTGGGAAGATTAAATTGTTTAAAAAAAACAAAAACAAACGCTGAGCCTACAAGGTAGCCTCTGGGCTTTTTGAAGGGAAGAGCAAAGTCAGAGAGCTGTTACTGTTTGAATCAGCGGTGCTGAAGGGCTCTTGGGAAGTGGAGTGCTCTCCGAGGCTTGTCTACATGGCAGAGGCATGTGGATAATTGCATCAGGAGAGTGGGGGCTAGGCCGTCAGACCAATAGGCTGGGGGTGGGCCGGAGTCCTCCTGGGCTGGGAGATCTGGGACAGTGTTTTCCAGAAATTCTGGTTGACTGAGTTTGCCTGTATAGACCAGAGAATGGGCAGCCGCAGTCTCATGTGAGGACATTTTGCAACTCTCCCATTTTCAAGCTCAGCTCACATTTATTGATTTTTTTTTAACCTCAAGGCCTTTTATAGTTTCTTTTGTTATCCATTTTAAATTATATTTTTGTAATAGCTTTATTGACATATAATTCACATGCCATGCAAATCACCATTTAAATTGCAGAATTCAGTGGTTTTTAATATATTCAGAGTTGTGCAGCCATCGCCGCAGTCAATTTTAGAACATTTTCATCACCGCCCTTCAAAAAAAACTCCATCCATACTCATTAGCAGTCACCCCCCATTTTCCCAATTCTCCTCCCCCAGCCCTAGATAACCTTTAAAGTACTTTCTGCACAATTACTTTTTCTCCTCCAAATGTAAACATAGTAAATGCTCATAACAGAAAATTCAGAAAGAACAAGAAAAGATAAAGAAGCAAATAATCATCATCCATAATTATCCAGCCAATGAGAGATAACCACTTTTGTCTCTCTATGCTGATATACTCATAGACACATAGTTTTTGCGAACAGTGACATCTTACACATTCTTTTCAACTTATTCCTTCATATAATATATAGGGACTCTCCTTCCATGTTGAATAAATATAGATTTACATGATCATTTTTGCTGGCCATGGATAGATCATAATTTATTTGACTGGTTCTTTTTTAATGGACATTTAGGTTGTTTCTAGTTTTTGCATGTACATACTTGTCCAAATACTTACTTTTGACAAATTCCCAGAGGTGGAATTTCAGGGACAAAGGGTAGGCACATTTTCAAGTGTTGTACATATTACCAAGCCACCCTCCAGAAAGGTTTACCAATCTGTATTTCT
The DNA here is from genome assembly GCF_000001405.40 of Homo sapiens. Classification (NCBI taxonomy): domain Eukaryota; kingdom Metazoa; phylum Chordata; class Mammalia; order Primates; family Hominidae; genus Homo; species Homo sapiens. The sequence goes on along the minus strand of NC_000008.11, from coordinate 130,423,376 downwards.
ATGAGCAATTTTGCAAGTATACATTTCTTGCCCGCCCCAGGCATTATCAATTATGTTAATTTTTGCATAGCTGATGGACTAAAGATAAATGTTCTTTATTTGCATTTTTAAATTTAATGCTAAAGTTGAACATATTTCCCAGCTATGCAGGTGGCTGATGCAGGAGAATCGCTTGAACCTGGGAGCTGGAGGTTGCAGTGAGCCGAGATTGACCCACTGCACTCCAGCCTGGGTGACAGAGCGAGACTCTGTCTCAAAAAAAAAGTATAAATATGGATTGTAATAGTTGTTGTAAACTGACCGAAACCAATGGCGCAATTTAGTTCTATTACTTGGTACTGTGCTTATACATAGACTTGGATTCTAGACCTGACTTTGCCGTCAACTGTGACCTCAGGCTGCTTAACCTCTGAGGACCTCAATTTCCTATTCTTTAAAGTGTTGGAGGTGAAGCAGATGGATATTTGAGGTTGTTTCCGGATCCATCTTTATCATTCCATGTTAAGAATAATAGAAGGCAGCAGTGGAGGAAACTGAGGCTTCAGCCTGCTTACTGGCTTGCTCCAAGTCCCAGAATTCACAAATGACAGTGGAGATTTGAACCCAGAACTTGCTATGAACCCAGGACCAAGCCTCTTGCTGTTCCCTGGCTCCTGTCCCCTTTATGGGAAATGAACCAAGATTTGTCAAGATGATTGTTAATCTCCAGGCCTACTTCAAGGAGTGTGAATCCCCTCCAAGAGGCTGATCCATGGGAGAGAGTTTTGGGAGCACAGAGAAGGAAGGGTTTAGATTATTAGATTTCTAAGGACAATGGAATCTTGACAGAGACAGCTTAGGAGGAACTGCAGAGAAGCCCGAGGCAAGGGAGAAGGCGGGAAAGTACACTGTGTAAGAGACAAGCACAGCCCAGGGAGCAGGAGCCAGGAAGCGTGGGTGATCCGAGCCTGGGAATTTACTTTTCTATCAAGGAATTAGAAAGTCAGGCCTCATCTGGAAAGGGCTAGATTAGATTAAATCAGTGTTTCTCTGTAGTCACAGTTTATATGCTCCTGGACCCTCACCAGGTGACTGTGATGGTCTGGCTCCAGAGTCCTCATCGGCTTCATCTCCACGCCCCCTTCTTCCCTTTCCTCCCCTTCCTCCACCTGCAGCTGTTGTTGAAGATGTGCCCATCCCCCTCAGGCCTCCACACTGTGGCTCAGGTTGGTCTCTGAAGGCCTGTAAGGTTTGTCTACATGATGAGCTCCTTATTCTGAGCTGGAGTATTCCCCTCTTCCAGGAGGCCGTTCCTGACCAGCCTGATTCTGGGTAGAATTGACCACCTTCTTGTTTGTGCCCACCCCCTCTACCTTGTACATTTCACTGTCTGTTTTGTTCATACCTCTGTCTCCCCCACTATTTTGTGGCTTTCTGAGAGCAGATATTCTTATATTATGTTTATTTGGAACTCACAGGATTTCTCACATAGTAGGTATTCAGGTGAAGCCTTTTTTGGATGAATTAATGAAACCTTCTGTAATTCAATTCAGTAGACACATATTAAGGAGACTGGGATGGTGTATTAGTTAGTAATATAGTGATAATAGCTGCAATAACAAATAGTCCCCACGATGTTTATTGGCTCAAACACAAGAAATGTTTTTCCTTCTTCATGTAAAAGCCCAAAATGTGTATTTCTAGTTCGGTGGGAGTCTCTCATCCATGTGGTGGCTCATAGACCTAGGCCTCTGCTACATTCTGTGGCCCTGCTGCCCCCTGGAGCTTTGTTGCTGTCAGCTTCCACTGGCAGAAGAGGGAAGGAGCCTGGAGAAAGCACACCCACTTCTTAAAAACCTTGGCCTGAAGAATGGCATGCAACATTTCTATCTCATTCCTTAGCTAGAAGTCTGACACATGGTCACACCCAGCTGCAAGGGAGTCTGGGAAATGTAGTCTAGCCATGCACCCAGGAGGAAGAGAAAACAGAGTTTTGGTGAACTAGCAGTGCTGCCACAGATGGTGAATGGGGCTCAACATCTTGTCCTCTGAGGCTTGGTTGAAGGGATGGGGAATGTTTGGCTTGGAGAAGCAAAACTCCTGATAAAGTGATATTTGTGACCAGGGCTATAATTTGCCAACCCCTAGTCTGGAGAGATCCAAAGTCCCTCCCAACTCTAGACACTGTGATTTTTTTGTTGTTGTTGTTATGCACCCAGCGTATGCAGAACACTAAGACTGTTGCTGGTAGGAGGGGAGGAGAGAGGCAGAGGACAAGCAAGCTTGAAGTAATTTGCCCAAGGTCACACAGCTAGTAAGGGATGGAGCTGAGATTCGGGTCCAACAAGCTGGTAACAGAGCCTGCCTGCTTAGTGGCTATACTGTATGTTCCTCATTGGAGCCCGATACCCATTCTACCAAGTAGGTATTATTATTGCCAGTGAGGGAAGACTCATAATTTTGTGTTAAGAGGAATGAATGAAGTAACTTTTTTTTTTTTTTTTGAGTTGGAGTTTTGCTCTTTTTGCCCAGGCTGGAGTGCAGTGGCGTGATCTTGGCTCACTGCAACCTCTGCCTCCCGAGTTCAAGTGATTCTCCTGCCTCAGCCTTCCAAGTAGTGGGATTACAGGTGTGCACCACTACGCCTGGCTAATTTTTGTATTTTTAGTAGAGATGGGGTTTCTCCATGTTGGCCAGGCTAGTCTCGAACTCCTGACCTCAGGTGATCCGTCTGCCTCGGCCTCCCACAGTGCTGGGATTACAGGTGTGAGCCACCGCACCTGGCCTCAGTACTTCATTTATATTTATGGCTGAATAATTGCATTGTATGGCTGTACCACACTTGGTTTATCCATTCCATTCCTTGGCTGATAGGTTTTGGGTTGTTTCCACCTCCTGGCCATCGTGAATAGTGCTGCTATGAACATTCATTTACAAGTATTTATTTGAATGTACATTTTCACTTCTTCTAGGTATATGGCCAGGAGTGGAGGTGCTGGGTCATCTGATAACCCATGTTTTGACTTTTCCAAAGTAGCTGAACCATTTTGCACTCCCACCAGCAATGTATGAGGGTTCCAGTTTCTCTACATCCTCGCCAAGACTTGTTATTGCTATTGTGTGTGTGTGTGTGTGTGTGTGTGTGTGTGTGTGTGTGTGTGTATTTCATTATGGCCAGCCTAGTGGGTGTGAGGTTTTATCTTACTGTGGTTTTGATTTGCATTTCCCTAATGACTAATGCCTTTAAGCATCTTCTCACCTGCTTTTTGGCCACATAAAGGAATCTTTAAGTAGGTGTAAGCTGGTTGGCTGGGCGTGGTGGCTCACACCTGTAATCTCAGCACTTTGCGGAGCAGAGATGGGAGGATTGCTTGAGACCAGGAGTTCGAGACCAGCCTGGTAAACATAGCAAGACCCCCATCTCTATTAAAAAAAAAAAAAAGAAGAAGAAGGTGGTGCAGGCAGATGTAGGGAAGCTCCAGGGATAGCAAAGCCCCAAGGCTCCTGTGTGTGCCTAGTTTTGAGGAGCAAGGAGGAAGAGTTATTGGAAACCGGAGACAGCGAGGGCTGTGCGAAGGAGCCCTGGCCAGAGCTGAAACTTGGATTGAGGCCAGCAGCCGTTTCACAGTGACCCCTAGAGAGGGAGCCCCAGGGAAGAGATCGGATGCCTCAGCCTCCCTCTCCCTCCCTCCTGTCTTCTGCTGGGGCTCCCTGTTGCTGAAACCACCCTGTAGCAGAGGAGGAGCAAGCCCTTGCACTAGTCCCTGAGGTCAATTTGGGGTGCAGAGTCAGACGGAAAAGGGAGGACCAGTGGAGGGGGACTGGCACAGTGGCTGCGCAGCTTCCTTTTCCCGTAGTTCTTTGGGTTCGACCTTCCTATGTTGGCATCTCCCCAAGACTGGTAGTGAGATCGGCTGCAGCCGTTTTTAGCTTCACATCTTTCTTATAACATCCAAAAGAAGGGAGAAAACCCCATTTCAGAAACTTCTGGACAAAAGAGAAAGGGCTTTCTCAGAAACCTCCAGCCTCATATCTTATTGACCCCAATTGGGTTACATATTCCTTCTAAAGTAATTAGTGGCAGACGATGGGGATGGTTTTAAGCCAGTGAGGCCCACACCTGGGACTGTGGGCACATGTACTTCATGGGAAGGGAGATCCCAGTTGAAATCAGCAATGAGGAGCGATGCTGGGCAGAAAACCCATAGCGCCGTGTCCTTGGGGAGTCCTTGGACCATCTGTTTGACTGAAGCCTCGGTTTTTTTCTGCTCCACCACACACTGGCTGGGGTGAGACAATGCGTGCGGGACCCTGGCCTCCAGGAAGGGTCCCTGCCCTGGCTGCAGGGCCTGATGTGCCATGTTCGGCTCAGGCCTGCTGAACAGCACCATTTCCAGCTTCTGCCTTTTACCAGGCCTCTTAGGGAGGGTCTCCTAAGCCTCTCATTCCTGTGGCCCATGTCGCTGAAGGGATGAACTGAAGCCCCTTCCACAGCAGTGATTCCAGGGATTGAGACTTCACTCCATCAGAGCCACAAGGTCAGAGTTCAACTAGGAGTTTAGGGAAGGAGATCTTTTTGTAGATTTTGCCACAAAAGAAAGAATAATTAAAAAAAAAAAAACTCCTATTTTTTTTGGCACCTATTGTATGATTCTATCCAAATAGGCAAAGCTATATAAACAGAGGTTATATTGTTATTTTTGCCGGGGGTGTGTAGAGGGTGGAACGGGGAGTGACTGCTTATGGGTTCGGGGTTTCATTTTGAGGTGATGGTTGCACACTTCTGTGAATTATGCTAAAAACCATTGAATTGTACACTTTATTTTATTTATTTATTTATTTATTTATTTATTTATTTTGAGACAGAGGTCACCCAGGCTGGAGTGCAGTGGCGCTGTCTCAGCTCACTGCAACCTCCGCCTCCTGAGTTCAAGTGATCCTCCTGCCTCAGCCTCCTGAGTAGCTGGGATTACAGGCTCATGCCACCATGACCGACTAATTTTTGTATTTTTAGTAGAGACGAGGTTTCACCATGTTGGTCAGGCTGGTCTCAAACTCCTGACCTCATGATCCGCCCGCCTGGCCCTCCCAAAGTGCTGGGATTACAGGTGTGTGCGACCGTGCCGGGCCTGAATTGTATACTTTAAATTGTGATTAATTGTATGTGAATTATAAGTCAAGAAACCTGTTGGAAAAAAACATTAAAGAAAGACTTATGCTCCTATTCTCTTTGTTTTATTTAAGGCTGAAGTTGATTGCTACCTTATTCTCTGATAAAAATTATGGTTTACACCATCTCCTTTCCTCTCCTCTCTCTTCTGTCCTTGTGGCCTTGGGGCAAGTTCTCCTCCCCTCCCTTGGTCTGTGGGTCTTGTGGAGCTGACCCGCTCCCCGTGTCCATCTGGGCACATAAGCAATACCTGGCTAGTCCAGTGAGTGTTCCAGCCCCTGGCCACAGAAATTAGTTCAAGGATGGATGAACAGTCAGAGTCAATCCTGAGACTTTTATTAGAACCACCAGTACAGCGAGGCTTTCCTGCAGGGATTGCTGAATTGTGTCTGGATGTAAGCCTGAAAGCCAGTGGCCCCTTTGGTGAGATCCTGCCTGAAAATGCCATCCTTCCCCTGAACAGAAATACAGAGCCAACAGATGAAGACTAACCTCTCCCTGACCACATCCTCTGAGCCCTTGAATCTAGCCAGGCCTGAATTTCCATCCTTCCTGGACTTGTCAGTTTTGTCAGCCCATGCATTTGCCTCTCCTTTTTTTTTTTTTTTCCCCTGAAGCCAGGACTTGTGGGGTTTTCTGTCTCATGAAGCATGTCTAGGTATGGGTTCTGCAAATTCGGACCCTCCAGCCTGACCCCTTTTCACAACAATCTCTGAACTGTGAGAAGGGACTGCTCTTTCCGCCCGTATCACTTGTGTCAGAGCGAGCCAAGAAAACTGCTTCCACAGAGGAAACGGGCTGACAATGGAATGTCCCGACCCAGCACATGAAGTCCTTTGGAAGGGCCCCTGGAAGGGCATCTGGGAACCGCCCAGCATCCTTTCCATGGGCCCACAGGGAACAGCCCTGCTGCTGCGGCACATAGTCCATTGCATTTGTGTATGTGTGTATGTGTGCATGCAGTTGGACTTGGGTTGTATATCTGTCTGTCTGTATGTGTGCAGTTGTACGTGGGTTGTTTTCTGTGTGTGTGCAGTTGTACGTGGGTTGTTTTCTGTGTGTGTGCAGTTGTACATGGGTTGTATTTCTGTGTGCAGTTGTACATGGGTTTCACTTCTGTGTGTATGTGTGCAGTTGTACATGGGTTGCACTTTGCATGTGTGTATGTGTGTATGCAGTTGTACATGGGTTGCACTTCTGTGTGTCCATATGCGTGTATGCAAATGTACACAGATGTGTGTACTGGGAGCTATGGCCTTTATTTCTTCCATTTGGCTATGTATTATCCCACTTGGGTCATAGTCATTCAAGATTTGATGTGTTTATAACAGAAGAGAGAAGGTTGCCCCATCAGCTCAGGCTGCCGTGATACCAGAATGGGAAGTCTGATGCTCTTTCCCACAGTGGTTGTGGCATGTGGTCATTATGATTTCTGTTTTACCACTGTGGCATCAGAGTCTCCGAGGAGCCAGTGGACTTTCCATTAGGTGGCAGCCTAAGCAGGTAGCTGAGCCAAATCTCCTGCCCCTTTTGGGGCACTAATGCATTCTGCCTCAGACTAATTCCTTGTAGTTCTCTGTCATTCAGGGGAAATAGGGTTCGGAAAGGTGGGAAGCCTTGATTGATTTCTAAGAGAAATCTAGTTTACAGCAGCCCCCAGAAGATGACAGTCAGGATAACCTATTTTGGAGATAGTTGCAAAGCAAGTGACTTGCAGGACATCCATGGCTCTGATTAGATGTTGTTGACTGGTCGGCAGCTGGGAACTGACTCTGATGGGAAATGACCGTGTGTGCCCAGAAAGTCTTGGCATGAGGGTGTTTGTTTAGGCATTCATTAATTAATTCATTCAACAAACATTTACTAGGCCAGGCACTGTGCTAGCTGCGGCGTCTTGTTTCCCTGAAGTTTTCTCTGGAGAGGAGGAAGAGACGGAGTGTGGGGTTGCTTTGCTTACAATGCTCTTTTGCCTGCTTGGGGATTTTTCAAGGGCCTTCCATTCTAATGGGCACCCTGAAATCAGCGGCTTGTCCTCCGGAGTTGGCGACACTAGTGGGGCGGGGAGTGGCGTCGGGCCTGTGGTGAGTCAGCTGCATCCAGGCTTAGCATCCTGTCCAGGTGTGGCCCGCTGCGCCTGGGAGACAAACAGCTGTTGAAATAGAAAATATTTAAAACCTCATTAAAAAGAGAGTCTAGACTCTGGGGAAACTTCATTTTGAAAAGGAGTCTTGTGGAAATTGGTTGATCCTTCTAAGTTTACAGGCAGTAAAATTTCTAAGAAATGGAGATGGATTTTCAGAAAGATGTTTGAGGACTGGAACAGTGGTGTTCCCTGGTCACAGGACTTTGTCAGGGTTGGCTGAAATGTAATTTGTTGTAGGACTTCCAGTGGAAGGGCCAGTGTTAGGTCTCATGAATATTTTCCTGTAGTTTTTTTTTTTTTTTTTGAGATGGAGTTTCACTCTTGTTGCCCAGGCTGGAGTGTGATCTTGGCTCACTGCAACCTCCGCCTCCTGGGTTCAAGCAATTCTCCTGCCTAAGCCTCCCGAGTAGGTGGGATTACAGGCACCTGCCACCATGCCCGGCTAATTTTTGTATTTTTCGTAGAAATGGGGTTTCACCATGTTGGCCAGGCTGGTCTTGAACTCCTGACCTCAGGTGATCCACCAGCCTCAGCCTCCCAAAGTGCTGGGATTACAGGCTTGAGCCACCACACCTGGCTGTTTTGTTTTGTTTTGTTTTGTTTTTTTAAGAGACAGGGTCTTGCTGTCTTGCTGTGTTGCCCAGACTGGAGTGCAGTGGCACAGTCATAGGTCATTGCAGCCTCAATCTCCAGGGCTCAAGTGATCCTCCTGCTTCAGCCTCCAGAGTAGCTGGGACTATAGGTGTATACCACCACACCCCACTAGTTTTTAAATTTTTTTAGAGATGAAGTCTCACTATATTGCCTAGGCTGGTCTTGAACTCCTAGCCTCAAGCTATCCTTCTGCCTCAGCCTGAATTACCCTGTAGTTTAAAAGGCATCCCCAGTTTCCCATTTTGACAATGCATATAGAAGTCTTCCTGATGCTTCCCTTATTTGTTTTTATCTAATTCTGTTAATGTATTCATCAACAGATAATTTATTGAGCACCTGCTGTGCACTAGGCATTTTAAGAGTTATGGAAGTGTGCCGGGCACAGTGGCTTACGCCTGTAATCCCAGCACTTTGGGAGGCCAAGGTGGGGGGATCACCTGAGGTCAGGAGTTCGTGACTAGCCTGACCAATATGGTGAAATCCTGTCTCTACTAAAAGTACAAAAATTAGCTGGGCTGTGGTGGCGTATGCCCATAATCCTGGCTACTTAGGACGCTGAGGCAGGAAAATTGCTTGAACCCGGGAGGTGAAGTTGCAGTGGACCAAGATCTTGCCACTGCACTCCTATCTGGGCAACAGAGGAAGACCCTGTCTCAAAAAAAAAAAAAAAAGAGTTATAGAAGTGAACAAACAATATTCCCACCCTCATAAATAAGACACGTATATCAAGAAAAAAGAATTTCATTGTTAAATAGATCATGTACTTTGGCTGATACATTTGCAATATTTTGAGGCTAGAGGGCCAAATAATTGGCCAAGAGAAGCATCAGTTATGTGTGTATTTCTGGATGGAAATCACAAGGCCTGATTCACAGCAGGCACCTGAGTTTAATATTATTAATGCCAGTTTTACAGATGAGAAAACTGAGGTTCAGAGAGGTAAGGTGGCTTGTCCAAGGCTGGTAGAGGGAAGAGCCAGGACTCTCAAACTCTTGCCCCTTAATTCTGAAACCCTGGCTTTTTCCTTCTGCTTCTCTGCACCTTTCAGGTCAAGAACCTTGTAAATGCAAATCTGCCTGTTTGTATAGGTGGTAACAAGGTTTTAGATGGAAGCACAGACTTAATGGCTTGAAACAACACACATTTATTATCTTAAAATTCTGGAAGTATCGTCATTGTGCCTTGGACATGGCAGATGGGTCAGCAAACATTCGTCCAATGAAAGGTCTTTCTAAGACTGTGCCTTTGAACCTACTGTTCTGTCCATTCAGAATTCCCTCTTCCTACCTTTCTGTCTGGTGTACTCCTGTTCATCCTCAAAACCAGAAGCTGCTACTATGTCCCCCATGAAGCCACTCACTATCCAGTCCTCTGTATTATTTTCTCTACTTTATAGCAACTTCTGTTCTTGCAGGTACCAGCAATCATCGATTCACCTGTCTGCCTTACAGCAGAGGAAAATGCCTCACTTGGGTGGGCTCCTCATAGGCAACTGTTGGAGTGTTACATAAATGAATGAATGAATGAATGAATGAATGAATGAATCTGGCAAAATAGAAGATGCAGTCAAATATATATTTCATATTTTAACAACATAATCGGCACTCATTAGATGTTATCTGTGGACTGACAAGTGAGGAACTGATCTCCTTTTTTTAAATTAAAAATGCAGATATATAGGGATTCCATGAGATTTCAGAGCCACAGATAGATGGTAGTGGGCTGCTGTGTGGGGTGAAACTTTATGCAGGCACAGATATGCTTTGATGGATTTTTGGGGAAGTCTGAAGGAGATGATTCAGGCTCCTCATTTTTCAAACTTACAGTCTTCTAAGGCCTGATCTGGGCTTTATCTTGATGAGATTTGAACATTTCTTAGATATACTTTATTTCCTTTGATTCTGAGATGTCTTTGATTTCAAGATGCATTATTGATATCATAGCAGTGTTGGGAGAGAAAATAGTTCTGCCACATTATATTTTATTGATAGGAGACACGTCCTGTTTCAGAAATGCTAAAATGTGAAAATGTGGTCATCATAAAATGGAGGAAATACGGTAATTACAAAGAGTGTGGTCAAGTGGGCTGATGTTAATTGGACCTACTCCTAAGTGTTAGGAATGAGCTCGAGCGAGGCTGGTCTTGTTAGTGTGTTAAAGATCTTTTTTTAGTTCTAAAACTAGAAGGGAAATACATGCAGCAGAGACCTCTCCTGAGGCTGGCCCTGCTCTGAAAGGCTGGTGAGATTTAAAGGAAAGATAAGTCTTTGTAATCAGACAGACCTAGGTTCCATTTATTAGCTGTAAAAACTCTGGCAAGATACTCATCCTGTATTTGCCTCAGTTTCCTTCTCTGTAAAATCAAACAGCAATACCTGTTGCCTAGGTTTGTTATGAAGGTTAAAGAAGTTATTGCTTGTGTAGTTAGTGTCAGATACACATAATAACTATGCAATATATGCTAGCTTTGTTATTTTTAAAAATTGTGGCTGGGCACAGTGGCTCACTCCTGTAATCCTCACACTTTGGGAGGCCGAGGTGGGTGGATCACCTAAGGTCAGGAGTTCGAGGCCAGCCTGGCCAACATGTGAAACCTCATCTCTATTAAAAAATTAGCCAGGTGTAGTGGCATGTGCCTGTAATCCCAGCTACTCAGGAGGCTGAGGCAGGAGAATCACTTGAACCCAGGACGTGGAGGTTGCAGTGAGCCAGGATCGCACCACTGCACTCTAGTCTGGGTGACAAAGCAAGACTCCATTTCAAAAAAAAAAAAGAAGAAAAGAAAAGAAATTGTTATTTATTCTGCTAGACTCGTATTAGGTCATTCTTGCATTGTTATAAAGAAATATCGGAGACTGGGTAATTTATAAAGAAAAGAGGTTTAATTGGCTCATGGCTCTGCAGGCTGTACAGGAAGCATGATGCTGGCATCTGCTCGGCTTCTGGGGGGCCTCAAAAAACTTAAAATCATGGTAGAAGGTGAAGGGGGAACAGGCACGTCACATGGCCCAAGCAGGAGCAAGAGAGAGAGCAAGGCGCAACACAGTTTTAAACGACACATCTCACGGAAAGTCACTCACTCACTATGGCAAGGACAGCAACAAGGGGATGGTGGCTAATCATTAATGAGAAATCTACCTCCATGATCCAGTTACCTCCCACCAGGCCCCACCTCCAATACTGGGGATTATAATTCAGTATGAAATTTGCACTGGGACACAGATCCAAACTCTATCAGACCTGTTGTTATTTATTCTATTAAAATTGTTATTTATCCTGTAAGGGCTGTTGTTTCCTCTGTAAAGTGGGATGACATTCCTAGCTGTACCTCTCACTGCTCTGGGCTGGGTGAAGACTCAGCGTGATTGAAAGGGGCTATGTGGCCGATACCCATACAGGGCCTGCGTGGTACCTGGTGAGCACTGGGTAATGGGGGCTTCCTGCGAGGGAGTAAACTCCTTTCCATGCAGACCCCTTTCCATCCTGGTTCCCTTTTCTTTGGACAGGGTGGAGGCTGGGACACTGGGGTGCTGCTCCTGGAAGGTGACTTCCAGGCCTTGGTTGTATTCTCTCTGTCACTGGGACAGTGGTCAGTGGACACCAACAGGATTTCCAGCCACATAAAACATGCCTATGGTGCTGGCCTTGCTGGGAAGCCGCTGAGTCAGGCCCCTGGGCTGCAGATGTCATTTCTAGTTTTGGGCTGTCATAATACTGGCAGTTGTTCATTGTACACCTGCTTTATGCTGGCATTTCTACACTTATACAACTTCCTTTTTTTCCTCCTAACAACACTCTGTTAAAAGTATCATCATCCCTGTCTTAGGGTGGTTTCCCCAAGAAGCCAGCACTGAGAAAATATTGGAGCATGCATAGTTTCTTTGGGAGGTGATCCAAGGAAACACAGGTGGAGGAATGAGGAAGGGAGACAGAGAAGAGAAGGAGCCAACGAATAGCATGTTATCAGGCAGGAAACTAGGGTTTCATTCCTCTGGGGACCTCTCAGGTTGTCAGAACCAAGGGGCAAGGAGCTGGGATATTGTTTCCTGATTTCCACTCATCCTTGTCTGAAGGCCACAGCTAGAAGCATTCATTTCCTGGCACTCCGAGCCTGTGCCTTGGTGGCTGAGAGCAAGCTCTTGGGGCAGAGTGGCAGGTGTTGCTTGCAGTAAGATGCACCTGGCCTGTAATGACCTGTGAGAGTCAAGGCATTGTGTGTGGGCATCATCATAGTCTGCAGAAATCTCCATTTTTCAGAAGAAGACACAGGGCTGGGCCCAGTGGCTCATGCCTGTAATCCCAGCAATTTGGGGGCCCAAGGTGGGTGGATCACCTGAGGTCAGGAGTTCGAGACCAGCCTGGGCCAACATGGCAAAACCCCGTCTCTACTCAAAATACGAAAATTAGCTGGACATGGTGGTGGGTGCCTGTAATCCCAGCTACTTGGGAGGCTGAGGCAGGAGAATTGCTTGAACCCGGGAGACGGAGGTTGCAGTGAGCGGAGATTACGTCACTGCACTCCAGCCTGGGCGACAGAGCAAGACTCTGTCTCAAAAAACAGAAAAAGAAGATGACACAGGTTCCCAGAAGTGATTTTTCATCACTCAAGATCAGCCAGAAATTAGGTGGGAGAGCCCGTGTTGGAATGTGTCTTTCTGTCCCAAGGGCTCTCCTCTTTGCTGTGCTTGGGAAATTCCCCCAGCCCTGGGCTGCAGCATGAGGGGGCAGCTGCCCAGATGGCTCTGCGCTCAGCATACTCGCTGAGAGTGAATTCAAGATTGTTTGAAATGACCTTGAAGATATGATCACACAATGGGCAGCACAGCAGACCCTAGGCTCCCTTGGATTTCACATTCCACACTTGCACTTCTTCCCAGGGGAACCCTGAAGAAAATGTATAATTTGTGGTGGCCCAGACTGGGTTGAGCCTGCTCCTGCTGGCATGAGGATTGGATTGCGTGGCTAGTTAGTGAGCCTAGCCTCCCTCCGAGTATAGAATAAACTTGAGAACTCTCAAGTTTATTTCGTTGTTCTCTTCTTGGGGGTCCCGAGGCTGTTTCTCTGGCATTCACTTATTCTAAGAGTCACAAAATTCTTAGGATGTAACTTTTTAAAATGCTGAGGATTTATTAATCGCTTATAGTAGGTAGGTCCTATGGTACCAGTACGTGCCCTTTTTCTTGTTGTCGGTGAGGTTTTTTGACGAAGGTCTTATTCCTTAAGCAGAGACCACGTCTATTTTGCTAACCAATACTTCCTTGATATTTAGCTTAATATTTTTTCTTCAGTATATTAGTGGATGAATAGATGCATTTTCCCAGAAGATAATTCTCACTATGGGAAGCTGTAGCCAATGGAAAATAGCATGCAGTAGGCACTTAAGAGATGTTTGGAAGGCAGGTCCTATGACATTGTGTTCACACCCAGATGATATCACTGACAACCATTCATCCTGTCTGTTTCTATACCTGTCCCTGCCCCACCAGACTGTGAGCTCTCTATGGGCAATGACCTTGTGTTACTCAACTCACCCTCCTCACTGTCAGGCCCAGTGCCTGCAGTATACTCAGAGTAGGCTATAAGACATGCAGTCACAGTTGTCATGAGTGTATAATCCAGCAAGACAGTGGTTCTGGTCTTTTGGGTTGTGGGTCCTTCACAGTGACCTCTTCTTTGGAGAGGAAAGACCCAAACCATCTTTGATTGTTATCATTTGAATCAACAAATGAGGCGGGCGGTTGGGGGCAGAGCCAAAGCTAAGGTCCAGCAGCCTCGGCATTGTCAGGGAGAATACCTCAGCCCTTCTTGGCTTTCTTCTTGGGGTGGGCTTCTGCAAGGTCTCCTCTGTATCTCTCTGAACTGTAGCCTATTGGATTATCCTGGGAAGATAGAGTTATCAGAAGGGCCCATCTCAAACACATGCATGCTGGCCAGGGAGAAGAGGGATTAGGAAAAATAGCAGGAGTCCAAAGTTACCTGGCCTGAGGTTACAGATGCCTAAATCAGGGCTGATCAGGGTTGGTAGGGAGGCAGGACTTGTTGCTTGCCAGCAGATATGGAAACTGAAAGACCTAGCGATTAGTACAAAATCCCCACGACCAATTCAAATGGTCTCAGCATTTACATTCAAGAATCACCACAGGAGAGGAGGTTTTTTGTTTTTTTTTTTGAGACACCGTCTCACTCTGTCACCCAGGCTGGAGTGCAGTGGCGCAATCTCGGCTCACTACAACCTCTGCCTACTGGGTTCAAGCTATTTTCCTGCCCCAGCCTCCCAAGTAGCTGGGACTACAGGCGCCTGCCACCATGCCTGGCTAATTTTTGTATTTTTAGTAGAGATGGGGTTTCACCATGTTGGCCAGGCTGGTCTCGAACTCCTGACCTCAGGTAATCCACCCGCCTTGGCCTCCCAAAGTGCTGGGATTACAAGCATGAGCCACCACATCCAGCCAGGAGAGGAGATTTGACTTACCTCTATGAACAATCAGGAAATGATACCAAATGGGGTGTGTTTGGTCATGATCCATAGTGCCTTGCTTAGCACAGCAGATAAAGTTCTGAGCTTTGAAATCGAGCTCTTTCAAGTTTGAGTTCTGAGTCTGCCACCACTAACCAGCTGTATGACTTGGGAAATGTTATGTAACTTTGGTGAGCCTCAGTTTCCTTATCTAAAATTCAGACAATCACAGTTCCTTGCAAAGTTCCTTGTAGGATTTAATGAATGTGCCTAGGATGGGGTCTGATATGTAAAAGGGTTCTTCAGAGAAACAGAATTTATAGGATATATGTAAGGGGATATTTATTATAGGGAATTGGCTCACCCTTATAATAAGTGGAATTGATTATGGAGGCTGATCTGCCATCTGGAAGCTGGACAACCAGGAAAGCCAGTGGTGTAATTCAGTCCTAGCCCGAAGGTCTAAAAACCAGGGGAACTGATGGTGTAAATCCCAGTCTATGTTTGAAGTTCTGAGAACCAGGAGCGCCAGTGTCCAAAAAAGAAGATGCATGTCCCAGCTCAAGCAGAGAGCAAACTCACCCTTCCTGCTACTTTCTGTTCTATTAATATTATGCCTTCAATGGATTGGATGATGCCCACTCACGTTGGGAAGGGTACTCTTCCTTACTCAGTCTCCTGATTCAAAGGCTAATCTCTTGCAGAAACACCCTCACAGACACAACCAGAAATGCTGTTTTACCAGCTATCTGGGCATCCTTTAGCCCAGTCAAGTTGACACATAAAACAACAATAAGGGGTTGCTATGGTTATTAGCAGTGCTGTTAGAGTTCACAAGTGGATAGATTACTGGGCTGGGAAAGTTTGAGAGAGCTTCCTGGAAGAGGTGGAATTTCAACTGGGACTAGACAAGTTGGGCTTCTGATCGCTTAAGAGGAATCGTATCACAAAAATATATTTGGTCTATTTTCTTTAGGTCCCTGATTTTCTAAGTACAGCTTCCACAGAACAGGAAAGAATTACATCAGTAAATAGGAAAAGTGCTTGGTTTGATATTATGGGGAAAAAATTGTCCAAGCTGTAACCAGCTGCAGATGACTCAAGAGTTTATAACATCCTCTATAAAAGGATACAAATCCCAACATTCGTGGAGTCACTTCTGTTGAATAAAAAACACCTATTTGAGGAATGGCAATAAAGAAGGGTTTATGTACCAAATGATTTATGTCCCCGATTCCTGCATGGCATCAGGAATTCCTGTCCTGACTGACAAACTGTAAGTCGTAGAACAGAATTTCAGTGGAAAAGCAGAAACGTGGGTGGTAACAAATCTGATGCTTGATGGTAATGAATTCTGGTTCACTTTAGCAGGCAGGTGCTTTAAATCTTTCTGTCGCTGGTGGCAGCGGGAAATGAGAGGTTGTACAGAAGACCGTGGGGGTTGACAGACATTGTTCACTCACTCCTTCGACAGATATTTATTGAGCGTCTATGTACAGATGCTGCCGCTCCCCTGCTCATGTCTTTGAGTGCTCCCCGGAAGGCACTGCAGACAGTGCCCATTCACACAGAGGGCTTCCTGCATCTCAGCCTGAGACTATGCCCTGGTTGTGTCTGGGCAGTTAGGGATGGAAGGTGGCAGGTAAATGCCCCAGATTCCTTTCCCTTCGGTGGGGCAATTCTGAGATGTGCTCTCCACAGTCTCTCAGAAGGTCCCTTAGTGGGATTGAGCCTGAGGTGCCCAAGCAATAACCTTGGACACGTTCCTCAATGTCTGAGTTTCAGCTTCTTCTAGGATAGGTATGGGGATTAAACGAGGCAGTAATATCACTACCACCACAACTAGATCCCATGCATTCATCAGTTACGGGGAGCCAACCATTTTTTGCTTAGTGCTTTAATCATGTTCTCTTATTAATTCTTGCTATGACTGCATGAGGTAGGTACTTTCCTTATGGTTACTAGCTGTGCTGTAAGAGTTCAGAAATGGACAGATTGTTGCGCTGGGAAAATTGGAGAAAGCTTCCTAGAAGAGGTGGAATTTCAGCTCGGACTGGACAAGTTGGGCTTCAGATAGCTTAAGAGGAATAGCATCATAAAAATAAGTTTGGTCTATTTTCTTTTAAGTCCCTAATTTTCTAAGTACAGCTTCCACAGAACAGGAAATCCAATTTTAAAGATGAGAGAACTAGGGCAGGCACAGTGGCTCATTCCTGTAACCCCAGCACTTTGAGAGGCCAAGGCAGGTGGATCACCTGAGGTCAGGAGTTCGAGATCATCCTGGTCAACATGATGAAACCCCATCACTACTAAAAATACAAAAAATTAGCTGGGCATGGTGGCACATGCCTGTAATCCCAGCTACTTGGGAGGCTGAGGCAGGAGAATCGCTTGAACCTGGGTGACGGAGGTTGCAGTGAGCAGAGATCGCGCCACTGCACTCCAGCACTCCAGCCTGGGTGACACAGCGAGACTCTGTCTCAAAAAAAAAAAAAAAAGAACTAAAGTATGAAAGGATAAATAACTCATCAAAGATTCATAATCTGGATTCTAACCCAGATGTGTTTGTTCTAGGGGCCAACTTTTAATAAGTCATACTGTTAGAGTACAGGATCTGGCAAGGAAGCTGTCATCATCATTATCATCATCATCATCCAGTGCCCAGTACTGGATGTGGGTGACCCATGTTTATGGAATTTAAGAATAATGAATGAATGAATGAATATTAGTCCTTTAAGATCATGAACTTTCTTTTCTTTTGTTCTTTGCTCTGTCTTTAGGCAGCAGGAGCAGTCCCTGGCACAGGGTAGTTCCCTGCTTCTAAGAAAATTATGGTAATTGAAATGTATTCTTTGTTTTACCCTTAACAACAACAACAACAAAAAACCAACAGAAAGAAAAGAGTCCCAGAAATGAAATCGCCTTAGTATAGGAACAGTATTTATCTTCAGGTATTGGGATAATAATTGATTTTAATTTTATGCCTTAATATTTTTTCTGATGAACCTAGATTACTTTCTTGACTAGTATAGGAACAGTATTTATCTTCAGGTATTGGGATAATAATTGATTTTAATTTTATGCCTTAATATTTTTTCTGATGAACCTAGATTACTTTCTTGACTAGAAAGAAATAATCTCTGTTTGAATAAAAAATCATTCTCAGAGCATCAGATGGGTCTCCAAGTGCCGTGGGTGAGGTACGGACATAGACGTAGCTGCTAACCTACTTCGAATTAGTTCAGAGTCAAGGCAGCAGAATGTGAACTGACTATGGTGTCACACCTCACACAGCTCTTTCACACTTCATCTCTCTGAAGGTTCACGATGGTCTAGTGACGTAGGCCAGGCTGGGATTAGTGGCCTCATTTCATAAACCTGAGGGCTAAAGAGGCTCGCTGACAAGGGTGAAGCTCTCCATAGGGGTGGAATTGGGACTGGAACTTTTGATGTTAGGCCCAGTGGCCTTCCCCCCGACCCCAGCAGCCTCTCATGAAGACCCACTGAAGGAATGGGACAAGAGTGGAGGTAGGTTGGTACATCACAGACTCATGGGGCAGCATCTGCAAGACCCTTTTATGATTTATGCAGAGGAAGCCTGGCTTGGAGTTTTTTAGACCACCCGGGTCAGGATCTTAGTTCTGCCACACACTGTCTTGGACACGTTATTTCATATCTTGTGAGTTATGATTTTTTCATCTATAAATCTGGCCCAGTGTCTCCCTTGCAGGATTGTTGTGTGAGTCCAACTGGCACCAAGGAGGTGGGAATTCTGCAAGAACAGCTGTCAGTGGTCATCATACTTGTGCTGTCTATGTGCATGGCTTTATTGATACTCGGTGTTCATAAATTAATATTCCCATGTGAATTAGGCAGTTTTTTCTGAGTAGCAAAAACCTCAGGATTTCAGAGGCTTGTTTGACAGCAGATATGTATCTTCATGCTCAAGGATCTATGGGTTGGTTGTGGTTTGGCTGATCTAGTTGCATGGCTGGTTCATGCCGGACTTGTGGTTGATTGGGATCTGCTCCACATGTCTTTGATCTGAGTTCAGACTAAAAGGCAGCAACAGACAGCGGCTATGGAGACATATTCCTTTTGTGGTGCATCATAAGAGGGCAAGAGGAATAGACTTGGGAACAGCACACTGTCACTTCTAGCCACATTCCATTGGCTACAGCAAGTCAGTGATCCAGTCCAGAATCCAGTGGGACAGGGAAGTAAACACCATTCACTCTAGTGGGAAGTACTACAAAGTCCCATGACAAAGGGCAGAAATGTGTAGTTCACAGTCATGTTGGAAGTGAACTGGGAAGACTCATGCAGTCTACCATACTAACTCAGCTGCTCCACTTGGGTGAAGCAAGGAAAGCAAAAGAATAATAAACTGAGGAGCAGGCTGGGAGAGGCATTGACTATGTATGCAAGTAACAGATACTTATTTTTCATAAGCGTGTGCTTAGTAAAGTTGGGTTCTGGAGGTCAATATTATAGGAAGATCATGATCTTTGATTCTGAAGGATAGCATATGTTTATCCTTATGCCAGTACCACACTGTCCTGATTTCTTTCAAAGTCAGGAAATAGAAGTCCAACATTGTTCTTCATTTTCAAGATTGTTTTGGCTATCCTGAGTCCATTGCATTTCCATATGCATTTTAAGATAAGCTTGTCAGTTCCCCATCTAATTTAAATTTGTGATTCAGTGCTCAGGAAGATTCAATTGCTGTTGGCATCTAAGTTTGAAGGAAATGGTTTGATCGTTTATCCAACAAATATTTATTAATATTGTTGTGCCGGGCATTGTAGAGTTGGTGCTGCAACATACACCAATAAACAAATCCAAACACAATCTTTGTATCCACATGGCTTACAATTGAAGAAAATTAGCAGATATTAATCAGTCTTCACGTTGAAACATAATTAAAAACTGAGATAAATTCCATGATCTAATCTGAAGATGCAGAGTTTCTCTGAGAATATAATATTTAAGGAAGTACAGGAGTTACCTAGGCACTGAAGATGAGAGAGGAAGCCTTCCAGACAGAGAGAACAACATGGGCAAAGGACCTGTGGTGGAACAACTGCAGCATGTTCCAGGATCTAAGAAAATGTCCAATGGGCCGGGCACAGAGGCTCACACCTGTAATCCCAGCACTTTGGGAGGCCAAGGTGGGCAGATCACCTGAGGTCAGGAGTTCGAGACCAGCCTGCTCGACATGGCGAAACCCTGTCTCTACTAAAAATGCAAAAAAGTAGCTGGGCGTGGTGGCGGACACCTGTAATCCCAGCTACTTGGGAGGCTGAGGGAGGAGAATCAATTGAACCCAGGAGGTGGAGGTTGCAATGAGCCAAGATCGCGCCACTGCACTCCAGTCTGGGCAACGAGTGAAACTGTCTCACAAAAAAAAAAAAAAAAAGAAAAAGAAAAAGAAAATGTCTTATGGCTACAGCATTGTGCCTGGTAGACAGGATAAGGTCAGAGAGGTGAACAAGAGTCAGAACATGTTCAGTGATTTGGATTTTTATTCTAAAGCACTGAGAAGCTGTTGAGGGATGTTAAGCTAGTGGTGGAGAGTTGAGGGATGACACAATCAAATTTGTGTTTTCAAAATTGTATTCTTCATATCACTCAATTGTTAAGTGTCAGTCTTATTTGGATCTGGGTTTTTTAAAAAAAAACACTTGTTAAAGACACCATTTTTGACATTTATGAGACTATTAGGAATTTGAACACTGTGTGAATATTTGATGATATCAAGGAATTATTGCTATCTTTTTAAGGTATGGTAGTGGTTTTACAGTGTTATTTTTTTCCAAAGACCTTATCTTAGAAATCCATGCGGTAATATTTATGACTGAAATGATAAGATGACTGGAAATTTCCTCAAAATAATAATGCACGGGCAGGAAGGTTGAGGGTTTGGATGTGGTGGGTATGATTATGGGTTAATGTGATTAGACTGGCTGGTGGGTTCAGGGGGTATATGATACACTTCTCTGTTTTTATGTCTGTACACAATTCCCTGTAATAAAAGATTAAAAAAAAAAAAACCCCACAAAAGATTATTCTGCTTTCAGCATGGAAGACTAGATTTCAGAGGGAGAAATGGTGATGAGGGGAGATCAGTTAGGAGGCAGCTGCAGTGGCCCAGGTAAGAATGATGGAGGCTTGGTCCAGAGCTGGACCAGTGGAGGTGGGGAGAGATAAGTGGAGAGATCTTTAGGAAGTAAAGTAGACATGAATTGGGGATGGATTGGATATGGGGGTGAGGGAGATGGTGGAACTGAGATGTCTCTCGGTTTTTCGCCCTGGATGGAGATGCCACATTGAGCTAGGAATCACTGGATAAAAGCCAAGGAGGTCCCTTGGCTCAATTTATTTTTATATCCCCACCTCTGTTTCCCTCTATTCTGCAAATATTGAAGCTGTTCCCTTATGTAACATCTTTTATCCCAGACTTCCTGTGCTCTGTGCACTCAGCAATTAATTAAGCTTTGGTATGCATGAATTAATTAAAATCCTCTCCCAGGTTCAGAGGGGCTGTCCTGAAATATGTATATTCTTCTATATCTGCCTTCTTCCTGCAACTGGTTTCCTTTGCCGGGTGAACACTTTTGCTTTCTCGTGGGCACCCAGCTGCAGGTGTCTGTCTGTCTGTCTGTCGCATCCATCAGCACACTTTAATTTTATGTTTAGGAGCCTAGGTCTAGAGAAGTTAATGACTTGTAAATTGCTCTCCAACGTAGAGCTAGAAATAGAATGCCAGAAGGATTCCTGAGCACTTACTTGCACAGAGATTCAATGATGGAGGTATCAGCCCCACCATAGGAAGCTGAAATAGTAGTTTCCTTCATATTTCTGGACAGCCACTCTGTGGTGCAAGAACATTCCTGACAAAGGTGCAGCCTCCATATGAAATCCGATCTTGGTCTGAGACAATGTCTTCTGCCCAGTTTCACCGGATGACTCTTGTCCCCTTTTTGTCCTGCCCCCTATCCAGGTCGTTTTCTGATGTGACGGCTGAGACATGAGATCTTCAGCCTCCAGGCTCTCCAGTTTTTCGTCGAGAGATTCACTATGGAATCGGTGAGTGATCTCTAGCCCATCCTGTCCAGAAAACTCGGCGTGGGAGATACAGCGGGATTCTTCTTGGGAGTTGAAATGCAAAATTTTATCAAACACAAGCACTGGAATCTAACAGAGACTGTGTGCACGATTGTTATTGGAGAACAGATCTCTAGCATTTGTACAGGTGTAGACTGCCTACTATGTTTTCTGTCACATTATCCATTGCCTTTATTTATAAGGAAAGTTGTCTGGGTGGTGGTGCCTATAAGAAGTCAAGAGTAGCAACAACAGTGACACCAGCAACACTATAAGGTGCTATAGGAGTCCACTGTGTTTTAGGTTCTTTAAAAACATTTCAGGCTGGACATGGTGGCTCACGTCTGTAATCCCAGCACTTTAGGAGGCTGAGGTGGGTGGATCATTTGAGGTCAGGAGCTCGAAACCAGCCTGACCAACATGGCGAAACCTTGTCTCTACTAAAATACAAAAATTAGCTGGGTGTGGTAGCATGTGACTGTAATCTCAGCTACTCGGGAGGTTGAGGCAGTGGAATTGCTTGAACCCAGGAGGCAAAGGTTGCAGTGAGCCAAGATTGCACCATTGCACTCCAGCCTGGGCAACAGAGTGAGACTCCTTCTCAAAAATAAAAATTAAAAGTACAATAAAATAAAATTTCATTTACTCCTCCCAACAATCCTGCCAAGTAAGAATTTCTACATTCAGTTGGGTGCAGTGGCTCATGCCTGTAATCCTGGCACTTTGGGAGGCCGAGGCGGGAGAATCACCTCAGGTTAGGAGTTCGAGACCAGCCTGGCCAACATGGTGAAACCCCATCTCTACTAAAAATACAAAAAATTAGCCGGGTGTGGTGGCAGGCGCCTGTAATCCCAGCTACTCGGGAGGCTGAGGAGGGAGAATCACTTGAACCCCGGAAGCAGAGGTTGCAGTGGGCCAAGATCACACTGTTGCACTCCAGCCTGGGGGTCAAGAATGAGACTTCGTCTCAGAAAAAAAAGAATTTCTACATTCATTTTACGGGTAAAGAACTTGCCCAGCTAGATGTAAGTCAATTTTCCCTTACTGCAGGACCCTTGCCTTTTTTTTTTTTTTTTGAGACGGAGTCTGGCTCTGTTGCCCAGGCTGGAGCGCAGTGGCGCTATCTCGGCTCACTGCAAGCTCCGCCTCCCGGCTTCACGCCATTCTCCTGCCTCAGCCTCCCAAGTAGCTGGGACTACAGGCGCCTGCCATCACGCCCAGCTAATTTTTTTGTATTTTTTTTTAGTAGAGACGGGTTTCACCGTGTTAGCCAGGATGGTCTTGATCTCCTGACCTCGTGATCTGCCCGCCTCGGCCTCCCAAAGTGCTGGATTACAGGCGTGAGCCACCGTGCCCACCTGGCCTTTTTTTTTTTCCTATGCCACGTTACCTCTTGGGAGAGGTAGAGATATGATTTATTCCATTTTGCAGCTGGGAATACTGAGGCCTGGTGTAGGGACACATGATGAAGAGTCTAAGGAGTCTGGCCTCAGTGGATGAAAGTTTGTGTTAGAGGATGATAAAAATTAGACTGGACAGGAAGAACCATGAAAAGCTAGGCCGGGAAAACTTGTAGAGTCTGAGAATCTTAAAAAGCTGGCAGACTGACTGGCACAGGGTTGACCTGTTGGGGCCAGGGTTTCTAAGAAGTCCGCGTAGTGGAAAGTGTGTGGGTGCTAGAAGGGGTGGTTGAATCCTGGCCCTGGCACTGATTTGCTGTGTGATCTCACACAAGACACCGGCTTTCGGCCAGGCGCGATGGCTCACGCCTGTAATCCCAGCACTTTGGGAGGCCGAGGTGGGCGGATCACCTGAGGTTGGGAGTTCGAGACCAGCCTAAGCAACATGGAGAAACTCTGTCTGTACTAAAAAAGACAAAATTAGCTGGGCATGGTGGCACATGCCTGTAATCCCAGCTACTTGGGAGGCTGAGGCAGGAGAATCTCTTGAACCCGCGAGGCAGAGGTTTTGGTGAGCCGAGATTGCGCCATTGTACTACTCCAGCCTGGGCAACAAGAGCGAAACTCTGTCTCAAAAAAAAAAAAAAAAAAAGACACTGACTTTCTCTGTTTCTTCTGTTTTCTTATCCATGAAAAAGGGGTAATATTTATGTTTCAGATTTTTTTTGTGTAGTTTAGAAAAAATGTAAAGTGTTTTACATAAAGTAGGCACATAGGGCATTGTAATTACTTCAATTTTTAGGTTGAAAATAGTTTTTAAAGGATGATTAGATAAGCAAATGTGTCCTGAATGGGTGGATGAAGTGAGAGGCTGGAGGCAGAGAGGCCAACCTGAGAGGCTTTTGATATGATCGAGACATGATACCGCCTTCCAGGGTAAATGAAGCTTTACTTTTATTTTCAAAATTTTTCTATTATAGGATTACCCAAAGTCATGTTTATTTTGTTTTTTTCTTTTTTTAAGTCAAGAGTCCAGCACAAAATGGCATTCATTTTGCAGGTATCTTTTCAGGTGATATTAATTATAATTGCAATAACTCAGTGCATTATTAGAATTAGGTTTTGCTGACAATGACATAAAATCTAAAAGAACATTGGCTTAGAGAAGTGTCTCTCTTACCTAAAAGTTCAGGTACAAGTAACACAGATTTTCTACAGCAATCTGTGAGAGACCTGGGCTTTTTCTCTAGTTTGTTTGCCATGTGAACCTCTATTCCCAAGGTCACCTCACAGCCCCATTTTAGCTGCTTCTGCTCTAGCCATCACATCTAACAGCAGGAGGAAGGAACGAGACAGAGAAAGGCACGTCCCATCCTTTAAGGATGTTTCCTGGAAGTTGCACCTCCTGTTCCTACTTATATTCTACTGGCCAGAATTTAGTTCTCTGGCTACATTTTGCGGCAAAGAAGGCTGGGAAGTGTAATCTTTATTCTGCAAGACTGTGTGCTTACCAAATTGAGAGTTATTGTTATAGAAGAAGAGAGCAGATATTGGAGGACAAATCTTTTCCTCCACACTACTCATTCTTGAAAGATCGTGCTGACAGGATAGGCTCTGCAGCCAGCCTGCTGGAGTTTGCATTCTGGATCCATGGTTTCGTAGTTCTGTGACCTTGTTG
Source organism: Homo sapiens (assembly GCF_000001405.40). Lineage (NCBI taxonomy): Eukaryota > Metazoa > Chordata > Mammalia > Primates > Hominidae > Homo > Homo sapiens. The sequence continues at coordinate 130,398,788 of NC_000008.11, read as the reverse complement.
AAAAGCTACTTAACTTCTCTGTGCCTCGGCTTCTTCCTGTTCTCTCCTGTTTTATAGACTTACAAGGGTTGTTTTGAGCACTAGTTGAGTTAAGCTAAAGCACTTGGAACAGTGCCTGGTACATGGTAAGTGCTATATAAGTTCTAGCTATTATGACTACTACTATTGCTAGTAGTATCTCTCTAGTACTTCTACTACTACTGCTACTGCCACTTCTGATATGACTACTGCTACTTCTGTTACTTATTACTATTAATACTTTTACTCTTACCATGACTGCTGCTTCTACTAATATTACCACTACTGCTTCTACTGTCACTTCTGCTGCTGCTACTACTGTTGTGACTACTTCTACTTCTCTTCTACTATTATTACTACTATACCATTATTATTTTTAAATTGTATACTCATAGCATAGTAAGTACTATTTTTCCCAATAGAAGATAAGAGTCAGAGAGGATAGTAACTTGTCAGATGCCATTCATGGTCTACCCTTGGGTGGGTAGGGGATAGCGACTTGAAGGAAGCATAAGGCAGGTTTCTGTGGTTGTGCTAATGTGCTGTTTCCTGATCTGGGTGATGTTTCATTAGTGTAAAAGTTCCTTGCATGACACACTTATGACATAGATAATTTTGTGTATGTATCTTATATGTCAATAAAAACATGTCATGTAGCTGAAAAGTGGTGGAACATGAGTGAAACCTACACTCGCCTGATTCCAAAGCCTGTGCTCTTAGCTGTAACACAAGGCCAGCACCTTTAGTCCTCTGACTGACTGATTGATTCATTCATCTAACTTGTATTGATAACTGCTTATTACTTATGTGCCAGTAACCTGGCTAGGATGCCTGGGATACAAAGGTCCATGCTGTAGACATGACCCTGCCCTCATGGGGCTTCTTATCTAGAGGAAAAGGAAAGAGGTAAATACCATTCAGATTACCAGCCACCAGGTTAGGTTCAGTATGGGATGCCCTGGGGCCACAGGAGGGGCATGGAAGCTAACCCAGCCCCACAGGCTCATCTGCTGAAATAACACAGATGTGCTTCTCAACCAACCCCTTTGATGGGGGAAAAGTTCCCACATCAGTGGGTAAGCTGACCACAGGAGGGCTACATCAAGAAATATAAAGCAGTTCCCCCCATCCTTTGCTTAACTGGCACTAAGAAGGGGTCAGCTTTTCTTGTCTTGTTGTCACTGTCATAGTTGTGAACCTACCTGATGTTCCATGGGGTAGGCAAGTGCTCGCCCTTGTGAGTTCAGTAGAAGACAAGGGAATCACAGGAGCAGAGACTTCACTTATGAAGACGTGTATACAGGGACCTCTTATTTAAAATAAATATACGGGCTGGGCATGGTGGCTCATGCCTGTAATCCTAGCACTTTGGGAGGCGAAGGCTGGCGGATCACCTGAGGCCAGGAGTTTGAGACCAGCCTGGCCAACATGGCGAAACCCTGTCTCTACTAAAAATACAAAAATTAGCCAGGTATGGTGGTGGGCGCCTGTAGTCCCAGCTGCTTGGGAGGCTGAGGCATGAGAATTGCTTGAACCTGGGAGGCAGAGGTTGCAGTGAGCTGAGATCGTGCCATTGCACTCCAGTCTGGGCAACAGAACTAGACTCTTTCTTAACAACAACAACAACAAAATTCTCATAAATATGTGAATGAATGAATGAATGAATAAAATCACAGTCCACAGCAATGCGGTTGTCATCCCTGGGAAAACTCAAGTCCAAGGGAATAAAGAACAAGACCCGTTTCCTTTATTCACCCCAAATACCATAAGGGAGACAGGAGCGCAGCACATGGAAGTGGAATTGAATGCTGAATTCTGAGCCAGCAGTAGAAATCAGTTGGCCTTATGTTCAGGTTTTTCTCCATATGTAGAAAAGAAGTGACCTAAACTTTAGACCCTCCTCAACCAAGCCCATGAGAAACCTCTGTGACTCCTCCTCCCTCTTTTGCCTTTCCAAATGTCAAGCAGACGCCCTGTCATTATCATGCCACAGGCTGTCAGCCCAAATTGAATTTCCCTGAGCCCAGCTGATGTCCCTTTTTGGCTGCAGGGCAGGGATCAGGAATGCATGCTGCACATGGACGGGAAACGTGTCCCTGGAGCTGAATGCAGAAGGCTGACCTCTCAACTCTGCATTGCTAACATAGTTGGAAGGGTTAGGAAGCCTTGTGATTTCTGGATGTAAAAGAAAAAGAAATGTGTTTTAGAAAAACAGTATTCAAGTTCTGCTGCGAAAATCCTTTCAAAATAATTGAGTCTATTTAAAATTCAACTGGTTGTTTCACAGCATTGACTATACTTCAGTTAAATACATAAAGGAAGGAAGGTTATGGCTAAACTGAGAGATGGGAAGTGATGATGCTGGTCTTGTCTTCCTCCCTCCCTTCATTTTTCCCTCCCTGCCTTTAAAATTTATTAAGCAGCGACTGTGTGCCAGGTCCTACACTCAAACCTGGGGAAATACATGAATAAGACTCATGGCAAAGCCTTCTTGAGCTTATCCTTCATTTGTTTTTAGAAAACGTATTCATTCTACAAATGTTTCCTGAGCATCTAATTTGCTCAAGTCTCTTAGTAGAGATAAAAAACATGGTTCCTCCTTTTACTACATGTATACTTTATTTTTTGATCACTTTTCTGACGACCTACTAAGTGCCAGGGTCTGTGCAAGCTGCCAGGATATCAAGGGAAACAAAAACAGCTTCTGCTTTGATGGAGCTAAAAGACTAGAAAATGTTCCATTAGTTTCCTAGGGCTGCTGTGACAAAGTACCACAAACTTGGTGGCTTAAAACAACAGAAATATGGCCAGGCGCGGTGGCTCACACCTATAATCCCAGCACTTTGGGAGACGGAGGCGGGCGGATTACCTAAGATCAGGAGTTCGAGATCAGCCTAGCTAACATAGTGAAACCCCATCTCTACTAAAAATACAAAATTAGCTGGGCGTAGTGGCGGGTGCCTGTAATCCCAGCCCCTCGGGAGGCTGAGGCAGGAGAATCGCTTGAACCTGGGAGGTGGAGGTTGCAGTGAGCCGAGGTCACATCACTGCACTCCAGCCTGTGTGACAGAGTGAGACTCTGTCTCAAAAAAAAAAAGAAATGTATTGTCTCACAGTTTGGAGGCCAGAAGTTCAAGATCAACGTGTTGGCAGTGTCGTGCTTCCTCTGAAACCTGTAGGGGAGAATCCTTCCTTGCCTCTTCGTAGTGTCTGGTGTCACCAGCAGTCGTTGATGTTCCTCAGCTTGCAGCCTCATCACTCCAGTTCCTGCCTGTGTTGTCCTGCGGCATTCTGCCTGTGTGCCTCTCTTCTCTCTTACAAGGACAGCAGTCATACTGGATTGCGGGACTGCCCTTCTCCCATGTGACCTCATCTTAATCACCACCTTAATTATATCTGCAAAGACCCTATTTCCAAATAAGTCCACATTCATGGATGAGGGGGTGGCTAAGATCTCCACTTTTTGCAAGAGGACGTGTCAAACGTATGTAATATTAGAAAGCGCCCACAGTACCTGGTGCATGGTGGGCCTTGTTGTTGCCTTCCCTTTCTTTCCACTTTATCTCAGCATCTAAAGGGTGAGCACCTTGAGGGCAGGAACTCTGTGTTACTCTGAGTGAGTGCTTCCAGATTTCTTGCCAGGGAAGTGAGACGGATGTTTTTCTTGTGCTGCGGCAGGGACATTCTTGTGTGGTCCCTGGTTGATGGGAAATGCTCTTTCTTGCTACTGTCCTTAGTTTTTGCTTCTTATGCTGATGGTTGATGAGGGAGTCATGGGGAAAGAATACCTTGATTGGAAAGCTGGGCCTGGTGGGTAAAGTGGTTAAACCAGGCTCCTCTCCTGGTTCTGCTGTTTGCTGGTCATGTGAGCCTGGATACATTTCCTCCTCTCTGTGCCTCCAGGCATCTCATCTGTACCCCTTAGGAGTTTGTTTGTTTGTTTTGAGACAGAGTTATCAGGGAACCTGCCCCTGATAGTCACGTAGGTTCTTTTCTGTTTTCCCTAAGCGTTGGCCGGGTTGAGAAATAAAGAGACAGAGTACAAAAGAGAGAAATTTTAAAGCTGGGTGTCCTGGGGAGACATCACATGTAGGTAGGTTCCGTGATGCCCCACAAGCCGCAAAACCAGCAAGTTTTTATTAGGGATTTTCAAAAGGGGAGGGAGTGTACGAATAGGGTGTGGGTCACAGAGATCGCATACTTTACAAGGTAATAGAATATCACAAGGCAAATGGAGGCAGGGTGAGATCACAGGACCACAGGACCGGGACGACATTAAAATTGCTAATAAAGTTTTGGGCACCATTGTCATTGATAACATGTTTGAGAGCAACCGGTCTGACCAAAATTTATTAGGCGGGAATTTCCTGTCCTAATAAGCCTGGGAGCGCTATGGGAGTCTGGGGCTTATTTCATCCCTACAGTCTCGACCATAGAAGATGGCCACACCCAAGGGGGCCATTTCAGAGACCTACCCTCAGGGGCGCATTCTCTTTCTCAGGGATGTTCCTTGCTGAGAAAAAGAATTCAGCGATATTTCTCCCATTTGCTTTTGAAAGAAGAGAAATATGGCTCTGTTCCGCCCAGCTCACCGGTGGTCAAAGTTTAAGGTTATCTCTCTTGTTCCCTGAACATTGCTGTTATCCTGTTCTTTTTTCAAGGTGCCCAGATTTCATATTGTTCAAACACACATGCTCTACAAACAATTTGTGCAGTTAATGCAATCATCACAGGGTCCTGAGTTGACATACATCCTCCTCAGCTTATGAAAATGATGAGATTAAGAGATTAAAGTAAAGACAGGCATAGGAAATCACAAGGGTATTGATTGGGGAAGTGATAAGTGTCCATGAAATCTTCACAATTTATGTTCAGAGATTACAGTAAAGACAGATGTAAGAAATTATAAAAGTATTAATTTGGGGATCTAATAAATGTCCATGAAATCTTCACAATTTATGTTCTTCTGCCACGGCTTCAGCTGGTCCCTCTGTTTGGGGTCCCTGACTTCCCGCAACACAGAGTCTCGCTCTGTCACCCAGTCTGGAGTGCAGTGGTGAGATCTTGGCCCACTGCAATCTCTGCCTCCTGGGTTCAAGTGATTCTCATGCCTCAGCCTCCCGAGCAGCTGGGATTACAGGTGTGTGCCACCATGCCTGGCTAATTTTTGTATTTTTAGTGGAGATGGGGTTTCACCATGTTGGTCAGGCTGTTCTTGAACTCCTGACCTCAAGTGATCTGCCCGCCTTGGCCTCCCAAAGTGCTGGGACTACAGGCATGAGCCACTGTGCTTGGCCTTCCTAGGAGTCTTTGTGAGGGCCAGGTGGGATCAAATGTTTAAAAGAGTACCAGGCCCACAGTAAATGTTTGCTGCTTGTTTGTGGGAGTATTCCAAGACTTTTAATACCTTCCAGGGAGAAGGGCTTCCCTGGCCCATTCAGCACATTCCCCTCAGTAAAGACTCATGCTCACTGTTTAGCACTGTTCACCATCAGAACATTTCCTCATGATTTTCCTAAGGCAAGTTTTTCAGGAATATGGCAAACAGCCCTTGCACAAAGATATCCATTGGAGCATCATTTAAAATGGTAAACCGCTACAAACAAGATAAAATCCTGCTCTACAATGAGCAGTGGGTTAACAAATTAGGGGCAGAAGGATGAAAAACAAATTAGGGTAAAATAATGCAGCCATTAAAAAGAAGATAAGTTATGAGAACACTCATAATATAACTGTCATGTTAAAAAAAAGGTTTATTTTTGAGGAAGTGACTTAATTTCTGTGTGCCTCGGTGCCATGGTTTGGATATTTGACCCCTCTAAACCTCATGTTGAAATGTGATCCCCAATTTTGAAGGTGGGGCCTGATGGGAAATGTTTGGGTCATGGAGGCGGATCCCTCATGAATGAGTTCTCACTCTGTTAGTTCCCGTGACAACTGTTTGTTTAAAAGATCCCAGCCCCTCCCCCACCTCCTTCTCTCACCATCTGATCTCTGCACATGCTGGCTCCCCTTCCCCTTCTGCCACGAGTTGAAGCAACCTGAGGCCCTCACAGAAGCAGGTGCTGGCTTCTTGTGCAACCTGCAGAACCAAGAGCCAAATAAACCTCTTTTCTTTATTAATTACCCAGCTTCAGTTATTCCATTAGAGCAGGACAAATGGACTGAGACACTCAGCTTCCTTATCTATAAAATGGAGATGATAACAGTACTTTCCTCATACATACGATTGTTTTGAGAATTAAATGGGATAGTACCTCTAAAACACATGAATAGTACTTGGCACATATTAGGTGCTTACTAAATACTAATTGTTATTGTTAGTTATTTATCATGTGGTCTAAACCATGTGCAGAATATTCATAGAAAAAGATTAGAATAAGTAACACAGATGAATGCACATCCCTTTTCCCTGTTAGATGTCTTATTCAAAGGGACTTCCTTTTGTCTGTCAGCAAACATTGCACAGCTTCTCTGTATCAAGCACTCTGATAGTCTCTAAGGCAGCAGGTCTCCCTTTAGGAGTGTGTATGAGAGTCCCTTTTGGGGGCTTTTTAAAAAACAGATGCTTAGAGATGCTGATTCAGTAGATGTGTGGTGAGTCCCAGGCATCTGCAGTCTTAAAAACTATTCCACAAATGATTTTGACTCTCAAGGTTGATATATAAGTTACAGTCTTTCCCCTCAAGAAGTCTGCAAACCAGATGAGAAGATGGGACAAGCAGTGGCATGAGGCAGAACGTAAGTGCTATAGATTAGGCGCTCCCAGGTCTGGCTCCCCCTGCACAACTTTGCAAAAATAAAGATGGTCTTTGTTGTACCACTAGATGTGGAATCAGAACCCACAGGGTGAAGCCTTTCCAGGGGTTCTGGTGATCAGCCTGGTAGGGGACCATGTGTGAGGACTGTGAGTGCTTCCTGTTTGAGAGAACCCAGGAGGGGGTCCCTCTGGCCTGGGATTGTCACAGGAGCTCTCTCTAAAAAGGTATAATGTGCTATCTAAGAATACATTATTACATTTACTGTATTGGACTGAAATGACCTGTTAGATATCTATTGCCACTGACATACTCTGAGTGCCTTGAAGGCGGGAACCATGCATGCATTGGTCAGCCCTGTGATAGTGCCTGCATGTCTCACCTTGGCATTGACCTCTCCTGTCCCCTAGTACCTGCCTAGGTGCAGCAGGATAGATTGAGAACCAAAGTTTTTCCAAAGCTATTTTCTCAAAGCCATGAGGACTGATATATTTTCTCTGGTTGGTAGTAGTGAATGCTTTTTAAAAAATCTTTATTTTAAAATATTTTAATTGTGGTGAAGTATGCATAACATAAAAATTACTATTGTTAACTGTTTTTAAGAACAATTCAGTGGCATTAAGTATGTTCACATTGTTGTGCAACCATTGCCGCGAAATCCATCTCCAGAATTCTTTTCATCTTGCAAAATTGAAATTCTGTACCCATCAAATGACAACTCCTTCTCTTCCCTCTCCCTTCCCATCCCTGGAAATAACCATTCTACTTTCTGTCTGTATGAATTTGACTACTCTAGGTATCTTTTATAAGTGGAATCATACAATATTTGTCTTTTTGTTACTGCCTTACTTAACATAATGTCCTCAAGGTTCATCCTTATTATACCATGTATCAAAATTTCCTTCATTTTTGAGGCTAAATAACATTCCATTGTATGTACATATCATATTTTGTTTATCCAGTCATCCGTGGATGAATACGTGTTTGCTTCTACCTTTTGGTTGTTATGAATTATGCTGCTATGAATATGGGTATACAAATAGCTCCAGATCCTGCTTTCAATTTTGGGGGGGCGGGGGATATATACCCAGAAGTGGAATTGCTGGATTATACAATAATTCCATGTTTACTTTTTTGAGGAACAGCCAGGCTGTTTTCCATTTTACATTCTGTACCAGTTTACATTCCCACCAATAGTGCACAAGAGTTCCCATGTCTCCATATCGTCACCAACACTTGTTATTTTCTGTTTTTGTGATAGTAGCCATCCTAGTAGGTATGAATGCTTGTAACTGGTGAATGCCTTTAGCGAGGACATTCCATTTTCAGCTTTGTATTTCACTTAGGTTGTGTGGCCCAATTAAACAGTCTCCAAGCATTTATTTAAGCCCTAGGCACTGAGAATACAGACCTAAATAATACATGCATGGTACCTGCCTTCACGGCACTCAGAGTATGTCAGGGGAAATAGATATCTAACAGGTAATTTCAGTCCAGTATGGTAGGTGTAATCATATATTCCTAATAGCATATTATGCCTTAAATACAGTTGAAGATTCCGGGAAATCTTGACTGAGTTTGGTGCCTTAGTATAAAACACATGAGTACATCATTCAGGCAGTCTGAGATTCCTAGATTGTTTAGGCTGGAAGGGACTTGTAGACTTTCCAGTAGAACTTTCTATGAAATGGAAATATTCTGTGTCTGCCACATGTGGCTTTTGAGCACTTAAAATGTGCTTCGTACAACTGAGAAACTTATAAAGTTCATATAATTTTAGGGAATTTATGTTTAAATTGAAGTTAGCTATAGGTAGTGGCTACTGTGTGAGACAGAGAGGTAAAGCGAGGTAATAGTGAGCATTCTTTCCTGGTTCTCATGCTTGAATATGCATGTGGGTCACCTGGGGAGCTGTTAAAAATCAGATTCTCAGGCCCTCCCTTTAGTGTTTCTAATTCTTTAAGTTGTAGTAGGGTCAAGGAACCTGCATTTTAACAACCACCACAGGTGATTCTGATGCAGACGTAGTTTGAGAAATGCCAAGTCTTGTGGTTTTCAAGCTTTTGTATCCTCAGAATATTTTCTTCAAATGAAAGCTTAAAGCCTGGGCAACATAATGGGACCCTGTCTCTACGAAAAAAAAATTTAGCTGGGCATAGTAGCACACACCTATAGTCCCAGGTAGTTGGGAGGCTGAGGTGGAAGGATTGCTTGAGCCTGGAAAGTTGAGGCCGCAGTGAGCCGTGACTGTGCCACTGCACTCCAGCCTAGGCAACGGAAGGAGACCCTGTCTCAGGAAAAAAATAAATAAATAAAAAGAAAGCTAAAGAGCTCAGTGTATAGAACAGAGAGTAGAGTTGTTCCAGCTTAGGTAGTTCTGGCTGGTACCAGAACTTTATACACGTTAGGGGATCACACTCTACCCTCTCTGGGGAAGGAACTGGGGTTTCTTGGAGTATAATTTGTACAACTCTAACCTAGCACAACCACATCACTTTATTCATCTTAAATCCTGTGAAATGCAAAATAAGATTTGGTTTTGTAATACCTATAAACATGCCAGAACCAATTACAGACCAACAGGCACCTCTGGAAATGCAGGTTGAAGCAGAAACACAATTAGTGCATTAGTCAGCCATTTTTTCCCTTGTCCTGGACTTTAACCAGCCATCTTGGCATCACATGGCGGAACTGCAGAGTAGTGATTAAAAACAGGCTGTCTGACCTGGCAGGAAGGCAGTCTCCACCCTAGAGCTTACTGGGTGGTGCTAGGCAAGTTTCCTTATCTGCAAAATGGGTATAACAGTAGCTTCTACCTGAGACAATACATGTAAAACCCAGCACTTGGCACTAAGTATTCATTATTGTAACAACAACAACAGCAGCAACAACAATACTAATAGCTAATGCTCACAGAGCATTTAACGTGAGCCAGGCCCTTTCTTCTAAGCACTTGCTGTTTATTAACTCATTCAATCCTTACAACAATCCTGTGAGTAGATAGTATTGTTATTTCCATTGTAAAGACAAACTAAAGCTCACAGAGGTTTGGAAAATTATTTAAGGCCACATTGCTGGTCAGTGGCAGAAGTGGAACTTGGCTGCAGGGAGTCTGGCCCTGGAGCCTGCAGTTTTCACTTTTACTCCGTGTGCTACTATATTATCCCCAGGCTCTAAGGAAAGCCTGTTAAGATGATCCTTTCATCCCCTCCCCCAAGCCCTAGCTCTAAATCTCAAAGCTTTGGAATTAATCTGTAAGTCAACTCAGCTTCTGCGAATCATCTGACCCAGTTGATCACTCCCTTCCTCTAAAAACACGGTTTTCTTTTGGCTTCTATGACACCAAGCCGGCTTGGATTTCTTCTTGTGACTCTACCCTCTCAGTCTCTCAGTTGGGCACCCCTTGCTCCAACTTACCTCTAAATATTTTTGAAGATGTCTGCATGCAAATTATACAGACATGCAAATTATATTATATGCTTACAAATTTTATCTCCAGCTGAATCTGTCCTCTGAGTTCCAGACTTGATGATCTGAAATGCCTAATTAATATCCCCATTTGGAAGTCTAGCAGGCCTCTCAAACTTAATATGTCCAACATGGATTATTCTCCTCACTCCTCTTGCAGCTCATGCTGCACCCCTGCTTACAGCCACCGCTGATCTCCAAGACCCCTGCCCATTTTACTTAGAATGAAATTCAGATTTCTTACCGTGGCCTACAAAGACTAGCATGATCTAGCCCCTGCCTATCTCTGTACCCTCCTCTGCCTCCACCCCGTTTCCCCAAGAGGCTTCAGCACATTGGCCTCCGTTCTGTTCCTCACACTCAGCAAGTGCTATCCTGTCTCAGGACCCTGCTTCATGCTCTTCTTCTGCCTCCAGGGCCTTGTCCCTGTACCTCCTGTCCCCCACTCCATGGTCGTCACATCCTGAAGTCTCAGCTTAAATGCTATGTCCTCAGACAGATCTTCCTAGCCACTCTAGCCTTTATTCTCTTTGGTTGCTCCCCGTATGTTTTCTTCCTAGCAGTTGTAACAATCTGGAATTGTTTGTTCTCTTGTGTATGTCTGCCACCCCCACCAGACTATAAGCTCCTAATGGACAAGGTCACTGATGGCTGCTCATCTGCTAAAGTTACTCCAGTGCCAGGCACAGAGTCTGGTACATAGATGTTCAGTAAATATGTATTGTTGTTGAAATAAAATCAATGGCTGCTGCTAAGTCAACCATGAGCATAAAATACCAATTCTAGGCCTGTTATTTGTAGAATCCTTTCATGGACTAGACAATTTTCATATATATATACAAGTGGTTAAAAAGTTGGTTGGGACTTGGGCTTTTTTTTTTTTTTTCTGAGATGGAGTCTCGCTCTGTCATCCAGGCTGGAGTGTAGTGGTACATTAGACAATTTTGATATATGTATACAAGTAGTTAAAAAATTGGTTGGGACCTGTGCTTTTTTTTTTTTTTCTTTCTTGATGGAGTCTCACTCTGTCACCCAGGCTGGAGTGCAGTGGTGTAATCTTGGCTCATTGCAACCTCCACCTCCTGGGTCCAAGTGATTCTCCTGCCTCAGCCTCCCAAGTAAGTGGGATTACAGGCGAGCGCCACCATGCTCAGCTAATTTTTGTATTTTGAGTAGGGACGAGGTTTTGCCATGTTACCCAGCCTGGTCTCAAACTCCTGATCTCAAGTGATCTGCCCACCTCGGCCTCCCCAAATGCCGGGATTACAGGTGTGAGCCACCACTTTCGCCGGACCTGGGTTTTTTAATGGGCCTTGGTCTCCATTTTCACATTTCTTCTTCCTGGGTCATCCAGAGTGTTAGGATTTACTGAGATTCTCTTAAGAAAAACAGCAGCCTTGGATACCCAATTCATATGAAAGCAGGTTTGATTTCGGTTTAAAATGGAAACTGTGAGCTAATGCATTTTACAGATTTGAGGAGAGAACAATTTTCTCTGTTTTTAAGAAAATAAAGAACAAAACGTGGGATAACTTTTTGTGAGTCACCATAGTGCCACAAGCTCCTGAAAGGGGTTCTCTGCAAATATTTGGGGTTTGGTGCTTATAAACAGCTACAAAGGTTTTCTTGAGCGTTGGTAACCACGGCAACAAGGACGTCACTTCCACGGTGCAAACATGCTTGCCAAGCTGAAGTGTGGAGTGACAGTTTTTGGCTGAGCCATGAACCTAAAAGTGGAGGTTTACAAAGTTACTGCAGACAGGTCATTAGCACGACTGGCTGCAGTGAGCTCCCTAAGTCTTCATCGCTCCTGCCTTTTCATCAGCAGCGAGATAATTGACTGTTAGACTCCCGAGCCACAGACCACGGCAGAGGTGAGTCCGCTTCTAACTGTTTCTGCAGAGTGAGGTACAGTTGTCAGAAGTTCCCAAACAATGTGAGTTTGGTAAGAGGAGACTGGAAATGGAGTTTTCACCAGTAAAGCGACGCGTGGCGATTGTGTATCTACAGGGTGGAGAGCGCAGCGCTTAGCCCTGTGTCGACAGCCCTGTGGGCTGAGGCCACAGTCTGAATTTGCTGTGCCCAGCTGTGTTTTTTCATCAGGACAGGGTGTGGGAGCGGGGGCAGGCAGAGCTTCAAGCTATGGACTCGGCAATGGAACGTGTTACCTCCGTGGTCAGCACAGTTTTAGTTTTGGGTGATAGAAACCCAATTCAGGTTGCCTTAAGCAAGAAGGGAATGTACTGGCTTAGGTAAGAGAGGAGTCCAGGGGTAAAACCTGGCCCCAGAAATGACTGGATTCCTAGATTTGGTCTCTCCCTTTTCTCTGCATCACCACTGAATCTCTCGCCCCCTTCCTCTCTAGTGCTTTCTCCTCCACTGGCTGTATTCTCAGGTTCTCCAAGTATGGTTTCCAGAAGCATCGGTCCTAAAGCCACCGGTTTAAAGACCCCACCAGGTAGAGAGCTCTTCTTCCCAGAAGATTTTGCAAAATCTCTGGATTGATTCCCGTTGGTCTATCTTGGGTCACGTGGTCAGCCCTGTACCAGTCACTGTGGACAAGGCCATGGACTATTCTGATTGGACAAGCCCATGTCACCTGATCATTCCCAGACTTCAGGGAGAGGTTGAAAGTGAGACCCACAGGAACCAAAGGATGTGGGGGGACTCCCCAGTGGGAATTTGAAATGCATTCACCGGCAGGAGTACTGGGTGCTCGGGAAGTAAAACCGCAAATGCCCACCCCTCTAACCAAGTAACTGGATGTAGGGAGAGTTAGTAGCTCAAGTTCGAATCAGCTTCCTTAGCGGGCTGTTGAAGAGCCTCTGTTGGGAGAGTGATGTCAGCAACATGGCAGAAGAGAAGCTCCTGACTCTCCCTCCACTCGTGGACACACCAAATAAACATCCATTCACCAATCACTTCCCTCTGAGAGAGTCAGAGACCAGTTGAGATTCCTACCCACCTGGTAACTGAGAAAACATCCCCATGTAACGGGTCGGAAAAGCTGAGACTCTCTTGGGCACGCCCCCACCTCGGGCGCTGAGCCACAAAATTGGGAAAGGAATCTCTAGCACCCAGCATCTCCCCATGGAGAGGAGGCTTTGGGCCTCACAAGGCCCGCCCTAACTCTAAGGTGCCCCACGGTTGGCTCTTAATTCACCAACTCTGGGGCTGAGGGAATTAGACACACTCAAGTCTCTGTTCTGCTTTGGCTCTATTTTATTTATTTATTTATTTTAGTGGAGACGGGGTTTCACCATGTTGGCCAGGCTGGTCTGGAACTCCTGACCTCAAGTGATCCGCCCACCTCAGCCTCCCAAACTGCTGGGATTACAGGCGTGAGCCACCACACCCGGCCTGCCTTGGCTCTTTTAAATGAACCTCAAGCGACCACCAGCTAGCAACGTGCCTTCTGCCTCTGGGATTGCTCCAGGCCATGTCTGTGTAGTAGAAGGAGGTGATGTTTCCCATTCCCCTCTTGTAGCTCCTTGTTCAAGCTCATCCTGTTAGATCAAAGACAATATTTGGACCTCAAGCCCCGGCCTCCATAGAGCCATGGTGTGTGTATGTACGTGGGACACTGTCTCGCTTTTATTTATGTTCAGTCTCTGCCTCTCTCACTAGATTATAACTTCCAGGAGGGCGGGGGTCATCTCGGCCTTGCTCACCACAGTGCATAGCTTGGAGGATGTAGTGGACAGTCAGTAAATGTTTGTTGAAAGAACAAATTACAGGACAATGGGGAGTCATTGAGGGATGTGAAGTGTGACAGGGTAACTTGCCCAACATTCCCCAGATAATAAAAGACACTATCAGTGGATCACCTGAGGTCAGGAGTTCAAGATCAGCCTGGGCAACATGGTGAAACCCCATCTCTACTAAAAATACAAAACATTAGCCGGGCATGGTGGCGGGCGCCTGTGTAATCCCAGCTACTCGGGAGGCCAAGGCTCAAGAATCACTTGAACCGGCGAGGGGGAGGTTGCAGTGAGCCAAGATAGCGCCATTGCACTCCAGCTTGGGAGACAAAGTGAGACTCCGTCTGAAAAAAACACACTATCCTCCCTGAATCCCACGTCTTCTGACTCCCAATGTCCCACTTTCTGCCCCCTGCCCAGCAGTGGGGTTCTCTGAGTAAGAAGAGGGGGAGGGTGGCACATACTAACACAGAATGGATGCTTGTATGCAGACCAGGCTGTAAATTACATAGCAATGACAGCTTTGATGTTGCATCTGAAAAGGTGTAATAACCCCTTCTAGCAGGTCTCTCTCATGGTGGAGGGGAAAGTGGTTTGTGCTTTATTTTAATCAGCGAGGCCCTTCCCTGCTGGTAACTTGAGGTCATTCCATCTCATCTCAGAAGGTCGTCTTGTCCTTGGGTTGCCATAATCTCCTTTGGTTATAAAGAGGACCTGGAGCCATGCAAGGGTGGGATGTTGACTTGCCATCTCAGTAGCACATTTAATCCTACAGGACTCTGGCTTCCCCTATGCAAGCATTAGAATAAGAGTTCAGGTGAGTGTGACCTGCGTTACAAAGGGCAGTCTTCACCATGAACCGTAGGAAGGGCAGGTGGCCAGTTCTGGAAAGGAGCCAGGAGACCTGGGTCCTTCTTACAGCACCCAGACTGCTGGGGAGGGAGACATGGGCAAGTCCTTTCACCTCTGTGGGAGAAATGGGCTGGTGCTCTTCTGTATCAGTTAGGTGTCTTTTAGTGTCAAGTGGTAGAAAAGAAAGAAAAATCCAAGGCTAGTGCTGGCTTCAGGGCTCTCCTGGATCCAGGGATGCCACTGGTGTGGTCAGGCCTCTGTCTTCTGTTGTGATACTACATACATAAACATTAAGATAAACATAAACATAATAAACATTATTATCCCCCATCTAACATCTCCCTGCTGTGTGGCCTTGGACAAGCCACGAATCCCTGTGACCCTCGTTTCCTCATCTGGGAATAATATTAGATCCCACACGCCACTGCAGTGAAGATTAAACAAGGCAGTTCATGAGAGAGCTTAGCACTCTGTACCTGGTGCATGGTATATAGTAGGTCCTCTGCACTGTGCCTGGTTCATAGTCGATCCTCTGGGCTCTGCTGTCCTCTCAGATGGCCTCATTTTCAGGCAGGCTTTCTCCCCTTGATGGTCTCTACTGGTTCTGTGCTTACAGACTCCTGGCTTGTAGTCCACTCTAAAGAATTTATTTTCGACAAAAAGTCTGGGATGTGGACATGCACCCACGCTCACTGGCTGCAGGCATATGCTACCAGGCAGGAAGCACTCCTCCCAGGGGCTGGAGCCTGGGGAATCCTTTGGGGGAGAATTCTGAGAAGTGAGCAGTCTGCCTGCCTTGCAGGGAGGTTTGGCAAAAAGGGAATGGGGACCAGATTGAAGGTAAGATGTCATTTCCAGGCAGAAGATCGAATAGAGCCTTGCAAGCCCTTGTTTTGAGAGAGGGGAAACCAGGAGAGAGGGAAGACCGTCAGTGTGTATTAGCAACATATACCATGCTCTTCTGTGCCTCTGTGCCTTTGCACATGCTGTTCTCTCTGCTGGGACTTCCTTATCCACTCTGCACACTCCCATGCATCCCTGAGACCCAACTCTTCAATGAAGCTTTCTCTGGCTAAAGTGAAAGCTTTACCCCTCCCCTCCCGCCCCATTTCCCTATCATTAATTGCTTTTCTTTTCTTTTTTTTTGGAGACAGTCTTGCTCTGTCGCCCAGGTTGAAGTGCAGTGGTGCGCAATCTCAGCTCACTGCAACCTCCACCTCCCATGTTCAAGCAATTCTCCTGCCTCAGCCTCCTGAGTAGCTGGGATTACAGGTGTGCCGCCATGCCCAGCTAATTTTTGTATTTTTAATAGAAATGAGGTTTCACCATGTTGGCCAGGCTGGTCTCAAACTCCTGGCCTCAAGTGATCCGCCCACCTCAGTTTCCCAAAGTGCTGGGATTGATTTTCCATTTTTGAACAAGCATCTATTGGGTGGTAGCACTGCGTGCTGGGGATACAAATGAGAATACATGACAGTGCCTGTGTCAGAGTGAGTTTGGTCCTTCCTCCCTGTTCTGCTTCTCCTTTATCAGAGCAGTTACTTGTTACTTATTCAACACATCTTTATTAAGCACCTTGTATTTTTCTGAGCATTGGTCTAGAAGCTGGAGATTCGGGGACAGTGGGAGAGACAATAAAATCAATAAATAATATTAATGAACAAGGTGATATCTTTAATTTCTTTTTTTTTTTTTTTTTTTTTTTTGAGACAGAATCTCGCTCTGTCACTCATGCTGGAGTGCAGTGGCGCAATCTCGGCTCACTGCAAGCTCCGCCTCCTGGGTTCACACCATTCTCCTGCCTCAGCCTCCCGAGTAGCTGGGACTACAGGCGCCTGCCACCACGCCCAGCTAATTTTTTATATTTTTAGTAGAGACGGGGTTTCACCGTGTTAGCCAGGATGGTCTTGATCTCCTGACCTCGTGATCTGCCCGCCTCGGCCTCCCAAAGTGCTGGGATTACAGGCTTGAGCCACCATGCTCGGCCTGAACAAGGTAATTTCTGATGGTGTGTACCTTAAGAAAATAAACACGGGTAAAGGGAGAACAAGAGATGGGGATTAGGGTGGGAGGAGAGTGGTCAGGAAGGAGGGACCCTGTGGAATAAGACCTGGAGAGTGACAAGGAACAAGCATGCAGAGGCCTGCGTGCAGGGCATTCCAGCTGAGGGGAACAGCACGTGCAAAGGCCCTCAGGGGGGTGTGTTCCAGAAATGACAAAAAGCAGGGCTGTAGTGAGAAGAGAGGACAAAGGTTTGGAAAGTGAGGTCAGGGAGATGGACAGTGGCCTGGTCATATAAGGCCTTTAGACTAAGTCATGGGAGTAGATTTTATTCTAAGTGCCTTGAGAAGCCACCGTAGTGATTCTTTTCTAGCTTGGAGGACGCATTCTCCAAGCCAGGCGTCATCCTGTCCCTTAGGTGCACAATTCTCCATTCTCTTTTGGTGCTCAAACTGTGTCATCTAATACAGTAGCCACTTCAAGTAGCTACTAAGAACTTAAAATATGGCTAGTCTGAATGGAGATGTCCTATAAGTCTAAAATATATGTTTTCAAAGACTTTGTATGAAAAACTCTGTCTCATTAATAATTTTTCTTTCAATCCATGTTGAAATGATAGTATTTTGAATATATTGGGTTAAATGACATATGTTATTAAAATTGGGCCAGGCAAGGTGGCTCATAGCTGTAATCCCAGCCCTTTGGGAGGCCAAGGTGGAGGACTGCTTGAGACCAGGAGTTTAAGACCAACCTGCGCAACACAGTGAGACCTCCTCTCTACAAAAGATATTTAAAAAGTAGCTGGGGCTGAGCGCAGTGGCTCATCCCTGTAATCCCAACACTTTGGGAGGCTGAGGCAGGTGGATCACTTGAGGTCCGGAGTTCAAGACCAGCCTGGACGACATGGCAAAATCCCATGTCTACCAAAAAAATACAAAAATTAGCCAGGTGTGGTATTGCATACCTGTAGTCCCAGCTACCTGGGAGGCTGAAGTGGGAGAGTCACTTGAACCCGGGAGGCGAGGTTTCAGTGAGCCAGGATCACGCCACTGCACTCCAGCCTGGACAAGAGAGAGAGACCCTGTCTCAATAAATAAATAAATAAAGTAGCCAGGTGTAGTGGTGCGCAACTGTACTCCCAGCTACTCAGGAATCTGAGGCGAAAGATCACTTGAGCCCAGGAGGTTGAGGCTGCAATAAGCTCATGACTGCACGTCAGCCTGCATGACACAGTGAGACCCTGTCTCTAAAAAAATTAAATTAATTTCATGTGTTCCTTTTAACTTTTTTCCTGTGGCTGCTGACAATTTGAAACTCCATGCATGGGTTGCACTGGGTTATATTTCTGTTGGCCAGCACTGCCCTTCAAGCACCTTCAGCCATTGCTTTTACCTTCATGGGTTATAGTCACCTCTTGACTTGTCTGTGCTCCTCCTTGAGGACAGTGACCCCAGCCGGTTGGTGGAGTCCTCAGGCACCACATTGGTGCTCCCCCTGGGTCCCCTTGGCGCACCCTGGTTCCCTGCACCCTGCACCCTGCAAACCCTCAGGCTGCTGCTCCTGAGGGTTTCTTTGGCATGCTCAGGCTGCATGCAGGGCAGGTCAGAAGTGCTGGGAGTTCACTCCCCAGGAGCAGCCCTCAGCCAAGGAAGGAGCAGAGTTGGAGAATACACACTCCATCATCCTGCTTCTCAGGTGCACAGCTCTGAGGTGTGTTCTCTAGCATCTCCCGAAGGTCACCTTCAGTGGTAACCTGCTCTGCAGTACACCCATTGTTGGCTTCCTTTCTGCCGCTGTTTTATTTCCCCATTCATCTAGTTGGGATCACTTCCCAAATAGACTCCTTGTACTCAGATCCTCCTTCCAGGCTGGGCTTCTGGGGGAACCCAACCTGAGACCTGGGGTGCCCAACAGGTAGGTGCTTAGTAGGAGGAGAGGGCCTGTCCCTCCAGCACATGTCTGGTGCAGGCTAGCTGCCCACTGTCAGGGGTGGGGAGTAGGGTGAGGTCGCAGGGGGATCCTGGCCAGTCTCCTGCAGCCTCTAGACCTTGAGCCTGAGGACAAGGAGCAGTGACATGAGTGTGCCAGGCTCAGGGCGTGGTGTCTGGCTGGTCCCTAGTGCCTCTAGCTGCCACACCCAGAGGGACAGTTGAATCAGCCACTGAGTTAGTGAGGGCAGAGCCACCCTGATGAGCACTGGCCTCTTGTGTCACTGTGGCAGTAGGGCCCGGGGAGTGTCTCAGCAGGAATGGCACAGGCAGCGTCCAGCATCTCTGGTGAAGTAGAGTGTTTCCAGGTGCAATGTCTTCTTTCTGACACCACTTCTGACTCCAAATGTTTGGGGTTTTCTCTATACCAAGCAATTCTCCAATTTTCCTACCCGAACTACATGTTCAACAACTGAATTTAATTCTGACCCTAACTGTCTGGAATTAGGGCAACCCCCACAATTCTGTGGGCTCAGTCCCATAGAACAGCTCCCACTTCAGATGCCAGTCACAATTCCCAGAGGCTGCGTGTGTCTGACCAACCAGCTATAAATTGAGAGGTTTCCACAATTTCCTTCTCAAGTGTGATGATTGGCTAGAACTCACAGAACTCAGGAAAATACATCTACAGCCATACCACCCTGAACACGCTTGATCTCGTCAGAACTCAGGAAAATACTTACTATTACTGGTTTATTATAAAGGATACAACTCAGGGACAGCCCAATAGAAGCGATGCTAGGGCCAGGTATGGGGGAGGGGGCGGTGGTACAGTCTCCATGCCCTCTCGGGACGTGCCACCTTCCCGGAACATGGCTGTGCTCACCCACTAGAAGCTCCTTGATCTCTGTGGTTTAGGGGTTTTTATGGAGGTTTCATTACATAGGCATGATTGATTAGATCATTGACCATTGGTGATTGAGCTCTATCTTTAGTCCTTCTTCTTCCCCCAGACATCTTTTTGGCCGTCTCATTAGCGTACAGAAGACACTCTTACCACTCAGGAGGCTGCAAGAGTTCTGTGCCAGAAGTCAAGGACAAAGACCAAATCTATTTTTTATGATACCACAATGATCTCATAATATTAATGAGATCAGATGAGAAAACATGTGGAAAGGCCTGTGACTGTGAGTTGCCCAGATCATGGCATGTTATATGTGTGCACATTTATTGGAAGGAAGTAGGGAGGTGACAGATCTTGCTGTCTAGAACTGCTAATATGCATTTGACAGACATCTGCAGGGCACCTACTGTGTGTTCATGCGGTGCCCAGGGCAGGCCCAACATTGCAGCCAGACTGAACCTTCTCAGCATCAAAACTGTTCGTGTCCATTGCCGTCTTAGAAACTCTCCCTCACTTTTAAAGCAACAACCAAATTCCTTGACATGACATCCAAGGTCTTCCTCGGCCACCCTTGCCTACCCGTCTGACCTCAGCTCCAATCCCTCCCTGCACGTGTTATTTGTTTTCATTGCACTGAGCTATTTGCACCACTCCACATCTATGTGCGTGTCAAGCCTCCGTGCACTTGCACCTGCTGTACTCGTGCCTGGACCATCCTTTGCCAGCCATCCTGCTAGTTAACCTCCTTCAGGAGGCAGCTCAGTGTCACCTTCGCCGTGAAGTCCTTCCTGATTTCCTCTTTACCATTGCCTTGTCCCTTCTTCTGTGTCCCAGTATCTATTTCTTTTAGTGCTTCCATCATTCATCAGTCACTTGCTTTATTAAAGGAATTGCACCATTAACTATATAGGAATCCCTGCTAATATTTGTCAGCATTGAGGCACTCTCGTTTAATCCTCATGGCCACCCTATTAAGTAGGCACTACTATTAACCGCATATTTCAAAAGTGCAAACTGAGGATTAAGAGGTTAACAGAGATAGTCAGTAGTAGAGCAAGGATGTACAACCCAAGCAATCAGATTCCAGAGCTCTTTTACCTCACTGGGAAACAACATTATCTTTTACTGTTCTGCATTATGTTGTAACTGTCTGTTTACATGGCTGTCTCCCTGTATCAGTCAGGGTCCCAGGAGGAAACAGACAGCACACTGGAAATAGGGTAATCCGAAGAGAGTTTAATAAGAGAGAAGTGTGGGCAGTGGGCAGGGGGACCATAGAGATTAGTCGGGCACCCAGATCCTCAAAGGTCTGAAGGGGTGAGAGAGAGGAGGCCTCTGGGAAGCAGGAGCCAGAGAGGCTGTGTGGAGAGCACCCTGAGACACAGCCGGGAGGGCTGGAGCCTGGAGAGCAGGGGAGCACTCCCCTCCTCTGACTTTCTGCTGGCTGCATTTTACCACATGCCTTTGCCTGAATCCAGGTAGAAGCCAGAGGGTGGAGGAGCCCTGAGATGTGTCTGGAGCAGGTCAGCAGGAGAAGGAGGGTACAGAGTGGGCCTGGCAGGCCATCTGCATACTCTGATTGACCATAGGCTCCTTGAGAGCTGGGGCCCTGTATTGCTCACGTTTACATCCCGGTACTCAGCACAGAGGCCAGCAGGCAGGAGGCGCTTGGTCAGTGCGTGTCAAATGAATAAACAACAAGGGACTGATCTTCAGTACAAAACACCCCTTCTGCAATGTCTGCTTGTCGATCACACATGGTCTCAGGAATTCTTTTTTTTTAATTTAATTTTTGGGGAACAGGTGGTGTTTGGTTACTTGAATAAGGTATTTAGTGGTGATTTGTGAGCTTTTGGTGCACCCATCACCTTGTGTGAGCAGTATACACTGAACCCAATTTGTAGTCTTTTATTCCTCACCCCCTTCCTACCCTTTCCCCCTGAGTCCCCAAAGTTCACTGTATCCTTCCTATGCCTGTGCATCCTCATAGCTTAGCTCCCACTTTTGAGTGAGAACATATGATATTTGGTTTTCCATTCCTGGGCTCAGGAATTCTAAGTGATGTATGTGTGTTTGTCTGTCCATGCTATTTGTGAGGTTTGTCATGGGGAAGATGATGGCAAAGTCCATTCAACTCTGAGATGATCTGATTCTTTTCTGTGGTTCTCGCAAAACTTTTCACATCTCTTGCCCCATTTCAACTTGGATGTGAAACTGGAGAGCAAGACTTTTTTTTTTTTTTTTTTTTTTTTTTTGAGATGGAGTTTTGCTCTTGTTGCTGAGGCTGGAGTGCAATGGTGCGATCTCATCTCACCGCAACCTCTGCCTCCCGGCTTCAAACGATTCTCCTGCCTCAGCCTCCCAAGTATGTGGGATTACAAGCGCCTGCCACCACACCCAGCTAATTTATTTTATTTATTTATTTATTTATTTTGAGACAGAGTCTTGCTCTGTTGCCAGGCTGGAGTGCTGTGGCGCAATCTTGGCTCACTGCAACCCCTGACTCCCTGGTTCAAGCGATTCTCTTGCCTCAGCCTCCCGAGTAGCTGGGACTACAGGCACGCGCCATCATGGCCAGCTAATTTTTGTATTTTTAGTAGCGACGGGGTTTCACCATGTTGGCCAGGCTGGTCTGGCACTCCTGACCTCATGATCCACCCACCTCGGCCTCCCAAAGTGTTGGGATTACAGGCGTGAGCCACCGTGCCAGGCCTTTTTGTTTTGTTTTTAAGGAAGCAAGTATAAATGCCATGCTCTTCTTGCTCCAGCTGCATACAGCCACAATTACTGAGATGACTGGGCCTTGTCCTATAGCCTTTGCCTGAATTCCTGAGATAAAGGAAAGAAAAGCAGCCTGGATGCGGATTCCACCAGGCCCTGGCTGTGTGGACCCAGCAGGATGCTCTGGCATTCAGGGTGGAGCACCCAGCCCAGCCTTGTGACCACATCTCCACGCCTTGTGGTTAGGAGGCCCTATCTGTGCTTCCAAATGGAAAGTATCAGAATAGCTCCCAACCAGAGAGAGAGGAGAGAAACAACCTGAATTACTGTAGTATGTGCATCTGGGAGCCCACATTTCCTGGAAGCTCTAATTCCAAATTGATTATGTCTTTTTGTTGTTGTTGTTAATTTGTGTATGGCGTGCCAATGTGTATTTATGTCTCTGAAGAGGCAGGGGTAGAGGTAAATTAACTCCCCGCCTTCCCCACTACTCCTCAGGACATCAGATCACATGGAAATGTATGTTTTCCTGTTTATTATTCATTTCTCAGGCACATCAGCAAAGGTATGGCTGTAGACAGCTGATGTAGAAAACAGTCCTGGCTTTGAAATCATGCTTTTTAGTATTTAACCTCTCTGTGCCTCAATTTCCTTGTGCATAAGGTGGGGAACATCTTATGCCACTCACAGGATAGTGTAAGAATTAAAGGAGATTTAAAAAAACAAAGGAGTAGAGGTTGAGTGAAGGCAGGTGGGCAGTCATGGGAACTCCCTTCTTTGCCCTCCATTTCTTGCTGGTAGGACTTCACTTGCCTAAACTTTCTATTAACACATTTCAAAGCACTTTCCAGTGAAACCAGAGGGAGGAGACCTTTTTTTTTTTTTCCCTCGAGAGTCCAACTTATACTGGAGAGCAGTGGCACAATCATAGCTCACTGTAACCTCGAACTCCTGGGCTCAAGCAGTCCTTCAGCCTCAGCCTCTCCAATTGCTGGGATTACAGGCATGAGCCACTATGCCCAGCTCATTTTGCTTGCATTACTTTTTTTTTTTCCTCTGCTGCTCCCCCACCCCTAACCATAGCCAGACCCCTTGGGCCTCTCTTCCCAGCAGTTCTCCAGGGTCTCACTCTCCATGGCCCATTCCTGCAGTGGCCAATAGAATATTAACCAGGGAGGGCGCATTATCCTCCTAACGCCTGGGGGATCCAAGGGTTTAGAGCCCTGCGACTAAGCACAAGACAATAACCATAAACCATCCCTGACACTGGCCTAGGTTCTTTGCGCCTGCTGATCCCCAAGTGCCCACCAGGGAAGGCAGCTGTCTTAAGTAGCCCCAGGCTGAGAGTGGCAATATGGAGCAGTTAGGAAACCGGAGCCATAAATGTGCAAGTGGACGAGGTGAGGCAGCCAGTGATGAGTCCAGTTAGGCTAAGATCCCAAAGCTGACTTTGCTAAGAGGCAGATTCCTGAAGGGGGCCCACAAATGATTCTTTTTGTGGAATCCTCTTTCACATGTTACCTTGGAGGTAGTCTTGGATGTCTTGTGTTTGGGGGCTCTGTGAACAGCGACACCACTATCCTTAAGGGATAAATCATTGCAGCTCTGTTATCCTCTTTGTGTGAAAAGAAGCTGGATGCACTGGGCTCCTGACCTTTTCCAGGACTAGGAGGTTGGGCACCTCCTGTGGAAGCTGCAACCATGGTACAGGTCAGGATTCAGACACACTTGCTCAGCGCAACTTTAACATCTGTGCTGCTTCCCCATCGGGAAGCAAGTGATGATGATGCCAGTTCGCTGAGCTGGGCAAAACTTGCATTTTATTAAAGTCGACAAGTATGTAAGCTTGTTAAAAAGCAATTATACAAAATAATATAGCCACCTAGACCAAAGCTTGACCCTAACTAAATGCCTCGGCCTCCCAAAGTGCTGGGATTACAGGCGTGCGCCACCGCGCCCGGCCTAGTCTTGAACTTTTGGGCTCAAGCAATCCTCCTGCCTTGGACTCCCAAGGTGCTGGAATTACAGGTGTGAGCCACTGGTCCCAGCCCTATCCTTTTATTTTAATTAACATCATCAGAGAAATAATATTTTTAGTATTAGCTTCATGGAAAACAATGAAGATTCACATACGTAGTAAAATCTCAGTTCTTTGGATTGAAAGAACATTTATGGGCTACATATGTTGTACTCTCACATATCTTATTTAATGTTTATAACAGCCTCTGAAGTTGCTGTCATTAGCCTCATTTTAGAGATGAGGAAAGTATGTCTAAGTTGATTCTTTTGCCCAATGTCATGCAATCTGTAAATAGTAGGGCAAGGATTTGATTGCAGGTCTTTTGACTTCTAAGTTCTGTGCTTAGCTTGGACATGGCTGCTTTTTTTTTTTTTTTTTTTTTTAAAGGGAGTTACACTTTCTCCAAGGCCTTTGAGCACCAAATATTTTTTAATTTTATATTATCTTTGCTGATTTGATTGGAAACTCTTATAAAGATCTGCATCCAGCATGGTATCTTGAATATAGCATCATGCCTAAAACCTTTTTTTATTACACAGGTTTATCTTTTTTTTTTTTTTTTTTTTTTCTGGAGACTCCATCTCACTCTGTCACCCAGGCTGGAGTGCAGTGGCACGATCTCGGCTCACTGCAACCTCTGCCTCCTGGGTTCAAGCAATTCTCCTGCCTCAGCCTCCCAAGTAGCTGGATTACAGGTGCATGCCACCATGCCTGGCTGTTTTTGTATTTTTTGTAGGGACAGGGTTTCACCATGTTGGCCAGGCTGGTCTCAAACTCCCAAACTCAGGTGATCCACCCTCCTTGGCCTCCCAAAGTGCTGGGATAACAGGCGTGAGCCACTGCACCTGGCCAAGTTTATTATTTTGAATATCACTTATTTGAGGTTGGGATCGGTTGAGTAGAGTGTTTTTCACTAATTAGCAGGCCCATGTATTTAGAATTTATTTTTTGTGGAATGGTGTATTAGTAAATTTCTAGTTTGTGGTGGTACATTTTCCTCCCTTCCTTGTAGCCCCTTTTCACTATTCCCAGCATAACTGCTGTGTTCAGTTTGTTGAAGGTCTAAAAACTAGCTCACCAAACTTGTTAGAATTTTGAGTATGGTAAGAGAAAATGGGAGCAAGTGAAAGCTCAGAGGGTGCACCTGTGATTAAAATCCATAGGTTTTGTATGCAAAAAAAAGCCATTCATAATGAATGTGTCTGTCTAGAGATTTACATGGTTTTTTTTTTTTTCTGGCTCTTGTTTTCCAGAAAAGATGAGACTCTGTGTGTGTGTGTGTGTGTGTGTGTGTGTGTGTGTGTGTATATGTATTTCTGTGTGTGTGGGGGGGTGTCTGTGTGTGCTTATGTCTGTGTCTGTGTGTGGGTCTGTATGTGTGTATGTGTGTGTGTGTCTGTGTGTATGTGTGTCTGTGTCTGTGTATGTCTGTGCGTATGTGTGTATGTCTGTGTGTGTATATGCCTGTGTATTTGTGTATGCGTGTGTGTCTGTGTATGTGTGTCTATATGTCTGTGTATGTGTCCATGTGTCCATATGCATGAGTGTGCTCTCTCAGAAAAGGAAAGAGTGGGGTAAAAATTCCAGCCAAGTCCTGGAGAAAGGACTGTAATACATTTCAATCTGAATTCTCTCTCAGGCAACAGCCTGTAACAGAAAATAAAACCAGAATTTTTGCCCTCATAAGGAATATTTGGGTTACCAGCTCTAGCCATCCATAGTGCATACAAAATTAGATATATCAAGCTACAGAAAAAAACTGTGGAAAAATCTTTTCTTCCTGCAAATGTTTCATCCTCACTTATGTCATTGTGGCTTGAATTCTAAAGAACCCTGATGAGAAAGAAGGAAAACCAAAGAAAAGCCACTCTTTACCAAACAGTACTGTATCAACCTGCTGTTGGGGTATAGATAATACACTGGTAGGTATCACATCTATTTTATGTAAACAAATTAACAGCAAACCTGGGGTTCTGTTTCAGCTGTGGCAAGCCCATTGCTGTTTGTCTCTTTGGCAGGGAACATTATTGTGGAATTTTAAATGATTGCTCTGGAGAGATTGGGCAGAACATTGATTTTAAAGCAAAGAAGTCTTTGAGCTTTATCATCTTCCTTCCTGTGTGGAATCTGCCTTGTCTCCTCTCCCTTAGCCAAATTGTGCAAGGGTTGTGTAAATAAATTTGCTTCTTCAGAAATCCATTCTGTGGGAGCCTGTTGGCTCCTCTGTGACTGTATCTCTGAAACAATTTCTGAGATGAAATTTAAGTGCTTATAAAATGTAATGCCTGTACTTGGTGAATTGAGACCAGTCTTTTCAGTGATTCTATAATGCCACAAAATAGGCCTGTTGCATGTCTTCAGAAGAATTCAGTAGGATCCCTAAGCCTCTTAAATATACAATCCCAAACACAGAGGACTAGTTGGGAAAATGACTCTGGTAGAATGCTTCTCATTTGACCACTTCTGAGATAAGCCGTTTTCATATATTCTTAGTTGGTTCAGCATTTTCATGGGCCCATTATATAAATTAGGATTAGATTTCAACTCTGTACAAACAAAAACCCAAATAACATTAGCAATTATGTTTGTTTGTTTGTTTTCCCTCTCTGACCAGAGAAGTCTGGAGGTAGTTCAAAGCTAGTCAGTGCCTCCATGGTTATCAGGAGCCCAAGCCTTTTCTGTTTCCCTGGTTCTACTCTCTTTATCATATTGCTTTAGGATCCCAAATGGTTGCTGGAGTGTCAGCCGTCACAACCACATTACAGTAGGCAGCAAGATGCAATAAGAAGGGAAGGATAACAGGAGTCCTCTTCCAGCTGTGTTAGCCCTTTTTAAGGCACTTTACCAAAACTCCTACATAGCATTTCTGCTTACATCTCACTGGCTAGATTTAGCCATATAGCCACCTTAGCTGTAAGGGAGGCTGGAAGATGAGTCTTTTAGCTAAACACATTGCTGCCCCGAATCAAACTGGGGCTCTGTTAGTGAAGAAACGGGGACTACATAGCAGGTACATAACTGGTAGTCCTGCCACATCAGCAGAGTACCATTTGTACAGAGAGTGCGGTTTAGTGCAAAGGGCTTGAACTTTGAAATTAGATAGACTTCTGTTTGAATCTTAACTCTACCACTTACTCATTTCAGCACCCTAGGTCTAGCACTTAACCTCTCTGAGTCTCAATTTCCTATCTATTAAACATGAGGAGAATAATAGCTACTTTGTAGGGTTGCAGTGAGGGTTAAAGAAAATCATAAATAAATTGCCTTGTATATAGTAGATACTAAATCATCGTCATTCTAGTTGTTATTAACAGGTAAGGTATGCCTTCCATCTTCACCACCATAGTGGTTATTTTAAAATTGAGATAATTCATATAAAATTTGCACTTTTAAGATATACAATTCAGTGGTTTTTAGTGTATTCACAAAATGATAGAACTATCACCATTGTCTATTTCCAGAACATTTTTGTCACTCCTCACAAGAAACCCTGTACCCACTGGTAGTCATTGCACATTACCACTTCCCCCACAGCCCCTGATAACCACTAATCTGCTTTCTGTCTCTATAGATTTGCCTAGTCTGGACCTTTAAGGTATCATACAGTATGTGGTCTTTTGTATCTGACTTTTGACTTAGCATAATGTTTCCAAGTTTCATCCATGTTGTAGCATGTGCCAGTACTTTATTACTCTTTATGGCTGAATAATATTCCATTGTATGGATATACCACATTTTGTTTATCCATTTGTTTGTTCATGAACGTTTGAGCTGTTTCCATTTTTTTGAATGTTAAGAATGATGCTGCTGTGAACATTGGTGTACAAGGTTTTATGTGCACATATGTTTTCATTTCTCTTGTGTATATACCTAGGAGTGTCTTAGTCAGTTTGGGCTGCTATAACAAATTACCCTAGACTGGATGGCTTACAAACAACAAATGTATTTCTCTCAGTTCTGAAAGCTGGAAGTCTGAGATCAGGGTACCAGCATGGTTGGATTCTGGTGAGGCCCTCTTCCCTTGCAGGCTGCTGACCTCTCATTGTGTCCTTATATGGCTGAAAAATAGCTAGAGAGCTGCTCTCTGTTTTTTTTGTTTGTTTGTTTGTTTTTGAGATGGGGTCTTGCTCTGTCACCCCCCAGGCTGGAATGCAACGGTGTGATCTCAGCTGACTGCAACCTCCGCCTCCTGGGTTCAAGCTATTCTCCTGCCTCAGCCTCCTGAGTAGCTAGGATTATATGTGTGCGCCACCATGCTTGGGTAATTTTTTGTATTTTTGGTAGAGACGGGGTTTTGCCATGATGGCCAGGCTGGTCTTGAACTCCTGATCTCAGGTGATCTCCCCACCTCAGCCTCCCAAAGTGCTGGGATTACAGGCGTGAGCCACTGTGCCCGGCCTGGGGTCTCTTTTATAAGGCACTGTTCCCATTCATGAGGGCTCCACCCTCATGACTTAATTACCTCTCAAAAGTGTCACGTTGTAATACCATCACATTGGGTTAGGATTTCAACATGTGAATTTGGGTGGGACACATGCATTCAGTCCACAATAGTAAGCAGTTGCTGGGTCAGATGATAACACTTGGTTTAACCTTTTGAGGAGTTGCCAAATTGTCTTTCAAAGCTACTCCACCATTTTACATTCCTACCAGCAATGTGGTGGGTTCCAGTTTCTTCACATCCTTGACAATACTTGTCAATTTCCATCTTTTTTATTACAGCCATCCTAGTGGGTGCAAAGTGGCATTTCATTGTGTTTTTGATTTGCATTTTCCTAATGTTTAGTGATGTTCAGCATCTTTTCATGTGCTTATTATCCACTTGTATATCTTTGGAGAAATGTCTATTTAACCCCTTTGTCCACTTTTAAATTAGTTATTTATCTCTTTATTGTTGGGTTGCAAAAGTTTATATATTTTGAATACTAGGCCTTTATCAAATACAAGTTGAGCATTCCCAATCTGAAAATCCCAAATGTGAAATTCTCCCAAATCCAAAACTTTTTGAATGCCAACATGAGATGCTGACACTTTTGCTTTCTGATATTTCATTGTATACAAACTTTGTTTCCTGCTCAAAATCATTAAAAATATAGTATAAGATTACCTTCAGGCTATGTGTATAAGGTTTATATGTAACATAAGTGAATTCTGTGTTTAGTCTTGGGCTCCATCCCCAAGGTGTCTCATTATGTATATGTAAACATTCCAGAAATAAAAAAAAATATCTGAAACACTTCTGGTCCCAAGCATTTCAGATAAGGAATACTCAACCTGTATACGATTTGAAACTATTTTCTCCCATTCTGTTATGTGTATTATCTAATTGATTCTGTATAACAATCCTTTGACGTAAATATCATTATCCCCATTTTACGGATGAGGAAGCTGAGGCCCTAAGGCAGTGAACAGCTTGCCTAACATAACACATCTAGTAACTGTGAAGATGGTACTGGAACCCAGGAAAAGATTAGCCAGGGCTTTTTTAGTATTAGTGGTAGAAACCCAACTCAGACTAGCTTACACTAAAAAAGAAGTACAGTTGCTCACATTACTAGGAAGTCCAAGGGTTGGACTAACATTAGGCATGGGATAGATTTTTGTGGATCCAGTGGTTCAAATGAGGTCACCACGACTCTCCCGCATCTCTTGCCATCTTTTGGTTATGATCATTCTTAGGCCAGCTCTCTGATGTGTGGCAAAGATGGTCACCAGTAGCTGAAGGCCTACTAAGTCTTAGAGAGAAAAGGCATATTCCTCTGTATCCTAGCATCTATATCAGTCCTCCATGAAGGATTCTGGTTGGCCATGCTTGAGTTAAATGCCTGTTCTAGTACCCATCATTGCTGTTATCAGGATTCTGGAATACTCTGATTGGACAGCCTGGGTCCAGCCCTTTAGTTGGGAAAGTAGAGACATGACTGACAGTCTAGAAAATTACCTGGAGTCAGGGAGGAGTAGTTCCTACAAGAAGGGGATGTAGGAGAGACAGACAATGTAGTCAGTATGCTAAAAGTCTGTCTGAACTGCTGATAATTTCAAGATGTTAAAATTAGTTGGGAGTAAGTGAAAGTTAATTCTTAAACCCAAACATCGGGAGAAAAGTAGTTTATTCACACAAAACCCCCCATGATATTGAAAATAATATTCATGAAAATAATATGATATTGAAAATAAGTTCTCTGCTGTCTATGTAAATATAGCAATTTTATAAATTTGTTTGTATAATGCCTCTCAACCTCTAAGGCCAGAGCAAAAAACCTAATTTTTTAAAAACAAAAAACCAGAAAATATTAGGGAACAGAAGCTGGATGCTGTCTCAGAAGGTTTGCTAGCAATTGTAGAGACTTGTTTTTTTTTCTGAATTAGAGCCCCTAGTGTGATTCAAATGCTCACACTTGAAAAAGGACGTTAACTAAATAGCATATGTTAAGAAGAAAACTCTGCAGTGGGCGGGCAGTTTTCCTGTTTCAAGTGGAGCAATGCCCTACATTTGACATGGTTATGGAAAAATCCTGTTATGATACAGCTCATTGTTATGTGGGTTCAAATACATTGCAGGCGAAATCATATTTTTGAAAAGCAACAAGAGAATACTGTGACAGATTCATGTAATATAGGGTATCTTTAACGGGGGCCCCAACCCAGACGGAAGACCTCCAGACAGTTCTTAGCGTTTTGAAGCAGAGCTGGGGACCTCTTTGTGTTTGGAGTTGGTAGTCACACTGATGTCAAAAAAGCATTTATTGAGCTATAGGATGCCATTGCCAAGGGACCTCTGAGAGCCTGTGCCCCAAGGTGCTGATTTTAACCACAAGGAAAATGAGGCCGAGGGAGGTGAAATTATTTGGCTGAGGAAAAGGAGCCTACCTCCCTGGCATTCCATGTCACAAACATCTTGGTGCAAAAGTCACAAATAGCTACCATTTATCAAATGTTTCTTTTGGAGTAGTATTTCAGAGCCTCAGTGGCTTTGAAAAGTGCTCATAAAAATAGATCTAGCTGGGCTGTGGGCAAATCAGAGAGAGAGCGTTACATCAAATTACTTTTACTTGGACTTTACATTCATTGGTCACTTTTAAAATACACCTTTATTTTCTGTTTGAATTATTTGAATATTCCATCACTTGTGCTGAAAACCAGTATCTCTGCCTACATATGAGCTCCTTGATGACAGAGGTTGTCTCTTATGTTTTAAAATTTATTTTTGGCTCTTAAAGTATCTAGCGGCCGGGTGTGGTGGCTCACACCTGTAATCCCAGCACTTTGGGAGGCCGAGACAGGCAGATCATGAGGTCAAGAGATCGAGACCATCCTGGCCAGCATGGTGAAACCCCGTCTCTACTAAAAATACAAAAATTAGCTGGGTGTGGTGGCGCACACCTGTGGTCTCAGCTTCTCAGGAGGCTGAGGTAGGAGAATCGCTTGAACCTGGGAGGTGGAGGTTGCAGTGAGCCGGGATTGTGCCACTGCACTCCAGCCTGGGGTGACAGAGAAAGACTCTGTCTCAAAAAAAAAAAAAAAAAAAAAAGGAATCTAGCATAGTACCTGTTTAGAATGCAAATAGTGGTATTAGTAGCTAATGTTTATTGATCACTTACTATATACCAGGCACTGTGCTAAGCATTTGCACAGATTATCTCATTTCAATCTTACCACAACCTTGAGAGAGAGGGCTTATCATCATCTTCCTTTTAACAATAAAGTAATTTAAATTAAATAACTTGCCTAAGGTAACAAATCCTGTTAAATGGCAGCACTGAGATTGAACCCCAGGTAATCTGAATCCAGATCGCACACTCTTAGCCCCTAGAAAGGTTATAAAGCTGCTTAATAACTGTTTGTGGATTAGAACTGAACTGACTGGTTCCCTCCTAATACCTCTGTACCCAGGGGAAAATGTTGTCAGAGACTCAGGAGGCAATGATCTCATCTCTGAAAATGACCAAGGGAGGAGGAACTGTGTCAATCACAATAGGCAACTGGACTTGAGAAAAGGAGAAATTTGACCTACACTCTGCATGTGCTGGGAAGCTTCTCTGGGTAAAGGGTGGGTGGCTTAGAAAAACAGTACAACTAGGTGAGTACTGTGGGGCACAGTCCTCTTGCCCCAAATTAGGAGTGTCAGTTAAGTGATGGTGTGCCAAACTTTATACTGTTACAATTTTTAAATAGTAGGCAATTGTGCATAGGCATTCCTTGATTCTGTGATGCAAAGACAACATAATCTGTTGTAGACGGGAGTTTCTGAAGGTCTTTAATCCTATCCTTGAAATATAACTGGGAAAGGTGGAGTGGGAAACCCTTGGGAACCAGGATACTTGGCATTTGGCTCAGTTCCCACAAATCTGTCAGGGAACACTGGGCAAGTCACCTAACTGCTTGGGAATCAGTTTCCTTATCCAAAAAATGAAAAGTTTGGAAAGCATGTTATCCTTAAAATTCTCGCTGGCTCTTATGGCTTATAGTGATGTAAAATAATGACAGCGACTCTAAAAACCGGGATCACTTCTGTGGATCTTACTCTCTTCTGGATCTCTCCATTTCTCCTCTCTCAATTCCTCTCATACCCTTCCCCCTATAAATGTTTGTTCATTCATTCATTCAGTCTTCCTTCTATTCAGTAAGTATCTCTTAAACACTTGGCACTTTGGGGCCATAATAGCAAATAGAAACCCTCCCTGGTCTTAGGTAGGTCACAGTCTAGTTGGATAAATATAAATATTTGGAAAATGGTACCCTGGAAAATGATACCATTGAAAAGGGCCATAAAAGAGGAACGTTCTCATTCTTGATATAGCACAGAAGTTGGGCATCATTAAAGGTGATGAACTCAACTTAAATTCATCAAAGAAACCTGGGTGTATTGTAAGTTTTTCTCATTTTTCAGGTTAATGTGACTTTATCAGAAATAAGCAAGATTTTAAATCCCTCGTTCCTATAGATCGCAAGTTTTTAGGACTCCCATAAAACACCATGATTTTTTTCTTCATTGGAGGTTGTTTTACTTGTATTAGAAATGATGTAGCTCATAAAAGGGAGCCAGTTCAATTCAAAACACATTTATGGGGGCCCACAAGGGACCCCAACTAGGCAGTGCTTTCCTAGAGAAGAAAAAGCCTACAGGGTTTGGATTCAGACTGACTGAATAGCATTTTTCCACTTATTAACTGTTAACCTTGAGCAAATTGTGCTTATCTCTGAGTTCTCTTGCAGAAAACACACTACCTCACTAGGTTACTAGGAAGATTTCAGGAGATGGTGCTTGTAAAAGGCCAAGCCTGGGGCTCCAGGAATCTTCTGTCCTTGCTTTAGTTGCTGGGGGATGTAGGTGATACAGACATGGGTAGGATTTAGTCCCTGAATGCTGTCAGGGATTGATAGTCTGGGACTTTGCGGTATAGGATACTCACTTGGAAGATACAAGGTGTTTGTTTGTTTGGCATTTGTTTTTTGTGTTTTATTTTATTTATTTATTTTTTGAGACTGGATTGCTCTGTTGTCCAGGCTGGAGTGCTGAGGTGCAGTGGTGCAATCATAGCTCACGGCAGCCTCAAACTCCTGAGCCCAAGTGAGAGATGAGTCAGAGCCAAGCCCTTCTGCTAACAGAGCTATTTGTTGCTGAGGAAGTTCTCAGTTTCTCCTCTGAATGGTGCCAATATCCTCCAGTTGCTTAAGGCAGAGTGAGAGAAGCTGACTGTGGATACCCACATGAAGATTAATCCCACCTGGAGGAATGGGGCAAGGAGCTGCTCTCTAGACCAGTCAAGCTTGCATTTGAATTGGGCTTGTAATGAGTTCCCCAGAAGGAAAACACACGCACATATACCCCAACAGAAAAAGCATCCTGGGGCTGTGGACTCATCCATTGTCTTTGATAAGCCAACAGAGCATGGTGGCTGATCACATGGGCTATGAAATCAGATTGCTTGAGTCCTGCTCCACTACTTGACAGGTAACCTCTAAGCTTCAGGTTTCCCATGCATATAACATGGGGAATAATACAGTACCTGCTTTATATTGTTGCTGCAAGTATTAAGTGAGGTTGCGCCTGCAATGACTCAGGATAATACAGGGCGCATAATACTAAGCACAATTATTCTTTCATAGGACTAAACAGAAATACATCCCTGAGTTCATTCAGTTGATATTTATGCTACATTTCTTCTAGGTTCCCACCATTCTGCCTCTTTTCTTCCTACTTCCATCAGAGGAACAGGGAGGTAGAACCAGAGTAGTTTTTTGTCTCCAAACAAACCATGTTCTTCTCTTTACTGAGAAAACTCTAGTGGTTTTGCTTGGAGTATTTAAATTGAATTAAGTACATTTGGGACTAGAATTGGCTTTTTTTAATTATTATTATTACCTGAAATTGCACGAGTGCAATTGGGAAGCACTCATACAAAGAACATGAAAAAAGCAGTTTATGTAGACTATGGGAACATGAGCCTAAGTGTAAAAGATGGAATCAAGTACAGCCCCCTCCCTCCATCCTGCTCCTTCAGCACTTTCCTTTCCTCCACCACTTCATTAAGTTGGTAGAAAATGAATTCATAAGTTGTCAGGTGAAATACAGATACTTCCTTTGGTTGCCTGGGCTGGGAAAAATACTGTATCTAACAAAGTAGCCCTATACAGAATACAGTAAAGAGACCAATTTTGCAGGCAGCAGAAAAAGCATTGGATTTAGAGTCTGCCAGGCTCAGGGACATTAACTTGCAGTGAGATTTTATTGTGTCTCAGTTTCCATTATTGTAATACTTGCATCTCAGGACTGTTATATGAATGAATTCAGACATTACATATATAACCACCAATGCAGTACCTGACTCCAGATGGAAACTGAGAAAGTCATATTCTATACCCCAGCAGCCTTAGGTTTCTCTGGTAAGTTTGGGATAAATATACTTACTTTATAAAGTTGTCATGAGGCTTAAAGAAGGATAAATGTATTCTAAATTCTATACTTAGCAAAGTGTCTGGTACGTAGCAGGTCATGGTGAATATTTTGTTTTTGCAAGAATATCAGAATTTATTTTATTTTTTATTAAAAAAAATGAGATGCAGTCTCGCCATGTTGTCCAGACTGCTCTCAAACTCCTGGGCTCAAGCAGTCCTCCCACCTCAGCCTCCCAAGTAGTTGGGATGACAGGTGTGTGTCACTGCACCCGGCAAGAATATCATAAGTTATATCTCCAGATAAGGTTTTCAAAGTTCCCATAATATCGGAAAAATAATTGTCTACTTAGGATGTCTGAGACCCTGCTAAGCACTTTATATACCTTAGCTCGTTGAATTCTCAGAACACTGAGATAGGGGTTGTCATTGCCCCCATTTTATAGATATGAAAACTGAGACTCAGAGAGGAGAAATACTTTAACAAGGTCTAGTAGCTTCTTCATGGCAGAGACGGGAGCCTATCTTTTTTATGTGAGAATCAGCCCATAATTCATGCTCCTGCAAAAGAAATGCCCCATGCTATCATCCCCTAGAAGTTGTTTTGCTCAGATTATCCTTCTTTACAGGGACTATGTTGCATGAAAATAGGCTATTTTATTTTATTTTAGTGAGTTGGTCTTAACTTACTTCTCATCTTGATTGGTATGCAGCCAGTTTGACTCTAGATACTATTTATTTACCTCCAAAATCCAAGCCATCACTAATGCATCTGACCTAACAAAGGATACTTTGAAAATAAGCGAGGTCTCTGAAGACTGTTTATTCCCAAATCTGAGATCCCAGACTTCGGGAATTACTGTGCAGCCTTCCCCGCTCCCTCTTTTTTCCTCCTCCTAGTGACTAATTTAGAGATATCTGAGTCGTGGAATGAAAGCAGATGTATTTATAGTCATCTTTCACAGAAAAGGGGAGTTCAAAGGGAATTCACATTGGTTGATTATTCACTATGCATCAGCCTACTTATCCATATTTTCTCATTTTATTTCACACAATAATCTGAAACATAGTTTAGAAAAGAAGGTGAATAAACAAGAAAGTAGAGTTTTAAGCTCAGGTCCATGTAATAAAAAGTGTGTTCCCTTCCCACTTTAGCCATTGTCGTCATTCCATGAGGGCATCGGGAGCCTGTGATGAATGCTGTCGCTGGCTAACACTGTGGATCAAAGCTCCTTGTGGTTTCTTGGGCCCACAGAGCACCTCTGACTCCCCACCCACACTCCCCCACCTCTGGTTTCTGGTCAGTCATCTTGCAAATGCATCCCCCCTTGGTTATAAGACAGATGGATGAGAGTGAGGTCTGCAACTGGAAATGTAACTGAGAGCCAATTCCCTGATGGCAAGTGGGTCGTTAGCGCCATTGCTGTTCAGAAGAATAAGCCACCACTGTTCCTGCTGCCTTTTTTTCAAGGCGACAAAGTGCATCCTGCCATAATCATGGTGTTAGAAACCTCAGTCAGCAGTGCTCAGAGTAAGAGGCAGGCATGAGGAGGACAAGAGTGCTGAACAGTCTTATTATAATGGCGACAACAGAGATGATGCTTGCTTTATATAAAGCCAGGTGCACACAAATATGTGTGTGCGCACATTTTTCCTGGCTTTGGGGAGGATGGTGTATATTTCGGGGCAGCTCCACACAAAGAAATCCAGCATTTACGTTTTGCCCATGTCAGTCTCTATTTGCTTTCAGATATCCAGGAATGATTTTCAGAGTATTTGAGAAAATGAGAGGTGCAGATGGTTTTCACTGAGGCATGGTTTCAAATTTAAAGAGGATTATGGCCCAGAAATGGTGAGTAGAGGTGTGAACCTTTGAAATTGTAATTGCAGACCAGTCTGAGGAGGTATATACTTACCAAAGCACAATATCTCATTGTGAGCATATTCCTTTCTTGGCCAAAGGAGATGGGGGAGGAGCAGATACATAACATAATCTTCAAATGAAACTGAAACAGCAATTGATGGCAGCAGTTTGGAGTCTTTGGTGAATTCAGTCAAGAAAGAAATCCCCAGCTGTCTACCATTGCAGTTAGCTTAGCTTGTTGTAATAATCTTTCTTCTTTGCATCTCCAGAGCTGACTGTATACACAAGTCGGCTCCTGCTGGGAGGAATCTGTGGTCATTTTGACACACTCACTCCTTTATTTTACAAAGGATAGCACTAAGGCCCAAGATGACAGCATCAGTTACTAGGAGGGAAAACTCTGGAACCCAGGGCCTCTTGGAATTGAGGCAATTAAACACTGACTTTTGGCTTTTAATAACAGCTCATATTTATTGAGTCTTTACTATAATGCCAGATGAAGAAGATGGAAGGAACCACCACCTCAGTGGAGGTGACAGGTGCTAGACGACTACCTGGAATAGATGGGAGAACAAAATAAATGCAAGAATCCAAGTCTGAAATTGTTTCCAGCCTAGAGGAAGGAAGGCCTTCTTGGAGTGAAGCCTAAGTGCCGTGTGTTGTCAGTGCTCCATGGGGTAACTGAGTCTCAGAGAGCTTAATTAGCTCAACTAGCATGGGCCATATTTGTTCCAAGTCACAGAATTTTCCAGATGCAGAGTGACTTGGTTAGTATGTGGGGAAGGATGGTAGGATTTTCTCCTGGGTAGCTCATACTTCAAAAGACCATGTTCTGTCAACTATGGCACATGAGCAAGTGACCTCCAGGTATGGATCTTCAGCTGTCTGCTATCATCATCTGGCTGTCTCCTCTGAACTTCAAACTTGGTGTGTCCCAAACCAAGCTTTTAAAGTGCTAATGAGGACAAAGTGGGTGCCTGTTTATTTATTTACTAATTTTTTAAAGAATGTGTTTTGAAGTTGACTTCTCAACTTCCCTTTGCCAGGGAAGAATATTTATTTATGGACATTCCCCTTACAAAATTTCCCTTTAATTAGCTGGAACCCTTGTTAGCTGAAGCATGGCCTCTTAGAGGACATTGATGAGCATCTCGCTGGAGGCACAGTGCAGGTTCAGTACAGCCAATAGAGGGAGGTGAACATCTCACACTTTTCTAATGGCTTTCCTGTGCACAAAGCACTTTCTCTTCCATCATCAGTGAACTCAACATAACAGCCAGGTCCTGGGGTTGGTGTCCTTATCTTTTGCTTTCATGTGAGGCAGCTGAGGGCCCAAGATGCCATAGACAACAGGATTATCTGGGTGACTTACTCTTGTCATTCTTTTCTCAAGATGTCACCTTGTCAGCAAAGCCTTCTCTGCAGATTCTTTATACTATAGCGACTCCTTCACTTTCTTACTTTATATTTACTCCACTTTATGTATTTGTGAGTTGTCTAGTTCTGTCCTAGAAGGTAAGCTTCATGAGAGCAGGGGCCTTGGCATTACTCAATCTCCAGGGCACATAGTGCTTAGTAAATATTTGAGAGTTAATGAGGTGCTGTATTTTGACAGCCACTCTGCTACTTCTGTGTAGCAGGCCCAAGGCTAAGACAAGATCCCTGCTTTGGGGCACTCCCTTGTAGTCAGGGGTAAGAACCAGAGAACGGATGTGAGGCTTAACAGTGCAAGATGGGCCGGGCGCGGTGGCTCACGCCTGTAATCCCAGCACTTTGGGAGGCCGAGGCGGGTGGATCATGAGGTCAGGAGATCGAGACCATCCTGGCTAACAAGGTAAAACACCGTCTCTACTAAAAATACAAAAAATTAGCCGGGCGCGGTGGCGGGCGCCTGTAGTCCCAGCTACTCGGGAGGCTGAGGCAGGAGAATGGCGTGAACCCGGGAAGCGGAGCTTGCAGTGAGCCGAGATTGCGCCACTGCAGTCCGCAGTCCGGCCTGGGCGACAGAGCGAGACTCCGTCTCAAAAAAAAAAAAAAAACAGTGCAAGATGGCAGAAGCCCAATCCCGGGGGTGAGGGGTAGGGCGCGGTGGGTGTGTGTCGCAGAGGACAGGCTCAGCCTTCCATCCTAAGGCTATCAAAGGCTCTCCTGGCTTGAATTACAGGTACCAATCCTGTGGCCCTTCCCAAAGGCCTAGCTTTTTTTTTCTTCTTCTTCTTCTTTTAAACCAAATTCATACTCAGCGAATGGTGAGAAATTAAATGGATTCTTCGGACTAAGTAGATTGAGCTAGTTTTAAAATTAGCCATCTGTCAAGGCCGAGGAGTGAGGTGGTACTTTTTCCACCGAAATTTGGCATCTGCTTAGCATCGAACACCATTTGCAGCTCGGGCAATGCCTTTTACATTCCCTGACCCTCGGCTTTCCTGCAAGTTAAAAAAAAAAGTGCAAATGAAAGATTAGAAAATTATTTTTTTTAAAAGCCCCCAAACCCTTCATTCGTCTTCACGCTGCATTGTAGCGACCTAAGGCAACTGCACAAAACCAGCCTGTAAGCGGTGAGGAGCACCCTGCAGAGAGATGGGGCGAGCGGGCAGCTGCAAGCCCGGGCCCCGGGAGGCCGCCCCTGCGCCCAGCGCTTCCTTCGCGGGGTCGGCGGCCCTCGCAGTAGAAGGCGGCTCTCCCGGGGCCTCACTTCCTGCACCCACACGCGACTAAAAAAGAACACGTACAACTTTTTTGGGCCCCCTTCTTGCAAAACGCTCGCGCAACGAGCTCGCTGAAGTAACCGCTCCGGGGGCGAACCAGGGACTCGGGCTTCCGGAGCCCCCGTGCCGCGCAGCCGGGGTCGGGAGCGGCAGCTTCGGAGCCAGGCCCCAGGGGCTGTGCGCGAGCGGGGGCGGGGCGGGGCGGGGGCCGGGCCGGGGGCGGGGCGCGGGCGGGGAGGGACCGGGGGGGCGGGGCTGGGGGCGGCGCGCGTGCGCAGAGCACTTCCTTGTTTGGCCCCGTGACTGCAGCGCGAGCGCCGCCCGCCCGCCCGCCCGCCGCGGGAGTGTGCGCTCAGTCAGTCAGGCCCGCGCCGCCGCCTGTCAGCGCGTCTGAGGAGGCAGCGCCGGGCGCCCCAGCCGCCCAGCCCGCGCACGCCCCAGCGGCCGGCCGGAGCCCAGACCCCCGCGAAGACCCCGCGCGCAGCCGCGTCCCCTCCCCCGCCGCTGAGGAGCTGCCGCCGCCGGCATGAGCAGAGGGAGGCGGGTCCCGGAGAGCCCCCTGCCTCGCGCGCGGCTTGGAGTTTGAAGGGCCCCGCGCCGAGCCCCGCCAGCGCCGCCGCCGCCTGCCTTCGCCCGCCTCCTTCCCTCCCTCTCGCCGCTGCCGGGGACGGGAGCCGCGCGCCAGGCCGGGCGGCGGGTGGCGGGCTGCGCGCCGGGGTTCATGAGCCTCCGGGCGGCCCGCGGCCCCGGGAGCCTGCGCCGTGACTCACCCCCCGCCCCCGCTTGTGTCTCGTCCCTCCCGGCAGGATGCCGGACCAGATCTCTGTCTCGGAGTTCATCGCCGAGACCACCGAGGACTACAACTCGCCCACCACGTCCAGCTTCACCACGCGGCTGCACAACTGCAGGAACACCGTCACGCTGCTGGAGGAGGTAGGTCGGGCCGGGACCCCCGCCGTCCACGCTCGCCGCTGCCGCCGCGCAGCTGGAGGATCTCCTCTCCGAGCTGGGAGGAAGGGGACGCGGGGGCCGGGGGCGCCACACCCCCTCAGGGAGCCGCCGGGTGAATAAGGGACTTCGGACGGGCGGCGCCTTCCCCATCTCCTCGCCCTTTCTGGGTCTTGCGGGTTGAAAGGCCTGGGGACTGGAGGTGGGAGAGGACTGAGCGAGCTGTGGACACTCCAGGGAGGACAGAAGATGGAAGTCCTGTCCCTGGCATGCACTGTTCGGCGCTTCCACATCTTCGTGACCCTCCTGTAACCCTCGAGGTAGGTGGCGTCAGGCCACCGAGGGCCCAGAGGCGAAGTAGTGCAGCCAAGGTCACCAGCAAGGGACTAGGAGATGGGCAGTGAACGCACCCCTCAGCGGCCCGACTGGACCAGGCAGGCGTAGCTGCGGAGACGAGGGCCGTTGGAAAAATCCCAGAGGACCCAGAGAGAACTCAGGCTGGGACTGTATCCACTCCAGGAGTCCTCCCTGTTAGTCTCTGGTGCCTGAAGCCCAGATGGAAAGAGATCTGTGCACATAGGTTTCCACCCGGCTTCCCTAACCCGGAGGGTTTGGTAGGGCTTAGGGCTGCTGCGCCAGCAGGACCTGCCCGCAGGGCACTCCGAGGCTGGACAAGGAGATCGGAGGCCGGTGCAGCCTGCTTGAGCTGACCAGACACGGAGAAGGGAGGCCCGAGGCGACAGTCAGACAGCTCCTCTTACCTGGACCCTTCAGGAAAGCGTTGCTGGTGGGGGGTGGGGGGCAGGGCCAAGGCCAAATCGATTTTCTTTAGGATTTTCAGTGAGTTAATGAGAGAGTGGTATGGGCAAAGAGGAACCTGAAAGCCAAGGAGCAGCAGAAGCCTCTGGGGCCACGATAAAAATAGGATATTTGCCCAGGAACTCAGCATCATCAATAAGTGCCATAAAGCATCCCTCCCCTTCAAACAAGGCAAACGTATTTCAACTGAAAATGGCACCATTGGGTGGAAAGTAGGAAGGGAGATGGTTTTCCCTGGGTGGGTTATGCTGTGGCTGGTTTAGGTGAGGTTTGGGGAGCTCTTTCTGATGTAAGCCCCCCACCCCAAGGACGGACCTCTGTAATATGGGGAAGCTTGGGCTTCTGTGGGCCGACTCATCTTGAAATGAGCTTTGATACTCATGTTTCCACACACGTAGAACTGGGATTCAGAAGTAGAGGGATCCCAAATTTTAGGAGGAGAGAGACTTCTGTTAGTGCTGGGTCCCATCTGGCCTGCTTGGTGCTATGACTGAATGTGTCATTCCGGCATACTTCCAGAGTTCTCTCTGGAGTCAGTATTGGGTGATGGGACTGAATTGTGAAGTGAATGGAGAAATACCACCTAACTAGGTTTGTTTGAAAACCAGAGGTAAATGGATTTTTTCTTTTCTTTTTTCTTTTTTTTTGTCTTTGTGAACTGCCAGTCTGTTATACTCGTCTGGGATTAAACAGAATTGCCAGGCATTGAACCCCATCATGGGTCTGTCTTTCACTTAATTGTAATAAATTGAAACATGTTGATACAGGAGCATTTTGCATCCCCTTTCTGTACTAATTGTATATACTTCTAAGGATGTGACATTGATTAGACTGAGTGGTTATTTTCCTTCTAGATAAGTTTTTCAGTGCCTCCTAATAGAGCTGCCAGTTATTTTAACGTTCTCTTCCTGCACATTTAGATAGTGTTGCTGTATTCTGTTTGTGAAGGGTGTGATAAGATTAAGTATTCGGTGATGCTGTTTGTAGAGGTATGCGAGCATATTTTCCAGCAACCCTGTAGTAGAGGGTTAATGTTAAATTACATGCAGTTGCTGTTGATGTTAGTTTAAGGTTAATAAATTTAAAAGCAAATATTTTTTTTTATGAGAAATACTGTTGTAAGATTAGGTAGAAAAATAGAGTTAACTATAATGCAAGTGTAGTCACTTAGGAACTTGGAACCAGGCTAGAAGTTCAGTGTCATGTTAGAGTACATTGATGATACCCATGTTCTCAAAAATATAGCAATGTTTCAGGATGGCACAATAATTTTACAATTTTTATTCTGAACTTGAGGAAGGTATTGGCCAGGAAAACATTGTCTCCGGTCGGCATATTTTAATTCTTGAGGTTGCACTCTCTTGAGTGGTTACTTTTTGCATAG
Source organism: Homo sapiens (assembly GCF_000001405.40). Classification (NCBI taxonomy): domain Eukaryota; kingdom Metazoa; phylum Chordata; class Mammalia; order Primates; family Hominidae; genus Homo; species Homo sapiens. The sequence goes on along the minus strand of NC_000008.11, from coordinate 130,355,798 downwards.
ATGTGAAAAGTATGCTTTAGGTTTTTTTACTGAAGGATAGCCACCATAGTTGAATTTTAATTTTTCCCCCATGCTTACATATGTGGAAGTAGTGCATTATTATAAATATCTTAGGTGGGTCACAATTCAGTTCTTTAAAAATATGGGACTTAACATTACCACACTCAATATAAGAAAAAATTTGGGGGCATACCACAAAATCTTGTTGGCATATGCTTCACAACTGAGATATTTGGAAACTTTAAGAATGTGGCTTGTGTTATTTTGTGGTTATTCTTAGGAAGAGAACTTTTGGGTACTTTTTGGTGATATGGAAACTCCGGAATAGGAATTAATTTGGGTAACTTGGAATTCTCATTTAAAAAAAACATTTTCCTAGTTCTAGTAAGTACCTTCCTGTTGATGACCTTTTTTTGCTCTTTAGATCACTAATGCACATACATAGAGCGCAACTGAAAAACTGTTAGATCTCCAAGATTGGAGCCCCAAATTAATCCATACTCTTTCTTTTACTATGTCTCCTTGGTAGAGATTGTGGTGTGTTGTGCAGATGTTGATGCTTTTAGTTAAATCTCTGTGATGAGCACTCTTGGAAGTAGATGAGAAATATATGGTAAGAAGGCTGGGCGTGGTGGGTCATACCTGTAATCCCAGCACTTTGGGAGGCTGAGGCAGGTGGATCACTTGAGGTCAGGAGTTCGAGACCAGCCTGGCCAAGATAGGGAAACCCCATCTCTACTAAAAAATTAGCCAGGCATGATGGCGCATGCCTGTAGTCGCAGCTTCTTGGGAGGCTGAGGCAGGAGAATCATATGAACCCGGGAGGCCGAGGTTACAATGAGCCAAGATCGCACCACTGCACACCAGGTTAGGCGACAGAGTGAGGCTACGTCTCAAAAATGGTAAGAAGAGGCAAAGAGGAGTTTACTTCTGGTTTACTTCTGGGCTTTACCTTTTGGGGCGAAGGGTCACACATGGCTCAGGGGTTCACGGTTTGGCTGGCACACAATGAGTGGCTACCTTGGGGAGGCAGGAATGGATGAGCTGGTGTTCTGCCAAGGTTTCATCCTGGCGTGTGAGTGTTTTCCAAGCAAAAAGCCAGTGTTTTACTTATTCAGCAGTGAAAGCACACTGATGTGTGCCATTTTACTCTTGACAATTTTTAAGTTATGAGTAAGTGACTAGGAGAGCATAAGCGTTTTCCCTAAACGGGAGCAGGCAGGCATTTTAGGACTGCTGTGACCCAGACAGTAGAAGGGACCCTCTATTTAAAGACTTAGAGTGGCTAATACTTAGTACCTTTGTCAGAGAGAGAGTCCAACATGATAAATGGAAGTCTACTTGGTTATTTTATATTGGGCCACATTTTAATTTGGTGACAATGAAGGAGGCAAGTTCTGCTCATTTATTGAGCAGCTGCTCCATACCAGGCCTGCTGTCGACACATGGCATGAATGCTTACATTTACCTCTCATATGAGCTCTCTGAAAGAGGAACATTTATCGTTTCCATTTTATAGAGAAGGAAATTGAGGCCCAGAGAGATGAAATGATTTCTCTCTAAGGTCAAGTGGCTAGTAAATAAAATGGAATTTAAAAATCTCCCTCCCGGCTGGGCGCGGTGGCTCAGGCCTGTAATCCCAGCACTTTGGGAGGCCGAGGTGGGCAGAACACGAGGCCAGGAGATCGAGACCATCCTGGCTAACACAGTGAAACCCCATCTCTACTAAAAATACAAAAAAAAATTAGCTGGGCGTGTTGTCAGGCGCCTTGTAGTCCCAGCTACTTAGGAGGCTGAGGCAGGAGAATGGCATGAACCCGGGAGACGGAGCTTGCAGTGAGCCAGGATCACGCCACTGCACTCCAGCCTGGGCGACAGAGCAAGACTCCGTCTCAAAAAAAAAAAATCTCACTCCCTTCTCTCCGTGAAACAGGCTCTCTCACTCTGTCGCCGAGGCTGCAGTGCAGTGGTGCGATCTCAGCTCACTGCAACCTCTGCCTCCCAGGTTCAAGCAATTCTCTCACCTCTGCCTCCTGGGGCAGCTGGGACTACAGGTGCACACCGCCATGCCTGGCTAATTTTTGTATTTCTAATAGAGACGCAGTTTCATCATGTTGGCCAGGCTGGTCTCAAACTCCCGACCTCAAGTGATCTGCCTGCCTTAGCCTTCCAAAGTGCTGGGATTACAGGCATGAGCCACCACGCCTGGCCCAGAGTTTAGAAATCTTAAAACAGTTGAGACATAAAATAGGTATTCTAAATGTCTACAAAAACATATTTCAGTGGCTTTATAGGGAACATAGGAGACTTTGCTGTCATTGCACCTTCAAGTTTTGGTCTGATTAAAAAAGGTGCCTAAGTTCCTTGGAGGCTTAGTGTTTCTTCATGTTTATATTTCAGAGTTCTTAATAGTGATACTTAAATATACTATTTTTTCCCTGTACTTTCGAAGATTTGGATATGAGTTTTCAGATTTAAATGTGGGAACTCATTTGAGTATAATCCGTGAACAGCATTTGTTCAACACATTTTTGGGGAGGCCCTGCTATATACAAGTCATTTTCCAAGTCCTACTGAGGTATTGGGGTTATCCAGATTGTATTATGGAGAAGCTAGTGGTCTTTAAGAAATAAAGAAATAAGGCTAAAACTCTTTAACAGGGTAGAAAGGGGCAGTTCATAGGGGAGGGAAATAGTATAGAACATTCATCCTAGGAATACAAGTGAAATCACTCAAATTACCATGTAGTCAATATACAGATTGTTCAGTGCCTCCTATGTGCCCAGCAGTGTGCTAGGCCCAGGGATACAATGAAGAAGAACCCTGCCCTCAAAAAATGCAGCCTAAAAGTTTTCTTATGGAAACTGGAAATCAAGTTTGGGTCTGGCATTAGAGGCTTTTCTTAATGTATTCACCTGGTGTGTTCAGTTATTTCTGAAGATATAGAAATGTTTGATGAAATGAATGAAGATACAGAATGTAGATTCAGTATCAAGCTCTATCTCATAACAGTAACATTCCTACTACATGCAAACCCTATACATACTATTATTTAATACCTTTTTTCACCCTACTATCATCAATGGCTCCATTTTATAGATGAAGAAATTCAGGATTACAGCAGTTAAGTATTTTGTCCAGCTAGGTCGTACAGCCAGTAAGTATTCTGCCCAGGTCATACAACCAGTATCAGATTTGTGATTAATCGCATTACTGTCAAGTCCTCATGCAGGCCAGTCAGACTTCTGTGTGTGTTCCCTCACCTTCCATTTAAGTTTCAGCCTTTATCTATGTCCTTTTGGGTGTCTGCCATGCTGATGATAGAGCTCATCAGTCTTTGATAAATACTGTTAGGTCCTTAAGTGATTTTCTGTGAAATCTTACGCATAGGATTTCTGTGGTCAGGGTTTGACGTCTGATCTTGTTCGTCAGCTCCCCTTGCTCAAGAATGCAAGTGCATTACCTCTTAAATTTTAAAAGCTGGTAAACTTAATAGGAAGTGCTTCTTTATATTGCAGGTGCTAAACTTAAGGAGCCCATTAATTACCCCCAAGGAGATTGTAGTCTTAAAAAAAAAAAAAAAAAACCCTTAGGAAGGATTTAGCTAAAATCAAGATTTATACTTTTGCTTAATGTAGAGAAAGTATGTTTGGGTCTGTCTCTGACCTCTTGAAGATAATACAACAAAAGGCAAACAAACCTTCCCATAATGTTTCTCTCCCACACACAAGTCAAGGCTCTGTGCCCAGGCTTTTGACCCAGTCTGGAGGTACTTAGGATGAGGTTTTGTCTGGATGAAACCAGCAAAGGTCAGTGAGTGAATATATCTGTCTGTAGAATCAAAGGGAGAAGGAAATTGTATATGTTGGAACTCATGCTCTTTCTAAAACAAGGCACAAGCCTGTTAGCCAGATATTCCATGCTAATGCTTTTGGTCCTGATATGGTTTGGATTTTTGTCCCCTCCAAATCTCAAGTTGAAACATAGTCCCCAGTGTCGGAGGTGGGGCTTGGTGGGATGTGATTGGATCGTGGGGGCGGATGCCTCATGAATGGTTTAGCATCATCATCCCCTTGGTGATAAGTGAGTTCTTGCTCAATTAGTTCTCTTGAGATCCAGTGTTTTAAAAGTTTGGGTCTCCACTTTTCTCTCTCTCTCGCCCCTGCTTTCGCCATGTGATGTGCCTGCTCCCACTTCTCCTCCTGCCATGACTAAACACTCCCTGAGGCATCCGCAGAAGCCAAGCAGATACCAGCGCCATGCTTGTACAGCCTGCAGAATTTCCTTTCTTTATAAATTACCCAGTCTCAGATATTCCTTTATAACAACACAAGAACTGCCTAACACACCTTATATATATATCTTTGGATTTAAAAAAAACATTTTTTACACCTATCATCTAATAAAAGCTTATTCTAGTAGCATTCTTATTATTGCTTTACATATGAATACATAAAGGCTCACAGACATTAAATAACTTGTCCAAGATCACACAGTGGTAAATGGTAGACTTGGGCTCTGAATGCAGAATCTGCATTGAAAACCCATTCCGTTTCTTCTGTATTTCACTGTCTTTTATGCTTCCTGTCTGCCAGTTTGTTTTGTCTTGCAGGACCCGTGAGAAAGGCATCTATTAATTATCTTTTTACCTCTATTTGGTTTCTAGTGCTAGAGAGAAAGAGTTTGGGAGAGGGAAGAAAAATGAAAAGATAGTTGCTTTTCTCTGTTCTTCTGAGACCTCTTGCTGGACCCCTCAGTAAATCTCTGCCTTTTGTGATCAAAGACAGTGCTGCAAGCAATCCTCCTTGGACTGGGCAGATGTGAAAATGACCCTGTTGCTTCCAGCTCCACCCTGGCATGCTTAGTCTGGGACTGTTGACCCAACCTGATTTGCCTATGAGCTGCCCAGAGCCCTGGCTAAAGAACCACTACTCTCAGTTGCAGTTTCTTCAGGGCTGTCTGGCTGTCTGCTTCCAGCTTCCTGGCTGTACAAGAGCCCTGAGTTTTTGCTGGGTGTTAGTTATTCAGGGAATTGCCAAGTGTCCAAGTAAAAGCGACCTTGGAGAATATCTACTCTGGCGTTTGCCAACCTGAAAGCCTGATCTCCAAAAGGCTCATGAAAGCTGTGATGGGGGTCTGTAGCCACTTTGTGGAAAAATTAGTGGACACTGCTAGTAACTTAGTTTGGCATAACTCTCATGCCAAATGTGTTTGATTTTGGCTGAAATGCATCAGCTCAGTGGTGTAGGACGAATCATCTTCTGCTGATCAGATGCTTGGATTGCCAGTTATAAAGTGGGAAAGCAAAGTGTTACCTCATTGAGGTGATTGGCTTCCTAGAAGGGCTTTGTATCTCCACGGGAGGAACCTCATGAATGATGGGACCCACCAGATCTAGTTTAGTCCTCATTGCTTTGAGAGGTGGAGACTGAGGCCCAAAGATGAGACAGAAACCATGCAGGGATTTGAATTCAGGGCTGCCCAACCCAGGGATTTTTGCACTCTGCTGTTTAACAGGGTTGTGGGGACTGGCAATTCACAGTCTGGGAGTCCTCCCCAGTACCACTCCATGTAACTTGCTTCTAGGTGGAAAGAGTGGAGAGTAAACCTTAAGTTTGGAACTGGATCTTGCTAGCCCAGTCTGCTGTCATTAAGTCCTGGTCTCAGAAGACACACTGTGCGAGGCCGCAGTAGCTTTCCCTGATGTTAGGCTAGCAGCCTTTCATTAGAAGCCATTTGTGGTGTTGGATGTTCAAACACTACCCAGACCTTTGCCTTCATTGTCTGTTTGTCCAGGGAGCCTCAGAGAGATGGTTTCCATATATGTAACCTAGTCATTTGGGGACTAAAACCAGATCTGGGTCTTGGCCATTCCCACATGTATTACTTAAACATGAGTAAGGTTTGGGGCTACACTTCATGTCTAAGCCTCTGTTTCCCCATTTGATAAATAAATGACATTGCTTTTTGAGTATTAAAGGAGGCAATGCATGGGAGGCACTCATCAAATGACTTTATGTGTCAGTAAAGTATGTCCCTATGGGTGTCAAGGTCTGACTACTCAGCTCTCCTGTGAGGCAGGGAAGAAGGGGAGGCAAATGAGGCTAGAAGCATTCCTTCATGGAGAGTTAGATAGGTAGGACTGCTCTCTACTGAGGACCAGTGGCAACACTTGGGTTGAGGAGGGTGAAATTCTCTTGCCAAGGTTAATTGTATCCCTATTACTTCTAGCGTGTGTTGGGCAAGTTACTGAGCCTTACTGTGTCCTACTTTCCTCATGGGGATAAGTACCTACCTCTCAGTGAGTCAGTATCTGTAAAGTGCTTACAACAGTGCCTGGTGTGCTAAGTGCTCTATAAATGATTGTTCTTATTATCCTTGTTGCTATTGCCCTGTATTATTGTATTATTGCATTAGACAATTGCATGTGTAACTGAGAAGATGAGACTTGGTAGACTCATTTCTGAAGGGTCAGTGATGAGGTCAGATGACAGAGAAATGAAGTCAGATGTGTATACTTCAGGGACCCGGACTGGGGAGGCACAGATGGGACTAAGGAGAGGACTAGGGCAACACCAAACACTTTGACCATTGTGGGTCATGGTCATAGCCAATTTGATCTGAAGCAGACTGTCAACTCAGTGTAACTGTATAATCAGCCCTTAGTGGGCTCTGTACTCTCTGAAGTAAGGGAACCAGTGACCAGTGCTGCCCACTTTGACCCAGGCCAGCCTGATGGGCTCTACCAGTGCAACCTCATTGCCCATGCTTCCTTGTGTCACTGCTATAATCTTTCTGCCTTCTTCTACACCCCACTCGTCGAGTCCTCTCCATTGGTGTGTGAAAGCTGCCCCTTCTGATTCTTGCTGGGGCTTTGGGGTAATGAGCTGTTTTCTCTGTTACATAATAAATGCAGGTATTTATTATGTACCTGCATAATTGATTGTGGTCATTTGTGGGGAGGTGAAACATTTATGCCTTGGCCCTGACTGGTACAGAGCATGGCAGCTAGGTTAGGTGCTTTACTGATTACAGTTTGAAGCACTGAGACCACAAGAAATTCTATTTTGGTTAGGAGGCAGGAGCCTTAAAGCAAAAGAGATCTCTCCTTGAATTTTCATTTCTGTGTGCTTCATAGCTTGTTTTCAGTGTCAGTAAAACGAGTTTTAATTATTTGTGGGCAGGAGTTAGGTCAAGATCAGGAGGCACTTGACTCTACTTGGTCTTAACAGAATCCAGGAGTTCACAGTAGGCTCTTTCCAGCCCACAGCCCTGTCTGAACAGCCCTCTGTCATGGTGCTGTTTGTGGTCAGTTGTGTAAGAACTGAATTTTAATGCCAAGCTATGGTATAATTTTCCCCCAAAGAACTGGAATATGTGTCCCCTTGATAAGACAGCACCTAATTTAGCCACTCAAAAGCTGGGAAAATAAAATCAGAACCTCATATGCCAAGGAGGTAAAGCCCAAAAGACGACTGCATTTTGGCACCAACTATTATAGAAAGCAGAGTTGGCTAAGTCAATCTAGGCCACCCCTTTCCCTGCCAGATGCGTTTTGGGTGGAGGAAAATGTAAGCTCTTCTTAGCTCTATTATTAAAATAGCCTGGATACCTTGCATTTCTGTAGCATTGTACCCAAAGGCTAGGGTCAGAATGGCCTTGTCTCCAGTGCCTGGTATAGCACCCAGCACGCAGTGGGCTGTAAGTATAGTGAGGACTATGTTATTATGACGCACATTCTGTAGAACTGGAAAAGGCCTCAGAGACCATCTAGTCCAACTCCTCTTTTTATGGATGAGGAAGCTGAGGCCTAGAAACCCCAAGTGTGTTAGGCTGTTTTATTGTAAGAGGTCCCTTCCCCTTCCCCAGCAAAATGAAATACATTGGTTAAAGCAAAATGGGGACTTATTGGAAGGATTCATGGGAGATATTTTATGGAACATGAGGGGCAAGAATGAGGGTCTTCTCTTTTGGGCAAATGGTAGATGAAGGCAGCTCGCACCAAATTATTCCCAGCTCCAGTGCCCTACACCACATTGGTGTCTGCCTGATTCTGAGGCGAGGATATCTGGGAAGGAGGATTGGATTGGCTCCACTTGGGTCAGGAGACCACCCTTGCTCCAGTCAGCTTTGGCCAGGATGAGGGGGTTATGTGATGGGTGGGGCTAAGTCTTCGTCTTCAGCCTGGGGGTGATGGTGGTCCTCAGAGGAGAGTAGGAGGATAGGGAAGCACACCGTTTATACCCAGATCACACAGCAAAGCTGGGACTAGATTCAGTTCTTCTGGCCTCATCTTCATTTTTCATTGACATGACAGTTAAATGTAAATGATGGTACTTCACAGCTGTTGGGAGAATCAGTAGGAATATAAGGGAGGCAGATGCCTGGCACTCAGTGACGCTTGGAAGATGTTAGTTTCTCTGCCCTTCCCTCTGCAAGTGTCACCTCCCCTTGATCCTTTCTGCTCTGTACTCATTTGGGATACTTGGAAGGACTGTGGTCAGAGCACTGTGCTGCCTAGTTTTAGCTTTGCTGATGTGGTCAGGAAAAATCAACATTCCACATAGGGTATGGCCAGAAAAGAAACATCCCATTGCCACTAAATCCAAAGTGATGGCATGGTGCTCCTTGAATAATCTTTCCGTAGATATCCAGGATGGATGGAAGACCAGGCAGGGCAACTTGGCTGTCTTCGGAAAATTTCTGGTTTAATTGGTTTTTCCTCAGTGTTAAATAACAGAGCCTGCTTAAAGGTCCAGTGAGGACTAATGGCTTTACTTCCATTGAACGGCTTCTTCACTGCCCAGTTACATACGAAATAAAATTGTCTTCATTGTTTTGAAACATGGGGAGCCTTCCTTTATGTTGCATTAATCATTTTTTATGATGCCCATTTCCTTTTCCTTGTAATGTTTATTCACATTAATAGCATTTACATAAAATTAGATACTCCTTATTTCCACAAAGTACAAATCAAAATAAGCACTCACTGCTGGCCCAGCAGCTGCTGCTGCTTTAATAATAGTAATATTTTTCATAGCAAGGCAAGTGAATACACTGCCTCCCAATAAATAAACTGGTGCCAAGTCAGTGCTGTCACATCCCAAGGCTTCTGCATTTTGTGTGTAAGAGTTTGAACAAATTCAGAATCTGCGAACATTGCTGTTAAGAACCTACTCTATGCCGGGAACTGTGCTGATTGCCCTACCCATATCGTCTCATATAATCCTCCCAACAGCCCTGTGGGGTGGGTGCTGTTTCTTCATTTCACAGATGATGAACTAGGTTTAGAAAGGATTCAACTCAATTTATGCTCTTTCTACTCAGACTCATCCTCAAGAAAAAAAATGCAGATATGCATGCAATGCTAATGAAAAAGAACAAACAGGAAATAGGCTTCTGCTGAGACATGAGATATGTAGGTTAGACTCAGAAGAACTTCCTGACAGTGTATTAAATACCAACCGGATGGCCATGGAAGTAGGATTTTTTTCTTCCTGATTTTGGGATAATTTTGTCAATGATAGGCTGGTGAGCTAAGTTGTGTTCTTATTCATGTTCACGTATGTCTTCACTTTTAGTAGATTGTAAGTACCTCAGGGACATCCCCCCTCACTTTTTAACCCTAGGTTTTTAAACTTGTTTTGTTTTTAATGTAGTTAGCATTCAGATATTTGAGTAAAATTATGAAGATTGTAGCAAAACTACATTTGATTTATAAATCTTGAAGGCAGACCTGGTAAAAAGTTTTCCAAATACGGTTAAGTCTACCTCTCTGGGCTTTATATATATGCCTACCAATTGCATAGAGCAGTTGGAAAAACCCACAGTTACTAAATTTCTTGAAGGTTGTGCTGCAGATGCTTAGCAGACCTGAATGCTAAAGCCAGATTCCTAGTCTGTCCTTTTGGTGTCTGCAACCTGCAGTCCTCTGTTGGCCTAGTAATACTAGTCACAGAGTTGGCTGTCACTTTTTGAGTACCAGCTCTGTACTGAGTACTTTTTTGTGATGTTGCCCAGGCTAGTCTTCAACTCCTGAGCTTAAGTGATTGGCCTGCCTTGGCTTTCTTGGCCTCTCAAAAGTGGTGGGATTATAGGCATGAGCCACCTGTGCCCAGCCTGTACTGAGTACTTTACATAGGCTGTTTCAAACTCTCACATTACCCTGCTAGTACCTGAGGGAGGTGGGAATCAAATCTGGGTTTGCCTGGCTCCATAGCCCCCACCTCCCCACTGCCACCCTGCCTTGCTTTGGTATTAGTGATTTAGCTGCAAAGTGCAAGTAAACGGAAGAGAATCTGGTTAGCATTTACTTTCTTGGTGGAAACAAACACACATACAGAGACACAAACAAGACATGCATCTGCCAGTGGAAAAGGAAAGCATTTTTCCCTCCTGACTTGTTTCTTTCGAGTTGACGGGGAGGCATTTAAATCTAGATAATTTACATCATGCATCTGGGGCAGCCAGTCACAATATGGTATGAAAGGGATTAATGAGAGAATTGGTATTTTCAAAAAGTATTGACCTCTCAGATTTTTCTTTATGGATGGTAAGTAGTGAATCATATGATTTTATGAGCAGTTGGTGCCCTGAGTTTACTCTCCAGCATTTCTGCGCTCTGTTATAATATATTCTCATTTCGTCCACACAACACTTTGTTAGGCAACAAAGCCACTATTTTCTCATTTGACAGATGAGGAAACGGGCTCAAAAAGTTAAAAATAATTTCTCAAAGGTCATTTGACTGAAAAAGCATGATGAGGCTTGAGTTCAGTTCTGCCAACCAGTCTCCCCCTTCACTTTGAAAGAGACAGACCTATGCTGGAGATGTTTTGTCAAGTAATTTGTAACTAAAACAATACCTTTAGGACTAAAACATACGGGTTTTATTATTGGATAATTTCATGATACTTTGCATTATTAGATTCTCCTTCCTCCCCACCTCCCCCATACCTTTTATAGTCTGTTTTGCGCTAGTAGCTCAGTCCTCCAAGTGGTTTTTTACTTTGGGCAGTTTTTCTTTGTTGTTTTTTGTTTGTTTGTTTGTTTGTTTTTTTAAGAGACGCAATCTCACCCTGCTGCCCAGGCTGGAATGCAGTGACATAATCATGCTTACTTACTGCAGGTTCTATCTCCTGGGCTCAAGTGATCTCGCTTCAGCCTCCCAAAATGTTGGGATTACAGGCATGAGCAACTGTGCCCAGCCAGTTTGCTTGCTGTTAACTTAAATTTTTGCACATGCAATAGCAGAGCGACATGTAACTATCATTCAGTTTCAACAATTGTCTGCTTTTGGCCAATCTTTTTTTCATTTCTGCCTCCTTCCCCTGATTTTTTGAAGCAATATCAGGTATTTCATTTCATCCGTAAATACTTCAGTATGTACTTCTAAAAGATAAGGACTTGAAAAAAATAAACCTGAACCATAATATGTTTTCTCGTCTGAAAAAAACACTTCCTCGGTGTCATTAAATATTCAGTCGCTGTTCAAATTTCCCTGGTTGTCTCTTTAAAAAAAAATGGTTTATTTAAACGGATCTGTATGAGATCTGTATGTTGAAATTCATGGACATATTTCAAATTTCTTTTAATCTGTGGATTCCTCCCTCTTTTTTTCATTGTAATTCATTTGCCAAAGAAAGTGGTGGTTTATCCCGTAGTTTCCCATAGTATGGATAGTGTTGACTGCAACCCTGCACTGTCATTTAACGTAAGCTACAGTCTACTCTTAACAGACTTTTGTTATTAATAATTTCCTCTTACTAAAGAATAAGAAGAACCTATTCCCTTTGTAGAAAATGAGGACAAGTATAAAAGAAGAAAATTTAAAAGTCATCCATAAGCCCACTAACCAGAGGTAGCCGCTACTGTCACTTCAAGTATTTTGCTCAGATACATCTCTGTCCTGCTTATTTTCATTTAACACATCATGAACATTTCCACTTCATTAAAAAGTCTTCAATAATATTTAAAAAGGCATGTCATTGTATTAAATGTTTCCCTCCCTCCCTTAAGTTGCTCCCAATTGTGTGTTTTGTACAGTTGGCTTAGCAGTTTCACCAAAGGGAGGACCTGTTGTTCACCTTGGAGCGGTGAATATTTGTGTATATCTGTCATATTCTGCTCTAGTGTTGATAGATTCCTAGAGTTGGAGTTAGAGGCTCAAAGGCCAGGCATATTAATAAATTTCTTATATATTTGTCATATTGCCAGCTTGTTTCACCAGAATGGTGGTCTTTGCCTTGTTCCAGCCCTGGGCAGCCTAGGAAAGTGCTTTTCTCCACAGAGGGACAGCTTTGAGGTCTCGATTTAAGTTTCTCCAAAAGAAAAAACTGGGCTCTGAATGTGCTGTTGCCCTTGTGTGTGTTGGTGCATTATAAGTTACATCAAGCGAGTAGGAGTAGTGAAGGGAAAAAGGAGTGAGTGTGGGTGTTTTCAAACTCTCTGCTTAGCAGACTGAAAGCCAGTGTCATCTCAGTGTTAGGGGGTGGTGAGTAGCTCTGCCTTATCAGCCCGTATCCGCCTTAGTAGTGACTTCTCTATCTGCCCCATACAGCCTCTTGTCTGAAATTCCTGCTTACCATGGAAATAAGTTTGTTAAGGCCTCTCTCTTGGGCTCAGAAATAAATAAATAGCATTCACTATGAAAAGGGGAAATGGTTAAAGACCAGACATGGCCAGCTTCTAGCCTGCCTGTTGCCTGACCCCAGGTAGTGCCTCCATTCTTCCTTGCCTGAACATTTTAACCTCCCATGACTAAGTCACAGGACATTTCTCCAGCTGAAAACCTTTTTGGCTTAGTAAGTATCTTTCACAGACCCAACCTGTACTGCCCCTTCGTTCACACATGGTTGTGAATTAGTTTGGTTGCTTCCCACTTAACACTTGGCAGAGAAGTAGGGTGGGAAGTATCTTGGAGAGAGGGGTAGAAGTTAGATGTGCCTGGAGGGGTGTAGGGTGGGGGGCAACCAGGTTCTTGGAGCAACTTGAGGGGAAGGAGAAGAGGAGGAGGAGAAGGTGCCAAAAGCAACTTTAACTTGTTTCTGAGAGTTGGCATCTTTTTTAAAAGTCAAGTTATATTTCACATTTTGTCCTTGAGCTGTCCTTTGGCTAGGGAACCCCATCACTTTGTCATGTGAGTTTGTTACGTTTTGTGTTTGTAACAGCCGCTTTTGTTTTTCTTAGGATGGTGCTTTCTCAGTTCCAGAAGTTTCAGAGAGGCCCTCCTCAGTGTTTGGAAATTGCTTCTGGGTATATTGGGCCTCTGCTTCCCTAGGGGGCCAAATAGCAGCTATCTGGAGCATCTTTCCCTGTGGATTTCAGCTTAGAATGGACATCTGTTAAGTCAAGGTCCACTCTTGGTAGAATGTGCTGGGTTTCATGCTGAGTACTTTACCCACGGTATTTTACAGAAGGCCTCTGTTACTGGATGTTCTGAGGAGAAAATCTGGAAAGTAAACAATATTAACTTCATTTTACAGATGAGAAAACTGAGGGAAGGAGTGACTTGACGAGGATGTGCAGTCAGGGGAAGCTGGAGTTTGTGTCTCTGAGGTCTGTGGTCTTACATGATGAGTGCCACCCTTGCCAATTTGCCTTCTTCATCCTCCTCACCCCCTAAGACTTCTTGATTGCCCTTGGGGTCTCAGGACATTCTCTTTTCCACCTCACCGTGAATGCCCTGGCTCAGGACCGACACTTTCCTTTCCAAAGTCTGCTTTCAGCTAACTCTTGGAAGGAAATCTCTCCCATGTTTCACTCAAAGGTATAAATGCCTGATGAGGCATTACAGCAACTTATGCTGAAGTTAGTTTTAGGTGTTGGGCATGGAGATCCTGTCACACCTTACAGGGTAGCTGGCTGTCTCTTCCCATCTCTCGGTCCAGTGAACCCTTAGAAAACAATGCCAAGAGTCTCCTAGTTTGACTCTCGTTTCTTGCTGCTCTTTTACCTCTTATTTGTTAATAAATAATTATATAAATAAATGCTTTTCCTGTTTCTCTTTTTGGTGCCAGGACTTCCCTAAAGCCTGTTCGTGAACCATTGGTGACTGAACCTTGGTCACTTGGTACGTGTCCTTCACTGGGCTGGGCAGTCAAGTTGAAGACACGGAATTATTTAATCTTTGCACCAGCCTCATCAGGTGATGCTCTGGTTCCCATTTTATAGATTGTGGAAACAGAGACTACTTAAGAGGTGCCAGGCTGTTGACACATATTTTATCCTTTGATCCTCATAACAAATCTGTAATGTTAGTAATATTTTAATTTTCAAGTAAGGGTCCTGAGGCTTGGCAGTCAGCAGTTTTCTGTCCCAGGTTTTACTGCCGAAGGGAAAGAACCGAGGTTTATACAAAGATCTGTCTGACCCTCAAGTCTCCAAGTCTCTGCCATTAACTGCTCTGCTTGCAGTTCTTACCCAAGATCCCACAACTGATGCTTGGTTAAGTCAACTCAAGCGCTTAGACACTGTGGGTGCTTCATGGAGCTTACTGAAAACAAAGTGAGTCATGGATAGGAGTTTGACATTGTAACACTTGAGCCATACATCCATTTTTGAGAACAGGGTGGCCTTCCTGGCGCCCTGCACCCATCCAGGCAAGCTGTGGGTGGTAGGTGTGTTTCACTCTGGAGCAGTCAGTTGGAAGTTTTGTGTCGACTTTACCTTCTGCTGTAATGCATCTTGTCACTAGACTTAGTGACTTAATTTGATCTGTAAGCACCCTCACAGCCACGTGGTGTTACTGTATCACATTTAATGTCGGTTAAAAAACACTCTAAAAAACCACCCCTCCACCACTGCCCCCCAGCGACAAAACAAAAACAAAAACAAAAACAAAAACAAAAAAAAACCTAGTATTTTATTCCCTTGAAGACTTTGGAAAGATTTTGTCATTCATCGCAATGATTGGTCAGCCTCAAGAAGCATGCAGGAGCCATCATAAGAGTCACAAGGTATTAAGCTTCCTCTTTGGAGCCTGGTAGTGTGCTAAGTTCTTTATGTAAATTTTATCCTTAAAATAGCTTTGCAGAGTTTCTCCATTTCACAGGAAGTGAATGAATGCTTAGAGAAGATCAATAAATGCCCAAATTGCACAACTGTTATATGGTGGAGCTAAGTTTCAAACCAAGTTTCTTAACTGTTCCATGTCACACTGCTTTCTTAGACGTTATAGCCTTTTTAAAAAGGAGATGTGGAATGAACATTTTTAAATTCAAAGTTTAAGTATACACACACATTTTATGCATTGGGTACAAGAGTATAAATGCCATGAATACTTACTAATCAGATATTTAATATCTGCTTCTGCCCTTTCTCCTAGAAAAGTGATAGTATGAAGGGAGACAGAGTGATTTGTTCCACACCCAACATAAATTATTGCCCAGGGTGAGTTAATTTGTGTTTATTTCTGAAGTGGCAGTGGTTGCTTCCTGAGGGTCTAACCTTGTTTGACTGTTTTGTAGGCTAAATTTCTGCAGGCCTTCTGCAGAGCCCTGTCTTCTTCCTCTCAGAGACAACCCAGGTGTTTTTCATTCCCTAGAAAGTTCCCCTTTGCCTTGTAGACACCTTTTTCACACAGATGTGTGGGATCCTTGGTAAACAGTGACTTATTTGGGGTTATTTCTCCAGCCAGTCCTTTCAGCCTTTTCTTCACGTAGAACCCACTGTGCCGAAATGTTGGTTTTAAGCCTATTGCATTATTGTTTTGAGGACAGGACTTATTTATTCATCTGTTTATCTCCAAAGCCTGCGACCCAGTAGAATGAACCCCATTTGAATGAACAAATGTACACACACGGAAGCCTTGAAGAATTTAGGCAAGGTGAGCCTGGCTCTGTGTATGGTGGAAGTGAGGATAAGGAGAGTCCAGAAGAAGTACTGTCTGTAGGACTGACCAAGAGGGAAAGGGGAGGAATTTCAGGACTTGCAGGATTTCAAGGGAAATAGTGTAATCTTAGAGTTTTAGAGCCAGAAGGAGCCTTAGAAATCATGGAGGTCAACCATCTCATTTTCCACATCATTGAGATTTCTCATCAGTCCTGAGTTTACAGCCACTGCCAACTGACCTTCAGGGCACAGAACCAGACATACCTCTTTAAGTTAGTGCTTTTATTGGTTAAAACACTTCCTGATTATAGCATTGTGTTTTATGTTTTAAGTAATTGATTTTTTTGTGTTTGAGCCCTAAGATGATTTTGTCAGGAAGGAAGCTATTTTTAAACATCTACAAACCAAGCAGATAGAGCACTGCCTTCAAGTGGAGGAGACTTACCCCATGTTGAATCTTGTGATAGCTCCTTCTTTTTGCTGACTTCCGACTCTACTTGCTATTAATATATTCCCCTCCCTGACCGCATCGATGTACTCAAGGATACTTGTAAATTTGCTGATTCTTAAAATTTTCTCTCCATAAAGTCCTAAACTGTTTGTTCACCTCTTCCACAGCATGGTCTTTAAACAGGTGTGAAAGTTTCCAGCGTCTTAAATTTGTTCTTACCGAGAATTTTTCTTTACGTTATTTTACCTTGAGATATTGGTGAAGAAACGATAGCCCAGATAAGTCACCTTGCTTGAAACTTTAGAGAGGGTGGGTGGCTACTGGTTAAGTGTTGAGTCCAGGTGAGATGATTCGTGTCTATGGCTTTTGCCATGACAAAGACCTTTTAAAGTCTCTCCAATGAAGAGTCGCTGTATCTGTATTTAAGTTTCCTTAGGATTCCTTGAGCTTGAGGGTTCATTCCCCCTCTCTCCTCAGGTGCTGTCTTCCTGACTGCTGCACTTCTTAGGTGGGGAATAAGCTGCTCATTAGTGCCCAGGTGCTTTTGTTACTCTGCCCCCATCTTGTGATTTTGATTGTCTGCCCAGCAGCCCAATTCTGGACCAACCAGTGTGCAGAAAGAGCCCAGCAACTGCTGCTCTGGGGGAAATGCCCAGGAAACAGTCCTCAGAAGGATTGTGATCCACTGAAGCAACAAGGCAGCCAGAGCAGCAGTAGGAAGTCAGAATTTCTGCTGGCTCTCTGTGTGGAGCATTGGTGTGGCAGGGGAGATGGGATTGTCCTCAGCATTCAGCTGAGGAAACCAGGCCCACAGATGTCATGTAGTTTGAAGGTGATGGAACCGGAGCCACTGTTAGCCCAGTGTGTACATTTTCCAGCACACCCCATTGCCTGCTGTTAATAAAAGAAATGGAAAAAATTCCACACAGATGCATGACTAGCTAGAGTCATTAAAGATACTGCAGAGTGTTTGCTGGGATGACTGTGGGCAGTAAAGCTATTGGGGAGTAGTCAGGATAATGTTCTTTTCTTGGAAGGAGAGTCCTGTCTTTATTTACCTGACACGTATCTTCTGTTGTTGCTGGCTGTTCTTTGTTGAATACTTCCCCTATGCAGAATACTTTAATTGTAGCAGCTAATTTTTATTGAGTATTTGCTGTATGTCAGGTAGTTAACTACATCCACTGATGTAAACCTCATGACCACCATTTAGGTAGGTACTGTTAAGCCTGCTGCTGCCACTTAACTGTGCAGTTTTGGGCAAGTTACTTTACTTCTCTGTTACTTAGGCATCTGCTGCCAGCATCACCTATAAATATATACCTTTTTCTGAACTGTAATATTTGTATTGTACTATTGCATGGGTCTGTTGTGAGGGTGAGGTGAACGAATGCATGTAAAGCATCACAGGCTCCTTAGGTCGTCTTATCCCCCAGTGCCCAAATATGTGATCTAGGGCAAGCCACTTCACCACTCTGAGCCTGTTCTTCCTCTGTAAAATGAGTGTAATATGTATTTCAACGATTGTTGTGAAGCAAAAATGAAGTAATGGATTAGGCATCTTACACTCCACATTGGTATGTAGTAAATGCACAATAGAAATAGTTGCTATAATTGCCATCCCCATGGGGAACTGGCTGTCACTATTTTATATGTAGGTTCGATTTTAGGATCAAGGGAGTTTGCTACCAAGTCTGGCCATTGCCTCTTCTCTGTTCTGACTTAAGAGAATGTTTTGGTGGATGGGTGAGATTTCAAGTTGAGAGGAGAGGAAAGTAAAAGACTTATAAAAATGGAAAGAAATGCATGAAAACAGATGTATTACAGAAGGTCTTTGAGAAGTTGTGGATGAGGTTTGGCTAGCCTTTAGTACTTCAATTTTCATGGGAAGGAGAGAAACCTCTTCCTTCACCCCCATCTATACATAACCAACTTTTATTTCCTGATAGGATTATGTAACAATTTTTTTCTGTTAATTATCATGGACATGTTAGGATTTGATTATTTGGAGAGGACTAGCATGCTTAATTAGCGTTCAGAATTTACAGTTTATAACAGGGCTCTCTTTGCAGTGTACTCATTTTTGTTACACTGGAGACTTCTAAAAAAGCAAAAAGTTGCCTTGATTATCAATGAGGAATCAAATGCAGGTGGTTGGTGGTACAGGAAATCAACCCAATTACTGATTAATATGAGTGATAGAGTGATTTTCCTATGATCTTATTTGAAGCATGCACCACTCAATTGGAGTTAAGATGATAGTTACAAGTAAGCAGATCCTAAATCAAACTTAAATGTAATTTAACATGGAAAACATGAACATCTTTTAAAATATTTTTGAATTAATCTCACCCTTTTACCAACCTGTGGCATTATTTTCTTGCTGTTGATGCCCAAGCCTTTCCTTATTTCCTCATACAAACTCTGATGTGAGTCCTGACTGGGTTAGCTATTTGTGATTGTCCCTATTGTAAAGATATGTAAAGTATGGTCTGGGGTTCCCTGTGGGAAGTCCCAGGATCCTTCCAGGGGTTCTGAGAGATCAAAACTATTTTTATACTAAGGTCAAGACATTTTTTGCCCTTTTCTCTCTTATTCTTTCATAAATTTATAGTTTATGAGACTGGAGCTGTTTGGGAGAAGTAGTTTCTTGAAATGTTCTCTGGTGGTTTCATTGGGAGTTTAGTATCTTTTTAGCTTTTCTGCTAGGTCTGACATCTATCTGGCTTACCGTCTTTTAGAGACAATGCAAATAGGTACTTTTTTGTCACTGTTCGGTGACTTATGTCAAAATGAAGACTGTCAAAAAGTATTTTTCCCCCTGGTTGGCTTTACCATGCTCCTCTCAGATTGTAAGAGTATGGCATCTTTTCTGAATCTCTTTGATGCATCACATGATAGATGCCGACACCATTCATCCTGCCTTAGTCTTTATTTCTTTTACCCATGTAAAGTGCCTAATACCAAAACTGGTACATAGTAGACATTCATCACATATTAGTTCCTTTGGTTTATTGCCTTGTCTTTATCCAGCTTGCTTTGAATGTGTTTCTCAAACTTCAATGTGCATACAAATCACCTGGAGAGCTTATTATGTGCTGATTCTAATTTGGTAGGTTTGGGGTAGGACCCAATAATCTGCATTTCTTTTCAATTCTCAGGTGATGCCACTGCTGCTGGTTCACTGACCACACTAGGAATAGCAAGGATGATTGATGTATATATAACCTTAAACATGCTCCCGCACACATGCCCTTTTGTAACTTTGCCTTCTTCTCCCCCACTGTGATTATTAAGTTCGAAGCAGGAATCATTGCCTTGAGTTGATTGATCACTGAATTTATTCAGCAAACATTTATCTTGGGTGATATGATTGTTTTCACAGGGCTGTTTCTGAAACTTTGTTTTGCATTATCTTAATCCCAGGTGTCTATCTCTGGTAGGCTGATGAGACAGAGTTTGGAGTTGAGTAGTCTTCATTGCATGCAGCCTGGTCTTATTCTGGGGCTCTCTTTTCCTGTCTCACTTGGAAATTTCATTTCCCAGTAATCATACTTCATAACCATTAAGTTGCTTGGAGTTCACACTTTTTTCTTTTAGTGTCCTGAAACTTATTTTTGACTGACTCAGAAGTACTATAAGAGAAATAAGTTTCCATATCATTTTTATTAACCTCTTGTTTAGATTCAAGCCTACAGAGTAGCTACTCCTGTTGTGTTCACAGGATTTTCTCCTGAGCTACATTTTCTTAACCTCAGACTATCTCTCCCTGACCAAAGAGCCCAGTAGTCCTTAGTGGGGTGGTGTGGGAGACACAGCCTCAGCAGGGCTGCTGTACTCTTGATCAACTGTTGAAAGGGAAAGTCAGGCCCAGAATCTGCCTCCCAACTCTTTTTTTCCATCTCTTTTTCCACTAGGGTGGTTGTATGCTCTTTAGGCACTGTTGATTTCTGGCTTTGAATCATGATCTCTTCATATTTCAGTATGCATGAATAATAGGACAATTTCATGCATTCATTTTGCTATTTCTGAGTAGAAGTTAGTGTGACCAACCAAGTTTTAATCTGATGGACCTGCATCTGAATCCTGGCTATGTTGCTCACTATTTGTCAGTTTACTACACCTCTCTGTGGGTCAGTTTCTCCAAGCCTTGGTTTCTCCTCTGTAAAATAGGGGTCATAAAGTGACCTTATTGAATGACAGTGAGGATTACATGAAGCAATCTATTTAAATGCTTGGCTGAGGGTCTGTTGCATGATCGGCATCCAATTAATGGTCATCCTCATGGTGATAAAGATGATCAGTGTCATCAAATGAAAATGAAAGGGAATACAGCCTGAGATAATAGTCTGGGGAAGTAAGTGCTTGTGGTAGGGAAGGAAGTAATAGGCAAAAAGTATGCTTTAGCTCTCTGGATCCCAGTCTGAACTCTGAAGGGAGGAGAGAATAAATCAGTGATCGTTAATCCGTCTCATACCCAGTGACAGAGCAGTGTGGCCAGAGAGAATTTGGGGAAGAAGAACAGGAAGCACAGGAAGGCAATGAAGACAAGGAGGGATGCTTGATATTCTGAAAGGAGGGTTGGAGGTCTGATATGTATTTGGATAATCTAAAGGGAGGGTTTATTTATGACAAAGGTACTTTGTTAGTGGGATGATGATTTTTAGTCACATTGCTGTTTTGTATTATTAAATGGAGAGCTGTTGGTATTTGAGAGAGATGCCCAGTTTTTCCAGAGTCTGAAAAGAGATTTTTGTTGATGTTGTAGTATAAAAAGTACTCTGTGACATGGCACATGGCTGCCAAAAGTGTGAAAGAAACAGGAAATCACTACACACTTGAAATATAATAGACCTTTTCATTCATCTTGTGTTTTTTTCCCTCTGAATTGTTAAATAAAAGTATATTCTGTTACATGCTACAGCTAGAAGCAAGCTTTAAGCTATCAGAATGGTTGTGAAGAACTGTAGAATAATATGAAGATAACTGTATTTGTTTCATGGCATAAAGTTCTTTTCAAATTTGGTTACTCATCCTGTGGTTTAAAAGTTAAAAAGAGACCATATATATTGTCTCTGAACTCTAGCTGAATCTATGTGAAACACAAGTAGAACTTTTGGGAGGCTGTGAGGTTTGTAGAAGACTTTAATAGAAATGAATGAAGAGCTGGCATTTTGTAATAATATTTCATCATGTGCTTTTCTTTTTCCGTTACCCAAGGAACATATTTGATGTGCTTGATATTTTTGTTGTTGTTGTTACCTGAAAATCAAAGAGTACCTCTTTATATGTGTGCCTCAGCAACTTTTTGTGGTTTATAGGATAATGTCCACTCTCCTTAACAGCTGCACCTAGAGTCCTCTGCCTTCTGCTGCTGCCAGAAGGAGCAGAAGCAAACTGGAAGCCTCTTGCATTTTCACGTCTCCTTGCCTCCTCCTGTACCAGATGAACACCTACTCATCTTTCTGGACTGAGCTCAGATGTCACCTTCTGAAGAGACCCTTCCTAACTACTGCTTTTCCCTGTTCCCCAGTCCCCATTAGAAGTTGGCAGCCCAGTCCTTGCAGCTCCAGCTGCTCTGTGCACACTGTGGCCCAACACCCATGAGGCTTCACGGGGTTCCCTGATGGCTGTGAGTCTCTTCTGTAATCTCAGCTTCTGGGGGATAGGCATGGTGTTCCATTCTGCATGCTGCTTGTCACATAATAGGCCCTCCAGAAATACTACTGAATGAATAAATGCATCTAATAGTCTGATAATTTTATCTGTATGATTGGCGAAAATATTAATCTTCTGGTGTTGTGACTTGTATATGAACCTTTCTGTTTCATGATGGCAATATGCCCTGCCATACTTTAAAAAAATTGTTACAGCCATGCCGTTTGTTTTTTGTTTTGTTTTGTTTTGTTTTTGAGACGGAGTTTCACTCTGGTTGGCCAGGCTGGAGTGCAATGGCACGATCTTGGCTCACCACAACCTCCGCCTCCTAGGTTCAAGCTACTCTCCAGCCTCAGCCTCCCAAGTAGCTGGGATTACAGGCATGTGCCAGCATGCCTGGCTAATTTTTTTATATTTTTAGTAGAGACAGGGTTTCACCATGTTGGTCAGGCTGGTCCCGAACTCCTGACCTCAGGTGATCCATCCACCTCGGCCTCCCAAAGTGCTGGGATGACAGGCGTGAGCCACCGCGCCCAGCCAGCCATGCCTTTTTACTATAGAAATAAAGATGAAAAATCTCAAGTAATCCCATCAACTAAAGATGATTAGAGTTAAAACATGTTGGTTTATAATTCTTTATAAAATAGCCTTTTAAATCCAACTGATTTGGACTAGGGTTGGGGGTGCTTAGGAAATAAGGAGTAGATAATAAGGTAGTATGGAGTAGATATATAATTGTAATTCCCCCTTGAGTTTTGAGAGCTACTTACCCAAAATAGAG
Organism: Homo sapiens; assembly: GCF_000001405.40. Classification (NCBI taxonomy): domain Eukaryota; kingdom Metazoa; phylum Chordata; class Mammalia; order Primates; family Hominidae; genus Homo; species Homo sapiens. Next base: position 130,333,077 of record NC_000008.11, on the reverse strand, counting down.
CATGACACGGTTTCGCCTCCAAACAGAATTTCCATATGAAAGATTGAACCGCTTTGTGCTTGAATCACTGTGAATGTTGCTGCTGCTAGTTCTTTCTGTAATGTGAATAGAATTTCCTTAGATAAGTTGTCAGTGTATTATTTTCCCTTTAAAAAAAAAAACTTCTTTTTTAGCTGTTATAGATTTCTTAGATTTTTATATAGAAATATTTTCTAAAATTTTTTTTACAAAAATAAAATGAAAATTGTGCCTGTTGTGCTGCATGTGCTTTCAAGTTAGAATCAGTCATTGACATATTAATGGCTTCTTCCAGGTTGGAAAATTAATAAAGATTATCCTTTTACTTGAAGAAAGTGATAAGAGAAGTAGAAAGAAAATCAGGCTGAGATTAACTAAGGAAGCAGCCTTTTTATTCTACTTTCAGCCATTCAGAAGAGGGAAAAAATCCAGAGTTTCTAATAAGAAAACGAAAAGTTGTTTTGCATTCTGGAATATTTCCAAAAGCATTGCTATTGATGTTGAATTCCACTTTGGGGTTGGAGATTAGGAAATTTTTGGAAGTGTTGAAGTAAAATTAGATGTTCTTTGTATTATTTTTTATTTGACAGTGTACAAATAATGAAACTGTAAACTAAAGTACAATGACATAATCACAGAAATGATCATAAAAATGGTTATTTAACTTGAAGTGGGATTGAATATTCAAAAAGTGCAGGTGGTGTGGATGGGCTTCTGGGTGAAATTAGGTTTTCTCTTTCAGCAGGAAAAAAGACAGAGTTTTCATTATACTCCCTGCCATTGGTGATATGGTGTAGACCTGTAATGATAACAAGCACTCAACATCTTCATTGAAAAGCACCAGAAAGATGCAGAGCAGAAGCTGTAAACTTCACAAGTGCCATCAAATCAGACTGTTTCTTCAAAGTTGAATGGAAAATTTCAGATGTTGGTCATGAAATGTTTACTCTGTGACCCAAAACCAAGTTAACAGGCCTCCAAGAGAGGTGCTTGCTCTTGGATTTGAAATAGTAGCCATAGTGATAACTTCTCTTCTCTGTGTAAGCCCTGTAATTTTGTGTATTCCATCATTCTCTCTGGATTTAGTGGTTCTGAGAAAGCAAACCTAGACCTTGGGCCGAGACTTCACACAGAAATATTTGGGGATCTGCTCTATGGTTCTCTGGGTTTGGGCCTCAGTTTCCCCATTTTTCAGCTTTTGTGGATTCTGATCATTCTCCCCACTTGATGTGCATTGTGTGTTTGCATGTGTGTGTGTATGTGTTTCTAGATATGTCTGTGAATTTTGGGGTGTATTTTTTAAATGCTTTGCTTGTATTTTTAATGTTGCTAATAAAATACTAGCTACATGATTTTGAGGGCTTGGCACCTCTTGACTAGGTAACAGTACTGTGCTAAACTCTTTACATGTTTATCTAATACTTTTCTCATGATAACCTGATGTGGGTGGACGTCCTATTTTTTTACAAATGAGAAAAGGCTCTAAAATTAAGTAACTTCCTCCACTATAATAAGGAAGGCAGGAAGTAAGGCTGGATTTCATGCCTGCCAGATTCCATAGTCTGTGGACTAAGCAACTGTGTGACTTGCTTTACTTAACATTCTGGGCCCGTTTTCTTCAGCTGATGCCCAGGGAAGTGAAGTAAACTGACCAAGTTGACACAGTTAGTAAGGAATGCTCAGAGCCAGTGTTCCTTTCTCTCTCCAGACTGCTTCCATGGAATTCTTGCTCTGGGCTTGGCAGTTCCATCATGGTTCAGAAGGATGGATCTAAGAGCAAGATGACATTGTGATGTCAACTAACCTTCCAGAGAATGGTCTAAGGGGTAATAGGGCCCTACTCGCTCTTTCCACTCGAAATAGCCATGCCCCCTTTCCTTAACTTTGGAGCCCACAACACTTAAGATTAGCTGACATTTAATATGTGTGCCTGCTAGGTTCCAGGCTCTTTTTATATCCTATCTATTCTTTATGTCCATCTGCTTGGGAAGTAATCTTATTCCCTTTTTGCAGCTGGGGGAACTGAGCATTGGAAAGGCTGGTCTGGCCAATGGACAGCTAAGGTCTTTCTGATGCCAAAGCCCATTTTTGGTACACCATATCATCTGCTACTGAGAAAAAAAGGCTAGAAGTGGAAGGAGGTTTGTTTGTACTTTCAGGAGCATCCCAGAGAATCGTAGAATTGGGTTCAGTATATTCTTCATGGCTTCACCTAAAATTTTCAGCTCGGGGCATTTTTATAGGTTTAAGAATGATTATATGTAAAAACAGGCAAAATTTCCAGAAGGCAACAAAAGATAAATGATAGAACCCTGTCTTCTGTCCCTTTCCCCATAGAGATACCTACACACATTTAAACTGGGAAAGGAAACAATGATCCATCGTAAAGCTTACCCGTAAGACAAATTGCCTTTGGCAATATAAACCTTAAATGCTCATGAAGGCCTCACATGAGTTAAGTACAGTTTAACATGATTCTGCCATTTGAGCACCTACTATGTGCCTGGTTTTTGGTAGATGACTGAGGGAAGGGTAACAGAATGAATTAGACATGCTTTCTGTCCCAAAGGTGTTCACAGGTGAATGGGGTGGTGGTTGTGGGGTGCCAGGTTAGCTGCAATATAGCATAGACCGGTCAGAGCTGTGATAATTCAGATTGCTCTGAGAGCACACATGAGGTCATGACAGGTTCCAACTGGAGAAATCTTACAGGGTCCTTTCGGACCTGGACCTGAGGAATAGATGGGTAGAACATTTCAGGCAGAGGACACCTTTTGAGCAAAGACCCAGGGTGAGAAAATGCAAAGTGGAATGGAGACTCCCATTAGATGGGTAGTACGGTTTCATGCTTACTCAGTTTGGTTTGATGAAGCAATCTCTCTCTCTGTCTTTGTGGGTTTGTGTACAGTACATGTGTGTCTTTCTCTGTTAAATGCCTTTTATGTTTTGTTGGGGACGTGTGTGGGAGTGATTCATTTCCAGCTGGGTCCAGCTGTAATGAAAATGTCCTGTTTGACAAATTGAGGAATTAGATTACAACTGTCTCTCCCTGAAAGCTGTGACACTAGCTGTAACATCAAACATCCCTCCCTTTGTGGGGCAGGACAGGAGGGAAATGGTGATTCAGGGCTGCTGGATGTGTTGACTAGAAAATTATTTGAGTAAATAAGACTGTGTTGCTCCAGTTAATTGATAAACATGGCTTCTCACTGAGCCATGTGGTTTTCCTCCAAGGAGAACTTAGAATGGTGCCATCTGAGGCTGCCCTAGTAGAGAAGTGCAACACGTCATAAGTGGTCAAAACATTTTTATTGGAAGTAATGCATCTGTGTGATTTTCTGTTTAGTCCCTATTTCAGAGCTCTTTGTTTTTTCTTAAAATGTAAAATACTCTCAACTTTAGCTTGAGAATACCTGAAGTGTTTAGTTGGACATTTATTATGAGCCAGTAACATATTTGCACAGGAGCTCTGGAGGAGAGCAGTATCACTTGTGGAACTCTGAGCGAGTTGTATAGCCACCCACCCATGCCACTTTCTACGTCTGTAGGACTATAGATTTGGACCAGCTGACCTCCAAGATCCTCTTAATAGCTCTTGGGAAATGGAATGAATAAATCCAAGATCCTGGATCTTTGCTCTACCCTTTGGCAATACTTAGGATGTAGCAACTGTGCAAGTTCTCACAGTCTTAAATGAAAAGAGCCAAGCCAAAGCTGAAGCTTTGTTGTATCTTCATCAAGGGAGGTTCCCACCCAATGTCTGTTCCACAACTGGATGCCATGTTTTGAGAGGAGCAACAGAGACCAGGATGGAAACAGAACTGGAAAACTTATTTAGTTAAGTGGCTTAGTGAACCGCTGTGTCACTCAGAGATGAGGCAGCAGCAGTGGTTGAGGGTTAAGGCTGGATTTTGAACAGTTGGAGGGCTCTCATACCCTAAGTGTTAAATCCAGTGTGAGGAAGAGCCACCCACCATCTGGTCAGGAGTAAAATGAAGTGCCTCTGGGGAACAAAGGCTTCAGTGGAACCATTCCAGCAGATATCATATTCTGACCATTAGAAATTTGATTAAGGGAAGTGTTACCCTATATTTCCTGCTAGTCTAAGAGGTCTGACTTTTAACAACCATAAAAATCTATACAGACCCATGTCTGTAATCCCAACACTTTGGGAGGCTGAGGTAGGAGGCTTGCTTGAGGCCAGAAGTTTGAGACCAACCTGAGCGACATAGGGAGACCACCATCTCTACAAAAAATAAAAAAATAAAAATTAATTGAGCATGGTGGCATGTGCCTGTACTCCTAGCTACTCGGGAGGCTGTGAGGTGGGAGGATTGCTTGAGCCCAGGAGTTCAAGGCTGCAGTGAGCTATGATCACACCACTGTACTCCAGTGCACTCCAACCTGTGTGACAGAGGAGACCTTGTCTCTTAAAAAAAAAAAAAAAAGAACTACTGAGCCATAACTAATTAATTGGGTTTTTACAGCTTTTTGTCTTAAAACTGCCCACATCTCTCATGAAAATAATATGGTGCAGTATTGTGTGGCCAAGGTGTTGTGTTTGTGTGGAGGGCCTACCACAGGGGGCAGATGATCAGAACTTACTTCTACTCAGCAAAATTTAATTACTTTATTTTTCCTCCCTCATCCTGAAATTAATACAGGTTTATTGTAACAAAAGTAGTATAAAGGTTGTCACCTGCACTTTCACTGCTTTTAAGACTATTGACTACTGTATTATTTGTCACAGTGGTTAAGAGCATAGTCTTTGGTCTCTTGGCCCTGGTTTTGAAACTCTGTTGTGGCACTACATACTAATTATGTGAACTTGCTCAAGCCTTTTTTTTTGTCCACCAGTCGTGGTCATTTCCTCATTTAGTACCAGTTTCACAGAATTGTTATGATGATAGGCGAGAAATGCATGTAGAATACTTACGACACTGGCCACCAGAGTTCAAGTGCTCAGTAAATGTTAGACAGCTGCAGTAGTGGTGCTAGAAGTAGAAGATAATAAAACTCAGTGTGTATATATATATTTTTCTTTTGCAAAAGTGGGATCCTGTTAAATCACCTGTCTTAAAAACTGCCATTTCCTTTTATATTGAGCATTTCTCCATGTCATTAGTCTACCAAACCATCATTTAAAAAATAGCTTTATTGGTGCTTAATTCACGTAGCATACTTCATCCATTTGAAGTATACAATGCAGTGTTTTTTAACTATATTCAGAGTTGCACAGTCAATTTTAGAACATTTTTATCATGCAAAAGGAAGTCCTGTAACTGTCAGAGTCACTCCTCATTTTCCTCCAAATCCTTTACTAAGCTACTTTCTGTTTCTGTGGATTTGCTTATTCTGGACATTTCCAAGCCATGCTTTTTAATGGCTGCACAATATTCTGTTATGTGGATATACCTTACTTTAGCAGCTATTCCACTGCTGTTGGAAATTTAATTTATTTTCATGATTATAGGAAATATTTATATTAATCTTCTTTACCCGTCTCAGTAGAGTCACCTGAGAGTCTTAATGAAGATTCTTCCATGTTACTTAATTAAGAAGTAACATAAAATCTTCACCTGTGGTCTTACATGCCTGTGCTGTGAGATGTTCCTGAAGAGCTTCAGGCTCCTAGAGCTGCTATCACACCATAACAAGGTCCCTAACACTGGAGCCAAGCTTTGGTAACACCCTACACTGAGGTCCAGTTGGAGCTGTTCAGGGAATAACAGCAGCAGCTTGCCCAACAATTTTGGTACAACAGTTTGGTGGGAGAGGATGAGTGACTTATTTGAGCGGAGCCATTGGAAGACAGACAGGGCCATAGTATCACCAGCTGTTCACATAGTGCCACAACACTCAAATCCAAGGACAACTCTTAGAGGAACTGGAGTGCAGGGAGAATTATTCATTACATCTGCTCAGAAAGATAGAGTGCCCTACCAACACCTTTGCAAATTGAAATTCCCTTGCTCTTGGCATGTGATCATCCTGCCAACTCTGTGAAAGCTCCCTTAGCTACTCAGATGCTGCCTCCTGGGGGCATTCATCCAGTTATTCATATCTAAATCATGGTGCTCTGATGTGGACTGACCTGGGGAGGGGAAGGAATAACCACAGTGGGTCTGGTGTGCCAGAATCTGAAAGGCTAAATTAAGATGACTTGCGAAATAAAGGGATCCTGAAGAAATAGGCCACTGATTGTCTCTGAATATATTCTATAAGGTCATTTTCAGTTCTCAGGGCTGGGAAACACAATGTGGAGAGAAGCATTAAATTAATGCTTTGCTTTTAAATGTTGGGATTCTCATAGAAGAATCCATTTCTGCTCATTTGCTGTCTGGCTGTCTTAATGCATTCAAAGTGTAGAACCCTTGAACATTTACATTTATTTGTTGTTGCTGGTGTTTTCTCTACTCTTTGTTGGCCTCCGGATGGACACCCTGTTAATATTCTTTGACTAGCGTGGAGCGAGCTGTTTAAGCTTTTTTCAGGGGAAATAAAAATGAAAGTTGTTGCAACAGGAGTTCAGCAGTGTTGCACCAACTACCATTCCAGCACATCCAGTCTGTTCGTGGTGTGTATTGAAACCTGTATTTTATTTGGGGTGGAAATTGCTTGAGGCATTTCAACTTGTTTGTGCTTAAATTGGGGATCCTATTGCAGCACTGATGTTTTATAAAAGTTGTAGGAAAGTGTGGCCCTTACATTGCAGGCAGGTGAATTCACAGGCTTTGCAAGTCGGTGCATGAGTACTGTAATCATGATAGTAGACTTGTAAAAGCAAACTCCTGTTCTTTTGTACGTGAGCATGCTGGGACTTCTCTCATTTGTCGGTCTCCAGCAGTAAGGATATGCGCTGGGAAGTCGGCAGTGAGGCACTGCATTGAGAGTGAGGCATATCACATGCCACCTCCTCCTTAAAGCCTTCTCTGATTTCCAGCAACCCTCTACTACTTAGAACTATAGACGGTGGTTAAGGACACATGCTGTGGAGTCAAAAAGACCTAGGTTCCTAAGCCAGCTCCGCCATGGCAGTTTACTTAAATTTTCTCCATTTTCTCATTTGTGAATTGGGGATAATGATAGTACTTAAAACATCATTGTGAAGACAATAGAAAATTTCATGTAAGGTGCATAACTTACCACCGTTTCTGGCATATTTAGTACTCCCTAAAGCTTGTGATTACTGTTACTAATCATATGTTTTGTGGTCTCTTCTCGGAGCCTTGGTTTTGTCATCCACAATATAAGAACAAAAACATCTATCTCAACAGCAGTTTATAAGAAGTAGGAGAGACAGTGCTGGAAAAGCATTTAGCCCTGCCCTAACTTAGTCACTTGGCATTTCAGCATGTGGTAATTAATACAGTTATAACACTTCATTCTGTTCTATGTATGGTAACTAGTTGTTTACGTATTAGTGTCTCACTAAACTGTAAATAGAGGCTATGCTTTCCTCTTTGTATATCCCAAAACGCCTTCCTCAGCACAATAGCTGATCTTCAACTAGTCATTCAGACAGGTGTGTTTGAACTTTTAGATCACATAGTTTAAGAACAGATGTCTCTTACTTTGCTTATAGAGTGAACAAAATATGATAAGTGCTACAGATGTCTTTTTCTTAACAAGGATACTTGTGGTGTGGTTACCAAATTCACACGAGGCAAGCATAGTGTAGCACTGGTCTTTTCTCACTGTGCACTGTTTGAAGTTGGCCTCAGTGCTAGAAATCTGTATTACCTGAGCAAATGTTTAGGAATTCTCTTTGCTTTTGAATACGTTGAAAGAAAGGAATTCTTTCTCCAATTTGTTCAGCTCTCCTCCTAGTTAAAAAGAAACTACCATATTTGACCCCAAGAAAGAGTTAAATGTGAACTCATCTGAGTTTTCAGAAAAGGAAAGGTTGAAAGCTCACACATTAATTATTACTGCTGCTATTCTCTTCCGCCCCCCAGAATTTGTCAGTGGAATTTTGGTCCCTAAATGTATAGGCATGTTTGGGTTAGGGTAGGACATACCCCACCTCTGGAAGGGCCTGCAAGCAGGGCTGCCGGTGAGCAGCCAGTGTTCTGGGTTTTGGGGGTTCCTTGTTCTCAGTCACCTTTGCTTGGCTTTTGCAGAGCTCGGGGTTACGAGGCAGACTGTCTAGAGCCTCTCCTGCTTCTTGCACCAGATGCTCATGCACTGTGCCACTAGCTGAGGATGCAAGGGTGTGCTTTTGCTTTTCAAAAGAGGTGCTGTAAAAAATGAGTGCATGGTTAAGATGTGGGCCATGTGAATGTTCATTACAAGAACCTTAACTGTCTGGGTAAAACAGATGAAGTTGTAAGTACCACTGAAATTTCCCAGCCCTATTCTTGTATCCATAGACTTGGAGGCCTCATATTTTAATGGATTTTACGAATTATGCTTCCTAAATTGTTGCATAGTTATATTAGGATATAATTAATTCCCTTGAACACATCTGAGTCATCCATTGCATGTATTGTCAGTTCTTGGTTATTTGATGTCCTTTTTCTAAGTACTTGCCCAAGTCAGTTTGCCTCACTGTGCCTTAATTTCCTTTTCTGTAGAGCAAAGGGGTCAGACTTAGATCATCTTTAAACCTTTTAAAAAATTACTTCTTTGCAAGTGGATACAGCTCTCCAGTTGGTTAATGATATTCAACCTTTTCATCCCTACCTGCTTCCAAGACAGCCTTAGACAGTTTCGGCCATACTCCCAGACCTGCTGTTTCCTTACCCATGATGTTTACCTTCTCATTTCATTTTGTTAAAAGAGAAGTGAGCCTAACATTTCTGGAAGCTCAGTAAAGGTTAACAGCCAACCAGCCAGAGAAGTGGGGTTGAGTCATGATGCTTCTGGCAGGACCAGGGAGGCCCTGCCAGAACCGTCCAGATCTTCCTGATTAGAAACTCACAGGCCCTTTACAGAAAGTTGGCTTCTACTGATTTGATGATTGACTCAGAGGGTTTGGGTTAGTTGGTTTCTAACAGAGCTGGCAGGGAAGGAGAGGGGTGGCCCAATACATTTTGAGCCCCTGGAGGAATAGGGTGATAACTGAGGGAGTAGTATTGTTAGGAAGCCCTGGCAGCTCTGGGAGCCATGGGGCAAGAAAGGACAATTGCTCCTGCATCTGCATCTTTTTGTTTCTGGGTATTTATTTACAGATAAGTGGTTTTTTTTAATGCCTGGTAATCTATTAGGCAGTAGGATAAAAAGATGCCCTCAAGGATGTCTCTCAAGGCTAGAGGGGAGATGCTTATTGTTTATCAAAGATCTGCTGAGTGCCTAGCATTGTGTTATGGGCCTTACATACATAGTATGCCTAATTTTAATATAGTATGATAAATTCTTTGCAAGTGATGTCTGCAAAGGACTATGGGACCATAGAGGAGTGGAGGCTGCATTCTGGCTGGAAATGGGAATTAGGGGGAACAGACAGTAGAGGGAGGTAGGAGGAGTCAAAACGGTTTTTCACATGAGATAGAACTTTCAGCTCTTCTGCAGATGGCACTGGAAATGTGGTCACTTTCTTATCCAACATGACAGGGGACTGGCAGGTGGAAATCTGTGCCTTGAAATTACTTATATTTGTCTGATAGAGCTAGGTCAGTTTAATGCTGCCTTTCCCTTGTCTGATAGTGTTGGTTACAGTTTTAAAGGCTTATTTGTTCTTTTCAGAAAAGTGGCTAAAGAAAGTATGTTCCCTCTTGTTTCTTTACACTAGTGTTTAAAAACATCAAGAGTTTCTGTCCCTCCTTCTCACATCCCTAAATGAGTGTCCAGTCCGTAATGTTCAGGCTTGAATAGAACGGCATAGCAGTCCATTTGCCTCAGCATTAGGAATCTTGTCCTCCCCAGGAACATGGTGATGATCCAGAACGGAGTCTTAATACTACCATGCCATCAACAGGAGCAGTTGCTTTTGTTTAGGAACAACAGTTTCCTTCCATTTCTGTGCAGTAGTTGTCTGTAATGACTGGAGCACTGTCTTCACTCCAGCAGATGCACGATAATTTCATTGCATTGCCTATTCTGATCTTTTTCTCATCCAGTTTGATTCCACAAATGCCTAGTGCTTCACAAAGCCTGGATAGAACTGGTCCTATGGGTGTTTTGTTAGAAAGTTCCATCCGACACATGGACTTCCTTCTCCTCAAAGCCTTCTGCGTCTCCCTGGCCTGGAAATGATCTTTTCCCACTGCTCTCCATTGCAGGTCTTTGTATATCTCTCTTTGCTCTTACCACATTCTGCCCTTTGTTAGTTATACGTATGTGCATCCTGTCTCTCCTACCAGGTTGTAAACTCACTTAGGTAAGGACTGTGTTCTATACATGCTTCACAATCCCTAGCATGAGGATTTGCCATAATAAGCACTAAATGAATATTTGTTGAATCGAACTGAATCCAGATAGCATTATATTGAACTGAGTCCTCATCATTAAGTACAAAGGAATTGTTAGAAGGTCAGTAATGTTTACTTCCCCTATCTGATTCCTAGTCCCCAGTTCTGTATTTAATTACTTAAGATATATGTGCCATCTGCAGCCTGAAGGATTTGGCAGCCAGTGATTCAAATACAAGGTAAAATGAGGCAGTTTGGGATAAGATCAATGTAATACCTCTCTGTAGGAGACAGCGGGGACTCAAGACACCTGATTTCAGCAGATTGCAGTAACTCCATAATTTATTTGCATCTAAGAGAAGGAATCATGTTTAGTTACAGCATTTTCATTTTTTTTTTTTTTTAACCACAGATGGCATAAAATTCATCTCCAGAGAGACTTCTAACTAAACCTGAGTATGAATTTTTATCTCTCAGTTTCTTATGCAATTTTTCACTGCATACCTACATAGCCTTCTTTTGGAAGTTGTTTTATTGACTTTTAAATTTTGCTTTTGTGTGTTTTACTTGCTGCTTCTCTTGTCTTCTCCCCAGCTGATTTTTCTTAACAAAAAATCTCTAGAGATGAAGAACCGTGGCAGCACAGTAGCATCTTCATTACATTTATGATTTGCATTCCCAGCTCAGCACTTTGCAATGCATATTTTGCAAAGCAAGTTTAATTTGCTAGAAGTCAGATTGAGATTTAGCATCTATCTTTTTACCATCTGTTATATGCCAGGTATAATGCTGGACACTTGCACACTTATTTCATTTTATCATAGAAAATTAAAAGAGAAAATTATATGATTATTAAGAGCCTTGAATCTCATACTAGGGGAAGTAGTCCTCTGGGTTTTATGTGATGGTGGGATGAGATAACTGATGTTAAAAGACAAACGTGGTATCTTTCTGGCATATTAGTTTTACTCAGAGATTTTGAGTGGGAGGAGTGGAAGAACTTAGACAATTTAAGTGACTAGTAATCATTTTATATTTAAGCAACCATGGAAATACAAAGGAGTGCAAACTATGCACAAGTGTTGGTGATAAAACAGAGTCTTTATTAGGTTTATGTAGTTAGAGTAGTGAGTGCTTTAGGATGCACCCCCTGACTTCTAAGGGATACTTTGTGGAAAAGCTGGAGATTTCCATCTAGTAAGTACATCTCTCTCCTTTTTTGTAAATGTAGAAATTGAGGTCCCAGAGTTCACATTCCTATTGACTGAGGAGGGATTTTAACTCCCAACTCACTGATTGACCCTCACATGCCTGCTTCTTCTTGCCCTTTGGAATCTTTGGTGCTGAACCAGACCCTCATGTGTAAGCCCACATGGTCAAATGGAGCCGAATTTGAAATCAGTTGTACTTGCAGAGGTGGCAGAGTACCATAAATGAGGCTATAGAGTGGGTTGTAAATGCCAGGCCTGCTTCTTTGCAGTCACCTGTCTCTGTAGCCACTGGGGCTTATTCACTATAATCCATGTTTTTTTGGGGGCAGGAGATTGACAGCCTTTTGGAAGATTTAATTAGCTGCTCTTCCAGGAAAGATAGCTTAATATGCCAAAGATTAAACTTATTGTGTCTTGGAATCACAAAATTTCAAAATTGAAAGGATCCTTAGGTTTCCTCAGCCAGCATTCTTGATTTATATATTTGGGATGAGATAAAAAGGTTTTCTCAAATTTCTGGTTGTCTCTATTTGAAGTTAGATAGGTGGCTAGCCCGTTAGTTGTTTACTTGTTTTATTGTTCCTGATGTCTTTAACCGAAGACTGGGCATGTTGCACTCTTTGGCAAAGTAAACTAGGGCAATGGTGTTGATGTCTACTGATCTGATCAGTGGTTTGGGATAGATAATTTTACTCTTTTCCATTGGTAAATTCTACTTTCAGAGTAGCCTGTTAGAAAGGATGAAAAGCTCTGAATTTTCTCCATTTTTTTTTAATGTGATACTAGAGAGGAATGATACTTCTTCCTGGTTGTGTGGAAAGCTACATCTAGGTTGGTTATAATTTTCATTTTTAACTCTTCCTCCTTCATACAGCCCTAGACTTCTCAGTGTTTAAATCTAGGTGTCAGGCCTCATTCATATGTATGTATGTATTCTTTTTCTTTTTTTTTTAGACAAGATCTGACTCTGTCACCTAGGCTGGAGTGTAGTGGTGCTCGCTGCAACCTCCACCTCCCGGGCTCAAGCCATCCTCTCACCTCAGCCTACCAAGTAGCTGGGACTACAGACAAGTACCACCACACCAGCTAATTTTTGTATTTTTTATAGAGATGGGGTTTTGTCATGTCGCTCAGGCTGGTCTCAAACCCGTGAGCTCAGGCAATCCTCCCACCTCGGCCTCCCAAAGTGCTGGGATTACAGGCGACAGCCACTGTTCCTGGCCCTCTGTATTTCTTATGATCTTAAATCCTGGAGGCACATGACATATATGCTCATTGATATTCCATTTTGGCAGTGAATTTGATAGGCATGATAAATTTGGTTTTGCATTAAAATATAGTGACTTTTCTGATTATGAAAGTAATTTCCCTTTTTTATTTTATTTTTTAAAGAACATTGTAAGTAATTTCTCATTATAAAAATGTGGAAAATACAGAAAAGTACAAAGAAGATTGTGTGCTAATTTTGTGAATACTAATAGCATTAACTAGACAGGAATATGTTAAAATGTACTTTTCTATGCATTATATAGTAATAGTGAAGACTTTATATAGAACATGTAAATAATTGTATGAAGTAGTTAGTGTACAAAATAATGTCATATATGCAGCTGCATTTTCTGCCTTTTTCACCTAGAAAGTTTTTTTGTCATGTCATTAAAAACTTTTGCCCTCTGTTTTCATGACTACATAATATTCTGTTGTGTGGGTGTACCTGTCTTACTGCTTCACCTACTTTATTCATATTCCTGTTACTGATGTTGGTTTTTCCATCCCTCCGCTATTTTAATACGTGCGTTGCTCTGTTCATCTTTTTGATGATTCCCAGGAAGGGATCTCAGTAAGTAGAGTTGCTGGGTCTAGGGCTTTTGAACATTGCCCAGTTCCTCCCAGAATGCTTCCACCAGTGGATGCCAGTGTGTCCCATCTTCACGGATAAGGTAGGCTCTGACTCCCCATTCACAGGATTTGTAAATACTTGCTCTGTTCTGTGCCACTCAGTGTTCCCATAGCCCTGCAAGAAGGGTACCACACTACCTCATTCAGGGCCTGGAGCAATCCCCACCACCCCTTGAACTGGCTGCTTTCTCCCCATTTGGTTTTTAGTCTTCATTCACTAATACGACAGTCTGTCAGGGAAGTGCCAGGAATTTTTCTCAACATACTTTTATTCCTTTTTTTATTTTATTTTATTTTTTAAAGAACAGAAATGGCTCTCTTAAAATTAGTAGCAGCTGGGGGCTGGTTCTGGCTATGTGATCCAATGCAACAGTAACATAAATGAGGGTGCCATTCTATTTCTAGCTGCAGAAGCTTCCTTGCCATCTTAGTGTTCTTCACCAAGGTGCTCAACTAGCTCCCTTGCAATTTCTTCTCCAAATAACCACAGTAATTGCTACAGAGGAAGTGAAAATTGTAAAAACGCTTCAGAAGACTGACAGTGGTGCTGATTATAGGAGTGACTGCTTTTAAGTTCTAATAAATTGTTTTAATTTTCTTATAATTTCTACTCAGATAAAGCAGACTCCTAGCTTTTAATTCTGCTTCTAATGGGTTTTTTCCCTTCCCACTTCTCCTGTAGTAGGGCAGTGTTGCAGTGATGAGACCATCAGCTGAAGGCCCCATTGCTTTGTCCTGCTGATCTTTTTTTCCATTGGCCACTCCATTTGACATTTCCACTGACAATGTCTTATTTCTGAGATGAGGGGAAACGCTTTTTTAAGTGTCTAGTCTATATTTGAAGTTAGATGAACATGGACTGAACCCCAACTCTATCACGTAGTAGTTTTAAGGCCTTGGGAAAGGGACCTAACTGTAAAAGGAGGTGATAATACCACTTCACTGGCTATGAGGGGGATTAACCAGGATGGCCTGTTAAAAATGCAGAGAGCTGGCAGAGTGAACAGTAAATGTTTTAATTCGCTGTGTCATTTGCCCTTAGCTAGGCTGTTTCACCTGCCGACTCATTGTGTTGCTATGAAAATGAAAGGAGATGTTCGTGAAAATGTCTGGTATGGTATCTGGCACATAGTAGTGCTTGCCAATAGTAGTTCTCCTCCTTGTAGCTCTGTCTAACTCCATGGCACAGCTAATGCACCTCATCATAAAAACACTGGGCTGGGTATGGTGGCTAATGCCTGTAATCCCAACACTTTGGGAGGCCAAGGCAGGAGGATCACTTGAAGCCAGGAATTTGAAACCAGCCTGGGCAACATAGTGAAACCCTGTCTCTACAAAAGAATAAAAAATGAGCTGGGTATGGTGGTATGTGCCTGTAACCCCAGCCACTTGGGGGGCTGAGGTGGGAGGATTACTTGAGCCTGGGCGGTCAAGGCTACAATGAGCTGTGACTGCATCACTATGTTACAGTGAGACCCTCTCTCAGGAAAGAATAAAAATAAAAAACAACATCTGGTCCATGGATTCCATCAAACAAGTGCTATTCCTTTTTGTCTTGTCATAAAAACTCTCTATCAGTGGATGCTTTCTGCACGTCCATTTGCTAATAGTTTCCTGTTCCTTGTTTTAGCTATTTTGGTAAAAGTGACTAATGGTGCAGCAACCATTTCTTCACCAGCCCTTCCTCAGCTCTCCTCTCCACTCCCTCCTCCTCAGGATTATAGGGTCCTTCTTGCTGCTGTATCAGGTCTCAGCTCATTAGTTGTTTGAGGAAAGGGCCTGCCATGCCATGTTCATCACTTCAGCCACAAAGGATGGCTTTTACTCAGCAATCATGTGCTGAACATCTGCTACATTCCACTCTTAGCACTAGTGAAACAAACGCGTAGCAACAGAGCCCCAGGCCTCAAAGCTCACAATGGAGGTAACTGGTTTCCAGGTTAAGTGCACTAAACTGTGTGGAAGGTGTTATGATAGTACCTCTACAGGTTCTGATGGAAGCATCAGTGATGGATTTGGCTTTTCCATTTGGGAGAGGAGGCTATAAAAAACCTTCCTGGAGGACGTGGGCTCATTCTGATTCACAGACAGGTCCAGCCCCTTCACTTCTTACTTTGAACTACTCCATCTGGAATCATAGAAACTCATTAGCAGCTAAGTGAGTCGTAGACCCTGTTCCTACAGTTTCAACAAACCCTGATGGTGGCATTTCAGTTTATCGTAGAGGTTTCTTTTCCCCTACAAGGGTCATTCTCTCTTGCCCAATTTTGGCTGAGAAGGGAGGAATATCATGGCCGTTTTGGCTGTATGGTGTTACTGTATAATGATATGGGGATTGGTGAGTGAAAAATAAAATGAACCCTCACTTGCTTAGGTACCAGTTTTATGTAAGAAGAAACTCACAGCTTTTGCACATTATTTGAGATTTGCTTCTTCTGTTTAACATATTTGTGGTACTTTCCTAAAAAGTTTTGTTATAGACAGCTGTAGAGATTAAAAAAAAAAAAAAAGCATGATGTGAAACTAAAAGCAAAATAGGAATGAGTCTCAAGGTGTATAATGTACCAAATGATAGTAGGGCCTGGAACATTCAACAGCATAGCCTGTACTGACATAAGGTTAAGAAACATTGGCCTTCAAGTCACTTTAGACTCTTCTTAATGAGTTGTCGTGTTGGAGAGCCTGCACCGCATTTTGTTATTTGCCATTAGTTGATCTTTGGCCAGTATTAATTATTTACATTGAGCTGCATATTACAGGGGGAAAATCCCAAATAAACAGAAGCTTAAATGCGATAGTTTATTTCTCTCTCCTCTAAAAGGAACTTAGACATAGGCCTGGAATGCCAGGTTTGTGGCGTCCTTTGGGATTCAGGCCTCCTTCCTTTTGATCTCACCTTCCTCAGCACATGACTTCCATCCTCAAGGTCACCTCTCAGCTTAAGATTGCTGCCAGAGCTCCAGCTGTCATTTCTGAGATGGAGAATCTAAAATGGAAGGGCAAAATTGGGCTTTCCCAGCTGAGCCACTTCTTTTCCAGAACCCATATAAATAACACTAGTATTTATTGACCACATTTGACTGTAAGAGAGGCTAGGAAATGGAAACTTGTATTTTCAAAATATTCTGGTAAAAACCAGGATTCTAGTACTAAGGAGATGGGGAGAATGGATGTTGGGGCAGCACATCAGCAGTGTCTGTCACAAGGCCACATCAGGAATACTTGGAGTAGAAAAGAGATAAAGCTTAGTGAAGTGAGGAGGTGGAGAAGTTGATGTTTACCAATATGGATACCAAAACTGCTGAGAGTGATGTTGCAGTAGAAAGAATTGTGATTAGATGGAAAAGTTATTGAAGTATTAGTGTCCTGGAGCTCAGTAGAGAAAGATGGTTGGCATAGCCCTCAGAAGAGGAGACTGGTATGAAGATGGCATAATAGTGGTCACAGGTGAACTTGTGGATGGGAACAGACAGTAGAAAAGGGACAGCATTCTTTGAGAATAGGTCTTGAGGAAAGGGAATACCTTTTAAGCTGAAAAGACGGAAGTGCTTTTCTCTCCTAGCCATGGAATAGATGATGAGTTGGTCCTCTGCAGAGAAGGGACCCGAAGGGCACAGGCGAAGGGAGTGGCCAATGCCAGTGGGAAGATGAGCCATGAAACCAGGTAGAGGGAGTAGATAAGTGGGATTTATATCTAGGCCTAGGCTAGTAGCTGTATTACCAAGAAAAAAGGAAGCTAGCACTTGGAAGTTAGGGAGAATGGGAATGATGGATGGGCAGAAGTGTTGTGAATTGGTTTGGGTGCTCAGTGTTGCTTTTTTTCTTTTGCATTTTCCAATTTCCTCTGTACGCCATACACTGTAATAGTCATTCCATTTAAAATTGCAGCTGGGTAGACCAGATATTGCTAGGGGGCATATCTGTCATTGAACTTGGGAAGCAGGGGACCCTGCTAATGGAGGCACTCCAGACACCTCATGGGAGCACAGCTGGGAAGCAACAAGTGGTCTATTTCTTGGCTCAGCCTAATTCAGACTCGCCTCTTCTCCTTAGAGAAAGGAAGAGGAGCCTCTTCCTTATGCTCTGCTCAATGTGTAGGGTTTTTCTTCCTATTTGTTGCAATTCTGAACATTATTAGTGGATAGTCCTGGTTTTGAGACTTACCCCTGCCTTAGACCCCCTGTTCCTAGCTCTTATTTCCTGGGACCCAGTTTCATTTTTCTCTTTCTGGATCTCAACTCTCATCCCTGACAGGGCATGATCATTATGTTATATGATCTCTCTTGGTTATATACAAAGAATGTACCAGTTTGTGGAGTATTCATAGACTTTTTTTGGTTTTGTTTCTTCTTCTTTTTGTAAATCCTAGAATGATCCCCTCCCATGCCACCACCATGATTTGGGACTGCCTACTATTTTCCTTGTGAACTCTCCCTGCCCAATTGATATGTAGTATTTTTTGCTTGTTTTTACTTTTTGATATGTATTATTATTTCTGTTGCTGTAGTGTTTTGTGGTTTAATAGAGGCTCTTGTCACATTTTCTCCACTAATTGTCATAGTAAAATTGTGACGGGAGCAGACAGTAGTTGTTACTTATTTACAAATCGGTAACCGAAATTCAGAAAGGTCACCCAGCTAACTTGTGGAAGACCTGGGGTTGGAACCCACTTTTTCTCTCTCTCTCTTAAAGTTCAGAAGTTCAGAGTAAGCAAATGAATGTTAATTATTGGCCTGAACAAGATCTAATTAAAGTGGTCAGTCTGCTGTGGCTGAAGTAGTTGTCTGCACATCCCGACCACATCTAAACCAGTCTTGGATTGTTTAATGTTTAGTATCTGTGGCTTAGCTCCCTTTCGTTTGCACCAGTTAGAGCATGTAGATGCCACAGCAGTTCCATCCTGACCCTGTGAAGCACGTTTTTGCAGGTCCCCACCTTGCAGGTGCCACTGGGAAGCGCAGCATGCTGTGGTTTGGAAAGCCTGCCCAGGCATTGGTACTGAACAGGCCTGGCAATCTGTGTTTCCTAGTGTGGGTATTAACTCTGTTATCCTTGATACAGCACTTAGTATTTCTGGGCCTTCAACTCCTCATTGTGAAATTGGGGTAGAAACAGGTAGTTTTTGGACAATTTGTTACCTCTGCAAACCTCAGTTCCCTCTCATCTGTAACATGGGCATGATGATACCCACTTTGTAATGTTTCAAGATTAAATAAACTGCTGTATAAAAGGAGCTCAGTGCCATGCCTAGCAATACAGCTGGTGCTTAACAAATGTTCCACCCTTTTCTTCCTCCTCCTCATCATTTCAATATGTTTTGAGAGCATCATAAAAAGTGGTATGAAGGTTAAAAAATAAAGTCAGGGATGTCACAGTATGAAAGTTGTTGCCCCTCCAGTAGAATTAATATGTGGGGTGTAAGTGGGGGGAGGAAGCTTACCTTTTTGACCCCAAGTGAGAGCCTTGCATGATTGTTTTCTTAAAAATGGCCTTTTCTGACCAAATTGAAGGTGACGCATTCTAGACTTTCATTTATAATGTCCATTTACATGCAGTACTTCTATATTCAGATTGACTTCCTGTCACACTGAGTGATTGGTGGGCTGCTTGCCAGCCTAGGGGTGGACTGCAGCAAATTGTGTGTGAGGGAAGCCAGCAGTCTGCAGGGCTGAGCTGAAGTGGGGAGAGGAGAAGAGCATGGGACGTGGTGTCGAGTGCAGTGGCATTGACTGCAGACAGGCTGCTGCTTTACACTGGGGGATTCATTCCCTTTCCCCCAGTAAAGACTGTTAAAATATCAGAACTGATAGTATAAAGTCATGAGTTTTTTAGTTCATGCAGAATGTGGATCATGTCTGAGATAAAAATTCATAAGATTTTTGAATATCCTGGGGCTGATGGTTTTAGGCAGTGAAGTTAATTTAATTTTATTTTTTATTTTCTGTAGCTGAAACGTCTGCTTTTCTGTGAGGACGTTGATTATGTGTTCCACTGCCAAAAGAAGTTTCTCATTTTCAAACTGCAGCTCCCCTAGTTGGGCAATATAACTGTAATTTGAGAATCCCACAAGGGTAGTCTGTTACTCGGCAGATAACCCTACAGTAAATTTGCATGAAGGCATTATTTAAAACAGTTTTCTTCTCTGACCTATTATTGCACAGCAAAATAGCAGTTTCCTTTCTAAGGTAAGAGATTTGGAAGGAGGACTCAATTTATACGTGATCTCATTGAGAGTGAGAGCTGCAAAGATGAGGAAAAGAAGTGGACCTTTTAAAAGTTTTTTTTTTTTTTAAACGGTTATGTTATTTTATTTTGTTGAAGGCAGAGGATATGTTTTATTTTAGGGACCCACCAGAATTGCTTAGAAATTATCTGCAGGCTTTAGGGATTTTTGCTTATCAGTATATTTCATTTGCCCCATTGTTCAGCCCATCCACCACCTCCTTCCATTTGTTCTCAGAAACTAAACTAGGAGAACATAAGCACTTGGTTATGTGAAAATGTACTTATGATTCTTCCATGAAAACCTAAAGTATTAAAAACCCAACAGTTCACTTGTGTTCTTTCATGAACAGGTATGTGCATGCTATGATTGCTTTCATTTGCCAAGTCATTTTTTAATTTAATGAGCTGTCACTCTGCTGTCATTGGATCAGTTGTAGATGAGGGGACACCTTTTGGCCTTCATTTGATGTCTTTCTCACGTGCTTATTCCCTCATCTTGTTTGGTTGAAAATCACATTGGCAAAACCAAATCCAGAATGCTAGGGTATGACTAAATGGTAGAACAAGCTAAGCAACTATTTCTAGGGGGGAAAATTTCTGTGCTAGGCTTTGTTACTACAGTGGTTGAACATGGGCTTTAGAATCAGAAAGATCAGTTCAGATCCCCACATTGGAACATAAAAGTTGTGCTATCTTGATTTAATTTCCTTTAGCCTTGTTTTCCTTACCTATAAATAGAAATTATAATAGTACCCACCTGTAATGGTTGGTTCAGTGAGATAATGCCTGTGTATGCCTTGGGCCTGGAAATGTCCCTAATGCAGAGGACATTCACTATCAAAAGGGAGAGAAGGCCCCCTGGAGTTGCTACGGGTTGCAGTATTTTTTTTAAAACCAGAATTCCTAATGGGTTTTTTTTCCCCTCCTTTTAGTGATATTGTATTTTGCTTAAGTGTGTTAGATTTAGCTCTCGTCTGGTTTGTGTTCAAGCTCCCTTTCAAAGGTGCCATCAGTGCTCAAGGCCAGGGGTTCAGCTGCAGGGATGGTGGATGGTAGCCAGCTCTTTTAGGCATGGTACTTTTTTTTTTTTTTTTTAAAGACAGGGTCCTACTCTGTCACCCAGGCTGGAGGGCAGTGGCGTGATCACAGCTCACTACAGCGTCGACCTCCCAGGCTCAAGTGATTCTCCCACCTCAGTTTCTTGATAGATGAGACTACAGGAGCACACCACCACACCCAGCTAATTTTTGTATTTTTTTTGGAGAGACTGGGTCTTGCTATGTTATCCAGGCTGGTTTTGAACTCCTGGGCTCAAGTGATCCACATATTTACAGTGGTTGGTGTTCATTTAGAATTTAATGAGGTGAACAAGAGTATATTTGCACCTACATGTTCTAGGCTGAATTCGGATCTTCTCATTTAGAAGGAGTACAATTAATAAATCATTATGGATCGTATTCAAATTACTATTTTTTTTTGAGTTGTTTTTGTTTACTTAAAAGTAGATTTTTAACCATCTAGCTTGACATACTATTATTATTTAGCCTAAAATCTTTGCTTTCTATAATTATAAGTAACCTATATCACTTATTTTGCCTTTTTTTTTTTTTTGAGACGGAGTTTCGCTCTTGTTGCCCAGGCTGGAGTGCAGTGGCGCGATCTCGGTTCACTGCAACCTCCGCCTCCCGGGTTCAAGCGATTCTCTTGCCTCAGCCTCCCGAGTAGCTGGGATTACAGGCATGTGCCACCATGCCCAGCTAATTTTGTATTTTTAGTAGAGACAGGGTTTCTCCATGCTGGTCAGGCTTGTCTCGAACTTCCAACCTCAGGTGATCCTCCCGCCTTGGCCTCCCAAAGTGCTGGGATTACAGGCGTGAGCCACCACACTGGACCCTATTTTGCCCTTTTTAAGTACTGGCTTAACGAGTGAAAAAGATGCATGTGCACTGAAAAAAGACTAGGAAAAGATAGAATACAATGCCAGTAGAGATTGTCTCTATGAGACAGCATAGGCTATTGTTATTTTAGACGTAAATTTCTCTACTTTTCAAAATTACCACCTATTTGGATACCTTTTCTTAGTTTTATAAAATATGGCCATTGGGGAAAACTTGAAAATTGAGCAAAATACAGAGAAGAGAATTTTAAAATGACCCATGATTCCACCACTCAGATAACTACAGATGGCATTTTGGTGCATTGCACTTGTCACTTGTAGTCAGAACAGCAAATGTGCTTCATTTTCCAGGCCTGCAATTTGTTCCTTTTGCACACATTTCTGACAACCTGCCCTGGACTGCGTTCTCATAGAATGGCTGTCCTCCCCACTGTGGGAGCCCTTGCTGAGCCTAACAAATAAAGCCTCCTTCACAATAGAGCTAAAGAGGAGCTTCATCAGAGAAACACTGCCGCCTTAGTAGATACTGGCCCAGGTTGGTCTTGAGTCCCAAACTTGTACAGTGGGTTCTCAAAGTGTAACTTAAACATTATGTTGGCATCATGTTAAGCTTGTTTATTTATAGTAAAGCTCAAATATATAGGGAAATGGAATTGTTCCTGCATTGAGCCCATTCAGAAAATTTTCTGTCAAGTTTGGGCAGAATTTAAAGACTATTTCCTTTGGTGGGCATGAAGTAGTACTGTTTAACATGCTTGCTCAATAAAGTTTTCAGACTTTTTTTTTTTTTAACTAGAGAATATGTGATTTGGTGATTGACTCTATAAATAGTGTGACCCATTTTTAACTAGATTGCTGATATGTTTTTCAGCAGGACTTTGTGGTTTAGTTAATGAAATCTTTTCAGGGATGATCCTCTGAGCCTTCTGTCTAGTTACTATCACTGCTGTTGCTTTTATGACTTAATTGCCTTTGTGGTTTAATTCACTTCATGACACATCTATCACCATGAAGTTTAGACTCTTCACCCCTATCTTTCCGAGTATTTGCTTGATGACTCCTGGGGTCAAGGAGAGGTTGATAGGTGGTTTTATGCTGTTAAAAATAAGTGGTCTTGGCTAACTTATCACTTAGTTAAAACAGTCCTTTTAATTTTAATTAATGCATTGAAGCTACTTCTTCCTCATAATTTTCTACTTCATAATTCTGTTGTCTGAGCCCATAACAATGGTTATTTCTATTATTTGTAGAGAATTATAAAGCTCTTTCATATTTGTTCTACCATTTAATCCCTCTATCTTTATCTCCTCCCCTCCCCTCACCCCCCTCCCCCCCCCAAAAAAAACTGTATTAGCCCCATTTTGTAGATGAGGAAGCTGAGACAAAGAAATCATAGGCAAGTATGCCAGGTCGGTATGGTTAATGTATGGTAGAACTGGGAATTTCTACTATAGAAACTGGACGATTGGGATATTACGATTTAGAAAAGAGCCTCTGTTTTTTTATTGTCTGCTATTACTGAAATTACCATAGTGTTAACATCATAAAAATATGTCTAAAGACTCATGCTGAGTTCTGGATTTTGACAGATTTTCAACTAAACCTAGGAAATTTGCTTGGTCAGTCTTTGATTTTTGTGGACATGGTTGGGAGTTCACCTGGCAGTACAGCTTGTGATTAAAAGTCCAGTTTTAGAGGAACCAAAATCTGTTCTTCCTTTAGAGCCAATCTCTGTTTGCATTGAGTTTTCTCATTTTCCCCTAGCCATGAATGAAATATCAGGAAATTCCAAATGCATCTCAATATCAGAACTGTCTTCTTTGTGCTACCCTCTGCATAGCACTCCTCGGTGGCTGCCCTTTGCTTCTGTGGTGAGAGCCGCATGTGGTGGTGCAGCCCACAAGGCCGTCCTGGTCACGCCTCTGTCTTGCCTCACTGCTTATCTTGCCTCATCTGCAGCAGCAGTTGCATACCGTGCCTCATCTTATGATGTGTCCATTCATGTCAGCCCAGCTATCTACTTGTTCATCTCATTGATTCTGCCCATTGTTGAGGACTTAGTCTAAGTGTCATAGCACCCAAAGTCTTCTCTGATACCTTGCCACCCATCACCTCTCTGTTAGTCAGGATGAGTTAGTTTTTCTCCTCTGTTGTTTTATAGGAAATTGTGTACCTCTGTCTTAGTACTTATTCATTCTGTTGAAATTAATTGCTCACCTGTCTCTCTGTGTCCACCATTTGACTCCCAAGACTGAATTTCGTAAAAAGGGACTATGCCCCAAAGCAAGCATTGTGCTTTTTAAAATAGTAGGCACTCCAGATATTATCAAATGGATAATCCCCCTGCCTAGCCCACTCTTTGATGGATAGGTGCTTCAGGACATGTTTGGTGAAGTACTGAAAATCTAAGGCTACCCTGGTCAACTCTCACCTCTTTTATTATGCGTGTAAGTCATTTGTGGTGTGGAGCATCAGGCAAATTTAAAATACCAACTGGCTCCCTTTCCCTCAACTGCCCGTGATAGTTGTAGACTCTTCATTGTCATTCTTTTTTTTGAGGCGCACACCACCGTGCCCAGCTAATTTTTGTATTTTTAGTAGAGACCAGGTTTTACCATGTTGGCCAGGCTGGTCTTGAACTCATGACCTCAAATGACCCACCTGCCTCGGCCTCCCAAAGTGGTGGGATTACAGGTGTAAGCCACCATGCCTTGCCTCTTCATCATCATTCTACAGGCCCATTTCTTATTAGTTGATATGTACTGAGGGAGTTGAAATTATGTTTTATGTCTGTCAAAAATATAGATGTTGAAAAATTAAATCTATTGTTGAAAAAACTTTAAAAATGATTTCCGGATTCTCCATGTTTGGGATTCCCTTCCTGATGCTAATGTTAATTGCTTTCTTCCTTGATGCTAATGTTAATTTGACTATAAACTATTGTTTTATCAAAAGATCTTAGTTACACTTACTCAATTTTTGCTTAAGATACTACAATTATTTTAAAAAGAACATCCGTATCTTATTCTAAAGGACTGAATTATTTTTGTATACAGACATACATACAGAATAAAAAATGTACAACTTGATTTTAGTCTGTTTGATTTAAATTTTATATATTGAGTAGTTCACCCCTGTCTGCCTGTATTCAGGTTTCTTATTTTGATCATAACATGGGGTTGGGTTATTTTCGAGTTTGGAGTTGAGAATCTTATTTTTATAATCCAGTGGGAGAAAACACTCAAGTATATTTTGAATTGGACAACTGTGAAAATCTTAGCTTATAGAATCTAAGTTTGGAGTAGACTTTTGAAGTCATAACTTATAAAATTTATCACTAAGATGGATAGTTATGTGCATTTAAAATATTTCTATAATAATTGAAGGAGCTTGTGATAACATTATAAATTCAAGAATGTTTTGCTAGAAGCAAATTGACTATGGGTTTTAAAATGTAAGCATTTCCTAAATTAATTCTATGTCAGGAAATGGAGACAACTTTTGAGGAAGGAAGCTGCTTGCTGAGGCTGTGCAAACATTATTTCTCTCAAGTGTATTTTAACACTAAAGTTAAAAATCCATTTTATATATTAGGAAAGGCAACTTAACCATAGTAGAAGGAGTAAGAAATTTGGAGCCAGAAATTCCTGATTTCAAGCTCCGCCATCACCGGTTACTCCTTTGTGACTTTGGACTAGTGTTTTGACTTTCCGCAGGCTTTTGGTTTTCTCATTGGCAAATTAGAGCGTGGGAATTGGGAAATGGAGGTGCTTATCGCTGTTACTCCTACCTCACCAAGCTGTTAGATGATCACTTGAGAGGTGGAAGGGAAACATTTAAATTGTCCAGCACTATGCAGATGATGTGTATCTTTCTCTCATAGAAAGGTGGTTACCTGTTGGGTGTTGGGGAGAAAAAAGTAAGAGAAAAACTAGAGGCAGGTGGCAGGTAAAATTTTACCACTTTGCTCTGGATTGCTAGACCCATTTGAATCACTGGAGGAGGAACAACCATCCCTAGTCTACTTGGCGTGGCTTAGACCTAAATCTGTGGGCCCCTTGCCATAGGTTGTACATATTATAGATTAACAGTTCCCATTTTGAGTCCCTCTTTATTTTTTGCCACAGGATCAGATAAAAATCTGTGACTTATAGTTAAATATTATTTCCTGAATACTTAATTATATTCACTTATTCAAGAAATATCAAATGGAGCACTTACTGTTTTATAGTAATTGTTCTGGGTGTTGGGGATTACAGCAATGGAAAAAGCACAGACAGAATTCCCTTCTTCATAGAGGGTACATTGTAGAGGGAGACAGATAAAGCAAAAAAATGTAAAATTAAGTTCAGGTACTGATAACTTTTATGGAGAACACAAATAGGGTGACTTGATAGAGCGAGGGTGGAAAAAACTTAGTAAGGATTGCCCAGAGGTATCTCTTTAAGGAAATTATATTTGAGCTGCATCCTGAGATGTCAGAAGGAGCCAGAATGAGAAGAGTTGGCCAGGCACAAGTGCTCCATACTGAGGGAGCTAGTACAGACACTCAGACCTGGGTGGAGTGAAGGAAACATGTTTCTAGTTTGTTAGGCTCTGAGGTCTCTGGCCTGAAATACTTAAATTTTTAATTGGAGGAGAAAAGCACCATAGAGATAAGACAGAGAGATGGGGAATACAAATACATGTTAAGTTACATGGTCCGAGCATTGTGAGTATAGCTGAAGAATTTATGTGGTCCATTGGTATTTACTTAAAGTTTACCCTAAATATATGAATGAAATGGCTTCCTAGCTCCTTTCATCCTTACATCTGCTAATTTAACCTTATGCAGAGAGCTGAGTTTGTTCCGCTTGTGCCCTAAGGTTATTAACATCTGTCCCTTAGTCTCTCCAGTAAAAAGTTTGAGAGGAAACAAAGAACCAGCTCTACTTAGACCTTTGACCAATTGATCATGTGGATCCTTGGGGGCTTTATGTTAATGTCAATGGATAAGGTATTCTCTTTGCCTTTGAATTGATTTTGTGGCTTTAAAAAAACATTTATCAAAGACTAAAGGGGTTGTCAGTGTGGGGAGAGGGACATTTAAAAAGGAGCTATTAATCCAAGTGACTGGAAAGAAGTCACTTATGTGCATTTACAGTGACTTGCTAAATAGAAGTCAGGAAATATTTGAGTGAGTGAATGACTTGC
Organism: Homo sapiens; assembly: GCF_000001405.40. Lineage (NCBI taxonomy): Eukaryota > Metazoa > Chordata > Mammalia > Primates > Hominidae > Homo > Homo sapiens. The sequence goes on along the minus strand of NC_000008.11, from coordinate 130,306,282 downwards.
TAAATGATAATACTTGTAGTGAAAGGTAACACCTTCTAAGTGCCTACTCTGCTAGATTGCCTGCAGTATCAAGGTGTTTCTATACATAATTTTCCCTGAATCTCTCTAAGAAACCCGTGAGGTTAGTATTACTATCACCATTCTTTATATGAAAAATTTATGGCTTAACTAGTTAACCTTCTTGCTGAAGGTCTCATAGTTGGTGGCTGAATAAATTTGGACTGAGGACTTTATGATCCCAGAATCCTAGTTAATCATAACAAGTCATGACTTGCCCTGATGATGTTGGAACTGTAAGTAAGGGACATTGAGTGAATATTGTCTGGGGGAAGAAGTGATGAATAGGAGTAAGGAGATCTAACCTAAGAGCTTAAATAGTGATGTGAAGTTCTTGGCACTAATCCTTAAGATACCTCTCTTAGAGCCTTGAGGGGGTGCCAGTGAAACAGCTGGTAGTAAAGTCCATTTGAGTGGTCCAGTTTTGGAGTTGCTTAAGGGTCAGATCACTTTCTATTTCTGACTTAAGGCTAGTGTAACTGATCTGGTCTTTAGTTTTCTCGATTTATAAAATGGAGATGGTTAAGTGATGGATATAAAAATGAATGAATAGGCTGGGAGTGGTAGCTCATGCCTGTAATCTCAGCACTTTGGGAGGCCGAGGGAGGAGGATCACCTGAGATCAGGAGTTCTGACCAGAACCTGACCAGCCTGGCCAACATGGTGAAACACCCCCTCTACTAAAAATACAAAAATTAGCCAGACATGGTGGTGGGCGCCTGTAATCCCAGCTACTTAGGAGGCTGAGGCAAGAGAATCGCTTGAACCCGGGAGGCGGAGGTTGTGGTGAGCTGAAGCTTGCGGTGAGCCGAGATCGCACCACTGGACTCCAGCCTGGGCAACAGAGCAAGAGTCCGTTCCAAAAACAGTGAACGAATCTTTCATTAATTGAGTACCTACAATGTGGCAGGAATTGTCTAAGCACTATGGATAGAACAATGAGAAAGAGACTAAGAAGTATGTGCATTGAATTTGTTTTTTAGTGGGGACAGGCAGTCAAGAAATAAACAGTATGTTAGGTGTCAGTAGGTGCTATGAAGACAAAAAGAGAGGAGATACAAGAGAGAATGATTGTTGGGCAGTGTGGTAGCAGGAGGGGAGACTTCATGAGCAAACTTAAGTTGTGATGGAGTTTAGCTGTGGGGGTCCGACAGCACGAAGGTCCTCAGGTAGGTTCATGCCTGACACATTCACGAAACAACAAAAGGAGGTCATGTGGCCAAGGTGTAGAGCGTGTGAGGAAGAAGAGGTTGGAAAGGTGGCAGGAGCCAGATTATGCATGGCCTGCTGACTGCTGTCAAGACTTTGGCTTTTACTCTAAATAATAGGGAGTCTTTGGAGTTTTGTTGTTTTGGGTTTTCCATTTGTTTGTTTTGTTTTGTAATTTTGAGAAAGACAAGCAGCACTGAATTACCATATTTACACTTAAAACGGATCCCTCTGGCTGCTCTGGAAAATAGATTGTGAGAGTATGAGGTGGAAAGAGGGTGCCCAGTTAAGAGGCTGTTGAAGTAAGTAGTTTAGGTGAGATCATCATTTAGTTGGTGATGTACTTCCTGTGTAAAATTGAAAACATCACACATTTGAACAAGGTTGAAATTAAACATGAGATTGTCACATACAACCACTGTCACTGGGGTGGGCAGATGCATAGAAGACTATTGGTTGTGTAAACGTAAATTGGACAGCGTGTTTCAGGGAGTGCAGATGCGTGAAGGTTGGCTTTGAGCCTCTGCTAGACTTGACCAGGTTCATAGGTTAAAACTGTTTTTATCTTTATTCTTTCAATATATTAGTATTACAATAGAAGACTTAGAGAACAATTGAGGGGGGAAATGATGTTCCTTTTTTTAGGGTGAATGTGTCAGACTTTCAAAGATGACTCTTTGGATATTAGGTGTTCATATCTACTTAGAACTGGAACAGAAACATAAAATATACAAGGCGTTCTTTTCCGGGCAGTATAAAAAAATAATATATAATCAGTTCTAACATAAGATCTAGGAGCCGTTTCTTTTTTTAAGCCAAAAAGGCAAAAAAGACTACTCCATTAATCCATGTTTCTCAGTGGAGATGGAATGATTCAATTTGTAGAGTTTTTTTTTAAAGAGCAGTTTTAAATTTACAGAAAAATCGAGCCAAAAGTCCAGAGTTCTTATGTACCGTCTCATTTTGCTACCATTGCCACTGTGGTTTTCCCTATTGTTAACATCTTCCATTAGTTAATAATTAGGTAATAACATCTTACATTAGTTAATAATAATGTATTGATACTGATTCATTAACCATGACAAGGGTGCCACACTAATGTAAGTTCATAGTGTAGTTCACTCTATGTTGTACATTCTAGGGATTTGACAAATGTGCGATGATATGTATCCTCTGTTACTGTATCAGAGTAGTTTTAGCAGCACTAAAAATCTCCTGTGGTCCACCTAGTCGTCTCTCCTTCCCTCATCCTAAACCCCTGGCAACCACTGATCTTTTTGCTGTCTACATAGTTTTGCCTTTTTCAGAATGTCATATAGTCAGAGTCATAAAGTAAAGTATGTAGCCTTTTCAGATTGACTTTTTTCACTTAGCAGTACGCATTTAAGGTTCCTCCATGTCTTTTCCCAGCTTGATAGGTCATTTCTTTTTATATAATAATATAAAAATAATATTCCATTGTCCAGAAGCACTACAGTTTGTTTATCCTTTCAGGTAATGAAGGACATCTTGATTACTTCTCTGGAAACATTTTTTGGTCACCAACTAAGTGGTAGAGGGGATACTGGCAATTAGTTGACAGAGGGCAAAGATGCTACTAAACACCCTGCAGTACACAGGAGACCCCCGCAACAAAGAGTCATCCAGTTCAGAATATCAGTAATGCTTGAGGTTGAGAAAGCCCTAGTCTAAATATATCTTAAATAGTATAAAGAAAGTATTTTAGGCATACACTTATAGTTTTGCTGTGCTAGAATAGTTGGAGAATCTCAGCCTTACAGCAACCCCAGGAGCAAGGTGTAATACAAATTCCATTTTGTAGCTGAAGAAACAGTCTAAGATGTTAGCATGCTTCCTGTCATTCTGCTAGTAAATGGCCAAAGCCAGGATTCAGACCTGGAGCCTCTGTCTCCAGGCTCAGCATACACAGGCACCTCCAGGTGTTTGTGGTTTTCCCTTCTGCCTTAGGTATGGATTCTTTGGTTTTTAACCAAACAAAAACCAGAGTACTCTTTTTTTTCCCGTGGTGACTTAAATTTCTTGTAATTGTTTTTATTTCAGTTCTCTTGAGTACATACCAGGTCTTACAATGTTGTAGAAACAGCAAAGAAGGAGAAGACACGATCTTTCCACAGGAAGAAGAACTTTCCATCTGATTGTCTTCTGGAGTTCTTATTTCTTCATAGTTTTCTCCCCTTAGAAGTGATTGCACCAGAAGATAAAGGTACATTGGTACATGTCCTCTGGTGATTCAGCTCCTCCTAGCCCCAGAACCAAAAGCCTCTTTTCTCCAGAGAACCGTTTGTTTAATGAAGCTAATGAAACTTGAGATGTCCCCACGTGCCCCTCCCCCTCAGCTGGTGTCTCTCCAGGGCTTGGCTGCCACCTTTGGCCTTCTTTCTATGGCCATTAATCTAGTGCTCCCAGCAGATGGCAGCTGATCTGGATAAAGAACTTGGTTGTTCTTTTCAGTGCCCATTAGAGGCCTGCCCTCTCTATCTGTTCTTCCTGTTTGCCATGAAGAACAGCTGGCCGTGTTGGTTTAAAAGCCAGAATTTTTATTTGTTTGGAGTTTTGCCTCTTCATTTTTAGCATTTCTCTCTCATCTCTTTCTGCCTTTGAGATAGCTGTTCACAGTGCCACATTTTCTGTGTCTGTGAAAAAACGAGCCCCTTAACCTCCAGTACACACCATAGACATACTCACCCCCTTCTAAAATATTTATTCTTTTAGCAGCCCTGGCTGGTTTCCATTGTGTTTATTTAATCTTTCAAGAATTTTCTTATAAAAGACTGGACAATCAATGCCTTTTTACTGATTAAGGTGAAAAGTTGTACATGGTTTTTCAAATATTTGTGCAAATGAGAGAATGTATGAGTCTTTGCATGCATGCAGATATTATACCTAATGTTAGACTATAGCTGTAGGCAGATTATCTATTTACCTGTCTTTCTCTCCTTTTGGAATGCTAACTCTTAAAGCACAGAGAATATTAGTAGTTGAGTACTTACCAAGTAGCAGGCTCTGGGCTCTAGATTTTGGGGACACCCCTGCCATCGTGGAGGTTACAGTCTTCTCATTACAACTCTGACCCAGTCATTCTACTTCTTTGAAGATTATCCTGTATGCAAGCTTTACTTAGAATTGCAGAAAGAATGAGACATCCTTAGTGGTAAACATTAATGAAATCTACGAATAGATACTCTCAACAACAATGCATATGCATATCTGTTGACATGGAAAGACAGTCGTGTTGTATTAACTGGAAAACAGCATGATATAAAACAACACAGAAAGGATGATCCCATTTTATGTACCTATAAGGAAATATTGTAGGATATATTTCTGGTTACATTAGTTATTTCTGGTTGCTAGAGTTTAAGGACAATTGGGGTTTTTTGGGTAGTGAACATGTGATTTATATTTAATCAATATATAAAGAAATAGAGCAAGAAAAAAACACCACTGCCATGATTATTCAGATAGGCAGACTTTTTTCATTCATTCAACCACTATATATGGAGTGCAGCTATATGCCAAGCACAAGGCAGAGAACACAACATGCTACAGAAGTCCATGCCTTTAGAGCATTCTAGAACACAATTTACATTAAAATGCTACTAGGTAACAGAAGGAGCAGCAGTGTATGTGGATTAGAGTCACCTCAGGATTTCCATCGTTTCTCAGAACACACTGTTTTGTTTGTGGGTGGAATAAAGGAGGCTGCCATGTTCAGTGTACATAAAGAAAGCAGGAGGTTTTCTCAAAGAGCAGGCATTGGTACAACATGTCATTTAATAGTTAAGAGGTGGGGGAAGGTAGCCTAATGGGTTATGCCAGCCACTTATCTTTAGGATAGTCTGGATAAAATATAAAGTACTATTTCTCATGTCCTCTGCTTATGCTGGGTCCCCATACACCATCTGAACTAATGGACTTTTTGGCATCATCTCCTTAAATGCATCATAGGGAATGAATTTCTCCACCAAGAAGCCCCATTATGGCTTTGTCAGCCTAGGTTTTGATTTAGCGATAGCAATATGTGCCTTCCAGACATAGGATGGCAATGAGGGAGGGCCTCTGCTGGTCCTTAAGTGCAGGGAGCCCCCCTTCTTAGAGATTAATCATCATTGTGACAGATGTGCTTTTGCTGAAACTTGGTCCAGAGAGCAGCAGATAAAGATTTGGATGATGTCTCCTTCCTTCTTTCTTGGCCAAAGGAAGCCAGCCCAGTGCTGGGCTTTCAAGAATCCAGTTGTTTAGAAAGGAGGGAGGTAATAAAGCAGAAAAAGATGTTTTATTTTTAGAAATTAATGTGCAGCTTTCTGATCTCCCAATCCAGTTCAGGTTCTTTCAACTTCATTATCTGTTGAGAACTATTAGCCTAAGAAATGATGTGACTGTGGTTCTCTACCTTGGCTGTGTGTTAGAATCATGCTAGAAACTCTTAAAAATCTAGGCCACATCCTAGACAATTAAATCAGAAACTCTGGGGGAGGGGTCTAGGCAGCAGTGTTTTAAAGCTGCCAGGTGATTCCAGTGTGCTGCTAGAACTGAGAACTTCCACAATATGGTTATACCAGCTACACAAGGCAGAGAGTTTTTACCTTGAAAAAATTAAAAAACAGCAGTAGTGTAAAAATATTATCCTCTTATTAAAAGAAGAAACATGTGACAGAGTGAATTCATTTAGATGTCTTGTTTGGTTTGATTTTAAATTACCACACTTAAGGTTGAAAGCCTTATCTGTTGTTCCCCATTCTCATGGCCTGATCACTGTGAAATTCTGGGACCTTAGAAGCCTTTTGTATTGACTGCTCGCTCGCTCGCTCTCTCTCTCTCTCTCTCTCTCTCTCTCTCTCTGTGTGTGTGTGTGTGTGTGTGTGTGTGTGTGTGTGTGTGTATTTTTCTTTTACTTCTTGTTTGGCCAAGAAACTGTATGTGTTAATAGCTTGTTTGTTTTTCGTCTTTTGTTTTGGCTAAATTGCTTTTCAAGAAACTGCCTGACTCCTTGTTTAATTAACTTCCATATCCTGCATATGTGGCTCATTTCACAGTCCCTCCATCCCTTAGTGGTTTTCCAGTCCACCACGAAGATTTGTATGAAGAAAATAGCCACCTCATCTATTTATACTATTTTATCTTGATGTTTTTCATTGTTTCTCTGAAGCACATTATTTCTGATCTTGAAATGTAATGTTTTAAAATATATTTTTATAGGAATTTATTTTTCTCCTCTGAATTGCCTTTGTTGTTATTCCTTTGGATTTTGAACTCACTTAACTCTGTGCTGGAAAGTTTCTGCTGATTTTTGTCTTCTTGATCTCTCTGTTTCTTTAAATTCTAAATTATTTTGCATTTTTCCTTACTGTTGAATTGCAACACTTAGTCTCTCTATCTTGTCACAATTTATGGAGAATGATAGCAGAATCCATCTCAATAGTATAGCAACTAAACATGTATATCATCGTTTCCTAGCTGACAGCCTGCATGGAGATGCATCCTTTAAAAAGGGGATGAGGATGAGAAAGGTACTGTGCCATATAGTGTTGGGCATACAACCAAGACGGCAGTAGACACAATTTGTTAGTGATGTCCAGTTACTAGTATTGCTGAGTTTATTTGTGACCTACTTTTTTACCTTTTGTATTCCCTGTGCATACGTGTAGCATTAAAACAGTGTTCTGTTGCCAACATCTCCAAACATTAGAAACATAAGTAACTGTTTTTTTCAGTTTCCCTGGGCTCCACAGAATGTAGAGTGGGCACATCTGCACAAAGCACAGGGCACAGCTTGCCCTTGAACGCTTCACAGCCTCTGTCGTTGCCACTGTTATCCGCTTGTGTACTCATCCTAGCCTCTGGGCAGACCTGCAGAGGCACGGACACACGGGCATCCAGCTTATTCCTTCCCTTTTTTCACCTCCCCATTTAGCTTGTCTTCTTTACCCACTTTCCACAGTCCTCTTAGGTAAGAGGCCATTCATTTCGTTAATAAGGATGTTTGTTTATTTGTGTTTCGAAAGTACATGCTATGTTCCAAGCACTTTGCTAGCTGCTAGGATGCAATTGACTACAAGACAGATGTGTTTTCTGCCGCCCTAATACCTGTAATCTGGTCGGGCAGACATATGAATAAACAGGAGTTTACAGTGGAGTGTGGTCAGTGCTGTGATGGAGTTAGTGCAGAGGTTCTGGGAGACCATGGCAGGGCACCCAGCCTTGTCTCCCGAGTCAAAGAAGGATGTCCAGAGGAAGTGGCACCTCAACTGAGATCAGAGGGATAGAGGTGGGAGAGAACCTGCCACTTTTGAGGAAGTAAAAGATGTATGTTATAGCTAAAGGATAATGGGGAACAAGAACGGTAATGAGCCTGGAAAGATGGGGGGCTTATCTTGGAAAGGCATGGAAAGCCTTTAGGGTTTGAAGCAAAGGATTGGCATGCTCTGATTTGCTTTTTAGAAGGACCATTGTGACTGCAGTGTGGAGAATGGATTGGAGAGGGAAAGCATAAATGAAAGGTAACAGTGTTTGTAGACATGACCCAGTGAGAGCTATTGGTGGCCTGGCCTCGAAGAGGAGATGGGATGGAGCTAGCAAAGATAGGGATTCAGGAAATATTTAACCCATGCCTTCTGTCTCAGGGCAGGAGTGATTTTCAACCCTTGAAAATGAGGGCTTGTCCTGCCTGTCTGCCATTTGGAGTCTTCATCTATGTTGTACATCATGTTGAAAAGATGTGTATTAGCTTCCTACTAATCAAAGCATGTTTGTGGATATGGACACCATTACAGGTTTCTCATGCTTCCCTTGGCTCCCAGACACTGGGCTAAAGTGTTGGATTGGTTGTGCAGTATCCATACTTGTCAACTAGCTATTTGTCATTTATTTTGCACCCTAGAGGCCAAAAATGTTAGAGCAGAATGATTCCTTAAGTTTTATCCCATCCAACACCCATGTTTAGCAATGAAGACATGGGGATTCAAAGAAGGGAAGTGATTTGCCTGGACTCCCACAGAGAATTGGGACTGGAACCCAGATGTTTCAGCTCCCAGTTATGTGATTCTTTGGGCCAGACAATGGCCTCTCTGGCCAATTTAGCTACAAGAGCATGTCACTTTGCCAGTTTTACTTTTCCCACTCCTTTTCAGCAGCAGTGAGTTAGTCTAAAATGTGGCAGTTAAATAAATCAAGGCTGATTTTGGGTGCACCCTTCCTTTAAGGCAATGGGCCTCTCCAGAAGGAACAGTGTGAACATTGTCTTCCAGCTCTACCTCTGCTCCCCGCCCCCCCGCTTTGTTTTCTTTGTCTCTGACAGCAGTGGACTCAGAACCTAAATTCCCCCTTCTTAAGCCACTTGGTGAGTGGCAGGGAGCAGTAGGACTCTGAGAGGTTCTGGGGGTTTTATTGTGATGGGAGATAGTCGTCCTGCACTTCTGTAGATTACAGGCCAGCAGGTGGAAGCCTGGGCTGTGGAATCAGATTGGGTTTGAGTCCCAGGTCTGCTTCTTGGCCACTGGGCATGCAAGGCCTTCATTTTCTCATCAGTGAAATAGGAGCAGTCATACTTAGTTGACCCTTGAACAGCCACAGGTGTGAACTGTGCTGGTCCACTTATATGTGGATTTTCTTCAGCCAAACGTGGATTGAAAATGCAGTATTTGCAGGATGCAAAACCTACTTATAAGGAAGGTTGACTTTCTGTACCCTCAGGTTCTGCAGGGCCGACTACGGGACTTGAGTATACACAGATTTTGATGCATGGGGGGAGACGAACTAATCTCCCACAGGCAGTGGGACAACCACAATTAGACTTCAGATTTTAAAAGATAATATATTTTTTAAAAACCAGTGCAGCGCCTGGCCCATAGTTGATGGTAACTATGCTTAAATTAGATTATTATTCGCTGTCCTTTTACTACAGTTTCCCAAACCATAGATTTAACCCCCCACACAGCTGTCTACCATCAGTTGCCCTGGTATCAGTTTTTTAATGAAATTTCAGGAGTGTGGGATTCTTTGTCTCTGCCCTTCTAATAGGTGGGAACTCTTACCTCTCTCATCCACTTAGCCCCCCAAAAAAGACAGTTAAACTTGAAAGCTACCAGACTGTGAAAAAGTAAATAAGAACCCCTGGCCAGGGAGAGGGCTTCAGCCTTAGATGTTTACAAGGGCCTGAAGCAGAGAAAGAGATAGAAAATATGTAAAAGCAAATTTTACCTGCTTGGAAAGTAGCTTAATTTTTTTTTTTTCTTTTAAACTAATTCTGTAGTCGGCCTTGTGCTCTGTAGAGCTGGATGAATGGTTAAAAAGAAAGGGGGAAAAGCCAGAAGAAATTAATTCTGTGGCACAGAGCTGTGAATTCTTCCTTGATGCAGGATCTGAGGTTGAAGGAGGTTAAATATGTGAGGGCCAGAAGGAAGTATCATGTAATGAATGATAAATCTCTAGCTGCTCCTCAGCAGGGCAAAACATGGGCTTAGCAAATGGGAAAAAAAAAAAAAAAAAGGGAAGTAGCAGGTGGAGATAATTTAAATAGCACAGGGACCCCTGCTTACCAATCCCTCCACAGAGTTTTGCCCTGGAGTAAGCATGACATCAGGGTGCTTGCTGCTTCCTCCAGTGGCCCGAGCTCTGTGTGCCTTTGTTGAACAAGGTTTTCGTGGAGCTGAGGTGACTCTCATGAACAGAGAATACCTGTCCTTCATACAGAGAAGCACCCAAATGCAAACATCTACTTTTTCTGGTGTTCAACCAGGTAAACCTCTGTTTAGCAAGAAACATCATCCCCAGAGTGGGGACTGTCTTGTCCTTTCAGAAGCTAGTACCCTAAGCAAGACTCATAAGGAAGGTCGGGCCTCCCTAGGTCTCTGTTTCTTCTGAACAGTGATGAGCTAGGTGCAGAGAGAGTTAAAGGTCACTATGCAGCTGACAAGTGTGACCAGTTCCCAGTAAATTCCACTTGGCTGGGGTTTCAGAGGTGAGCAAGGCAGGCTTTTTACTCATTACACAAGAATCTAGACATCCCTTTAATTGGGTGGCATTCTGGGTGCTAAAAGGAAGGGGCTTTGAGAGGCAAAGATGATGGGATATCATAAATTTTTTTGTTTCCTTTTTAATATAGCGCAGCTCCTATACTTAAGATTTAACTTTGAAATGTAGCATAGCTAAGATCTGGTCCAAAAAGATTTCTGATATCTCCATGAATCCTAGTTAGGGATTGATAGGAAAAAAAAAATCTTGTGCCACAGCTTCATGCTATTTTTAGGAACCTTTCTGAAACCAGTGGCAGCCCAAGTTAGAGCCCAGCATTAAGTCCACCTCATGCACATCATACAGTTGCAGCTTATGGTAAAAGCTTTCTGCAAAGCTTTTCTGCTCCTGGGTTAAGGCCTTCCAGCATCAGTCACATGTAATTAACAGCTACATTGTGTGCTTACTTTTTGCTAGATGTTTCATAAACATTATCTCATATAAACCTCACAATAACTAGGTATTATTATCCCGTATCCCTGTTTTACAGCTGTGGAAAGTGAAGTGAAGGATTTTTGTCATACAGCCAGTAAGTGCCAGAACTGACTTGAACCTAGCTCTCTGTCTTGATTCAGGAACTACTGCTCTTTCCATTGGTGGCTCCTGGCTAATCAATGTGATAGTCTTTGAAGAAAAAAAAAAAAGAGTTACTATCTTCAGAGTTTTAAACTTATCTGGGAGAGAATTTAGGACTTTTCTTTGTGAGACAGTCTTGCTCTGTTGCCTAGGCTGGAGTGCAGTGGTGTGATCATGGCTCACTGTAGCCTTGAACTTCTGAGCTCAAGTGATTCTCCTTTCTCAGCCTCCCAAGTAGCTAGGACTCCAGGTGCATGCCACCACACCTGGCTAAATTTTTAATGTTTATTCATTTATTTATTATTTTGTAGAGACTGGGTTGCGCTATATTGCCCAGGCTGGTCTTGAACTCCTGGCCTCAAGCAATCCTCCCACCTCAGCCTCCCAAAGCACTGGGATTACAGATGTGAACCACTGCTCCCAGCCTAGGACATTTTTATTATTCCTCTCGCTGTTAATCCAACAACCCTGTCCACATTCCTGTAAATTGGCTTTGTTCATCTTTTTTACTTCCAGACATGTTAATTTTAAAAAGAAGGCATCTTACTATCTTTTTAATGGCTTCTGTTTTCTTCCAAGTTAAACCAAAGAGTCATTTGTAATTTGCCTCAGTAATTGGACTGTGACTTTAAATGGCTGCTAGAATTGGCCTTTTGTTGACTTTACTGGAGTTAAAATAATTCTCTGTTTTCATTAGCCAAGAGAAAGACTTGTGACTCTTGATGCTTTTCCCACTGCAGGAGCAAAGCAGTAACCCCAGTAAGGGAGAAGAGAACTTAGATTTGTGTAAGTCCACTGTGTGTTGGACACTTAAACATACTTTAGATGTATTATCTCATTCATCTTTCTGACTGCATGAAGGTGCTATTGCTGTCCCCATTGTGTAGGTGCAGAGAGAGTTAAAGGTCACTGTGCAGCTGGACATGTAGTCGATCTGGGATTCAAACCCAGGTCTGTCCAGCTCATGTTATTTCTACTGTATCACACTTCTCACCTGTATATGTTGAATGGCCAGAGTGAAGGCTGGGCTTTATGGGATACAGAGGAGGTGACTGTACACCAGGGGAAATCAGTGTCACCTTTCTGACGCTCCGTGGCATTACCCTCATTCAGAACTCATTACCAAATACTTCATGTAAGTAACCTCGAAAGTCTTATGAGTACATCGAGAACTAGTTCCAAGTCACAGAACTGTTCTTGTGGTGAAAGTGGTTGAAAGGCTATAGTTCATTTTGGTTATTGGATGGAAATGCCCTCTCTCTCTGGTTGATTAACGGAGAAGACTTAGTATACCAGCCATTGTTTCTTCGTATGGAACGTTGCTTGTTTTGTCCCATTTTCTCATCTGCAAAATGTGGGTATAATACCTATTACGTAAGATTATTGTGAGAATTGAGAAGTGTGATAATGTAGGTAAAACATTAGCAGAGTATTTGGCTCTTACATAGAGGCTCAAATTGCATTAGTGGCAGGAGGAAAGTCTGTTTTATTCATTGTTGCTCCCTCAGCAGCCAGGCCATTGCAAGGCACATGGTGCACATTCAGTAAATGTTGGTGAGTCATTGATTTCTTTTCTCCCTTTGTACTTATTTTTTACAGATATTTGAGCACCTAGCCTTGTGCTGGACAATAGGGGACATGGGGTCCTTCACACAAGAAACATTTGTAGCCTCATGAGATAGATGGTCATTTGTGAAAATAATCTAAAGAAAATGACCCATTGTTGAGTGGTAGATGGTGACCCTTGAGGCTATAGTGTGCAAAGCTGATTTGGAAATCCCTCCAGCCAGCTCTGGGGCTGATTGTGGTGGGGGTGGGGGAATCCTTACTTACTACTTTTGGCCCTGCTGTCAGAATTGGACCTTGTACTGTCATTCTAAGCTGGGTTGAGCCTGAGCACGTCTTGTCACCTCTGTGACTGAAGGCTGATTTAATATGTCATGAGGCAGTTTGGTTTCAGGAAGTGGTTTGCTGGGGCATGAGCGATGGATGTTGGAAGTTAGAAAAGAGCCAGAAATTAAAATGCTGCCTCAGTTGGGTGATTGAATCCAGTCTTACCTGGTGGGGCAACCACTTATTGATTTGGAAAGCCTTGGTGAATCCATTTTTTGCTACTCACACTGGGGAATGGGGACCAGCAGCATCAGTATGACCTGGGAGCATCTTCAGAATGCTGAATCTGAGCCTCCTCGTCAGACCTGCTGAATCAGAATCTGTATTTTAAAGAGATCCCCAGATATTTATGTGCAGTGTGAAAAGCAAGCTTTGGAAAAGAAAGGGCAATTCTGTAGACTTTAAGCTTAGGAACAAGAGTATTTTTCTGGAGTCATTTGAATGTCAGTCGTTAAGCAGGGCTGCCAATTAGGGCTGATTTTCTCACTGTTTAATACTTGCCAAGTATCTTGAGCAGTGGCTTCCCAGACTGAGCTGCTAACTGAATAAAGGTGGCATGATTGCCGATGAAAATAATAGTACATTCGAGTTTTAAAATGTTTTTATATAGATCCTTTTCTCTGTTCACAGAACAGTCTTGTGAGATCATCTCATCTCTGCTTTACAGGTAATAAAACTGAAGCACAGAGAGGTTATGTGACATGCCTAGAGTCACACAGTAAAATCAGTAGCAGTTTTGAACTGAGGTCTTAAAATTCCAAGAAGTTGGGAGCTTGCTTTTTTTTTCCTTTTCACCATCTAAATTTTCCACATTGAGATATGAGAGAAATCCTCCATTTCTGCCATTGCATTTGTGTAGGTGCACAACAGGGAACGTGAGACAATTATAGTAGAGAATAATCTGGACCAGGAATGGCGTTCTGCAATAATCACCTCTTGAACAATAAACTTGGAAAGTTTCGTGGTTGTTTCTGATTCAGAGCCTGGAAGAGCAAGCCATTTCCCTCCTCCTACCCTTGGTTTACTAATCATTCACTTCCTCTTCTGTAAAGCCCAACTCAAAGGACCCCTGCTTTGTAAAGCCTTCCCTCTGGGATGGGATTGGGGGGCAGGCAGATAATTGGTTCCTCATTCATATTTTATTCATACTTCTGTTAACAAAGCTGATCACACCATCTTAACTGCACATCTTATTACCCACATGCGCAGACAAGGCTGTAAGATTCCTGAGGATCTAGAAAGAGTCTTCTTCACCATTGTAGCCCCATTGTCTGGCATGTGTTGGTCCTTCATACATGTTAAGTGAATGAATGCGTGTATGCATGATTCAGACTTTGTTTTTTGCCTTTCTTTTCTTTTTCCCTATAGTCTGCTCTTTATAGATTTTTAATAGCATCCAAAAGGGTAGTAGGGGCAGGAAGCTAAAGGGTAGGAAATAAAACTCAAATTCTTCAGTTTCGAGTTCAGTTCTCAGTTCAGCTCCTCTCCAGCAGCTTTTAGGAAAGCATTTTAAAGAAAGGGAGGCTCACTTGGGGCTTGAGGATGGTCTGGTCCCTCACAGTGAATAGACAAGCATCAGGCGCAGCTGCAGTTTTTACGGAATACGTGCACATTACCTTTCCTCAGTGTCCCCTCGTAAGCAGTGAAATGTAATAAATGGCGTTTTAGGGAGCCGAAGAGTTGTCAAGTTTCCACAGTTTGGAGAACTTTAACATATGGCATCTTGGGATCTAATGAAATAAATAATTCATGCCTGGAAATATAAGCAAGAGTGAATCTCTCTCCTTGCTATGTGAATGGGGACTTTGGTTGCCTTTTTCAAGGTATGTATGAAACATATTTATTCAGTCCACTCATTTATGTCCCTTTACTTTCTCACTCACTCGTCAAACTTATCAGCCTCCTCTTCCCCTTCCTTTTCCCCTCTTCTTTTCCCTCCTCCCCTCATCTCTCTTCTCACCGAAACCCTGAGGGAGATAGGAAGGTAATAAGTATTATTGTTTTGTCAGTGTCTCCATCACACACCTTCTGTTTTTCTTTCTTGAGGCATCTCAGAGGGAAGTGGCAGGAGATGACTTTCAGCAGACCTTTCCCCTTAGTGAGGACAGTAAGTCCCAAGGACATGTGGAGGCAAGGATGAGGGGCAGATGAACAAGCAGCTGTCTGGCCTAGGTCTTACAGAATTATTTTTCCTGGAATTAATATGCTTAGAATGTATACTTTAGCAAGTGTCTATTTCTGGCTCCAGCATTTTTCTTTGGGTGTCAAACCTGGTTTTATCTCTGAGATTTTTCGACACTAGGAGAATTTGACATTCACATTCTAAGAGTGTTCTGTAATGTTTCCATTTACATACCAGTTTTCTTCATTTTTTGGCTGGAGGGGTATGTGAATATATACAAGAATCTGAGCAGATTCATTTTTAGCTGCAGCAGAGGCAAGCCTCAGGGGAAAAGTCAAGATAACTGGATTCCTGAAATGGTATAACTTGGCAACTCGTCTTTTCTGTTCCTTAGCCTGTAAAGCATTATTTGGTTTTAGAAGAGGAGTAGCTCCTACTTGTGAAGGTCTTCATTGGAATGGCACATTGAATGCATGAACCCTTAAAATCCTTACTCCCTTTAACCCAAGCCACATCTCAGTGGCTTTAAAGCATATCAAAGCAAGGAGGGGAAAGTCTGTGTGATACGGTACTAAAATTGATCCTGTAGTACCAGGCATGAGGAGAGGAAGGAGGAGTATCATCATTATCCTGTTAAGGATTTGTCATG
Organism: Homo sapiens; assembly: GCF_000001405.40. Lineage (NCBI taxonomy): Eukaryota > Metazoa > Chordata > Mammalia > Primates > Hominidae > Homo > Homo sapiens. The sequence goes on along the minus strand of NC_000008.11, from coordinate 130,290,743 downwards.
CCTCAGAGCATCTGCAAGGAAATAGTCCACAGATAAAGTTCAGCAAGTGATTTGCAATTGGTAGAGGTGGTTTGGCATTTTGAAAAGCTTTATAAATGTGACTGCAGCCTGAGAAGAATGACCACCACTGGAATGAGGGAAGGCTGGAAGGATTTAAGGGGTTCTTTATGAAATCAGGCACACATCCCCATGTCGACTAGGCTAGACTCAGGCACCATAATAGCCCTGGTTCAGGGTCACTCCTCTTTCCAGGAAGGTTTGGATCCTACAGTTAGAAAAGAGGAATCTTGGATCTCTAGGTAAGGGTTAGAGAAAGTATTCTGGGCATCCCAAGTTAGAATCTGGTGTCTTTGCTTAACGAGTTCTGAACATTTCATGTGAGGGAATATGGGCTACTGTTGTAGGCCTTGCTGTTTCACCTGAACCATCCCTGCCCTTGAAGGACTTAAAGTTGGAAGGAATGTGAGGAGGCGGAGTAGCACAGTTATATGACATCTAATCCAAAGTAGAATATGCGAGCCTTAAGAGAAGTGCAGAGGGCTGTGAGGAGTATGAAGTGGCTGGCAAATAGATTCAGTATTATATTTCATTTATTCATTCTGCAGATATTTATGGACCACCCTTTTATGTTGCTATTGCTGTGCTAGTATTGGAGATACAAAGATGAATATGACACCTCTCGGGCCGTTGCCAACTGTCGAGTACCAGGAAGAGCGCTTAGATAAATGACCATGTACAATGGGGTACGTGCAATTATAGGTCCACTGTTATTTGCTGTTCTGAATTCCAAATGTTAAGAGTTTTGACATGAAATTTTGTTTCATGAGGCTTTTAGAAGCTAAACTAGAAACGTACTGGATATTTAAAAACTGTGTTACCAGAATCTGATAATGGAGTTCTACACTAGTCCCTGTGGGGTATGTTGTATAATAAACAATAAGTATACTGTAATTTCTTTCTGAAATCTACAAAAGTATGAATTCTAAAACAGCCAGCCCCAGCTAAAGGATTGTGGATACAAGTAAGATACTTCAGGTGATTTGAGAGTTTACCTGGCTGTATGGGCTACCCTGGGAATATAACCACTCTTTATAACATCCTTTCTTCGAGAATGGTATGTGCTAAGTTATAAACAGCTGACTTAGGGCCATCATTTTAAAGTATGAAGCCTTCCAGTCTTCGCCTCCCCAGTCTTTTCCATTCTTAAAGTTTGGACCAGTCTGCAAGGTAGCTGCCTCCCTAAGGATTTGGGGTATTCTCTAAAATTTGAATATATGATATTCTTGTGCCCTTTGAATACGCTGTTTAAAAATAAATTTTAAAGAATATTCTCATGTAAAAGTAACACACATACTTTGGAAAATACAAAACATAGGAAGAAGGAAAAAATGGCCACATTCTTACTGTGAACACACTGATGCTTTTTCTGTGCATGTTTTTGTTTAATAGTGTTAGTCTGACGCCTTCTTATTCATTATAACATACCCATTTTCCCATGTTATTTACATAGTCTTGGTAAGTATAGTTTTTTTTTTTGTTTGTTTTTGTTTTTTGTTTTGAGATGGAGTCTTGCTCTGTCGCCCAGGCTGGAGTGCCGTGGCACCAACTTGGCTCACTGCAACCTATGCCTCCCGGGTTCAAGTGATTCTCCTGCCTCAGCTTCCCGAGTACCTGGGACTACAGGCGTGTGCCACCACGCCCAGCTAATTTTTTGTATTTTTAGTAGAGACAAGGTTTCACTGTGTTAGCCAGGGTGGTCTCGGTCTCCCGACCTCGTGATCCACCTGCCTTGGCCTCCCAAAGTGCTGGGATTACAAGCATGAGCCACCGCGCCCAGCCTTGGTAAGTATAATTTTTAATGGTTATACACAGTTTCATTCTGTGAATTTATCATAATTTGCTTAACCATCTCCCATCATTGGACATTGTTATTTGTCCTTCCCTCCCTTCTTTCCTTCTATAAGTAATGCTGCTGTGAACATCTTGCATTGACCAGATTACTGGGGCAGATTACCTGTGCTTCCACAGTGGTTTTACCATAGTACAGATGCCATCTTCTTCCCATAGTGCCCTTGCCTAGTACATTTTAAATTCTTGGAGGACAGAGTCTCCTTCACATTTGTCTCTGGGTCCTCTACACTGCCCTGCTTAGGGTCTTGAAGGTGATTAACACATTTGTTTAATGGATATGCAGTCCAGACTTCTGAATGCCCTTTTCCCTCTTAGAGTTAATGTGTAAGAGCTGGCAGTGCTCTGTAAATGCACAGCTGCAGGTAGGACACTGCGCCTCCAAATAAAACATGTCCTGATAAGCATTTGCAGGGAGGTTTATATTCTCAAAGATATCCTCTTTATTAACAGTTGTTTCAACAAGGAATTTTTTTTTTTTTTAATATCAGCTCTTGTAAAAGAATGGAATTACCCTAAGGAGTGAGTTCTGGGGACCCAAATTGAGGAATGGTGCCCTCGAAGTCAAATACTGGAACCAGAAAGGTTAGAAATAGATTAAAAGCCTCAGCTTTATCAGAAAAAAGCCACAGATGAAAAGCCTCAAGCAGCTTCCAGCATGGCTGAGGAGATAAGCTTCCCATATTTGCATTAATTAGCAGGAGCACCTAGCACTGATTGCTTGATGCGTGTAGCTGGAGCTCCTGCCAGGGGAGAAGAGTTCCACGCAGCATGGATGCAGGAGTCGGACTAGAGCACAGTTTGAAAGCGCTTTGGGATGGCCTCACCCTGCATGGGTGCTTGGTTGACTGTGCGTGGAGGTGACTAGAAAGGACAAGCCTGGGGAAGAGATAGGCTGGGGTAGGGACCTAACAGGGCAAGAGGGTATGTGTTTGAAATGTTAAGTCAGTTTACCAAACCTTCCCAGGGTCTCTGCTATATGCTAGACTGAGTGGGAAGGGCTAGGGGTATAGAGGTGACAAAACCCAAACACAGCCCTCTGAGCGTTCCCTATGTTAAAGGGCACAAATAGTTGCTATAATAATGTTCTATTAAATATGTAATTATGGCCTTTGACATAATCTGTGTCTGATAGTTTGCACCCAAACTTGTGAGATAGGGCTTACGCATTTTGCAGAGGAGAAATTCAAATGCAGAGGGTTTGAGGCATTTGCCCACAGAACTCGCCTTCCTTGGCTGTTAGGCTTTGTGGGTTAGGCTTTATGTCCCCATCATCGCATTGAACTGTGTTTCCCATGGTCTGAGAAATTTAGCCTAACTAGGCCTCCCCCCAAAAATCAGTTTACTTCTCAAAAATGGATGGATGAGGGGGTCAGTGGGTGAATGGGTGGATGGATGGGTAGAACAAAGACAATATTCATAAAGGAGGGTGTGACTGATGAGTAAGTGCATGGTGCCATCATCTATACTGCATTGTCCCTTTGTTCAAGCTCTTCCTAATCTGAAGTAACCTTACCTACCCTATCTTATCTTTTATTATCCCCCAACATCCATCCATCAAGCTGTCCTGTCATCCTTCTATACTTTCATCCATCTAACTATTATTTGCTAGTTCCAGGCACTGTGCTTTGGACAGGCAATATACAAAAATGTGTAAAGTTCAGTCCTTGAACTCTTGGTGATATGTAGTCAGCTTTGTTCAATTAGAGTCAGATAATTCTGCTTAACAGTCAATTTCCCTGTGTTCCTTCTGGCCCCATTACTAAAAATGCTCTAACTGCTCCTCTCTGAGCAGTACTCTTCAAGGTCTCCCTCCTTGGCCACCAAGAAGTCTTCCCTCAAATTGTGCTCATTCGCCTTTTTGACCCCCTACGGGCCTTCTTCATCTGAATCGCTCCCTGCTATGAGGTGTTTCCTTATACCATTAGCATATCTTACCTTGTTTATAAACTGATGTCTAGATAAATGTTCCCTGTGGGTGTGAACTTTTGCTTCTCATCATTTCATAATGATAAGCACAAAGGTGTTAAAGTTGTTTGCTCATTTGTGCATTCGTTTGGGCAGTTGCACACTTTTTAAAGCTCAGTAAACATGTCGGATGCTGTGAATCTTGATCATTTTCCCCAGTCCTGGTGTGATGAGCATGAAGATGATGATGGGTAACCCTTATTGGGTACTTCCTGTGCACCAGGCACTGTTCTTAGTGCTTTACATGGTTTAACTCATTAAACCCTCACCGCAAAGCTCACTGTATAGAGGAAGGAACCAGAGCATACAAGTATTAAGTAAGTTGCTCAAGCAGGATTAGAAACTCAGGAATTCTGGCCTTCAGACACCCTCTGTAACTACAACTCCATCAGTACATGAAGGAGTTCTCTAGCTGCTGTGACTCCCGATTTTGTGAAGTGTTTTTATTTTATATCAAAGTAAGTGATGGACTTAAACTGTGAATGGAAGTAGAATGTCATATACGCAGTGAGATAAACATCAGTGAAATAAATGCTAGCTTTGTTTTTAGTTAATTGAGAATAACTTTGTAAGTTCATTTTGCAGCAGGTTTTTGTTATGGCCCAGTTTTCGCCAAAGCCTATTTCTAGTGTTTTATAAGAAACAGTGCAATGTACTTCAGGTGGTCCTGGTGTCTAAAACCTACTCTGCCATTTGATACTGTGAGAACTTGAGCAGATTACTGTGCCCTGAGCCTTCTTTTCTTCATTTAGAAAATAGCAAATAATTCTGCCTGGCAAATTTGTTGTGAGGATTGAGGGAGATAACACCTGTTATTTTCTAGTACCATACCTGGCACATAGTAGGTTTTCAGTAAGTGGCTAAAAATAATAGATATATCAGAAACTTGTTAGCAGGCAGTGATTTTCTAAGTTAAGACAGGTAGCAAATTATTTATGATATCTGTTCCAGTAAAGCCTTGGCTCATTATTTTGCTTTTATTTATTTTTAATCAGTATTGGAACATTGTTGGTACTCGCTCAGCAGGAACAGAACGTGATAAAGTTACATCAGAAACCAGAGGCGGAAAACTTTCCACGGTGATATGCATAAACAAATATTTCATATTTTTTACAGAAAGTCTGGCTATTGCCTATAGAAGACAAAAACTGGTAACAGCCTTATTCCAGCTAAATTTGAATGCCAGGTTGACACTAATCATGGATGCTTTCCCAGAGCTTTCAGAAAAACAAAACCAACCTGTTGTGTTTAACTTTCCAAAGATGTCAGAGTTACAATTGGCTGAATATTTTTGAAGCTACATATATGACGACTCTCTTCATTTCAGTAATTAAAACAAATTTTTTAAAAAGATACCTCCTGAATAGATAAATATGATCATAATTATGTTTTTCCTTGGTTTTATTTAGACCATAAAATTTTTTCTAGTGATAAGATCATTTTGTTTTGGCCGACATACATAAAATTCTCTTCATTCATGAAATTCTGTGTTCACTAGTACCTGTAGGCTGGCACCAAGTCAGTTTTGTTTTTTGTTTTTTTTTCTTTCCAACTTGGTGGTTTACAACTCCTTGAGTATTCCATTTTTATTTGTGTATGTTTCTGAAAGTTCTGCAAGGAAGGTCAACTATTTAAAGTCATTACTGGTATATCTTAATATTTATTTTACTAATACTTTTTTTTCATGCTTGCTGTAGGAAAATGAATGTGGGTTGCCAAGTCTTCCTTTTCTCTTAGGTCTGGTGTTCTCTGAACTAATTCACTCCAAAGTGTTGCTGTCAAGGAAGACTCAAATTATAAGGAACCACTAGGACCATCTTTATTAGAGACTGGCCTTTACTTTCTTAGGTCTTAAATAGGGTGTGGATGGGAGAGGTTTTCCAGTTCCTGTTTCACAGGCATTAGGACCAATCTTTGTGGGCAGCCACCCACTCATGAGTGTATGTCTCTCTGTCTCTCTCTCTCTTTCTCTCTCTCTCTCAGTATGGTGTGTGTGTGTGTGTGTGTGTGTGTGTGTGTGTGTGTAGAGTGTAAAAGGAATGATTGGTTTTACTACCCCATGAGGAGATCCAGTATTCTTATGGGGGGAGGGAATATTAGGAAAGATGTTTTTTTCTTCTGTGCAAAGCTGTCATGCTTTGTCAGTGATTACAGAGATAAACTTAACAGCTGCATTGCTAAATTACCCCTCCCTCCCAGTGGCTGCATCCTACATCACAGTCTGCATGTGGTCTCTGTGGTTCATTGTCACTGGTTCCCAAACCAAAGGAAGCCATTGGTCTTGTTGAGTGGTGACGCTTATCTTCATAAATCCTGGCTGTACTGGGCGCATCCCTTTTAGTTTATTTTCAGCCCAGCCCTCATAGCTCACTTTCCCCTGCTTAAAAATTTTCATGGGTTTTCCCTCACCTTTAGAGAAAAGTTGAGTTACTACAATTTGACTCCCGTTTTTGCCTTTATGGGGGTTCATTTGAACCTCATACTTTGTGGCTAAATTACACTATAGTCACTTGAATCCATTTATATATACAATTTATCGTTTTGACTACTGTCTAGAATGGTTGTTTGTCCAGTTTTCATTTTCCTACTTTTATTGCTCCAATGTTTTGAGATCTTGGATCATTATTACTAAATTTCCAGGTTTTATGGATAGAATTTTGTTTTTAAAAGGGATTTGTTCTTTAGGGCCCCCAAATTTTCAAGACGCCCTACACATTCGGTTGGCCATTTTAATCTCTTCTCAGGGATGGGTTTTGTCCATTAGAACCTCTGTCCTCCGTGCCAGTGAACTGGAAATTTAAGGCGGATGTGATGATGATGAGTCTAACAAAAAGCTGTCCTCATCACATACCCAGTCCTCCACAAGGTTTTTGTGGATACAGTCAGTGCAATACCCACTCTTAGGCCATCTAGATTAGTTCCTCACAGATTCTGGGGATTTCCTACATCTGATGAGTTTCTGATTGCATGTCCTGAAATGGCACCATTTTTTTAGGCCCTTACCCTTCATTGGACATTATCATGGCTTTTCAATTTAGACATCTACTGACAGTGATTCTACTTTGCCCATCAACCAAATCTGATTTTCTAGACCTGGTTTTAAGGCATCCTATTATCTGACCCTTCCTCATGTATCCAGTCTCAACTACAACTTTCTGTTCTTATCAAGTTAGTCTCTTTCCATTCTGAAACACTGTTCCCCACACATCCCTGCCTTTGTTTGGCCTTCTTTAGCTGTCTGCATCCTGCCTTCTTTTTTTTTTTTTTTTTTTTTTTTTTTCTTTCTGTGATGGAGTCTTGTTCTGTCACCAGGCTGGAGTGGTGCAGTGACGTGATCTCCTCTCACTGCAGCCTCTGCCTCCTGGGTTCAAGTGATTCTCCTGCCTCAGCCTCCTGAGTAGCTGGGACTACAGGCGCGCATGCCACCATGCGCAGCTACTTTTTGTATTTTTAGTAGAGACGAGGTTTCACCATGTTGCCAGGATGGTCTCGATCTCTTGACCTCGTGATCCACCCGCCTCAGCCTCCCAAAGTGCTGGGATTACAGGCGTGAACCACTGTACCCAGTGTTTTTTTGGTTTTTGTTTGTTTGTTTGTTTGTTTGTTTCCTGGCATCCTGCCTTCTTTTAAGGCTAAGTCCAGATGCCATGCTCTCTACAAAGAGGGCCTTACTTTTCCAGCTGGTGTGGATATATTTTTCCTCTCTCCAACAGTAGTTACTGCAGAGCTCACAACGTAGTGGCCCACTTGCCAAATCCATCCCATGAAGGTTTTGTTTGCTCCACCAAATTTGCCTAGTTGCTGTTATTTGTATTTCAGGAAATTTCACATAAATATTGGATTTCTGGCTTGTTTGAAGAACATAGACCATTTAATAATAGTGCATCCCCTTTCCCAATTGGCAAAAGCCAGCTAAAGCTATTCAATTAGTGGCTGTTTTACTTAAATGATGAAGGTTGTTGTAACTTTGCCGCAGCGAAACCCACTCCTTGTTATAATAGGCCAACCTTGCTTCTCTCATTAATATTATCTTCCTGACCCCAGTAACTATTTCAGTTTATGATCCTTTGGGTTCTTGTTCATTTAGTTGTCTACCCCCACCACACTCTATTTCAAATTATTTGTGTAATTTTTATGAGAGTAGGGATAACAGCTTTCTAAAAATATATTTTCCCCAATAATGTGGATACTTTGTTGGGTAATTGCCAAATCAGTGATTGGTTTTGATATTGTGGCTTGAATGCCATGGTTGATGTACACATGCCAGAGCTGAAAGGCCTTTCAGTTTGCCAAAAGGGGATCTTATTAAGTGCTTGCAGTTACATTCACACATCATGATTAATAATGAGTATCCACGTGGAGTGCAGATGGTAACAGTCGTATTGCAATTGGTGAACCTTAAGCAGTTTCAGATGAAATTTCAAAAATATTTTGATTTGTTTTTACCAATAGACTAATAATTAAGCCATTTCTAAAAGGAGGAATTAATATACAAATGCAAAAGCGATTTGTAGTTTTGACTAAAACATCTGCAAGTGTGGAGTCACAATATATTTTATGTTTCTTTATTTTTTCCTATTTGGCAAAATAAGTAGGGAAATAGTGGTTTCCCAGATATAGATTATTAGATCCCTAAAACATGGTATACTTGCAGGATTTTAGACACTTCTGCTTTGACAGTGTGATTAAATCAAATTGGATTCTAATTAAAAGATACTGCAAAATGTAGAACATATATATTTGGTTGGTGCAAGAGTAATTGCGATTTTTGCCATGCCATTCCTTTTTTTTTTTTTTTCGAGGCAGAGTCTTGCACTGTCGCCTGGACTGGAGTGTAATCGGTCATGATCTTGGCTCACTGCAACCTCCACCTCCCGGGTTCAAGTTATTCTCCTGCCTCAAGTCTCCCGAGTAGCTGGGATTACAGGCACCCGCCACCTTGCCCCGCTAACTTTTTGTATTTTTAGTAGAGATGGGGTTTCACTATGTTGGCCAGGTGGGTCTCGAACTCCTGACCTCGTGATCTGCCTGCCTTGTTTTCTCGAAGTGCTGGGATTACAGGCGTGAGCCACCGCGCCCAGCCTCCATTACTTTTAAATGGCAAAAGCCACAATTACTTTTGCACCAATGTAATATAAGATGCAGAGTTTCTTAGAGGAAAATGAGTTCACATGCCATGATTGTGTATGTTGATTCCTGGGTTCCCCACATATCACCATATAGATATGTTGCAAAACAGAATAAATTAAGTTGTTTGTTTTTTTAACCCCCCCAAAAAAACTATTTTTTACACTTTGGATAAGTTTTTTAGCCTGAAAATCTGGACCAGTACTTAGTTGTAGATTTACAGTACCTAGACTTGGAGATATAAACCCCTGTTCTTAGAAGGTAGAAAGCCCTGTCATGATTAAAAAAATCAAGGACCAAGGAGGGTATTCCCTCTCTCCCAGTAGTAAGTTTTCAAATTAGTTAATAAGCATATGTCAGTCTTTATGGACAAAATCAAGAAATGATGTCATTGACCATAGAGAGATTTGTAAAAACTTAAAAGCAATGGAGAAAGCTATAAGTGATAGGGAAACATTGTTTATGTTGATCCACGGATCTCTAATACTAATTTTATTGAGTTGTAGGTTTATTTATTTCTCCCAGCATCCTTTGTGAGGGGGTACATATCATTTCCAGTTTTACAGATAAGGTAATTGAGTTTATCTAGATGAAATAACCTTGTTCAGTGTCATACAGCCCCAGGTTATCTGCCCCCAAACCTCTGCTATCTTCTACCACACAACACAGCCACCAAGTATAATGTTTTTTGAGTACATATACATATGTACTCTAAACCTATTTGTTATTTGGAAAAACAGCATGTTGGTTGTTACATGTTATTTGGAAAAAGTGAATCTGTAAACATATTTACTCACCCATTTTTAGACAGATCAGTGACTGTTAGACAAATCACTGACATGGATTCTTGGTTATGGTTAAATGAAATGGTGCTATTAATGACCAAGCAGAAGAATGAACCAATAAAATTATCATTTCCTTGTTTATTTTTAAATTTCAATAAAAACTGAAGTGTTAAATTCTAACATAGAAAATTAAATTCACTTTTGGCACTCTTCCCAGCCCCAATAACTGATTGTTCTGAATTTTAAGTAACTGGATAATTCTGACTATTTTATTACAAATTTTCACTCTCTAATAGAATCGCTGATGAGCATGTATTGCTCTCCCTCTTTTCTATTGCCTTTTGTTGATTTGGATAATGCTACAGCTCAAAGCTGGAAGAGTCCAGTAGGATTATTAAATTATATGAATCATGCTCTAAGAAAGTTCTAGTCTGGATTCTGAAAATGCTGACATGGTTGACTGCTCTCTACTGTGGCAGACTGTGTGTCAAGGATGCCTCCCAGGAGTTGTGCTGATTTGTGAGGACTAGTTGTCAAAAGATTCCATAACCATTATCACAAGTAGACTTTATCCACAAAATGCCCAGTTTCTTGGGACATATAATCACAATTGAATATATCACACACCACTTTTAAAAACTTGTATTCTAGGCCAGAGGTCAGCTACCATTTTATCCTGCTAGATTCTCCTGAAATCCATACTCCATATGAGAAGTAAAGGTAGAAAAGGGACAGCGAGGAATATGAGCAAGCACTGGTCTGGTAAAATCATCTTTGTTCAGTTCCAGCTGGGCTACTTACTGGCCTTGTGATGTGTTTTAAAGGCCCCTTGATCCCTCTGAACCATGGTTTCCTTGTCAGCAAAATAGTCAAGAACACTACCTCTGCCTATCTCTTTTTGATGACCAAATAAAATAAGGAACATGTAAGTGCCAGTTTGAGGTATTCTTAAACAGTACAAAGTTGCTGAATGAGACACAGACTCAGGTTTCTAACCTGGCACATAGTTGATGTTTATAAAAGTTAGTTCCCATCTCCTCTTTTTAGTTGTAGGTTTTATATTGATTATTGGTTCAAGAGAGGCAAAAGGTTGTAAATAGCTCAGGGTCGCTTTAGTTATGGACGCCCCTAACTATTTTAGTGGACCGGTTTCCTGCTTAACGCTCTATGTTCTTTCCTCCCTGCCTTCACTTCTCTTTTTTCTCCTTCTCTGTCAACTACTACATTGCTAACTCTTTCTCATCTGTAGTATAGAAATTATACAATATTTTTACAATAGAGAAAGATCTAGAAATTATCTAGTCAAGTCTATTTGTTTTATAGATGAAGGAACTAAAGCTGAAAGAGGTTAGTTTCTTGTTTGAGATCACACAGCTGATAAGCACCCAAGCTGGAATTTGAACCCTGCGCTTGTTTCAAAAGCAAATTTATTTTCACTGCACTATGCTGCTTTTATGATTTGCATTCCCCCCACTCCATTTAAAAATATGCTTAACTATCTCTGCAGAAGTGGATTTCTAACATCTGCCATTAACATCCACTGCGGTTTGTGAGCCAGTCCTCACATTCCCTCGTTGCCATATTCAAGACTCCATGTGGGACAGCCATGGATCTGGCAGAGAAGCAGATTTCAGCAGAAGGTGTGGGTGACTTCAGAACCCCTAGTGCTGGGTGTATGATTCAGACCTTACATGAGGAAAGAGTAATTTCCTGTGCCTCCCCCGTGTACTTTTAGGCTATAGCAACCACAAAGTTCAGAGGAAGGTGTAGGATTCGTGTACTTCTGTTCATTTTTTTTCCCCTCTCTGTCTCATTGTGAATCAAGGGCTTGATTTTGGAGATTTTGCTTTTACCTGCCAAGCAGAGGGACCAGGATTTGTTCTGTCCCGTGGTAGACATGGCTTTCGATACCTTATTAGGGTATCACTTTCAATAACACTTTCTACTTCAGCTTCCTCATCTGTGAAATGGGTTTGAGGGTTCCTGCCTTGCTTGTCTGTAAGGATTGTTTTGAATGAACTAATGGATGAGGAAGGGCTTTGTAAACATGCCTAACACTCTCTAATTGTGAGGGCCTTTATGAAAAGACTTAAAAGTAAGAGGTAAAAGCCATGGATTTGAATTCTGGTTCTGCCCCCAGAGTGGTTACTGGGTACGGTGAGTAGATGTTGGGTGGCCCAGAAACAACAGCTCCCCCTCTCTTCTGTTTCACCCATGCGTATTTATATTTAGAAAGGATATTTAATGCATATGGATAAAATATCCCAGGAATTAATTAGAGTTTTTTTCGTCCAATGTCTCTCGACTGTTTTATCGTATGTCCCAGTCCAATATTTGCACTCTTAGCTGCAAAACTTGATGATGCATCAAGGAAAAAAAGAGAAAGGCTTATTTGCATGGAAGACTTTTGCAAAGAATGTTTTCTTATTGGCATATATTGTCTTCATGTGTTTCTAATGAAACAGAAGCCAGTGAGTCTCTGGGTAATTTCTTTGTTTCCACCCTGACGCTGTTGATGTCAACAAAAAGTGCAGTTCATTTTTAGGTAGGGTCATATTTTCTTTTTCTTTTTTTTTTCATTTAGCACAGGAGTGGTGGACTTAACCTGCCACACCCTTTTAATTTAATAAAATATGTCTAGATTATGGGATGTGACTACAGCTTTCTGTGGTTGGTCGTGTCCATCCTAAAGATCTGGACTCAATACCTTGAAATGCTCATGTTACTACAATGAAAAGCGTGTGTAACACAGCAGTAAGTGTTTACATTGCTCATTCCCTTTATGCTGTCTAACATCATAGAGAGTTAAAGAACTCATGGTTTGAGGGATATTGGTACTAATTTACATAACTTTTATAAGGCCCTTTGATTTTTTTTTTTTTTTCTGGTTTTCAACACACTTATTAGGTCTCTTGTCATGGCACAGGGAAATAAATCTTCAGCCTCGCTGAGAACCATACTACTTTGGATTTCTTCCTTTCATGGCTAAGAATTTATTTGCTCCCTTGAGCTCTACCCAGATGAGGTCCTCCCGAGAGGCTCCCTGCCACTCTCTACATCTCTGTGAACTCCACTGGCAGTCTGAAAACTGTCCTGCTACGTCCATGTGATGGGCCCACAAACGCCTACAGCCCTTCGTCAACAGACACAATATGAGTGGCAAAGACATTTATGTAATCTGGGGACAAATTTGTAAACTCTTTTGAGAAATCTTACAGAAATCATTTCCCAATTGGAGCTAATGGCTGCTTGCTGGTGGTGTTTCCTAAGGCATTTGAAAGCCATTTCTATATCTGTACTTCCTTTATTCCCACTCTTTAGACTTCTTGGTGCCCTGTTAGATTTAGACTATTATGACACTTATTTTTTGTTTCTGTCATGAGAACTCTGTGTCACTTTGTGCTTGTCTTTAGGAGTTTTCAATGTTTGTTTTTGCTTACATTTTTAAAGATGGGATTGTCTAAACATTTTTCATGTGGTAAAAATGGAATTCATATTTTGAATTTGTATTTTTTCTACTGAACTTTCTGGTTCTTTCCTCTCAACTTCATCTGCTTCATCTTTTGTTGTCTTAAATTCACTGGATATGAAGAACTAGTATGGCTTATAGTTATTGGTGTTTTTCTCCTGTTGCCTATAGCCGTTGTCCTCGTTACCAAGTGGCTGCTACAGGAAACCATCTTTTAGGTGAATGGCCAGACTGGATGGGGCAGACTGGTTCCCCTTTCTCGCTGACGCTGTTTGGCAGCTGCTTTCTCTCCAGTCTCACTCAGGTTACCGTGGCCTGTGGTCCTCAGCTAGAGCATGCATCGTAATCAACTAGGAGATTCTGATCTGGAGAGTCTGGGATGGGGGGCCCTCGGTGCCTGCATTGAAAAGCACACACATGTGATTCTGATGTGGACGGGTGAGGGTGGGGTTACGCTGTCAAAGCCGTACCTATTGTGAGTCAGCTAGGCTGCACATGGACAAGGGACCCCAGGGACTGACCTCCCTCAGCAGCAGGCAGAGTCCTTCCATCGTCTGCCATTGAGTTCACTTAGTTTTCTGTGTCTGCCAAGACCGCTCCTGGCACTGTGAGTGCACTGCTCTCCTTGTCCCTTTATTTCTGTTCCTTAATTTCTGTTGACTCACACTTTCCACCTTCTCATAGTTTAGGGTCTCTCATGCTGCCATGGAGCTTTTTTGTTAGAGGAGAGAGAGAGAGAGAGAGAGAGAGAGAGAGAGTGTGTGTGTGTGTGTGTGTGTGTGTGTGTGTGTGTGTGTGTTTGCAGTCTTGGCTCTCAGTTCACGTTTGGCCTGCAAATCCCAATCACAAATCCATTTGGTCAGAATTCGGGCTAAGTATTTACTCCAGATTGTCTCAGCTGTGGCTGAGGTACTGTCACAGAAGACCCTGGGATCAGCCTACAGGACACAAATGCCAGCTTTTTTGTCTGAGGATACCTGTCAGTAGCATAGACCATCACATGGCTTAGCAAGCTGGTTCTTCGTAGTCCATGATTGGCTACAGTAGAAGAAAAGCCTAAATTTTGAATTCATAGTTAAGAGTTACAGTCCTTGTTAGCACTTGTTTACAGTGTGATCTGGGGTAAATCATTTATCCTTTATAAAATGGAGACTAATGTAGCTTTTGTCACAGTAGCAGAATGTATATGGAATCACTTTGTGAACTTAGAGGAAATGGAAGAGATTGTTACAGCTGGAGCGGCCCAGTGCCCCCCAGCCTTCTTTTTTAAACAAATGAGGAACGAAGCTCTAGGAGTTTGCTGTGCCCAGGAACATCATAATTTATTAGCAGCAATGCCAGACCTAGAGGTCAGGCCCGCAGGGTTCTTTTTGTGACATCTTTTGTCAGGGCAAAGCATCCATTCATGGAACTGGGCTGAATCTTTCTCATACTCTTCCCTTAAAGAGGCTTGCCTTTTTGAAACTTGGTTCTTTCCTTGATCACTCTGTCATAGAATCTGTTCTTGGAGCCGCTGATGAAGTCCGGTCATTATCAGTACCTTTACTTCTGCAAAAAAATGTGACTGGTATTATCTTCTACTTGGTTGTAACGGTTTACGTTCTCCTCCAGTTCTGTTGTTCTCCGTGAGGAATGTAGTTTTTTACATGCCTTTTCCATTGGAGAGTTACAACAAAAAAGCAAAATAAATCTATCTTTTCTCTGATATGGCCTCCTTATTTGTTTTAAAAGCATTTTTATGTTTATTTGGATAATATTTAGAAAATATAATAGATTTAAACATAATTTTAAAAGCATCAAAATGCTTACGTTTCTCTAATTGTGCAAGAATCTTTATATACATAGTTTTTTTTTTTAACTGAAGTTGCATCCTGCCAGTAAAATTTGAACGAATTGCTTTATAAGTTGATAAGGCCCCTTTAAAACCCTTTTCACTTCTTAGCTCCTGTGTGTACCTCTGTTTAGAAGGTGTTTTCTCCTTCCTAGGCTAGCCAGGAGGAGAGCTTTTGTGTGCAGGCGCTGGGACGCCTCAGGGGACTGGTAATTGAGAGAGGGGTATTGACCTGGGTCATCCATCTGAAAGTACGTAAGTGCTGCTGCCCAAAGCCATTATTACTGCCTTCCAGGAATCTTTGATAAGTGAATTAGTGGCTTTCTTTAGCTCTCTTTGACCTGTGGAAAGCCCAATTACAGGCTTCTTTGTTCACCCATTTGTAACTTCTTTCTGTTAGGGCCAGGAATATAACTTCATCTGAAGACTTCTCCCAGTTGTGGGTTTCAAAGCATTTGGAAGAAGAAAAGGAGCTACCATTTGTTGAGTGCCTTCGGAGTGCTCAGAGCTTTGTATATGCTCTCATTTCATTCTTGTCTAAGATCTAGAGATGGTTAGGATTATTCATTCCTGTTTCACAGATGAAGACTCTAAAAAAGTTGGAGAAGTAGCTCAAGGTCATCCAGCTACAAAATAACACAGCTAGGAGTTGAATATGGAGCTACAGTCTCAAGAGTCTATGCTTATTATGTCTCACTAAATGGTTTCTGTTCCAAGTTAAGGGTAGTGGACTATGAGGAAAAGCGAAGAGAGGTTTATCCTCCATTTCCACCCACAGGTATACAGAAATAAGAACTACAGTAGGTGTAGCTAAGAGCCAATCCAATCCTGTACTGGTGGTATTCAGGAAGGCTTTATGTGGATCAAGATTCTATGCCAGAGAACACAGATTCCTTCAGTTCACTTCAGCATACATCTGCTCTGTGCCTGGTACTCTGCTAAGGAAAAGAAGTCCGTGCTTCCAAGGAAGTGAACTTCTGTTGATCACTCGGACTTGAATGAAATATTATGTCATCCAGTATTAATTCTCAAAGATACATCCTCAACAATGAATGCGATAGTGAGAAGAGAGGCAGAGGTTGCTATGTCAAGTTGATATTGTGTGGCGGGGTTAAGTATCCCCTTACCTGTTTTCCATTTAGGATTTAAGGTAGATCGAGTGGTCTGGTGCAAGGGTTCAGACCATAAACCACAGCTGTTTGATTCTTCAGCCTGGTTCTTTACCAGCTATTATCTCCTCTCTACCAAAGAACATAGTAACCTCCCCATTTCTGCACCTCCTCCAAAACAAAACTTCCCCGTAATGGTAAGTGAAAACTTGGACTTACTGAAAAATGCCAGCAAGGCCCAGTTGAACCTCCATCTTTCATGCCTTATTGATATGCATGCCACTTCTTCCATCTTCATAGTATCAGTCATTTGTCATCCTCTAATAATTTCAAGGCTTGCTGTCATTTTGAGTTGGTACTTCCCCAAGGGAAAGCAATGCAGGCAGGGAGGTATACATTAGTATGAGAAGAATGAAAAATGATTATATAAGGTATTGTGAGTCATAGACTTTTACATTCTAAAGGAATTTATTGCAAACATTACCTTTTTGGAGATGGGGAAACTGAGAATCAAGATCTCAAAGCCAGTTAGTAGCTGAGCCAAGGCTAGAACTCAGGTCTCTTTACTTTTCTCGTGGACCCCAGCTCCTCCGCCCCCCTTCATCCTATGGAGGATGCTGGGACTAATGGGATTTTGAACAAGTCTTGGGAGTAGGAAGTGATGAGCTTTTTAAATGAGAACAGGCAAGGTTTTATCTATGTGGCGGATGTTACCAGACAGGGCAGTGTTAACCCTGGCTGCCCATTGGAATCACCTGGGGAGTGTTACATGTGGGCTAATGTCTGGGTCGCACCACAGACCAGTTGAAACTACTACTTTGTTCTCCTCGAAGTGTGACCTATCTCACCAGCTCTGTCATCTTTAGGAATGACATTATAAGCCAGGTTTTCTGGAAGTGAGGTTTGTAGACAACCTCCATCAGGATGCCCAGAGATACCCAGAGAAGCAGATACCAAGATCCTGTGAGCTCCTCCTTAATACAAGCTCCTGGGTTCAGAAGCCTGGCTGCTGTGTTTATAGCAAGTTTCCCAAGTAATTCTGATGCACAGCCAGTGTATTGGATGTGGTTTATTTTTCTTCTAGTCCACATGTCCCCCGCAGTTCCTTGCTGATGCCTCCTGCTACTTTGCTTCCTTACTTTCCCCTTCTGCAGACCTTGAGTGGAAGCAGGCGTGACCCTGCCTTGGGAGGGACCGCTGAACTTCAAGGTTTTCAATTGATTTTGATGCTTTTCTCCTTCCTCAGAAAGGAAAGAGATTTAGCATATGGGCTTTCTTCATATTAGATTTAAGATAAGAAATGATAATTACAACACTAAAACTAGCCTTTAAAAAAATCTGTTGATTTGTTTGGTAAATGAGTGATAGGATTTTATCTTTCTCCATTAGATTAGCCCCTCTGTTCTTATTGATACACTGTATTTATACATGTTTATGGGGTACATGTGAAATTTTCTTACATGCATAGGATGTGTAATTATGAGGTCAGGGTATTTAGGGTATCCATCACCTCGAGTATTTGTCATTTCTGTGTGTTGGGAAGATTTCTAGTCCTCTCTTCAAGCTATTTTGAAATACACGATATATTGTCATTAACTGTAGTCACCCTACTCTGCCACTGAACAGTAGAGCTTATTCCCTCTAATTGTATGTTTGTACTCGTTAACCAGCCATTCTTTATTCTCTCTCTCTCCCACCTACATACTCTTCCCAGTCTCTAGTATCTGTCATTCCACTTTCTACCTCAACATTTTTAGCTCCCACATATGAGTGAGAACATAAGATATTGTTCTTTCTATGCCTGCTTTATTTCAGTTAACATAGTGACATCCAGTTCTATCCATGTCATTGCAAATGACTTGATTTTATTGTTTGTTATGGTCAAATAGTATTCCATTTGTATATATACTACATCTTCTTTATCCATTTATCTGTTGATGGACACATAGGTTAACTGCATATCTTTGCTATTGGGAATAGTGCTGCAGTAAACATGGGGGTGCAGGCATCCCTTTTATATACTGATTTCCTTTCGTTTGGAGAAATACCCAGTAGTGGGATAGTGGAATTGCTGGATTGTATGATGAATCTATTTTAGTTTTTTGAGAGATCTCCATACTCTTTTTCACAGCGACTGTACTAATTTAGATTCCTACCAACGATGTGTAGAGTTACCTTTTTTCCACGTCCTCGCCAACATAGGGGTTTTGTTTGTTTGTTTTGGTGTTTTTAATGGCCATTCTAACTGGGATAAGATGATATGTCATTATGGTTTTAAATTGCATTTTCCTGAAGGTTAGTGATGTTGAATTTTTTTTTATATACCTGCTGGTCATTTTTATGTCTATTCATGTCCTTTGCCCATTTTTTGTTTTTGTTTTTTGAGACAGAGTCTTGCTCTGTCCCCTAGGCTGTAGTGCAGTGGTGTGATCACACCTCACTGCAGCCTGATCTCCCAAGCTCAAGCAATCCTCCTGTCTCAGCCTCCCCAGTATTTGGGACTGGAGCTTACCGCAGCCTTTTAGTGACAGTAAGTCTTTTTTTAAATTTATTTTTATTTTTTATTTCTTCATCATTCAACTTGAGACAGCAAGTCTTGCTTCCTCCCCTTCCATTATAAAACATGACTTTTTTTATTTCCATAAAGATTTTATACATTATAAAAATAACAAAATGGGAGGAAAGCTCAGAGTGGCACACAATCTTCATAAACAGGATACTAGAGAATAGAATGATAATCTAAATTTAGTGATTTTTGAAGCAGGGATGACTATGTGAAAATGTATAGTTTCATTGGGAACCATTTCCTAATGATACGAAATCCTGGTAATGAAAGCAAGTTTAGTTCAGTGGGTGATCAGCCCATCGTTTATAGTTTAACATTTAGTTTCATTTAAAAAACCTTGGGGCTTGTATCATACTCCTAAAAGATGCAAAAACAAAAGACCAAGAAATAGGGAGATGCAGGTTGGTAGGTGTTGGAAGCTAATTTGCAAAGTTAGCTGAATAGCCCACGCATCTGAGCGGTACATGTAGAAATGGAAGAAATGATTTTGACTTCCTACTCTCCTTTTCCTTGAGGGTGGTAAATAATCTTCTTATCAAAACTATGTAAAAGGTATATATAATTTCTTGGTAAAGAAAAACAAATTCCTTGGAACTGTGTGGCCTACAAGCAGTGCAGTGTCTTAATAGCACATCAGAATAATTTGTACTTGATTTTTTTAAAAAGGGTAGAGTGAGGTTGAAGGTACATATAGGATAAACTGCCCCTTTAACATGACACGTGCTGAAGCATCATCCTTTCCTCTGGGTCTAAGGCACTTGTTAGTATAGCTCTTCTGGTCGAGTTCAGTTTTAGGAGCGAGCAGCCCCTCTGCTGATTGGAAGAATAAAGACTTGGGAATGAGAAGGATTTGTTGCTTGCAGGGCAAGTGAGACCAAATCAGAGCAGCCCGGCAGCAGGCTCTCCTGATCAGTGGGCCATCCTTGGGGACCAGGAGCAGCCATTCTTGTTTCAGGACGGTGTGATCCTCAGATTGCCCCCAGTGTGATTTGTTTGGCCAAGTGGATTGTTCAGCACTTGTTCTGTGTGCTGGTGACTCATCTTACACTGTAGGGTGAACTACTTCTCAGGTAATACTTACAGGAAAGATTTCTGTTTCAAAAAAGGAGGATTAACTCAATTCATTAGGAAAAATTAATTTGAGCAGATGAGGGAAATGGCTTTTAAAGGTAGAGAGAAACAGTGGACTAAAATCTGTAACTCTTTTCTAAGGACTGTTTTTTCCCAGCAGCTTCTACCTGTTGGACAGAATTACCTTCTTTAGGTACCTCTGTTTAGGATAGATTTTGTTTGTTTTTTATTAAACTCAAATATTAGAACCAAATTGCCTTCTTGCAAAGAAACATACAGGATGAAGATTTAGCCTAGTTGGTTTAGTTTTTGTGTTCTTATGCATGTTTTAGTTGAAAGACAGTTTCTATGAACATAGAGCAAAATATGAGCAAAATGAAAAGCTTTGAATTTATAAGTTACTTGTCTCTACACTGGTTATCCAATTAACCTTTTAAATGAGGGAAGTTATTTCTTTATACTTTTACATACAGAGCTGATTCCTTGAGATCACACAGATCAGACAGAAAGAATGTTAGAATTAGGAATCATCAGAATTATAAGGGTCTGCAGAAGTATTCAAACTGCAGGTCACAATGTATGTTAATGGGTAATGAAGTGAATTTAGTGTGATCTTTACCAAAAGAAAAAGTTTCATCTTATTGGAGGGGGAAACATGGGCCCAAAGTGACTTAGCTTGGTACTTTATTGTAAATGTTTGATAACTTTTTATTTGATTTGGTTTGATTTTTTATTTTTTGAGACAAGATTCTCGCTCTGTCACGCAGGCTGGAGTGCAGTGGCACGATCTCAGCTCACTACAGCATCTGCCTCCCAAGTTCAAGCGATTCTTGTGCCTCGGCCTCCAGAATAGCTGGGATTACAGGTGTGGGCCACCACGCCTGGCTAATTTTTCTATTTTTAGTAGAGATGAGGTTTCGCCATGTTAGCCAGGCTGGTCTTGAACTCCTGACCTCAGGTGATCTAACTGCCTTCGCCTCCCAAAGTGCGGGGATAATAGGTGTGAGCCACCATGCCTGGCCTGATATTTAACTTGGAACGAATGCCTCAAAATTTTGTGATCCTGGATGCTTGGAACACACACTTAGCACATTTATCTAATGCAGGTACCAGAGACCAGATAAGACAAAAATTAAAAGTAATTCTACCCTTGCATGAATCCAGAGGCCTGTTCATATAACCAGAGACCCTGACCTTTACGTACCTTTCAACTTTCCCAGGACAGTGCCTCATCTAATAGTGACCCCCTTAGGGGTGAAAGAGACAGTCACACATAGTTATCAAAACCTAGAAAACCTAGGTTTGCTACACTAAGCTGAGATGACCACTCTGTCAGTATGAAACTTGGAGAGGGACTTTGGTAGGTGGCATGTATTACTGGGAGGCAGTTTAATCTGTTGGGACATAAGTTTAACATTCTTGTTTCTTTCCTGCTGTTGACCCTGTGAGCATGTGTAGACAGCCACTTGAACTGTCACTATCTGTATTCTCAGGACATCCTGCTAACAATTTTTTTGTTTGCTTCCTTCGAGCTAGAGGTACAGTCAGGTCACAGAATGGCTATTTTACTTGGAAACTGTATCACAGAAATCTGCATTGGCCTTCTCTCTCTGGGTGTGTGGGTAATTCTGCAAACCTCGGATTTTACTTTCAAATTTATCCACAGCTAAACCAGACTCTGCCTTTTTCTTAAGTCTAAAGAATGCATCCTAGACAAAAGGCCAATTTCAGTTGGCCTTAATTCTCCCACTGCAGCATTCCTTTAGTTGTATGTATTTGAAATTCAAGGCCTGTTCTGGTTTCAAGTACACTTCTTTAAAAGTCTAAAACAGAAATGTATTATTGGACTGATAATGCCTTATGGAGGCCAATAATGGTTTTATGTACAAGCCACAGTACTTTTTTTGTTAGTAGTTTAAGTGCCTTTGACTGTTCCTTCTCCACCCTCCCTCCTCCTCCCTCAGATTTCACTAATCATGTTAAGTAACTTGATATTGCTCTTGTCCTGCATAATGTAAGCTAACATTGGCAAAATTGATGGGGGAATGCTTCAAGGAAAGAATTTCGTTTAACAAACAGTAGTATAATTTTGTGGAGACTGCAAATGATTCTTAAACTGGAGTGCTATCAAGGAGCCTGAATGCCTCCCCTCTAAATGTAGTATATCATGCAACAATATAATTTTTTAAATATTTGGAGAGAAAAGATCACCTACCATCCCACTACTCTAACCCAACTATTTTTAGTTATTATTTTTTAGTTTTTGTTGCTTGTATACATTGTTTTAACCGTTACCATCTTCAAATACATGCCATGTTGAATTTTGCGTTTTTTTCTTTAAAATAGTACAAATATTGCTCTATAGTTACACAGTTGTGTGTGTGTGTGTGTGTGTGTGTGTGTGTGTGTGTGTGTGTGTTTTAAGACGGGATCTTACTCTGTCACCCAGGCTGGAGTATAATGGCATGATCCCAGCTCACTACAAACTTCTGCCTCCTGGGCTCAAGTGATTCTCCCACCTCAGTCTCCCAAGTAGCTGGGACTACAGGTGCACACTATCACACCTGGCTAATTTTTTAATATTTTTGTAGAGGCAAAGTCTTGCTGTGTTTCCCAGGCTGGTCTCGAGCTCCTGGGCTCAAGTGCTCTACCTGCCTCAGTCTCCCTAAGTGCTGGGATTACAGGCATGAGCTACCGTGCCAGGCCTATACAGTCTTATTTTGAGGGCCACATAATAATATCATCATATAGAGATGTTCCTTAATTTACTAAATCATTTCTGTGTTACTGGATCTGCAGAGATTGTGTCTGTATTTTGGCTGATACCATCAGATCTGTAATCAACTTTGAGTTATTAGCCACTTTTCTCCTAGTGACCAATTTCCTTGGGGTGTATGGAAGTGAGATGCTTGGACAGAGGGAATGGAGCACCACCTTTATGGAACTTGTGCTGCCATGTTGCTTTGTGTAACACCACTAGCCACAAAGAAGGTTCATGGTTTTAGGAAAGACTACTTTTTCAGCTGCTCCTACCAGTTCTGGGCTGGACACTTCCTGAGTTTCTCTCTAGAGAGAGGGCCTCACCCAACATCCCCTTGTATAGACTACTTACGGGAAGATTTTCTCAAGGAGAAAATATATCAGTCACAACTAAGTTCCCTACTCTTGTGAAGGAAAATATTCTACCCAATGGGCAAAGGATATTCCACCCTGACCACAATGCTTTTATAAGCATAGGGTAGAGGAGTTCCTTCAACACGTAATTTATTTATTAATTACAAAGTAGATTTTTATCAAGGGAGAGGGGTTCTGCTGAGATACCAGAATGGTTAAGAGCCTAGCTGTAGAGATGACTTCCAGCCCCTCCATTTACCTGCTGTGTGACTGCAGGCAAGGTACTTAACATTCCTTATCTGTAAAATCATCATCATATTCTTATTCCCATCTCATTGGGTTTTTGGGAGGATCTAATGTGATTCTTCATCTAAAGAGCTTACTACAGTGTTTGCACAGGCTAAGTACTCAGTAAGTCTTAGCTGTCAGTATTATATCACAACATACCATTTATTCCCCTATTCTTCAAGGTCCATGAATTGCTTGACTACTATAGCTCTTGTTACTCTTGTTTTCCTTGAACTTCATTAGATCTAGGAGCTGTCGCTAGGGTTAACTGTAGGCTTGAGTTGAGCAATAGATTCTTTTTTACAAGGATTTCCCCAACTGGAGTGTATGAAAAGGGGCTGTACTAGTTTTTTTTTGTTTTGTTTTTTGTTTTGTTTTTTTTTTGTTTGTTTGTTTGTTTGTTTTGAGACAGAGTCTCACTCTGGGCTGTACTACTTCTTTGTCCTCTTAATGACTACTTTTTTTTTGAGGGGGTGGGTGGCGGCGGTACCTGTAGGTTTAGGTTAATATTAAGCTTTCTCATTCTATCTTCTATGTCTCTTATCCTCACTTATTATCCTACTTTTTCTTTCTCTGTGCTTCATTTTAAGGATAATTTCATCAGATATATCTTCCAGTTAACTAATTCTCTCATCAGCTATTTTAATGGTTCCTTTGATACATATTTTTTATATTTTAGACCTGCTTAATGTGTATTTATATCTGTCTATCGTTCATAGTGTCTTGTTCTTTTCTCATTTTTATTCTCATTTTATTTTACTATTTAGGTCTTTATTTTTACAAATTGTGTCATGTATTCAGTAACTGTATTAAATCAAATTATTGGGGAAATTAGTTCTGTTTTTTATAACTGTTGGTTCTCTCCCATGGTAGATTGTATTCTTTCATGTTTTTATATTTTTGGAAGGTAATCTCGTTATCAGGAGGGCTTTCTCTGTGGGAAATTTATATGGCCTGATGTGAGTCATTACCTTCCAGAGTGGTTTTGCATTTGATTCTCCTGGGGTGCTTCCAGCTCCAAACTGCTTATTTAATTCATTTAAAAATATTTTTTAAAAGATTTTAAACTTTCTGAAAAATGGCAAGTACAGTACACAGAACCCTCCCCCCTACAACCACTTATTTGAGATTAAGTCACTGATATGATTCCCCTCATCCCTGAATGTCTAGACCCCTGTTGTATACAATCACTTTGCAGCTTGAGAGTGGATTCCACTCAGGTGGAATCACTGACCACTAGTTATGTAATCTCAGGTCAGACTCCTCCAGCCGCACCTTCACTCCTACCCCCACCTTAGAGACAGACCAGCTTTCTTGCATCTCTCTGTGCTGGTGGGTGGATTTTTCTC
This sequence comes from Homo sapiens, assembly GCF_000001405.40. Taxonomy (NCBI): domain Eukaryota; kingdom Metazoa; phylum Chordata; class Mammalia; order Primates; family Hominidae; genus Homo; species Homo sapiens. The sequence continues at coordinate 130,266,158 of NC_000008.11, read as the reverse complement.
TTCCCTAGTTCACCTTTCATTGAGATTGTAGTCCCTCAAGAGGTCCAACTTTGGGAGGGAATCTAAGTTTCAACCCCGCACCTGTGGGTCATTTTTTGCTGTCTCTGCAAGAGTGTTGAAACCTAAGCTCCCTTAGGTTACCAAAACAATGGAAAAGGGCTGTGGCAAAATCACCTCACATGCTTACTGCTTACTCACTATGGATGTTAGCCATACTTTATCCAGAACTTCTGTGTGCTTTATGCTGTAACACTGGAAGTCCTTCTTTGCTTTTTTCGGGGGAGACAGTTTCACTTTCGCCCAGGCTTGAGACTTGAGTACAGTGGCGCAGTCTTGGCTCTTCAGCCTCGACCTCCCAGGCCCAGATGATATCCCCACCTCAGTCTCCTAAGTACTTGGGACCACAGGCTTGTGCCACCTCACCTGGCTACTTTTTGTTTAGCGAGACAGGGTTTTGCCATGATGCCCAAGCTGGTCGCTGGTCTTGAACTCCTGGGCTCTAGCAGTCTGCCCACCTCAATCTTCCAAAGTGCTGGGATTACAAGTGTGAGCTGCCAAACCTGACCTTTTTTTTTTTTTTTTTTTAAAGACAGGGTTTCACTCTGTTACCCAGGCTGGAGTGCAGTGGCACCATCATAGCTCACTGCAGCCTTGAACTCCTAGACTCAAACAAACCTCCTGCTTCAGCCTCATGAGTCACTGGGACTGTAGGTGTGTACCACCACACCCTGTTACTTTTTTAAAAATTTTAGTTGAGATGAGGTCTTGCTATGTTACCCAGACTGGTCTCAAGCTCCTGGGCTCAAGCAGTCCTCCCATCTCAGCTTCCCAAAGTGCCAGGATTACAGGGGTGAGCCACCACACCCGGCCAATCTTTGCTTCTTTATCTTGTTTTGGGGAAAGTATGATGGGACACCCTCCCAAATCCTGATTGCTTATTTAATCATTCACTTCTAGAAACATTTATGAGCATCTCCTGTTATTCTGCCTGCTCTAGGTGCTCTGGGGAACTGAAGGGAACAAGCTCCCCCATCACAGTTCCTATTTAAAGCTGCCAGCAGCCCTTTGTTGCCATGAGAAAAGGGCCACATCCTTGGCTCAGTTCACAATATTCTTTGAAAGATCTTTTTCTTTTTTACCACTTCCTTGTACACCAGTAATTTTAGTCTTCATAGCTTCTCCTCCCATACTTTGCCTGTGTTCCTCCCTCTTTCTTAAGATGTTTTTCTTTTCCTTTGATTCTTGGGGGTCATTTACTCTTCAAAGATGGTGAAATGCCACCTTCTCCAGGACATTCTCCCTGACTCACCCAAGTAGGGCTTCTGGAACCCCTTTGCGTACATAGTGATCATCGTGTGTTGACATTGTGGTTTACTTGTGATGCACCAGCACTGTCACCCGGCATGTTTCTAGAAGGGAAGGATTCACCCTTTCTCATGTTCATATTCATGGGTTGAGGATGAGGAGCAAACACATTATTTATTAGCACATAGTGAAGTGAATTGAAACAAAATGAAATATGTTGTGCGTGAATATCTGGTAACATTTCAAGAATACAGTTATAGTTCCAAAAAAAGCTTAGATAACCATTGCTTGCTAGTATTGATCAAGAAAGGAGAGACAAAGTAGGCTTCCACAGTCAGAGGTGTTGCTTGGGCCACTTTTCCTTCCAAGCACTATTGGTATCTAAGCAGGCAGAGGAAAGGGAGGATAAGTCCTGCTAGCCAAGTCAGCTGCCTGGCACGCACGACTGCCTTTGCTGACTGAGAGGACTTGGCTGGCCTGAGAGTCGTGTCCATCTGGACAGAGTGCTGGTGACCACAGGATCCTATATAGATCCCAGCAGCGTTTTCTGACAGGTCAACCATGGAAGGACCAGGTGAAATGAAACATCAGCACTTTTCTCTCTCCATTTCCAATCCTATTTAGGAGCCTCCGTTGTTTAGCTAGCATTCTTGATTTGATTTGCCTTTAGGTTAAGCCCATCTCTGATGTTCTGAAATTTCATTCTCTTCTCCTTATCTGGAGGTAGCACTCAAGAAAGACATGTGTGTTGTGTCTCTCTGTTGACCTCCACACCATGTCCTGTCCATCATATTTAGGAATCCTCTGCCTTTTCCAGTTGTGGTTTTTTCCTCCTCACTAGTTTTAACAGGGGCTAGAACCTAAGTTGTCAGTGTGTGCACCACAGAGGTCTGTGGCAAGAAGAATGTGTGTGAGTCATTGGCCTGTCATTATTGTCTACGTTACTTTAGACACACTGAACTGCTCTGAACCTCGGTTTCCTCATCTGTGAAATATGCCCACTTTTCAAGGCAAATTTGTTGTAAAACAGATGTAAAGTGTCCCTCTGTGCATAGTTGGTAGAAGGCACTGGAAGTTGTTATTGTGGAATGCATATAGCATGGTGAATAAGCCCTAGGATGTAGAGCAAGACATTGCTGAGCTTGATTCCCTGATCTTGCTACTTAATAGCTCTGTGGCCTGCAGAGGTTAATAATACTCACTTCATAGGGTTTTTAGGCTTAAATAAAATAACAGAGAGAACCATTTCAGTTAGGCTCCCTAAGTGAGCAAAGGCTCATTTAAACTTACTCAAAAGTGGTGGTTGGTGGGGGATTAATTCCAGCCACCTCCTGGTGTCTCTCAAGGATGTCTTCTTTTTTGTATTTATGTTTTGTTCTCTTCACACTCATGCTGTACCCAGACTTGCCTTTGCTTGTTGCATCTTTTTTCTACACCTAGTTGTAGTTTGTGTTCCTTCAGTAAAATTTGTGCATGGCCCATCATGGTCTCTTCTCTGTCAAATTCTCTTCTCTAGTTCAAATTCCTGAGAGGGTGGGATCTGACTGGCCCAGCTCATCTTTTTTTCCTCCAGCCACATCTTGGGTTGCTGGGAAGCCTTTGGGTCATGCTACCTTCCCTGGTTCAGTTAGCTATAGCTAGGAGAAAAGTGTGGCCCTTTGGTCCAGAACCTGGCCACCTGATCTCTGAATTTGGGCATTTTGAAGGTAAGTTTTGTGATCAACACACGTAATCAGACACTATATGCCAAGTCAAAGGGAGCTATTCATATTAGTAAATTCATATTCGTATTAGTAAAAATCAGGTATTTCTGGGGATGGATCTTTTTCTGTTTCCATGTTGTACAAAAGCAGAAATATTCTCAACGTAAGGGGTTAAGGGTAACTTTTGATTTGAGGAGTGATTTCTCTCTTGGTCCAGGGCAGATCTTTGGTTGGAATGTTGCAGACCCTGGTGCAATGAGTCAAAACTTCCACTGGTTTGCATTTTTCATTAGCGCGTCATTCAAGGAAATCCTGTCTTTAGGGTCATGGAACAGGCTTTTGTGTTTATGCTTCTGCTGAAGTAAAAAATGTGAAGCATTTAATAATGCATCTGAAAATAAACTTGTATTTGAGGTCTGCTCTCTTAGAGCTTTTGGGGGGAATTTTCAATGGAGCCTATTTTATAAATATTTTCAAAATTCTGTTATACCCTTTATCCCAACATGGATCATGGAAAGTAAGGGGTTCTTTTAGTCTAAATATTAGTTAAAGACATTTGAGGAGCTAGGAATTCCAGTTAACATTCAAAGGCTACTTTCTTCATACTTGATAATTATTTTCTACCTCAAGCATTCACTTGAGGAGAGAGTAGTGAATAAACCTTCTGTCTAACCTATCTGAAATTCCACAGGTTCTCTCTCTCTCTCTCTCTCTCTCTCTCTCTCTCTCTCTCTTTTTTTTTTTTTTTTTTTTTTTTTGAGATGGAGTCTCACTGTTGCCCAGGCTGGAGTGCAGTGGCACAATCTCGGCTCACTGCAACCTCCATCCCCCGAGTTCAAGCTATTGTCCTGCCTCAGCCTCCCAAGTAGCTGGGATTACAGGCTCCTGCCACCGTGCCCGGCTAGTTTTTGTATTTTTAGTAGAGACAGGGTTTCATGATCTTGGCCAGGCTGGTCTTGAACTCCTGACCTCGTGATCCACCCACTTTGGCCTCCTAAAGTGCTGGGATTACAGGTGTGAGCCACCGCGCCCAGCCGGTACTCCCTTTTTTAATAGCACTGGAAACATGAAGACAATGTATAAAATACATTTTTTCCCTCATATGCTGGTTGTTAGCAAGTGAAAAAAGTATTCATAGTTTGTATTCTCCATATATTTATATATTGTCTAGCAGTTAAGTTTTATACCTGTTTACCATATTCCTTTTGTTCATTCTGTTTATTATATATATATGATATGTAGGAATTGTGAAGTAGCTTGGGGAGAGGTTCAACTGTCAGTAGTCATAGAACTAAGAACAAAAACTAACATAGGGAGGGAGGGAGATCCCTTGACTATAATCCTAACTCCTTCAGAATCTCTCCGCCCCAGGTCCCTTGCCCCCCTCCACACAGGCTTCCATGTAGGCACTCACACTATTTGCATGAACTCTCAAGATTGTATTGTGTATCAGAGTTCTTACTCTCTGTTGACTATATGATTGCCTCAGGGTACTTCCACCTGAGGAGTTATCAGCCTCTAATTTAGATGGGCCAGAGTGTGTGTTAGGTATCTCTTGTATGAGGTCTTCCTGGTCATCTTTACTCACAATCAAAGATGCCCTGGGTTTCCCTAAGCCTACCCCAAGCCACTTGCTCACTCATCACCCCATTCCCGTATTTTCCGAGCCTCCCACCACCCTACATCTCCCTTCTAGTCCTTTTCAAACCTACCCCCTGGAAGTAGAGTTGGAATTTATTGGGTGGTTAAGTCATCACATTAGGTGCAAGTAGCATATAGGCAGAAATGCCCTTGAAAGTTGCTTAGGAAGATTCCATGATGGAGGCTTACATATCTGGGTGCTTTTCCCTTCAGAACATTATTTATTCATTTGAGCACCAAAGTAACTGGCCTGTGTTTAGGGGCTATGATGTCATGTGTACACATACATCGCCATACACACATATATTTAAACTGGAATCACTTTCAGAGTAGTGGGATCCTTGGAATATGAGAGAGCATGCAGGAGCTGAGGGGCCAGCAGATTCCTTAATCATCTTTCACAGTCTCACTGGCATGGCTTCCTCACAGTGGGGTCTGTGACTAGTAATTGACCTCTCCCCACAGACGTTTTTTGAGAATATATAATTGAATAAATGTGGACTGCATCTCTGCGTAAAGTTGATTGAGGAATGAAAGACCCTGGGAGACTTTGAAATTTCCTGGAAATACAGTGTTTTATCTTGAGGGGGGGAAAAGCAAATTTGGTTTTATGCACCACAATATAGTTTATGTCTGTTTTAATATAAAACTTCTTTCTCCCAAAAATCTTCAGTGCCTGTGTTCATCCCGTGGCTGGATGTGCCCTGGTATTCCTTTGTTTATACTGTAGTGTACTGGCTGGAGAGCGCAAGTGGTTCGGCACATAGAGACAGACCCTGGGGATCCCTTCAGAGGCCAAATTGATCCATGCTTTTGAGGCTCATCCACCAAGTATCTGAGCTGAGGGACTTACTTGCTAGCCTGGGCCAGTGCTCCCCACAGTCTGAAATTCCAGTTACATCTCAATAGAGGGAGAAGCCACAGGAGTGGGAGCCACACCCAGATTTAGTCCTGGTGCTAACCCGTCCAAGTTATGTGAACTTAGGCAAGTCATTGAACCTCTCAGGATTTCAGGTTTTGCTTTTTTATTATTTTTAATATGGCAATTAGAATATGTTACCTCTAAGGTCTTACCAGCTCTGTTAGTCAGTAAGATGGGATGAGCTTTTGGCTGTTAAGAGAAAAGTGGCTAAAACATTGTTAGCATGGAGGCTGAACTGCAGTGAGTATAAGAGAAGAGAATGGCACAGAGCTCATTTATGGTCTAGTAGCCCAACAATCAGAGTGCACAGTGATTTGATTGGAAGAGACTGTGATGGTATAGAATACACCCCTGTTGTGAATACTCTCTCAGGTTTTACTCAGATCTATTAGTTCATTATTATACACCTTACATTGTAAAGATCTTATACTGTCACAGAAATAACAAGAAACATTGGGAATAACTACTGAATGGAAAGAAAAACATAGATTCTTAATGGGTTTTTTCCCATAACTGGACAATGTATAAATGAACAACATTGTCCTTTTTTGTTCTTTTCAAAAAGAATAGGAAGTTAACATATTCTTTATCCATTTTCCCTAAAGTTTTTGGAAGAGAGAAGAGTCACTTGGCAAGGAATTTTAAAATAATTTTCGGTGCTGCCTATGACTGATAGATAAATGCACTTAATTTGAAAGCCTTAGTATTTATTTATCCTCATGAGCATTATCCACAAAGGTACAGTTTGCTTGTCTTAGAACTCTTGGCCTGTATGTGTGAAGTTCATTGAATTAAAATCTAACCTTTTATACTTTCTTTCTCAAGTGAAGACATTGTAGAATTGCACACACTGTCGCCCCTTCCTGTCCATTATAAGCAACTAAAATGTTTGGAAGTCATGTGAGGCAGTGGGGCATAGCTAATTAGTCAGCTAGCATGACAAGATAATGATGGTTCATTAGGTTGGGTTTTAAAGAACAGCATTTCTAATTTATGCCAATTTTACTTGAAATTTTTGTACAGTCATAACCAGCCCACAAAGGGCACTTGTTGGATCAGAGCCCTGCTTTTTTTGTTGTTTTGTTTTGTCCATCTACAAACTTCAAAGTCAGCAGGAGAGACCTTGCATCCAGGGTGATTTCAGTGTAGTCTCACAAAAGAGGCCTGGCAAGGGTTTAAAGTGAATTTTAAGCATTTTAGCATCCACTTTGAGGTTTTCTTTTCATAGAAGGAACTCGTGAGAAATAACTTGTTATTAGCTAAAATAAAAGGGGACAGATTTAAAAGGAGTAGAAAATAGAAGATTGTTTAAAGCTTGTTGGGAGCAAATAAAGATTTTGGGGAAAATCCCAAGGGAAATTCTCTGATATTTAGAAATCCCAAAGCACAGAGGAAGAAAATTCAGCCCATCTTAGTGAGTGAGTCATCACTTTATTTTCTGAAATAGAGGCAGATTGTTATTTCTCAAATCAGCTCAGGTCATGAATTTTGTGAACCGTACTCTGTGGGGAGATTTTTTTTTTCTTTAAAGAGTTCTCTTCTTACCCCCAGCCATCAAAAAATTAAAATACCATAAGCAAATGGACACATGCTCCTCTGGAATTTATTTTTGGAATCGATGGGGCAAATAGGGAAAAGGCCTTCCTACCACTTGCCCCAAAATTGGGGAGGAGAGGAGTAGGGAAGGCATAAGAAACATGGGAATCGAAACAAGGACATTTCCAGTTTTGCAGGGAAGAAATCAGCAAATCAGTCAACCACCACGTATGTTATCTATTTACTGTAAGAACCCAAAACCATTCCATTTGGAGTATAAGAGATGTGTGAGAGACAGTCATAATTTCATGGAGATACAGTCTCAGAACTGATAAGTACTATTTGTTGAGCACCTACTATGTACCAAGCACTTGCTCCATCTTTGAACCTCCCATTCACCCTGTAAAATAGTGGGATGAAGATCCTCAATCCCAAAGGGAGTAGGAGACATACCCAACTCACAGAGCCCTTCCGAGGTAGAGCCTGAATGCAGACCAAGTTATCTGGGCTCTCGTCTCTGTTGTTTCCACTACACTTACATGAAACAACTGGAAAGTAATGAAGGATACACTCAGTGTTTTAAAACATCCGTGGGACTTAAGGGTGGAGGAAGTTTAGTGAATTATCAGGGTGGTCTGTGACAGCTTCACAGCTAGAGTGTACATTTAACTTCTTCAAAAGAAGGCAAGGGTGAAGGTGGCTGTGTTAAATATGCCAGGGCAATGGGTGTAAACAGGGACTGTCCTTGACAAACCATCCTGGGTCACGTGCAGAATTCTTGGAGGAGGTAGACTGCAGGGGATGGGCTGGTTGACGATTGACTTTTCTCCTCAAGCATCTAAACGTGCCCTAACGTCTTCCATTATGGAGCTGGGGCCAGGTGTCAGCAAACTGGTTCAGTGGCAGCTGGAGAACCTAAAAAGGCATTGTGGGCCTCTGTAGGCCCACTGACTGTTGTTGCTGGAAAAAGGTGAGTTCAGATCAACCAGGGCCTTCTATAGGAAAAGCTGATCTTTTAAATTTTTATTTTAAATATCCCAAGTTTTGAAATGTTTGTACACTAATACACAAATTTACAAAAGATATTATACAGGCCATGTAAAACACCCATGGCAGGTTGAATTTGGATTTGGGGCCCCACATTTGCAATCTCTTCTTTAACAGATTTGCTAGAATATTGTGGTTCAAGTGCATATAACTAACATGTTACATGGAGAACTACTTCTGAGATTAGTAGGCACTTCTAAAAAATAATGGGGGGGGGGTGCTCTTGAGTCCAAATCAGTTTAGAAAATATTGTGTTAAAGAAACATTTTTTAAAAAACAGAAATGTAATGAATTTTAGTATATTAATGCTTTTTGAATTTTCGAAAGGAGATACAGCTTGGAGTATTTCCCAAATTTACCGACTGTAGATCCCTTTTTTTCGCAACAGCATTAATTGGGCTAGTTGGGCACAGATTTTGAGAAATACTGATCTCAATGAATATTACTCAAATTTAAGTATTTTCTAAATATGTCAAAATTTCTAAATCCTGTTTTTTTTAACCAGACCTATAAAACAGAAGCTTATGAAGTGAAATATTCTTTATGAAGTACTGTGCCTAATACCAGATCCTCCAGAGTAGTGCTTTGTGAAACATTAGCCAAACTATGTAAATAAATGTAGTTGGATTGTGACTGGTTTTGAACTACTTGTTTGTTCTTAGTGGACCTTGTCATTGGATATTGGGGGAACTGCTTGCTCATTTTTGAGAAGTAGAGTAATTTGGTGAATCTCTGGGTTGTGTAGATAGTAAAATGTTGCTTGACATTCTATTAAGTAGTACCATAATGACTGGATTGTATTTTTAAAGAAATAAAAGATTTACTTGGGGGTGTATATTATAGTTACTGCTCTGGGCCCACACAGGCTCCAAAGACATACCCTCTAAATATGTGACTTTACTGTATTATCAGCGTGGACATTTGGAAAACAGTTACATTAGTTTTTATAAAATTATGGGTTATAAGAAGGTACATTGATATAGTGTGGGAAATTTTAAAAAAGGGAAGAAATGATGCTTCTTTACCACCTTTAGCACTCCAGCTCCATTTTTTAAATGTTGGGATTGGAAATGGAAACACACTTCTTAAATCATCGATATCCCTTTAATTTTACTCCCAGCGGTATATTAAATAAAACTTTCAAAGGAAATTTGTCCCCTCCCTTTATAGTATAACTCAATCCACAAAATGTAATTTAATAAAAGCTTATATATATATAAGGATATATATATATATATATATATATATATATATATATATATATAAGAATGTGTATATTCAGGAAGAAGATTTTGAATTTTCTTTATCCTTCCTGACTTCAAGCTATATTTTTCTTTAAATATGTTCTAAAATTTACTACATACTTAGCTTCTAAGTGAATACATTTTTGCCCTGGAAATTTTATCTCCAAGGCAAAAATACTAGAGGGAAGCATTCGTGTTTTAAAATATTTTGTATCTAGCCACCTAATAAGTGGGATTGAGGTAACCTATCACAGTCCCCAAGGTCAAGATTATCTCTGTATTTCTCAACTCTTGAATATTGTGCCAAATGAATGAATTCAGAGTGGTGATGGAAGTTCCCCCACCGCCCCCCACCCCCCAGATCCTCTGCAGATGTATTCCCCGTTCAAGTAAGCTTGGTATACCAGAAGTCTGAATGTATGAGCTAGGGACAAGGGAGACTGACCATTTGCTTTACAAAAGTACTCATTCTCCTAAAACAAAAAACCTGAGGAAAACATCTCTGAAGTGTTAGTGTGCATCTTCAAGGAAAAAGGTTTAATTTATAGAAAACTTCATCAACTCTTGCGAACAGGAAGATTTATGTTTACGGAAACAATACCTAGTGGAACATAATGTTCATTAGTGCTTCAGGGCAAAGGTTGGTACCTCATCCCTGTCTTCCTCAAGTTAATATTGAATCGTTAGGTCCCTGGGTCTGTGAACATTCTCTCACTCTCTTCCTAATAAGATATTCTGTCTGAATTGGCCGTCCTGAGGGAGCTTTGTTTGAAAGGGTGCATGTTAAGAACCAGCTGTTCTGTGTGTGTGGGAGGAGTGGGTGTTGGGAGCAGGGGTCCATATTAGCCATTGGACCCTTTTAAGATACCTTCACTTTGAGTTAACCATATCCTAAATTGCACTCACATGTAATTTGCAAGAGGATTAGTTAGATTTTTGTGACATTTCTGGTATGTGACCATCTTTTTAGAAGTCAAAAACTTAAGCAAGACTTTTTGTCAGTGTTGCGACTTAGGGACATAAATTATTAGTATCTGAAAAAATACTATTCGTGTTTGCTGATAATTCATAATCATATTTTTAAACACACACAACTTAAAATTATTTTTCATAAAAGCAACTTTTTGTTATTTGACATTCATCCTGAAAATTAGGCTTTTATAATCAGTACCATTAATGAAAGTGGAAAAACTGACCATTAAGCTAATTTTTGACAGGAGTGAATAGGAGACAGATGATCTATCAGAGTGATACAATGCTATGCAACTGCTGAAGTAGCCATGCACATGCAGGAAAAAAAATATGCAAAGGTTATTTGCAGTTTAATATTAAGTGAAAAAAGCAGAATACAGGTTGCACATAAAACATTTATTAGGTACATAGAGAAAATGTACATGAACAAGTTAGGAAGCCAACAAAAAAGAAAATAGCGTTTTAGAGTGGTAGAGTTCTGGCTAAAGTTTAAGCTTTTTGTCTTTAGTTTGCTGGGTATTGTGTTCAAAACAAAAAGGAACTTGTCTTGGAGTTTTTCTTTTTGCCAGTACCAGGTGTCCTAAGTGCCTTGTGATAAGTAGGAAACAGACTTAGGGGTGAAATATATATATTTTTATTTGCTTTTAGCAATATAAATATCTTTAAGATTATGGGAGATCTGTGAACAGAATAATTTTTTAAAAACTGAATTTTGATTTGGGAGATGACTTTCGAGACATTTATTACTTATGTGGAAAGTCACTTAGTCTCTCTAGAGAGCCTTAATTTTCCCAGAAAGGGAAGATGGGGATAATATTTTGGCAGTTGGGGAAATCAGAAGCACAGTGGTAAAAATGGCAAGATATAAGGTATTATTTTGTTTTTGAATAATGGTAATATCATTTGATGCCATCCTGTGTTCTAAGTTTAAAGTTGTTAGATTGGTTGTTGCTACTTAAGAAAAACTCATTCAGAGAGTTAGGAAGGAAAAACCAATAGCTTGAAAACCTGTGTACCATTTTAAGAGTTACTTGATGTTTGGTAACTTCTCTTTACAAATTGAAGCCTTAGATAAAAGTACTGATTTAGCTAAAAAGTCCTTGATTTAGCACTGTTTACATAAGGGTCATAATTTACAGACTATTTGCTGAAAGGGGACCTTTTGAGTTGAATTTTATTATTTTTATTTTGTTTAATGTCTGGTGCTTTTTATCTTCTAATCTTTTAATGTATTTGTTTGCAATTTTGGGGTAAAACTTTTTTATCAGTACTTTTTCTTTGAAGTTTTAACTATAAATTTGCCTTTTTAATGAATGTGTGAAGTTATACTGTGGTTCATGCCGCAGCTATCATTTATGCAAGTCTTACTTTGAATTAGTACCATAACAGACCACTGTATGATTACTTCTCACCATTTGAGTTTCCCTTCTTGTTTTATACTAGTCACATTCTTGTTTTAAGTGCCGTGAATTTTAACAATGCACTTTTTACAATGCTCTTTCCTGAATTTATTAATTAAATAAAAGCATCTAAAATATATTTAAAAAGAAAAACCCACTGGAATCCTTGGCAGTGGCCTTTAAACATCAGGCAGTGTTGTTGCTGTCTCTTTGTACAGACAATAGATAGCTCCTGCGCTGCATTTTTGTCACATTTTACTCCACCTTTCCTGTAATGCTTATAAGCATGGATGGCAGTCAGTAAATACATGTTGAATTATTCTGTATGTATAGGACCAAGACGTTTTATTGTCATAGGTTTTTTTTGGAGATGAAGTTTCACTCTTGTTGCCCAAACTGGAGTGCAATGGTGTGACCTCAGCTCACCGAAAGCTCCACCTCCTGGGTTCAAGCGATTCTCATGGCTCAGCCTCCTGAGTAGCTGGGATTACAGGCTCCCACCGCCACGGCTGGCTAATTTTTATATTTTTAGTAGAGACGGGGTTTCACCATGTTGGCCAGGCTCGTCATTGTCATAATTTTTTACCAGAAATATTTAAGAAAAAGTAAAATCTTAACTTCCTTAATAGCAGTGGTGCCCAAACTTTTGTACATCTCATTTGTAAAGCTTTTTGAGCGTGCATTTCGTCTTCATCTATATACATGTACATACATACCTATTTTCTGTTCTAATGCCATATAATTATACAAAATAAAAATGGCAGACGGAAGTTACAGTATTTTTCTTCCCACACCACAGTAGACCGACTTGTGTGCTGTCTTCTAGGAGATCACTAATCTAAAGAGCTTGTTCAATGGAAGGCTTTGTATCTACATCTCCCTTTTCTTTTCCTTCTATAGTAGCACCACCATTCACATAAAATTTGTTCTTGCTAACTATGTATCTGTTGGGAACTTTGGGGAAAAAAATCAAAGCGTATGCATCTGCAAATTCTAGCTAACATTTATTGAGGGTTTGCTCTCTTCCAAGTACCATTCTAAGGCACTTTATATGGATTTCTTCACTTAATCCTTATAACTCTATGAGATTAATTACTATAAATTTCCCTGTTTTATAGAGGGAGGAAACTGAGGCACAGCCGGGTTAAGTTTCTGGCCCAGGTCATGTAAGTAGTGGAGCTAGGATTTGACCACAGGCGGTTTGGCTCTAGATTTTGTGTTCCAAACCATGTTATTTAAATTCCAGCATCTAGTTGGTAGCTATGTGATTCTCCATCTCAGACAAAAATTGTGTAACTAAGCCTGAATGACTGTGAGCCATGCATAGCATATTTTGAATCATTTAGGTCAAGACCCAGACAAATAGGTTTATTAGGACATTATAGGATCTTAGAACTGGTGGGAAGCTAAAAGGCTTGGTGGTTTCCAAACTGTTCCAATCTGTTGTCTTTTGAAGTAGGATCCTGTAAGTTCTTACTGTCCTGAAAAGATGTGACTCAGGAAACTTCTTTCCAGTCTGGGTTTTAATTCTTTTAAGGAACTCTCACTGTGTTGTAACATGGAAGTGGTGTTTTCATGAGTATTTTTTTGGTCTTTAAATACCTTGTTGTACCTATAATTATTATTTTCCCAAGAATGGGACTGAAATTGCATCAAGATGAACAAGCCATGGTGCTTGTGGGTGGGTGTGCTAACTCCGAACTTTAAAACTACAACAGAAATTAGAGGTTCACAAGGTAATTGCTGTGATTACAGTTTTCTTTTGGGCCCCAGACAGGAGCTCTTGAAACACAATATTCTACTAATTTTTTAAATGTACAGTTCACAAGGCAACATGGAGATTACTGAGAGTATGTACCATTTCTGCCTTGTTTTCTATGAAAGTTAACATATTGTTGGGTCCTTTGAAATTGCTCAGGAAAAAGCAGGCATTGCATGTATTATAAGACACTGTTAAGAGGATTAAAAATATTTTAAGTACTGAATCAATCTTTTAATATTGTATAAGGAAATTATTTTAAAAGAAAAAATTTTCTTAATTACAACATAGCACAGCTGTTAAACATCTGTAGGTACCTCTCTGCACTTTACAGTTCTAGATAATTTACATTATTATAATACATGTAACTTGATGTTCTAAATTATGATATTTTATGATATCTGCACATATGTATTAGACAATAAATGATAGACCTTTGTCCATTCTAATTTGTTCCATACATAATTTTTAGTAACCATAGAGTCCTTCCTATTTCTATTTTATTTTAGTTTACCATTTTACTGTTGTTGGATTTAGGTTACTTCTAACTTTCTATAAAACACTGCTAATGATGATTTAGAACATTTGATAATACACATCCTTTATTATTGAGGAAATGGCAACAGTTGTTTTGAAAGGAATTATCAGGACTGGATTTACTATGTCAAATGTAAGGGTGGTTTTGTGACTTGAAATATAATTTGTCTTCTGTATGGTTTGTGGCCATTTCTCCAAAGCCTCTCCATTCACCAAATTTCTTTTTTCTATTTCTTACAGCTTTAGAAGGATAAAAAATGCATTTTATTATTGTTCCATGTGGAATTTTAAACTTATCAGTGCAATTGAAATTACTTGCATATGTTTGCTATTTTCGGTTTCTTGTGTTAATGTTTTTTGTCCCTCTGTTCTTCTGGGTCTTTATAGCAGCAACATAAGAATTCTACATCCTAAGTATGTATTAGAGATGTCAACTTCGATATGTCTAATGCATGATTTTTGTTGTATTTTTCCCTCTTAGTTCTTTTGTCTTGGTTTTGTTTGTTCTATAAAAATTGATTACAATTATTTATCTTTTTGCTGATAGTATCTGTTGTTGACATCAGAAAATTGTCAGACCTCTTTAGCTGATGTACATAGTATATTTTTTTGAGGCCTAACTTTGTTCAGTTTTTTAAAATTAATTTATTATTTATGTATTTATTTATTTATTTTAAGACAGAGTCTCACTCTATCGCCCAGGCTTGAGAGCAGTGGCTCTACCTCATCTCACTTCAGCCTCCTCCCCCCAGGTTCAAGCACTTCTCCTGCCTCAGCCTCCCGACTAGCTGGGATTACAAGTGCCCATCACCACATCGGGCTAATTTTTGTATTTTTAGTAGAAATGCGGTTTCGCTATGTTGGCCAGGCTGGTCTTGAACTCCTGACCTCAAGTGATCCACCTACCTCAGCCTCCCAGAGAGCTGAGATTATAGGCGTGAGCCATCACGCCTGGCCCATTTTAAAAAATTTAGTGTTCTATATTGGTGTTCCAAAAAACATTGTTCTGCAGGTGTGCAAAAATAAAAACAAAACTAGGTATTCTGATTGTAATTAGTTATTTAATTATTTACTTTATCTTTGTTGGGAATTGTTGGAGTATAGAGTTAAACATGTTTCTTTAAAACATTCCAGTCTTTGATAGCCTGACGTGCATTCAGTATCTCCAGGAAAAAGATATCGTTAGAATGTAGTATTTTCCAAATTTACCATTTTACAAATGGTAAACAGATTAATTGTTTTCTCCAGAATACTTTCCAGCATCTCTCAGAAACAGTTTTCTACAAATCACAGGGTAGGAACTGCTGGTTTAATTCATTTGGATTTTTTTTTAACTCCATCAGTTTTTTTTATGAGAAGCAATTCTTCAGTTTTAGTAATCATCTTTATGCAAATGTATAGCCCGGGCTTCTTGGTCTCCTCTGCCAAATTAGGTCTTTCTCTCCTTATTAAAAAATAAAACAAAACAAAACCCACAATGACCAGATCTGTGGTTGGCAGCTCTGAGGTTTGTTTTGATGAATAAACAATTGGGTCTAAACTCATAATTGAAGTGGAGAAGTCACCAATGGCTTACCACTTGTATTCCCTTCAAACTTCTGTTCTCAGAAACTAGGAACATGAAGCAACTATAGTAAGCTTAGCATGCGCCATACTTGGACGTGACAAAAAGTAGAATAAAACATGTTTTTTAGTTGGAGAAGCAGTCAGACATGGCAGAAAGCACAGACTTTGGAGTTAAGCTTTCCAGGGTTAAAATCCTGATTTTTCCGTTTACTAGTTTTTTGGCCCTGGATCCCTACTTTCTGACTTAATTTCTTCATCTCCAAAAAGGCATTATTAATGCATGTCTTCTTAGATTGATGAAGTCTTTGAGTAGTAAATTCAAGGTAGACTTTTCAGAATATCTCTTGGAGGTCAGAGGATGCAAAATAGGGACACCGAAATGGCTGGAATTAGAATCTGAGCCTGACACTATGGCCTATCTTTTTAATTGCATGGAAATCTTGAATATCAGATACTTTCCCAAATATATTTCCATGTTGATGCTATTTGTGTTACTTTTTTTTAAATTAAAATTTCTTTCATTTAAAAGGAAATCTAGCATGCTAAGAGAGAAGAATAATGTTCCTAGGATTTGAAAATACGTGATTTTCAGAAATCAGAGCCAGAAGAGACTGCAGATTGGTGTAGTCTTGCACATTTGCAGGTCAGGAAGCTGAGAACCAGAGACATCTGAGGGGCAGTCAAATTTAGATGGTAGGTTCCAGTTTCTGTACACTGGGCACATCTAGATCTTCTCCTACACCCTGGGGTGCAGGGCCAGCAAGATGGCTCTACAACTGGGAGGAAGTAATATATAAATAAACACATACATATGTGTGTCTGGTATCTTAAAAGATTAATAACTGTTCTTTGTCAAGATAAAAATGTGAGGAAAATGTCATTATAACCTGGCAGGTGCTCTCATAGCACTAGTGAATGAAGAGAGATTATTTCTTAATTGGGGAAGGGGGGCAGTGAAACTTTCTTATTGGGTGATAAAACCCAATCTGAAAGGTTGAACAAGAGTTTGTAAAATTGTTAAGAAGATGATGGAGAAAATGGTGAGAGGCAGAAGTATTGTTCAGAAAAGAGAAAATTTTAGCTACTAGAATTAGCATCTCCAGAGTCATAAAGGCCAGAAAGGAGCCTGGCATGTTAGGACATCATGAACTTGGAGAACCAGGAATATAAAGTGGACAGTCACAGTGACAAGGGTGGGTTGGCTGCAAAGGCGAGTCTGTGAAAGTAGATTGAGGTGAGGCAGAGAAGGGCTTTATGAGCCATGGTTGGGGGTTCCACTTGATTCTGTTTTAAAGTCAGAGAGTGGCATGACTAGACATATTTAGAAACACTCTGCAATGGTGCGGAAGATGGATGGGTGGAGGATGAACTGCTAGAGGCTGTGGAAGTACCTGGCTGGGGCATGATTAAGTCCTAAAGTAAGACAGGAGCCCTTGGAATGGGTTTCAGTAATGCTGCAGAATAACCTGACATAGAGGCACACACTTGTAGTCCCAGCTGCTCTGGAAGCTGAGGCAGGAGGATCCCTTGAGCCCAAGGGTTCGAATCTAGCCTATTAACATAGTGAGACCCCTGTTTCTAAAAAATAGAAAGCAACAAAAAAGAAATGCTGCTGAGATTGAATTGGCAGAATTTTGTGGCCTCTTGGGAAAAGGGTTAAACAAGAGGAATGTGACTTTGGTGTCCGGGTGAACATCTTTGTGCCATCACTGTGGTACTAAATAGACATGGAGGAGGAAGAGAAGATTTGGAGGAAGCCTTGAGTTTGGGGTGTGGTCCCAGAGGAGGAAGTGGATTGAACCACAACAGAAATACTTCAGATAAGTGTTGTGATGTAATACCCAGCTTGTCTCCTCCCTTTCCAGTCTTGCCCCTTTACCTTCCATTTCCACCACAACAGCCAGAGTCATTTTTCTCAAGGTCAGAGCTAATCACGTCTTTGTTCTAAAACCCTAGAGGCTCCATCTTGGCCAAACTACGGCCTCCAGAATACAATCCAGTCTCCTTACCATGGCCCTTTCCTCCCTGTGTGATGGGTCCCAGTGTATCTCTTCATCCCTCCTGTGGCCACTTGTTTCAGGCATCTGATCTCCCTGATGCTTCTTAACAACAAGGGCCTGTTTTCTCAGAATGTTGGCATGCACGTGGTTGTTCTCTGTCTACTCCACCTTGAAGAAGAGAACATTCTTGTCTTCACCAGGTATCCCCACACCTAGAACAGACTTGATGCCTGGAGGTACAGGTCTTTGTAGATGTAGGAGCCGTATCTGCCTGTTCATTCCGCACTCCCCCCTCCAACCCCCCCGGCACCCGCCACATTCCTCAGCACAGACTGAATGCTTGAGTGACCTCTCAATGGGCCAGAGTTAGGATTAGAAATACCAGGTAGATAAACTATTCCTCTTTGATAAGTAAGCTCCTATTTTCTTTCCTGATGCCACAGATAGGCCCACTAATTCTTTTCAAGGATTTTTCTACCAATCAGTCACTCTCAGTGGTGTTTTTCAGTAAGTCACCAGTATTTTAAAGGGCACCTGGAAGCTTTCACAAGCCTGTGCATCTCCACGTGGTGTTGTGGTTGGTTATTTATATTAAGCCTATTTTCTGTATGCAGGTACACATGCCAGCGATCAGTTTTAGTGAAAATGATGCTCATTGTCAAGACTAGTTTTCAATTTGTGAAGTCCACAAAAGCTGTGGTTCCCAGGGTGTGCCTGAAGCTAAGTGGAAAGCCCCTCTGTGGTTTTAACTGACACTCACTATGCTGAGCAAAGTATTTAGCAGATAGACCTATGTGAAATGGCTGATGTGCAGCTCACGTCTGACCTGCTTGGGTGGCACAACCCCAGTGACCTGCAAGTTGACTCCTTCCCACTTTGCTTTTTATCTCAACTACTCTTTAGCTGTTTTACATAGAGCCTCCTGGAATGGGAAGAAAAAGGTCTTTGAAACTGATTGTCTAGTGGCCTGATGACTGAATCCTTGTTGTTGTTTTTTTTTAAGGGTCCTCCATCTTTTGAACCCCATTGTGTCAGGTTGAAGGGTTGGAGAGCAACATGGTTATGAATATAGACCTTGAGATCAGGAAGACCTGCTTTGGAATCCTGGCTCTCTTATTAGCTGCATATCTTAGGGCCATTCTGATGTTCAATTTTCTTATCTGTCAAACATAGGTAATAGAAACCTTCTTATAAGTTACTGTGTTGATTATATAAGATGATATAAGATTAATGGCAATGTCACATTGTCATTTTATCATCATCAATACTGGGGAGAAAAGAGACAAGAATGAACCAAAATCAGACTCTGAGGACCATTGGGGAAAGGAGGAAAAGAAGCAAACACATGTCTGTGCCAGGTATTATATGAGAAAGGTGTTAACAGTACCTTTAGTATCAGAGAGAGTGACTAACTTGACCAGGGTCACACAGTCAGTGTGTGGTAGCCAAGCAGTGACACAGGTCTCTATGACCTCAAAGCTTGTGTTTGTAGCCGTGGCTTTACACCTCTCAAGATGGTAGCTTGCCGCGTGATAGGCTATGTTTCTTCCAAGAGGCAAAGGTTGGACCTCTTAACAAATGGTAGTTGATTTCTGGAACATTAATGGTCACTTAGAACTGTGGGTACTCATAGTAACTTAGTGCCAGATGGTGTGGGACCATCAAGGATTCTACTGATTAGGTGCAGAGAATGAGCATCCCAGAGAAAAGCAAAACTTAGCTTAGCCCTCAGAGGTGGGTTGAGTTCTCTTTACAGAATGTATGGAATGGCTGTAGTTGTTTAGGATGACAGGTTTGATTTTAAGGGTTGTATTAGTTTGTTTTCACACTGGTATAAAGAACTACCTGATATTGGGTAATTTATAAAGAAAAGACGTTTAATTGACTCACAGTTCCGCGTGGCTGGGGAAGCCTCAGGAAACTTACTGTCATGGCAGAAGGCAAAGACGAAGCAAGCACCTTCTTCACAAGGCCGCTGGAGAGAGAGAGAGTGGAAGCACCGTACTTTTTAACCATCAGATCTTGTGAGAACTCACTCACTATTATGATAACAGAATGGGGGAAACCACCCCCATGATCCAGTCACCTCCCACCAGGCCCCTTCCCTGACATGTGGGGATTACAGTTCAACATGAGATTTGAGTGGGGACACAGAGCCAAACCATATCAAGGGTTTTGAAGGGGATCTGTTTTCCTTTCTCTGTACACATTGCTGAATTCTGCCATTGGTACAAAAGGCAGAGTGGTTTAATGAAAAGGTTGTTGATATGATAGGAGGCCCATACTTCACTCATCTCCCTTCACTCATCTAGTCTCTCTCGGAGTCTGCTTTTCCCATGGGGGGGCGAAGGGGAGGGAGGTAGGCAGGCCCTTCACCGCAAATGGCTTCCTTTTGCCCGTGTTACATGTAGGACTTTGTAAGACTTCCTTTACAACTCGCAGTGATTAATTGAGAGGAGTGTGCTTCATCCAGGTCGTAAGCCCTCATAAATGATTATAAAATGATTTCATTATTGATACGTGATGTGACTGACTTTTGAAAGGCAAGATGAGGCTTGGGAACCACTGTAGCCTCCAAGAGTCCCGGGGCGATTAGATAGTGAATATTTTTACGTGTGCTACCCAAACAAAAAATATGTGTTGCAATATTTACCTTAGTTAAGATGGTGCTTCCTTTAAGTGATTGTAATAAACACTAAGGCATTAAAACAAATAGTACATGAGAAATAGCAGCATTATTGAGTTCCAGTTTTCTTCTGTACAGCTTTAATTCTTGATGCTTTTAATATAGAGGCAGATTTATTTGACAGATATTTATTGAGCCCTACTCTGGGCCTAACATAGGCCCTGCCCTCAAAACGTATACACACCTAACAGATAATTTATGCCTACGTAGGAGAGCAGACTTTTGCGAGCTAGTTTTATGCAGTACCTTTTCTTTGGCTTGGGAAGTTGATAGCTTGGTGGTGTTTTCTTGGATGGACTAAATCCTTAGAATTGTTTAGGAGATATTGGTCGAAGGTGGTATGTTAAATTTTTGCCAAGGATCTGAACTGTGAAGTAACTTGTCAAGTGGGGCCCAAACCTTTCAAAGTTTAGGATTTACAGATCTTTCCTGTTCTTTGGTCAAATTCCAGCTGAGAACCATGCAGCCATTAAGCTGTAGGCACCGTAGAAGACGTTAAATGTTTCTGACAGAAATCTTTATAAGCACAGGAGAATCTTAAGGACACTTTTTATAGTCTAAAACAGCACAGATAAACATCTTAAAACCTTTATTTGCAGATAACATACCAACTTTCAATTTTGGGGCTGTGTTATGCAAATCAAATTTTATTTTAGGTTGGTCATTTCCCCTTCATGGCAGCCTCAATCAACTCATATTAATCTTGAAACTAACATGATAACATCTTTACCTCTTCCTTTCATATAAGCTGCGGCTGCCAGGTCCCTCTTCCTCTGTTGGCAAGTATTCTGCACTGCTGCTTCCTGGTTGAACCCCACTAACTGTGGGTGTTGTTACACAGGATGATTCTTAGCACTCCACACCTCAACTCCTCAAACTGCTGTAATTGGAGTTCCTATTTCTGTTCTGCTTCTCTCTGCCTCAACTTGTCTTTCCTGTCTGCACCCTTACTCCCATTCCTTCCTGGCTTGTTCCAAGAGGAGTGTCAGATAGAATGCCATGGGCGTCTTCTCCTCCAGGATTGCAGGGGTTAAAGATGGAGATGACCTAGGACAGCACCTGGCCCACAGGGGACACTCTTAGTTAGCTCCCTTCTTCTCTGCTTAATTACTTTCCAACCTTCTTTTTGTTATCCCTGGAACCCCGTGAAACTTAACTTTGCTCTTCCAAAGGTGTGCCATACAGACAGGCTATGTTTCACTCGCTTCTGTATCTTTATAGCCTAACCCCTAGCCATTGCTTAGTAAATGTTTGCTGGGTGGATGAGTGCATAGAAAGATAATTCTAGTGAGGGGAAATGATGAGACATATTTTCAGACTAGTTAGGTTTTAATTTCATTTGTGGCCACTCCACTTACCCTTTCAGATGAGGAGATAGAGCTGCTTTGGAAGGGTTTATTGTACCCACGTGGTCATTTTGGATTCTTGCACAGTCTCCAGGAATGGGCATTCTTGTTTTAATTTCAAGTAATCAGGAGATTCCGGGACCATCTGTTCACTAGTATAGGAGAGGGCAAGGCAACAAGGAGTTCATATTCACATAGTACTCAGGCCAGTTTAACTGAAACCACCAACAGGTCCTCAAATGTCAGACACAGACATAAGAGAGATATTCATTCTTTCACCTTCCATTTGTTTGCTTGTTCATTCAGTCAGCTTCCACTGAGTGCTCTAATAGGTCTGATACCATGCTACCTGTTGGGGCCTTTTAGTCTGGATCTGAAGATTACAACAGGGTGATCTATACACCCTTGATTCGGCCCTCCAGCCAGATCAGTGACTAACACAAGTCTTTAAAATGAATTTAATAGGTCATCACCTGTGAAAAGAAGGGAAAGTAAAAAAAATAATAGATATTTACTGCACATCTCCTATTGTTTTCAGTGCTGGTGACATTGCCATGAACAGGATAGCACCACCTTCTTTGAGAGATTACATTCTATTGGGACAGATCATAAACGCAGGAGCATAACAATAAGATCATTTCAGAGAGTGTTAGTTCTTCCTAGGAAGTAAGAGAGGGTAATGAATGGACAGTGACTGGGAGTTGGACCATCAGAATGTCCTTGTGAGATGGCATTTGACCTGAATGGCAGAAAAAAAGAGAGAAGGTACAAGCTAGGCCCGTTTAGATTTAGGCGAAGAGAGTTTTAAGAAAAAGATTTCAGGAGAGAGGTCAGCAATTCTAAAAGCTTTAAGGCAGGACTAGCTCATTGGGGTTAGAAAGACTGTAGGTGTGGCTGGAACATAATGAGTAGTGGAGGGTGTGGGAACAGAGGGGAGAGGGCAGAAGGCTGGGTCACGTAGGGCCTTGCAGGCAGTAGCGAGGACTTAGTTTTATTGGAAGAACAGTGAATTCTTTCATCTTTCCTTTCTTCCTCCAAAGAGAGAGAGAGTGTGTATGTGTTCATTCCTTTCATTCATGTCAGTGAATCCTTACAAAGCATCTTCTATGTGAAGAAATAAACATGAATATTATCCTGGTATTATTCTTACGGAGTTTTTAGTTGATGGAGTACAGGGAGAGACGCAGGTACTTAAACATCTAAAAAATAAGGTAGAGTGGAATGATGTGAGAAGTATGGATAAAGCAAGCCCCAGGTTAGCAATAATGAATGTTTTATGAACAACTTACTTTATCAATCTTATCAGAAGCCTTACCAGGCTTCCCATTTCTTCTAGCAAAGGGTTTTGCTGCTGCTGCTTTGCTGTGGCAAGAAGTGAGGAGGCCTGCAGCTGGTTAAGGAGAGGTAGATGCACAATTTGGTTTTCACACTTTGGCTGGTGCCTGTTGAAGCGTCTAGCACACTGAGTGGATGAATAAGTGCCTAAATGATGTAAAAACCCAAGTTTGATGATCATCAGAAAAAATCTCAGAGAAATTGGTTCCAGGATCCCCACAGATACCAAAATCTATGCACATGCAAGTCCCACAGTTGGCCTGTGGAACCCACAGGTATGGAAGGTCAACAGCACACATTTGCGTGGTTTGCCTATATCTTTCCCCTTTTTGAGGAGGAGACAGTGACAATTCTTCATTGTCAATTCTTTCTTCTGGCACCTTTATCCACAACTCTACTCATGATCACATTGGACAGTGTGAATGAATGCATAGAAAGAGCTTATGCCTTCACATTATGATTATTCACGTATATGTTCTAGCATATGGAGATTTACAATGGGTAAATAATTTACTGATTTGGCTGTGAGGCTGCATGAGAACTTATGTCACTTTTTCATCCTCTTATGCAAGTGTTAATTAGGCATCCCTAAACACATTGCTCTTCAATCCTCACTCCTCCCATCAAGGTAGCATGATTGCCCAACAAGCTCAAGGCTGAAGTAATCAGAGTCTAAACCAAAATTAGGCCAAAGTAGCATTCCCTTGCTTCCCCTATTAAAGGAATAACACATATAAGAACATTTGCCTTGTGGCGATTATGGGACAAATGCATCCATTAAAAAGCATTTTTTAAATGACCTCTCTGAATATACTATAAAGCAATACAATGGAAGCCCTTTTTTTTTCCAAGTGAGTTAAAAAAAAAAAAAAGTTGTTTTTTTTTTTTTTTTTTTTTTAAGGAAATCACTTTGGTATAGGAGTATTTGTTTCAGAGGTGTTTTGCTGTCACTGCTCCAAGTGTTTCACTGGCAACTGCCTTCTGAGGTGAGAGTAATGATAGCTGGTCATTTTTGAGCACCTGCTCCATTCAAGACTTTGTGCTAGCCACTTCTAGGCACATTAATGTATTGAATGCTCAGAGCACTCCTAGATGGTAGGTATAATTCCCTGCTACCTTGGCATATCTCTAGGAAGTTCTATGCTAATATTTTATTGTTATGTACTATTTCCTGCCTCTGTAAACATAAAATTTAGCTCCAAAGAGTTGTGGTTATTGTCTAAAATCTAATCTACCCAAAATAAAAGCAATTTTCCCACTTGAGTATATAGAAAGTGCCATAGATTTAGAAAGTAATTCTAAAATAGAAAGTCTTAATGAATAGTGGCAACAGTATTGCCATTGCTCAGTTAGCATAAATATATTTCAATAAAATATTTTTAAAGAAAGTTCACAGAATAACTATTTGAAGGCAATGTCCTGTTAAGACATTATTCTCATGACTGTATAGTCATATCTCTTCTACATATATGGCTATACATATTAGATATGTATACCTTTAAACTTTATTCAAAACCATTAGGGGAAGAATTACAGAGGACCATGTTTTCTGAATCTAGAACTATTTTGTCAACCATTTTCAAAGCAAGTCTTATGTTGCCTACTTCTCTGTTTTGTGGAGATGATTATACTGATGAGTTTATGTATTCAGTCATTTGTCGCTTCATTTCATAAGCATTTTTGAGCATCTACTGTGTGCTAGACACTAGGACTAGGAACTCAGCCATGAACAGGTTATACAAGCCCCTGCTTTCATAGAACTTCCATTCTTCTAGTAGAGAGAAAAATACCGTAAAAGCAAACAAATCATGAACAGGATCATTTCAGGATGTGGTAACACTATGGAAAAACTGGCATGACGTGCATTTGAGAGTAACCCTTGGGTGGGCCGAGGGTATACACTGCTGTAGGGTATCCTTAGAAGGCTTTTGTGGGGAAAGGACTCTTAATCCGAGGCTTGTGTAAGAAGAAAGAGCCAGTCATCCAGAGAGCTTTGGGGAAGAGTTCTAGGCAGAGCAATCAACTAGTTCAAATGTCCTGAGCAGGCATGGTCAGATTCATACGCGTCTCTGAGAACATCTGCTCTTACACTCTGCTGTGACTGAGGGATACCACTCGGCCTGGAGAGGTATGCTACCCTCCTTGTCCTCAAAGTCTCAAGGACTTTTCTGTCCTTATGGTCTGGTTTGTATAATTTTTCTACATCCTTTTGGCTGTCAGCTCTCATGTAGTGCCTCTGTCAGTATGGCTTCCTAGCAGCCTCTCTCTGATTTGCAGCAGCCTGCATCTTCTCTGGGCCTAGATTCAAATGACAAAACTTGTTAGGACTATGTGTGAAATAAAAGTAAAAAGTCTTCGTATCAAGGTTGGAAGTGCTCTCCTAGACTACCATCCCTGATCCTTAGTTATGTAATGTTAAAGAGAATGTAATAATGCCGTATGGCACAACTTTACATTCTCCTGTATTCATTTATTTGTTAATTCATTCTTTCCCCCTCACCCCACTCTTTTGAGTTGTCCAACTGCGGATACATACTTAGAAATGCCCGCACACGTTTTATCATACTTCTAATGATTTGGGAAAGATAATCTTATAGCCTATATTATCTACCATTTTTCTCTTAGCCCTTATTTAATTTTACATATATGACATTTCAGAGGATGTCACTGCAGTTGTTGTTTGGCATTTATGGGAATAAAACTTTGTAGCACACTTAGACTTGTATTATTTCTAGAGGGAGCCTTGTTTGATTGAAGGACAGTATCCCCTGTCTCTCTAAAACATGAGGCTCTTAAAAGTGCATTTTATTTAGCTTATTTTTGCCAGTGGCCAAACACTCAAGCTTAAAAAAAAAGAAGTGTCACCTAGACTTACCTGACTGTAGCTGTCAAATGAGGATGCTTTCAATAAACTTTAAAAGTAAGTAGATGAACTTTACACCCTACCAGTTCATAGGCAAGTTGGTAAACATTGAACAGAAATTCTGAGACTGTACCCGCTCCCCCCCACAAAAGGAAGTAGGTAGATGGTCTCAAAAAATGTTATGGCTGAAATCTTTCACATTCATTTGCTCATTTGGAGTTAACTGTAAAGTCCACTTAGTAATTTCTGTTAGACTACAGCCATCCTTTTTTAGTCATTATTCCCCCAAAGATAACCGATAGGTTATTCTCCTCCAGAAGCAGATCTTTGTTTCTTTCTTGAAAATAATTAAGAAATGTTGATTCAGGGGAAACTTGGACTTGCCTTCCACAACAGATTAGATGGCATGGTTGAAAAAGCATAGGCTGGCTCTTCTCTTACTTAGTATGTGACACTTGGCAAGCTAACTAATTTCTCTAAGGCCCAAGGTTTTTCATCAGGGAAAAAGGGCAATCATAAGTATGGAAAAAAATTAATGACTATTTTTAGCATTTTAAAACAATGACATCACAAAAACAGTTCATCTAAGAATAAACCCATTGGATTCAGTCTTTTAAGTAAATGCTTATTTGCATCATGTTCTTTCCCTCCTGCTCTTAGCAATCTAAATGTCTTATATATTTTTAAAACTCAGGTTTATCTCAAAACTGGTATATAGTCGTCACCTCCCCCATATGATGAGACTGTTTTTAGTTTCAGCCTATCGCGGATATCATTAGAATGCAGAATTAGGTAGTGGTTAGAAGATAAGGCTCTGTGTTGTCAAAGACCTGGGTTCAAATTCCAGCTCAGCCACCCTGGACAAGTTAACCTTTCTAAGCCAAGCCTCTGTTTCCTCATCCATAAAATGGATATAATAAGAATATTTATTTCACAGGACTTTTGTGAGAATTAAGTGAGATAATCTCTGTAAACCTCTTAGCATGCTTTCTGGTTTATACCAAGTATATGTTAAATATTAGTTATCTTCCCTCTTTCCTCTACAATGCAAATCTTAAATCTTTTCAGTAATACAAAATTTATCTCTTCCCTGAAATGTCTCATAAAACATTCCCTTAAGCATGACATGCAGCATGACAGGTATGTGAGATGACTTGAGATCCTAAGCGGAGGAGCATTTTGTATAGGTAGAGGTACATTGTAATTTTCAAAGTGTCTTCTATCAATGGTAAGTGATCCTGGTTTTTCATTTATTGTAACTCTTTACAATACAGTTATTTAAATTTTTTTAAAAAGATACAAGAGTATTTAAAGGAAGATATTGAACAGAAGTACAGGTAGGCAGTGGATGTGATAAGATATGGAGTTAGAATGTAGGTGATGGGTATGGTGGAAATCGTGTTAGACTTGCAGTCTGGAAACCCTGTTTTTTGTCTCAGCATCCCAGTAAAGAAAGCATACACTTTGGGATTTGGTAGATATAAGTGTAGAATGTGACATTAGCATTTTCTGGCTCTGTGACCTTGGGAAAGTTACTTAACCTTTCTCACCTTGCCTTTCTATAAATATTTATTGAAGGTCTACTACATTTCCTTATCTGAAAAATGAAGATGATCCTTAACAGGTTTCTGTAAAGATGCAATGCAAAGAGATAAAATATTTGAAAGTGTATATATCTTATATAATTGATATGTTTTATAAATATAATAAGTTTTATACCTGATGTCTAGTAAGTGCTCAGTAAATGTTAGTTCTAGTGTTACTTAGGACCTGTGGTTGCAAGTGACAGAATTCCAAGCTCAACTGGCTTGGGACAGAAGGAATTTGTTGTCTCGTGTACTCAGACTGTAGGAAGGTTAACAGTGACATATGCCTTGGGAACAGCTGGAAGCAAAAACTCAGATGCCAGAGGAGTGTCTCTACCTCTTTTCTCTGTTACTGTGTCTCTGTTAATGTCATTTTGTCTGGCCAGATTTTTCCTCACATCAAGAAACAGAACCACTGGCAGTCTTAAGCTGATGTGACCAGAAAGCGACTGAGCATTGTGGTCCTTGTTTCCAAGCCCAGAAATCCGAGGAATGACGTTGAGTCCAGTATGAGTCTGGTGCTCACCTGGCCAGACACTGGGGTCTAGAGAACAAGAGGTGAAGGAAGGTGGTAGGAAAGACCATTTTCCATAAGGGGAATTGTAGGTGCCTGCTACCATTGCATTTATCCCTTTCGGCTTCTTCAGGGAAGTACTTAGCCTCTGTGGGCTTCAGTTTTCTGGTCTGAAGTTCTGAGGTTTAGATGATGTAATGGATGTGAGTGTACATTTAATGTTTTAAATTTTTATTTATGCAGTTTATTACTGTTATTGCTCATGCCTTCCAAATCTTGACATATCATCTAGGGGTTCCCAAGCAGACCAGAGGCCCTTGAAGTAGCAGAAAGGGGCCTAAAATTGTTTTAACAAGTTAGTCCAGTGTGCCAAGTATATTGACTATGCCCCATTTTAAACTTGTTTTTGGAGTGTGATACACATACAGAAAGGAGTACATAGCCTAAACGCACAATTTGCTGAATTTTAACAAACTAAACACAATGGTATATCCTGTACCTGGATTAAGAATCAACAACAATAGACTCCTAGAAGCCCCCCTGCTTATACCACAGGTAGATTAATGTGTTGATTCATCATCCAAGAAATCATTTAAAAGCATTACCAGCATCATGATGGCATTTTCCAACCTGTTTTTTTAAATTAAAAGATTGCCAAAATTCAACTGCCATATGTCATAACTAATTTTTTTTTTTAACACTAAAAGAAATCGCAAAACTTAAAAGCACTGTGAAAAGCTCTTCAGGTCATTCCTACTCATTATACCCCTTGAAATGTTTTTCTGGCTAAAATTACCATTTAGGTGATAAAGTGTGTCCTGTTGCCTGGGTATTGTGCCATTCATGTCTATGCTTGCCTTTTCTCCTTACCAGATTGTAAATGCATGAAAGAATCCAAGCCTTAAGATTTCTTCAGTGTCTTGTACTGTCTTTCTTGTGCATAGCTTAGCATGATAATTGACTGACTAAAATGCTATCCATTTCACACACTGAGCTTTGTGGAATGACTGCACTTCTCCGGAAAATATAACTACTCAGATCCCAGGGACTTCCAGTCTGATATGATTCATTGTTAATGAATATGTCAGTTTGCTGTTGCTTTGGTACTCAGGAAAACAAATGCAATTACAAATGAATTTTTCTTATTATTTTTTTAATTTACCAAATCTTCTAATATCTTTTCCCCCTTTTTTCTCTTTTAGGCTCTAGACCAAGATAGAACAGCCCTTCAGAAAGTGAAGAAGTCTGTAAAAGCAATATATAATTCTGGTCAAGGTAAGCACTTACTAAAAATGAGGTAACATGAATTATAAATAATGTCTACAGAGTTTTGTTAGTTATTTAAAAGATGTTAAGTTTATAGGAAACTTGACACAAATGGAAAAGTAAGTAGGTAAAAGAAATTTCTCTTTTTTTCTCTTATCTCGACTGTCAGCCCAAACCTATTAGTGTTTCCAAAACAGAAAGAAGAAAAGCATTAGTCACAGTGGATTTTACTGTACACTTAAGTGCTTAATAGAGTTATGAGTAAATTTGTCACAAGTAACATGAGATAGATAAAATCTCTGTGTGAATTTGGTCAACCTGTAACTCAGTGGCTTCAGTTAAACACATCAGAATCTTTTCCCTTCTTCAGTGTACCTGTACACATTTGAAAATCAATATTGGCGATGGTTGTGGAAAAAGTTAGAGAGGAGGGGGCAAAGTTAAATTCAGACCTCAACAGACCTGTGAACTATCATCTTTTCTTTTGTTGGAAGGTGTGCCAGATAACCTGTGTAACTAAATGTTTTAACTGTCTAGTGACTTTGTCACCTTGGAGGCAAAAGTATGTCATCAGTGAATAAGAGGAAACAAACTAAATTAAAAAAAAAAAAATGAGTAACCACAAAAAATGGTAGGCTCCAGCACTGTAGAAGAGAAGCTTGGAAACATAAAATGGATTTCAGAGTTTCTCACTCACATCTTTTGTTACTATTGCAGTACCAGCTCACCTACCAATAGGTTACTTCTCTAGGAAATCAGTGGTCTGTAACTTAACAGAAAACCTGGAAGGGAAGGCAGCAGACTATAATAGAAAGAGCGCAGGCCGTGAAGTTGGACAGATGTGGGCTTTCGTCCTTGCTAATCCACTTCTTATTAGCAAGGTGACCTTGAGCTGGTTATTTCTCCTTCTTGAGCCTCCATTTTTCTTCTGTAACGTGAGGATAGTGGTATTAAAAAAAGTTGTTGAAGGGATTTAATGATCTCATATCTGTAAAGGGTCTGCCAGGTTATGGGAGTTCAGTAAATGCATGTTCCTCTTAATTTTATCATCATGAAATTATTGAGCTGAATGGAACCTGAACAAGCCAAAACCCTCAGGTACTTTATGGCCTTCCCGTCTCATCAGAGCTGGGAATCCCTAGCCAAATGAAACTGGAAACCTAATATTCTCTTGTTTTTTAAACCCCCCTAGGCCTTGAGACATTCTGTAATATTAATTGTTAACACATTTTGCACCCTGGTGCCTTCATTTTGCTCCCTAATTTCTTTATATCCACTAACTTCTCATTAAGGTAGATAACTAATAGTCATGTAGTTATGACCAAATGTTGTTTTAGGTCTTGGCCTAAGTTATATACCTAATTTATAACTCCTGCCCTTTCGCTTTTATTTCAATGAACTCCCACACTGTGGTAGGCCCTTATGTTTGATACTAGCTCTTTGGGGAGGTGAGTGAAATAAATAACTAGGAGATGCCACAAAGTGGGCTTCTAAGGTGCTGATATTGTTGTTTCTTGATGTTAGTGGTGGTTACATGGTAAAGTTCACTTTTTGATAATTCATCAGATGCTGAACTTAGGATTTATGTACTTTTCTGTAGGTATGTATATTATATACCAATAAAAATATATTTAAAGTATTATATACAAGGAGGTTCACTGAAGCCTTGATTGTGATTTGGAAGAGCAGAAAATAAAAGGGATTTATTAAATAAACCATAGTATACATATAATAGACTACTACACACCCCTTTGAAAAAGAGAGAAACTCAAGTAGTCTAGGTCTGAGTTTGAATCCTAGCTTTGTTATACTTGTTCAAGTCAAGTATATTATTTAACTTCCAGGAGTCTTACATTTCCTTACCATAAATTTAAAAAATAATATCTAATGTGCAGGGGATTGTATGGACAAAAGGAGAGACCATCTAAGGCCCCTAATACACTGCCTGCCACATAGTAGGTGCCTAACAAATGGTAGATGGGGGAAAAGGACAGCTAGATGAATTCTTGAGTGCCTTCTCTATTTTAATTCAGTGATTCCACATACAACATTTGACCAGCCTGATTTTATAAAGAGCTTAATGAGAACCATTGTTTGTCTCAGGAAGAATGGTCAGTTCTCTGTAATGTGATGATGGTTTGTACCTGAGGCTCTATGCTTGTGAGCTGCAAAAGGGAGACCCTTGCTTTACAGCCACGAGGTGCTGCTGTATTTACCGTGCTGAGGGCTCCCTCCATGTGACTCTTTTCCAAATGTTCCCCCTCAAGATGCATTTCATCCCTTGGCCACAATGACCACATCACTCAGCAGCTCATACAAAGGCTCCTCTACTGGGGGATATGCTTCTTCCTGTTCTTTAAAGGATTTCCTTGATCACAGCTGCCATGGGTATGACAGAAGGGAGAGATTGTTCCTGTATGGATGTAAAGAGGTGAGAGTTCAAGGGCTGTATGCAGAGTTTGGGTGCAGCCTCCTCCAGTAGACTGCACCCTCTTTGTGGATGGGGGTGGTACAGCTTATTGAACATTGAATCTCTCCAGTCTGGATTAGGGGTTCTGTGTGCCCTCCTCCTAGGTTTGTACTATTAGAGTAGCCTCTGGTGAGATATGGTTTTAAATTTTAAATGAATTAAAATAAAATTTAAAATTCAGTTCCTCAGTTTTAGCCACATTTCAAGAACTTAACAGCCGTATATGACTAGTGGGTGCCATATTGGATAGTGCAGAAATAGAAACTTCTCCATCATCACAGGAAGTCCTGTTAGACTGATACTGTAGGAGAACATGTATCCCATTGTATTGCAATTACTAACCATCTCTCTTGGAGTAGATAATGATTCTTACCTTTGTTGATTAGGATCACCTGAAGAACTCTTAAAAACAAAAACAGGAATCTCTCAGACCCTTACCCTCGAATTGTTCCAGAGTAGAGCCTAGCTATTGAGATTAAAAAAATATTATTCCCCAGCTGATTCTAACTTGCAGCCAAAATTAAGAACTGTTGCACTGGCCTATGAGTTTTTTGATAAGACTAGTACTATGTTTTTCGTTTTTGTAGTTTATGCATTTGTCAATGTAATTTGTTTGTTTGAAAAGATATTTATTGAGCACCTATTATATTCTCCTGTTCTGGGTGTTAGGTGTTTGGCACATCAAAGTCTCTGCCTTCATGAATTTTACAATCCAGTAGGGGAGAGATAAATGTTAATCAGATCATCAAACTGGGAAGTATTTATAACTAGAAACTAGGAAGCGCTATAAAAGAAAGCTTACAAAGTGCAAAGGGTGAAATAGGAAGAAGGATCTGAGGTAGCGTGAGGAAGGTGCTAAGGGAGTACCACTTGGAGGAAATGATATTCATTTTGTATTTATACTGTACTAGGCTAAGCCAAACAAGCCAATAAGGTAAGTACCATTGTTCTCATTTTATAGATGATGAAACTGAAGCTTAGAGAGACAGAATAACTTGTTCAGGGTACCATACCTAGCAAATAATGGAAAGAGAGCCCAGCTGACCCCAGCTTTGCTCTTTACAGGTACTCTGTATTTGTCTTCTACCTAACACATGGTAGGGGCTCAACAAGGGTTGAGTGAATCGCTACATGTTGGCTGGATGTGTTACTACCTGGGAAGCTCTCTGAGACCAGCTATTAATATTCACTAATCATGAATATTCATGAATGGATCCATCAAATGGAAAATCCCAGCATTGTAACCTGTGGGATGACTTTGGTGTTTCCCAGATGAGACCACCAATAGTAGTTTCCATGGTCATGTCTCAGAAATATAGGGACAAACTCAGATCCCTCTGGGTTCCTCACAGACTATTGAGGCCTGATAGGGTTTCTGCAGTCACGAACAAGTATAGTATAGCTGGGTTTGTGGGCAGCACTATGACATTTAATTCTTTAAAAATGACTAAATGAGTAAAACAGTGGTGTTGCATAGCTTTCCATGATACATGCTCAGTGGAATCCAAGCTGTTCCCCTCCAAGGGCTTTTGGCCTCATCCAGAGAAACCACAAGAAGCTGAACCCTGCTATCTGTTTCCCAATGCATTTTCATAATTTTCTTGTTTTCTCACAATGCTTAAGTGATACAAAACCCATGTGATATTTTTTAAACATTTAAAAAGGATTTCTATATTTCTGGTTGGAGATTACCAATCACTCAGCTTCCCAAAGTGATTTGAAAAATGGCTAAACATTGTGAAGCTTCTTACTCTTAAAATGTATTATTTTTACACATAAACTTTTATCAGTACTAGTAAACATTATAAAAATGAGGGTTTTTTGGTTTTTTTTTTTTAAACAAATTGTCTCCATGCAAGCCCTTTGGTTTCAAGATTGTTCTAGGAATTTGTGTCTCACTTTTCCTTGTTGTGTATGAGGACATTTTAAAAAACAACACAAAACTCAATTCTGTGAACTACTTAGACCAATGGAAAATTCTCCAAGCCATTCAGTTTTCCTGTGTTGTTCTCTAAGTTTTGAAGTTTTAACATTATTAATCTGTGAAACACATTGTCGTTAAGGAAGTCTGCCTTAGTGGTCCCTCTCCCTTTCCCATTTTCTCCCTCCTTCGCCCTTTTGCTAATATATGATTAAAATGACTAGTAGTTTCTTGGGCACTGTGGAGGTTTTAATTTATTGTAATTCTTGGGCAATTTTCTTTAGAAAGATAGAGCCTAATCCCCTTTCCCCTTGAATGTACACCAGAGTTACTAACTCCCTTCTAATGAATAGAATGTAGTAGAGGTGATGCCATGTGATTTCCAAGGCCAGTCCATAGACAAGATAGCTTCAACCTCGTCCTTCTGTTCTTTTTCTGATCATTTTCTTTGGAGGAAGCCAGCTACCATATTGAGGATACTCAAGCAGTCCTATGGAGAACTACCACTCACTTACTAGCCATGCAAGTGAGACGTAGAAGCAAATCTAACCCCAGTCAAACTTTCAGGTGACTGCAGCCCTGGCAGACATCTTGATCTTGATCTTTGTGAGAGACCCTGGGTCAGTACAGTAGGAGTGGGGCTGGCTTTCCCTTGGAAGCATGGGCATGTGAATGCACGTAAGTCAGGTGTGGCTTGAGAAAAGAGCTTACTGCTTGCTTCTCAGTATTGTTTAAAAAACACAGTGAGACATACTGCACTTTTAGAAATGGAAGCATGTGGTTCATAATAAGCGTGGGTATACTGAGTTGGCTATTCTACCAAATGAATTAGGTTGAAAATGTTAATCTTTTTGAGCAGATACATTCTCACACAACACAGGTACAGGTATACACTTCTTTCTGGGACTAGGAACTCAGGATATTCCTGCTACTAGGTCTTTTTCTGTGTTAAAGTGTTGGCTTTTTTTTTCTTTGCTCAAATTAAATGAACATATTATTATATGGCTGGTTCCTTAGAATTTATGCCAGGATATATTCAGAATAAATGTTAGCTTATTGGTAACACATGGTGCCCCTTAGAATCTATAACATTGTTGGTCTGAAAGTTGAGGCTTGTAAATCCTTTAATATTTCTGGGCAGGAAAAAAATGACAGTGGTATATAATTTTATTACCAGCATATGATGTGGAAGTCATATTTTCAAAACACAGCTAAATTGTTATAAACAGTTTTGCAGCTTTTTCATTACAAGGAAGACAGCCATTGATTTTCTCATTTCCTTACATTTTTGTCTCCCATTCCTTTTCAGTTAGAATTAAGTAGTAGATAGTTTTATAACACAGGGTTTGTGTTTTTTAAGGCAAAAAATGTGTGGTGTTCTCTCCACTTTTTCATTTTGTTAAATTATCTATTTTAAGAAAAAGCTCATAGTGCACAAGGAAATCTAGGATTTTAAAGGTAAAGTACTAAATTTATCAGTGGATAGGAAGCAAATGTTTTTGTAACCAAACAACTTCATTTGAGCTATTTTTTAGTTAAGTATTTCCTCAAACTTGAAGGTATAGTGTGAATTCAGTTGTAACTAGAGTTGGTAATTAGGTTCGGTGTCTTACCATGGTGTCATGTAATGCTTATTTTAATCCTGCGGTTTTCAGTGGGGAGAAAAGTTTTCTTAACAAGCATATGTAAGAGACATAATAGATTAGAATAAAATGTCACAAGGTGTACAAAAGCAGCTTGTCTCTAGGAAATTTTACCTTTTTTTGCTGTTTTTCAAGTTTGTGGATAGCCAGATTTTTTAAAAAATCTTTTTGAATTACAGTAAATTGATTAGTAAAAATAATAACAATTCTTAAGCTCTCAAAAGGCTTTAGATAGAAATACTGGGATTGAGCAAAATCTAAACAGATTTCTTTGGGCCTTCAAGGCATTTTGCATTCTTGTGGGTCCACCTCCTTGGGAGGTGAAAACAAATTAAAATAATGAGTTCCTTCATTATTTTAATAATGAAGGGTCAAGGAAGGGGTTTTTTTCCCCCAAAGGGAATATACTTACCCAGGAGAGCATTACTCCTTAAATTATGTGGGGATAAACTAGAGGGATTCAAAAGAATGCTGTTTAAAAATCAGTGTCTCTTTCCAGAATAATATTAAAACCCGAGGCTTCTTAGGAAGTTTCAATTTTTGGATCCTAGTTATTGGCTCACATATTCTTTTACTTGAAATTAGAAGCTATTCACTGTGTGTATGAGCCTGTGTATGCACTTCCTCCGTTTTGCTGGTTGTAGAATGAGTGCTCTCATTTTACTTAAAATGAGTTAATTTTTTAATGATGTGTGCTTCTTCTATCTTTGGGGAATGTACATCATGATAAATTAAGTAGTTTAAAATAAATTTGTGAGTACTCATCCCACGACCGCTAGTTTGGGGTTGGTGTTTGTTTGTTTGTTTGTTTGTTTGTTTGTTTGTTTGTTTTGGAGACAGGATCTCACTGTGTTGCCCAGGCTGGAGAGCAGTAACGCAGTCTCACTCACGGCATCCTTGACCTCCCAGGCTCAGGTGATCCTCCCTCCTCAGCCTCCCGAGTAGCAGCTGGGACCACAGTTGCATGCCACCATGCCCAGCTAATTTTTGTTTTGTGTGTGGGAGGGAGGTGGTGTTTGGTAGAGATGGGGCTTCACCATGTTGCCCAGGCTAGTCTTGAACTCCTGGGCCCAAGCCATCCACCCACCTCTGCCTACTAAAGCGTTGGGATTTACAGGTGTGAGCCAGCACGCCCAGCCTATTTTGGGGTTTTTTAAAGCCTTAGGATGAACAACAAATTTGCTCTGTTAAAGGTGAATATAAAAATGTATTTCTCTGCTTTAATGATTTATTTTGGTAAAAATAAATATAGCTGCCATTTGTTGAATACCTACTCTGTGCCAGGTAGAGTCCATTGTGCTTTTCAGTCTTCAATTAGTTATTTTCACTGTTTACATAAAGATTCAGATTAATGACTGTTAAGGACCACCTTTGAGCCTTAAACAGACCCTTCTTGACAACTACAGTCAAAAGATTCTATGGCTTTACCTATATCTTGCTGCCTCCTATTTCAAAATGCATTTTCCTCATTCTTAAATGGTTTATGTCTCATCAAAGTAGGATTGTATTTTCCTGTATAAAGCTGTTGCACTTAAACTGTAGCAAAGAATCTGCCCTCTGAAAACAACCATGCCATGACAACCTCTAACAAGCAGTCATATGTGTGTGTTTAGTTTTATTTCTAGTTCACATGTCAATGTGAATTTTTAAGTGTATTTTTATGACTGGAGAGGTTTCTCCAATTAAGCGTTTAGCAAGAAAGAATAACTATTTACTGATTCTGTGATGCCTCATTTGGGTATGCAAGTCAAGCAGATTGTTGCTGATTCTGAACTGGTTTTCATTGATAATCAGTGCCATAAGACAGAACATTTAGAGGTTGATAGAGGATGACTTTGCTCGGCTAGTTTGTCTGTTGCATTCACAGACAACAGAAGGATATTCTCAGATCTTCCATGTCTTGGGTAATTGATCAGACATGTACTTGTTTCATTGTGGAGAGCTGTATGGGTGCTGGGGGGACTGGAACACCCCGTGCTGATTTTTCTCACTGGTGTTTTCTGGTTTCTTTCCCCATTGTGAAAGTGCAGTGATATTAATGTGTTTACTATAGAAAATTCAGATGAGCTAAAAGAAAAAAAAATAATAGCCACTGGTCTTTTTAAAGGTTTTTTCCCATTGTTTATATATTTTTCAAGTTAAAGGTTTTTTTGTTTTTTTTCATTATTTAGATTCTTTTTCTTTTTTTTTTTTTTTAAGACAGGGTCTCACTCTGTTGCCCAGGCTGGAGTGCGATGGCATGATCTTGGCTCACTTCAGCCTCGCCATCCTGGACTCAGGTGGTCCTCCCACCTCAGCCTTCTGAGTAGCTAGGACCACAGGCACTTGCTACCATGCCTGGCTAATTTTTGTGGTTTTTGTAGGGACGTGGTTTTGCCGTGTTTCCCAGGCTGGTCTTGACCGCCTGGGCTCAAGCTATTCACCCACCTTCGCTTCCCAAAGCTCTGATTACCAGCGTAAGCCACTGCTCCTGGCCCATTGTGTATATTCTGAATCACAAACACACATACTTTTGGAGCACCCAGCACATCTGTGTTCTCTGTGGCCCTCATTATCTTGTCCACATTTGAGGGTGATGCTTTTTCCCAGAGTTCTGAAGTGGAGAAGCCTAGTTGAGGTCATGTTTTGGGGGGTGTTCTATGCCACCTGTACAGTGAGGAGCTAGGATGCTCCTAGGTAGAGAGCTGGGATGTGATCTCTACTCTGACAGGAAGTAACTGAGTATTTCTTAACAAGTCCTTCGTTTCTCAGGACCTTGGTTTTTCTACCAGTGAAACAGAGATGATTTTTTTTCTTGTCTGTTTATGAAATGAGATGAAGATACTTTTGTAGCCTCTAAAATGCACTGTTTATACCCAAAGGGGAGTTGATAGTGTCTAACAATACTGCATTTCCCTAGCAACTGATCCAAAGAGACCTGCCCCTTTTGATCTCACATGTGCTGTTGCCCTTCCCTCAGACTCGCCAACTGTGCACCCAGAAAGGGCAAGAAGCTTTGTCTTCAGATACAGCTAACATTTCTTCTAATTCTGAACATTTTGGGGTCATAGACCCCTTAGTAAGCCTCAGAACGACGACACACGTTATCTGAACTTAAAACAAAAAATCTTACAAAGCAGAATATTTCAGTCAATTTCAGGGGTTTTTGGAACCCCTGACATTGAGATCAGAACCATTGATTTATATAAACAATATGTTATCTATACTATATACTGTGTTATATATAGTATAATATATATAATAATTTATAATTGATTAAATAAACATATAAGCATTGATTGGAAATGCTTTGAAATGTTTTACTGACACGGATTGATGATTAAAAATAGTTTGGAGAGTCCAGGTGCAGTGTGGCTCATGCCTGTAGTTCCAGCACTTTGGGAGGCCAAGGGAGGCGAATCACTTGAGCCCAGGAATTCGAGACCAGCCTGGGCAACATGGCAAAACCCCATCTCTGCAAAAAATACAAAAAAAAAATTAGCTGGGCATGGTGGCATGCACCTGTGGTTCCAGCTACTCAGGAGTCTGAGGTGGGAGAATTGCCAGAACCAGTGAGGTCAAGTGTGCAGTGAGCTGTAATTGCGCCAGTGTGCTCCAACCTGCGCAACAGAGTGAGATCCTGTCTCAAAAAAAAACCACAAAAAAATAGTGTTCAGAGGGTAGCTGCTCAGGCTGAGTCCTATCGTAGGCTACCACCTCATTAGCAGAACAAGAACCCAATGAGGTTTTATTATCTCGATTTTACATATAATTTATAAGCCAAGAAGCTAAAGCTCAGAAGGACTTAAAGGTGGTACCCAAGGCCATAATTCTAAACACTAAATAACCTTTGTATCCCATTGTAGGTGCTTGATGAAAGTTTGTGAATTAGTAGTTAAATATGGGGTCCTATTTTTAAACACCTATTTATTTAGAAGGGTTGACTCCATTGGGTAGTCATACTGTGGAGGCTGAAGTAGGGGAGGAATTGGTTGTGTCTTTGCTACCTATTTTAGGACCACATCTCAAAGCATTGCAATTACCTACAGAGCCATCAGTAAACCAAAGTGTATTGTGTATTTCTTCTGGCAGGTAGGAAGGCTGTATGATGAAGCCAGAAGAGAGAACATTTCTGCTTCTGCTATAGGAGAGTGATGTTCAGGTGCTGTTTAAATGCTGAGTAATAGCCCTGTGGAACTCTTTGAGTATCTTTTCTTGGGGCTCTGTTATTTAATGGATTTGTCAGTGCTGCAGAAATGAGAATATGCATGCTGAGTTTCCAGATAACACCCCAGAGGCTGGGGCCAGACTCTTGCTGAGGCTTGGTTAGGACTTTGAAAGAACAACTCCAAAGTCAAAATGACCTTGAGAAATTATAGAAATGAATCATCCAAAGTGGCATGGAGGAAAGCAGTTTTAAAAAATGTCCACAGGGCTTTCTGCCTCCAAGGATTTTGTCTTTAATCTTAACAATAGACTAATACAGTTAGTGGTGGGAAAATGTAAGGAAACTGAGGCTCAGGGAAGTGAAATAATTTGCTCATAATCAGCAGTTGTTTCCAAATTAGTGTTATAGATAAGAAAATAAAGAGTTTAGACCCCAAATCCAGCCCTCATTCCCCAATAATATGGTGTCTGTAAAGTTAAAACAAATTATTTTCCGGGTCACAGGACAGGTGGCACTAAGTTTTTGGATTGGTGGCAAAAAGGATCTGAGCCACTATCTGATGATGAACAGGAACAGAGGGCAGTGCTTTTAAAACGTTAATCACAGCACTTTGGGAGGCTGAGGCGAGAGAATTGCCTGAGGGCTGGATTTTGAGACTAGCCTGGGCAGCATAGTAGGGCCCCATCTCTTAAAAAAAAAAAAAAAAGCCAAGCATGGTAGTGCATTCCTATAGTCCCAGCTACTAGGGAGAGACTGAAGTGGGAATATCACTTGAGCCAGGAGATCGAGGCTACAGCAAGCTATGACCATGCCGCGGCATTACAGCCTGGGCAACAGAGCAAGACCCTGTCTCAAAACAAAACAAAATCTTAATCTACCTAGCTCTAGATTGAAGGTGGTAAGCTCTGGAGCAACCAAAGGCTCCATATTAGTTTCTGTGTATCTCAGCCCACCTAAGCAAACACTGACTTCCTTATTGCTGAGTACTTTATGGTGCCTGTATGGTATGCTGCTACCTCTTGCCTTGAATGTCCACACCCCAAGTCTACTTGTTAAACAACTATTCATTTTTCAAGTTTCTGCTCAATTATCTTCTCTTATGAAACCTAACCCACTCCATCCAAGTGTTGTCTGTGTGTTCTTTTTTTATCAAATATTAAATAGTTGCCTTCTATAGGCCATCTGAAATAGCAGTATGTTTTCATACAGAAGAAAGAAAAAAAAGTTAGAACTCCTCCTCATGCCATATAGATAATTTCATTGCAGATGTATTACGTATTTAAATATTGAAGTGAATAAAACTTTAAAAAGTTTAATAACTTACTTTAACGAACCCTTTCCTGTGCTATATAAACAAATACATTGTTTTGGGTTAAAGGTTAAGGGTTT
Source organism: Homo sapiens (assembly GCF_000001405.40). NCBI lineage: Eukaryota > Metazoa > Chordata > Mammalia > Primates > Hominidae > Homo > Homo sapiens. Next base: position 130,225,360 of record NC_000008.11, on the reverse strand, counting down.
TTAAAAATACTAAATATTAGAAGGCTTAGGAACATAAGGCCGGAAACCCAAAAAAGTCTTTTGCATACAGATTGATATATATGACTACATGACATTTTTAAATTTCTCCATGGCAAAGGACACCACTAACAAGTTACAAGACAAGTGGAAGAAATATTTGCAACACATATTATAAAAGTTTCTATCCCTTGTACAAGACATTCTTACAAACTGATAGGAAAAATACTAGCATTGGAAAACAGGGCTAAATATGTAAACAGGCAGAAAAGGAAATGTTAATGGACAATAAAATGCAAAAAGATAGGCTTACTATAGGCAGTTTTTTATACACATGTGGCCAGAATTAAAAAAGAACAGTAACATCTATGTGCTGATATGGTTGAAGAGAATTAGCCCCTTTTATATGTGCATTGCTGTTGGGAATGTGAATTGCTTTAACCAGCTTCTCTGGAAAGAATGTGGCAATATTAACTAAAACTTGAAATGTACACACTATCCCCCAGCAGTCCTGCTTTTGTGAAGATATTTTTCCAGAGATAAAGTAACAGCGTGTAAGAGCTTGTGTATAAGAGTATTTATTGTAGCATTGTGTTTTGATGGCAAAAGCTGCAGAAAACCTAGTATCCTTTCAGCAGGCGTATTTATTATGGAACATATCCCAGTTAAAATAATTAGATTTACTTATATTAAATTTCATGATTTTTATTCCATAGGAAAAAAGCAAGCCATGGTGGTCGTATGTAATATCCCATTTATTTTTTTTAAAAGGGAGAAAGGGGTGAAAACACCTATATTTGTGTGTCTGTATGTGTGTGTATATCTTTTTTAATCCTAAGGTTTCACTGAGATACACTCCAGATTATTAACTTTGCTTATCTTAAGGAGGTGGGATTGGAAAAAGGGAAAGGAAATTATAATTTTATCTTTATATTTCTCTGTAATAGCATATGAATTACTTATATAATTTTAAAAACAAATAGAATTAAATATTTTATAAGTGTGATTAGTGCTACAAAGTATGCATAGGATAATATAAAAAGAATTTGTCACTTCCCCTTTTATGGCAGTGCTATGATTTATGTCACATATTACATGGCTTTATTATTACATTATAGCTCACTGTATTTTATATGGCTGGCACATGGCTGCTGGTAAGTATTTTTTGAAAGAAGGAAAAAGACTTGTTCTAGGAGAATCCACTACATGCAGTGAGCATTTTACTGAGCATTCACTATGTGCCAGGCTCAGCACTGGGAACTGGGCGTATAACAAAGTATGTAAAGCTGGGACCCCCACCTTGGCAAGAGGCTAAGAAGAGAGTGAAAAACAGGATGCTTGGTAGGTTACACTTACATTGAAAGAGTCAGGGTGAATCCTGAAATTGTGATGGAACTTACAGACAGGAGAACTTTGGATAGGTTTTATGACTGGAGTGTAATAATGCGTGTATCCCAGCTATCCTCTGGAAGATTTTTCTTCGTTCATGAAGATAAGATGATAAACAAATGTTTATCATGTGTTCCTCTGGACTCTTGACACAGAAGGAGAACTTGCATAAAGACCTTGGAAGAGAGGCTAGGCTCCCAGGAAAGAGTATGGGAAATTAAGGAAGTGAGACTCTGGAGTGTGGGATGGTACTTAGCATTTTATAAACACCCACTGTATACCAGATACTAGATGAGGCACTTCATAGTCTTTCTCATCTATTTCCTTTAATAACCCCATCAAGTAGGTATTACTATGGCTAAGAAGACAAGAGTCTGAGATGATGTATAAATTGCCCTAGATCACAGTTTATAAACAGAAAACCTGGAATTTGATCCACAGTCATCTTATATATCCTGGAATCCTCCAAAAAATACCATGTTTAAATTAGCATCCATTAGCATCAGAACTTCAGCTCTGAATTTTGGAGTAAATGAAATTAATAGAAGTAAAGGTATTTTTAGACTCATTCCATGTTCCTTATAGGCATTGTCCCATTTCACGTATGAAGTTGAGGCCCACATAAGTTAAGTGCCATTTCCAAGGTTATATATGCCCAGTTAGAACCAGAGTGGGGATTCAGACCCAAGTCTCTGTGTCACTGAGGCCTGTGTTCTGTGTGATCTTTCACCAAATGTTGTCTAGGTTGTGCTTGGTTGTGGTTTGGAATGCTCCTCAGGATGGATTTATGAGAGTGTTCTCAAGGCCTTATTATACCCATTAAGTAGAAATAATCCTTTGTGGTTTTATAATTTTTTTGCATTTTTCCAAAAGAGCTTTTATATTAATTATGACACCTTTACCTCTTAGTGGCCAATCAGCAGGGCAGATGTTATTAGACCTGTTTTATATATGAAGAAATTAAGGCCCCTAGGAGCTTCAGTCTCCTGACATGGTAGAGTCTGGAGCTAAGACCTGGATTTTCAGGTTTCTCAATCACTTGGCATCTGGCTAAAGTTAAAAGACTTCTAGAGGCTCCTGCACTTTACCAAGTACACTAGTTAGGAGCACAGGCTTTGGGGTCAGTGCCTGTCACTACTGCTTCTTAGCTGTATGACATTGAGCAACTTGCTTAACTACTCTAAACCAGTTTCTAAATTGTGAACACTGAACGAGATAATGCAGGAGAAATACTTAGCACAGTTCTTGGCACATTAATCAAAACTTGTGATTGCAAATTATTATTATTATTACTTTGTCAATATTATTACAGGACAGGAAGTCTTGTCTTATTCACCTTTTTGTTCCTGGTATTTGTCATCAAGTCTTTCACATAGTGGATTCTGAATAGATATTGTGGCACACAATATTCTAGTATCCACGATAGTCTTTCCTGAGTGTGTCAGTGGAGAAGGATAGGATTTGGAATCAAATGAAGTGGGATCTAATCCTTTCTTCACCACTGAGTTTCATTTTTCTTATCTATAAAGCAACTGCCTTGAGGGAGTATCGCATGAGTTTCAGGATATTCACTGTGATTGAATCCCTCTACTTAGTCAGTGCTTAATAAGTAGCAGCCATAATTAGAGTCGCTGAGAATCAAAGGTTAGGTTGGCAGGCAGTCCAGTCCAGAGGTTTTGTGAATATTGCCCAGTTTGGTAAGGTATAACACATAGTGTCAGTTAGATAAACCCCTCAGGGAGAGACCTATTTAATAATTGCTGTGGTTCTGAAAGTTTTGAGGAAGGCCTCATTGGATGAATATACAAAGTATGTTTAAAGAGTATTGAATTTTAATGTATTCCTAAGGTACTTGTTATTGCCAACGCCTAGGGATATAAACTCTTCAGCGTTGTCTGAAGCTTCTGCTTCCTGTCCACGGGGTAAAAGGCTGGCTCCAATGCAGTGGCCAAGGATGGATAGTTGGTATGGTTGTCATCATTGTGTCATTGCCATTATAAATATTTATTGAGCTCATCGTGTACGAGGCACTTGGCATGCAGTATCTTGCTTAAATTTAATAACATCTCTGTGAGGTAAATGCCATTATAATTTCCATTTTCCAGATGGGGAGGATGAGGTTTAGAAAGATAAAGCTGCTTGACCAAGGTACCACACAGACAGTAAATGATAGACTTGAGATTTGAACCTAGGCCTGTCCTACTTTAGGATATGGAGTATAGAGGAGGGTACCCTGTAAGGTTCAGTGGCTGACATCTGCAAATTATATGGACAAAAGACAAATTAACAGGAGAAAAGGCTTATTTAGTATGGACATAAGGGGCCTCACGGAAAAGAAATGAAAAACCCCAAAGAAGCAGCTAGGCCTAGGAGCTTATATACCATTTTAGCAAAGAGCAGAAAATTGTGGAGAAGTGACAAGACAGAGAAAAGGAGACTTCTAGGAATTATAGGGCAGTAAATTATAGGGAAGATAAATATAAGGGGGAAACAAATAGATGATAGGGATTATTTTAACAAGGTTTATTTATGCAGACTCATCTTGGTACTGACATTTCATCTCTTGTGACAACAGTTTTTCTCCTCTTCCTAGAAAGGAGGTAGGGGAAACACTTTCACAAAGGGAGATTTATGCCTTGCTTTTAGGCAGAAAATGTTCTTCCTTTCCTTTACTTCCATCCTCCTCTCCCTTCTTCCTTCCTTCTCTTTCTTTCTTTTCTTTCCTTTCTTCCTCTTTTCTTTGTTCAAGGTCTCACTCTGTCACCCAGGCTGGAGAGTAGCGGCACTATCACCACTCACTGCAGCCTCAACTTCCCAGGCTCCAGCAAGCCTCCTGCCTCAGCCTCACAAGTAGCTGGGACCACAGGCTCATACCACAGTGCCTGGCTAATTTTCGTATTTTTGGTAGAGACCGGTGATATGGTCTGGCTCTGTGTTCCCACCCAAATCTCATCTTGAATTGTAATCTGAATTGTAATCCCCACATGTTGGGGGAGGGACCTCATAGGAAGTTATTGAATCATGGGGGTGGTTCCCCCATGCTGTTCTCATCATAGTGACTGAGTTCTCACAAGATCTGATGGTTTTGTGGGGAGTTTTTCCTTCCTTCACTCTGCACTTTACTCATACTTCTCCTTGCCGTTACCATGTGAAGAAGGATGTGTTTGCTTCCCCTTCCACCATGACTCTAAGTTTCCTGAGGCCCTCCTCAGCCATGGCTGAACTGAGTCAATTAAACCTCTTTTTTAAATAAATTACCCAGCCTCAGGTATGTCTTTTATTAGCAGTGTGAGAACGGACTAATACAGTGGGGTTTTACCATGTTGCCCACGCTGGTCTCAAACTCCTAGGCTCAAGCCATCTGCCCACCTCAGCCTCCCAAAGTACTGGGATTACAGGTATGAACCACTGCACCCAGCCACCTTGCTGTTTCTTAATTGCTTTAAGCTCAAAATAATTGTTATGCCGAAGTGGCTTGTTTTGGGGTGGCATATTCTAATTTAAATTTCCTTATTTATGAGTTGTATGATCAAGGGTAAGTGTTTATATCTACACAGTGAGGATGGTAATAGTACTTATCTCATGGACTGTTAGTAAGAGTGAATGAAGTAATGTACTGTATGTAAAGTGCTTAATACAATAACATTTAGTCAATACCCAACAAACTAGCTATTGTAACGATTATTACTGGAATAGTAATACTAGAGTAGTAAATCAGTGATTAGTTTATATTAGTCATTTCCCCACAGAAATGCTGGCAGTTGAAATCGTGATGAAGTGGCCTTTTCTGGTCTAGTTTTTAAAACTAGACCAGATTTCATTCTCATATTATTTCATTCTTGTTTGAACTGAAAGGATTCACCTAGCTGTTAGAATTATCTTGCAGGCCAGGCGTGGTGGCTTACACCTGTAAATCCTAGCACTTTGGGTGGCCAATGTGGGAGGAACACATGAGCCCAGGAGTTGGAGACGAGCCTGGGCAACATGGCAAGACCCCATCTCTACAAAAAATTAAAAATTAGCCGGTCATGATGGCATGTGCCTGTAGTCCCAGCTACTTCAGAGGCTGAGTTGGGAGGATTACTTGAGCCCAGTAGGTTGAGGCTGCAGTGAGCCATGTTCATGCCACTGCACTCCACGCAGGTCTACAATAGCAAGACCTTGTCTCAACATCAGCAACAAAACAATTATCTTGCCTTCTGCAACAATGTCGTGGATGCCAGAAGTTTCTTAGGAATATTGGGAAAGAATGTGTCTTCTTAACGGATGGATCACATTTCTCTGTTCTTTTCTTTTATCCAGTCTTCTTTTCTCACCTACTTACCCTAACTCCCACTGTACTATGTGCCCAAAAGTCTTCTAGCACTCGCATGTAGTAAAGATCTTAAAACAGAGCTGCATCCTGCTCTCTGAAACCTCTTGAAGTGAGTGGGCCATTTTCTGCCTTATCAGTCCGTCTCCTTCAGAAACACTCATTCCTGTGGCAGTGTCCCACCACCGCAGCCTTCTTTCCCTCCTCTTCCCTATACCTCTGAACTGACATTCCCCTCAGATGGCTTACTGTACTCTGCAGTGTGTTCCTCCCTTCTGCCGTTGCCCTTGCTATTTCCTCCACCAGAATCATGGTTCTTTGCTGTCTCACTCTCTGTGCCTGTTGAAAGTCTGCTGGGTAAACCCTTAATTTTGTACACAAGTGTGTGTGTGTTAGGGGACATGTGTGTGATCTTTCTAGTATTGACTTTACTAACTTTATAATACAGTATGTTAAAAAAAAAAAAGACATGTGAGACCTGTGTTTTTATTCTGTTTGATATTACAGACATCGCTCTGTATTGTAAGTAGTCATGGATATATAGCGGTAACAGTAGCTGACATTTTGGGGCACATGCCACATGCCAGACACTATTTTAAGCACCTTACATTTAATTTTCTATCATTCTATTTTCATAGGATTATGATTATTATTGTTATTATTACCCCAAGATATATCTTACTAAACTGTTATATTTTTATGCTAGGAAATTATATATATACACATATATATGTGAGACATGTATATATATGTGAGACATATATGCCAGTATATACACACATACATACATACATATGCATATATATATATATATGGAAAGAGACTACATGGTTATTCAGCTGTGGAATTAGCAAAACATACAGGACCCATGACCTAGCCTATACTTATCTAGTCTTCTGCCTCACTCACGTCACATTTCATGTTTCATCTACCTAATAAGCATAATTCTTCCCTTGCAGAACTAGTGGGGGTGAAATATGAGATTGTAGAAAGCATAAGGATTTGGGTCACAGAAGGTTCTGAGCTTCTCCCAACACCTTCTTCCTATGGCCTGTCTCTGCCTTAGCCTTTAGCCAACTCCATCTTATTCTTTAATGAGTCTGTCATCACAGATAGATGGAGAGCTTCTTGTAATTCTTTCTAACCTTTGCATGAAATTTCAATTCAGGATAATGGCTGTGTCTAGGGAGGGAAGGAAGGAGATCGGAATTGGGTAGAGGGACAGGAGTAGGGGAATAGGGAATCATTCTTTAATATTTTATTTATTAAGCTGGGTGGCGCATACATGTATATTCGATTAACTAATTATATTTTTCACTTGAAATATTTGATAGTCTCAAGAAAGCAGCCTATATACCTATTTTTACTACTGAGGTGCTTCCCTTGGGAGCAGGTAAAATGAACACACAGCTGAATTCTTTTTTCATAGGTCTCCAAAATCAGAAAAGGATATCAGATGAGGTAGGAGTCTTGGTGGTAAGGTGGGACCTCTTTGGCCTCAGACAGAAGGTATCAGGAGTAGCTCCAGCACATGAGGGAGATGAAACCTGTGTGTCTTCTCGGTTGAGCTCGTGTGGCCTTTCTTTTCTGTTTTTCTGAGCCGCTCCTCTGAGTGAACTTGGATAGTAACCAGAGCTGCATTTTTTAATATCTCAGCCTGAGATGCTGACAACCACTGCAGGCACCATGAATTTTTAATGTGGTGGTGATTAGAAGGCTGGCTAGGGCCTCATTTCGTTTCATTGGACTGCTGTGACACTTGTTTCCTTCATGGTATTTAGACTTCCTGGGTTATTTCCCAATCCAGACTCATGTTCTGTTTCATGAGTGCCCATTGCACCCATGCACTTATTGAGGTGTGTTTGAAAGCAGAATTTAAAAATTTGATCTCAGTTATTGAACATCCTACGCTATTTCAGAAAGGGATGCTTCTTAAATTCCTGAAAAGGAATTCAATAAATCCAGGTCAACAAATATTAACCAAGCCGCAGCTTTGAAAGTCCAGCTCACTGAAAGAACTACAGCAGTGTCCATTGGGTAGGGATGCAGAAGTGAACCATAGGTAATCCCTGCCTCTTGCGGTCTGGTGGTAGGAAAAGATCTGTGTGTGTGTGTGTGTGTGTGTACATATATACACACATATATACACATATATACACATATAATATACATATATACGTGTGTATATATACGTGTATATATACATATATACACATATAGGATGTGGTAGAAAATACTGCAGTAGAGGTACAGAGAATTGTGGGCAAGGAAGGATTGTTTCCAACTAAAGGAAGACTTTATAAAGAAAAGTAATTTATTGTAAAGCCTTTAAAAATATGACCAAAAAAAACCAAAAAAAAAGATATGACTTTGATAAATATCTATTTATTCATTTATTCATTATGTAAATACTATGCATCTACTGTGGGCCTCCCTACAAATTCATGCTTCTCTGTGCGCCACAACAGAGGAGGGAGGTGGAGAGTTGAGTACAGGCATCTGAAATGCTTCCAAGAGAACGTGGTATGCATCACTTCCACTCACATGGCCTTGGATGGTGCATGCCATATTTCCTGCCTTACTTTGAGAGTATGGGGAAATGCAGTACTCCTTTCTGTAACCCTGCAAGGATTGGGAACTTGGATATCCATGGCAAGTGGTAATGTCTGCCACAAGAGTCACAAGATCTGATGCACAGTATAACAGTGTTGCATTGGATGCTGTGTTGGTACCAGACTGCTGGGAGGCAAAAGTAGCAACAGAGAGACCATTTCAGAAGCAGAGTGTATTTGCCATTGCCACAGATAGGGGACTGTGAGAAAAAGAATGGGAAGAAGATCAAGAGTTTGGTTTTAGACATGTTAAGATTCAACATAGTTAGTGGAGATACTGAATAGGTAGTTGAATATATGTCTGTATTACAGAGGGTGGGTTTTTCTGGGCTGGGGATATCAATTTAGGAGTTATCAGCTGATAGAAAGTATTTAAAGCCGTAAGACTGAGATCCCAAGAGAGTAAGCAAAAATAGAGAAGAAAGGTCCAAGACTGAGGGGCCTCAACATGATGAGGTCAGAGAGATGAAGAACCAGCAAAGACAATGGAGAGGACCAGTCGTGAGGCAAGAGGACACTCAAGAAAGTGTGATATCCTGGAAGCCAGACAAAGAACATGTTTCAAGGCAGTGGGGGTTATTGTTTATGCAGTATTTGCTCTACTGAGAAACTTTTATATACTTTATGTCAGCTCATCAATACCACAATTCTGTAAGTTAGATATTGGACTCATTTTATGGATTGGAAAACAAAAGCTCAGGGAGGAGAAATTTTCACAAATTAATGTTTCTCATGTGCACCTAATTCATCTGATCCAATTCTGAACATTTTGCAGCAAGAGCTGGACTGTGAAAAGCATTTTACAAATACTATTCCTCAGACCTGGAACTTAGACAAAATTAAAGGAAATGAAGATTAGTTGCAGGGAAAGAAACCTGTTAGGACACATGAATTTTTCTTTTGCAATCCAAGATTGTTTTTCCAAGGAGAATTTTCTACTTTTTCAGGTAATCATAGTTTCTTTCTTCCTTTTCCCTTTCCTTTCCTTTTTCCTTTTCTTTCTTTTCCTTTCCTTTTTCCTTTCCTTTCCTTTTTCCTTTCCTTTCCTTTCCTTTCCTTTCCTTTCCTTTCCTTTTTCTTTTTCTTTTTCTTTCCCCTTTCCCCTTTCCTTTCTTTCTTTTTTTTTGGAGATAGGGTCTCATTCTATCACCCAGGCTGGGTGCAGTGGCACAAGCACAGCTCACTGTAGCCTCGACTTCCCAGTCTCCAGCAGTCCTCCTGCCTCAGCCTCCCAAGTAGCTGAGACCACAGGTGCATGCCACAATACCCAGCTAATTGTTTTTTGTTGTTGTTGTTGTTGTTGTTTTGAGACAGAGTCTCACTCTGTTGCTCAGGCTGGAGTGCAGTGACGCGGTCTCGGCTCACTGCAAGCTCCGCCTCCCAGGTTCACACCATTCTCCTGCCTCCGCCTCCCGAGTAGCTGGGATTACAGGCACCCGCTACTACACCTGGCTAACTTTTTTGTATTTTTAGTAGAGATGGGGTTTCACCGTGTTAGTCAGGATGGTCTCGATCTCCTGACCTCGTGATCGGCCCGCCTTGGCCTCCCAAAGTGCTGGGATTATAGGCGTGAGCCACCGCTCCCGGCCCTACACCCAGCTAATTGTTAATTTTTTGTAGAGACGGGGTCTCGCCATGTTGCCCAGGCTGGTCTTGAACTCCTGGGCTCAAGCGACCTGCCTACGTTAGCCTCCCAAAGTTCTAGGATTACAGGCGTGAGCCACCATACCCAGTCAATCATAGTTTCTTAATTGCTTGAAAATGTGATGTAATTTGACCCCTCAGCCTATGAGGAATTAGTGGATTAACTGGACTATAAATGAGCTAAATTCTATGAAAGAAAAAGGGAAAGGCGAGGTGCGGTGGCTCACACCTGTAATCCCAGCACTTTTGGAGGCCGAGGTGGGCGGATCACAAGGTCAGGAGTTTGAGACCAGCCTCACCAACTTGGTGAAACCCTGTCTCTACTAAAAATACAAAAAATTAGCCGGGCATGGTGGCATGCATCTTTAATCCCAGCTACTCAAGAGGCTGAGGCAGGAGAATCACTTGATCCTGGGAGGCGGAGGGTGCAGTGAGCCGAGATTGTGCCATTGCACTCCAGCCTGGGAGACAGAGTGAGACTCTGTCTCAAAAAAAAAGAAAAAAAGATAAAAGGGAAAATCTTCCTTAGTAGAGTGAGTTAGAATATTTAGTGTACTCCTAACCTAACCTTTGGGACATGTGCAATAAATAATTGATACAGTTTATGCTTCCATTTTGAGAATTCGTAGTGATCGGTGTTCAAAGTAACTTTTCATTGTGGCAAATAATAGTTCAGACTCCTTTCTTCTTCTTTTTTGTTTTTAGATCATGTACAAAATGAAGAAAACTATGCACAAGTTCTTGATAAGTTTGGGAGTAATTTTTTAAGTCGAGACAACCCCGACCTTGGCACCGCGTTTGTCAAGTTTTCTACTCTTACAAAGGAACTGTCCACACTGCTGAAAAATCTGGTAAGACATTTCATATGTGAGTAAAAAGAATTACAGCCTTTCCAAAATATTACGTCATATAGAGAACATTTCAATAATCCTTCCCCCTCAATCCTTGGTCCTAGGGGTGAGAAAGAAAAAACAAAAAGCTTTTTAGTCCTAGGTAACTTCCACACCTCAACTAAAAAGCTTTTTAGTCGCCTAGGATTTGCTTAAAGAAAATCCCATTGTGAAATTCCTGGAATTTGTACCTTTGGCCCAGCTGATAGAGTAGATTTATCGAAGCTGAGAGAGAAACTGCTTAACCTGAATTCTCTTCCACATCTCTACCATTGATTTTTTTTTAAAGATAACCTTTAGCAACTTTTGCTTTTTAATTGGCTAAAAGAATGATGATTTCTGTGTCGAACATACATTGGAAATACACATTGAAAGTATTATATCTCACTTGTGTGAAGGTGATCATGCATTTTGGTTTCTGATATATAAATAATGAACCTCCCTCAACTCCCCACATCCTTTTAACCCCCAACCAAGAAAAGGGTTTTGAGATTTAAGGAATCTCTGGTTTCCAAAGTAAATGACAGGAAGAATCCCTAACGATCTGAGACACTAGAGGTGCTGGCCCCGGGAGGCAGACCCAGGGATGGGGGTGGTGGAGGAAACTGTTTGCCAGGCAGTCGTGTGTGGGCATCCCCATGTTGTGCTGCAACCCCCTCCCCAGCCCTCATACCATGTGCACACTTAGAAAGGTTCTGGGTAACACCACCTGGACGGATCATTTGGATTTTGTTGGTTTTGGGGGATGAAATTATTTCTCTAAGAGCCACCCAGTGAAATAATTTAATCCTCCTAAGTCCCCAGAGAAAGGAGTACAATGAGGTTGAAAGGTGCCAAAGGAAAACTATTTATATCATGCTTTTCCAAGTTAGCCCTGCCCTGGAGAAGAGGAGCTGTTCCCTCTTCTCTCCCAGTCTCTTGGTATTGTGCTTTTACCTCCTTTAAGGATCCAGAACTCATTCTCAAGATGTCCTTAACCTAGGTCAGTTATTCATGTATCACATAGGCTTCTGTGGCCTTAGGTGATAATTTGTCATAATCCATTAGATACAAAAGGTTAGTTTACAGATGAAGATAACCTATTTGAAAAATGAAAACTACCTTTCTACACTCCATTAACCTATTTGGCCAGTTACAATATTCTTTTTCTCTGTCACAATAAATAAACGTGTGTATGTGTCTGTCTTCCTGACAGTTTTTCTAATTGGCGATGTATGCCATTGAATTAATCTTACACAGCGAATAAGCAAATCTGAAAGAAAATAAATATCGAACATAGAATTATTTATTATTTTCAAAAACTTCGGAAAGGATAATTTTGAACTTTGGCTCTAATGTTTCTGTGCTTTTGGATTTAACAAATCCATGTTTTTGTAAATCTTAGATTATATAAACCTCATTTATTCAGAAGAGCACCCTCGGTTTTCCTTCACTCTGAGCATTGCCTGCACTTTCACTGGAGGCCTTGCTCAAAGTGTGGTGTGGTAGAAAGAGAGGAAGCAAAACAAGACTGACAGTTCACTTTGGTAATAGCTGGTAAAGGACTTGCTTGGGCAGGAAGATCTGTTTTCTCTGAGATGGGTGTTTTCGCATTGATGTCTTGCTTTAGTTTCCAAGGACCAAATGTATTGGCTTAAGTCAAGAGTCATCACCTCCAAGGTTCCTGGACCAATCTCATCTCTACGGTTTGCTACGCTGCAGGTTCCTTTCAACTGTGTGTATATGTGCCATACACACAGCTCAGTGGCCATTCAGGCCAACATTCATCATCTGCGTTTGCTCACCTAATACATTTGTTTGTCTCCATACAAAACCATCTGAGATTTATTGAATGTTTTTGATGAACCTGGCAGTTTGGTGGGTGTGTTATGTAGATTATTTCATTGAAGACATTACAACAATCCTGTGGTTACTGTACCTTTAATCCAGATGAGGAAACTGAGGCAAATTGAGATATATAACTTGTTCATTTACCCTATTAGTATGTGTTACAGACTTGAACCCAAACATTCTGTCTCTGAACCCGTTGCCTTTGCTCTTCTACAATATCCTGCCTCTGTCACCTCATGCTCTGGTTGTGCTGTTTCCCTCAGCAGAAGTACTGATCAAGCTACTCCCATATACATACCTCAAGCTACAGCCCTTTTTCCACACCCACTCCCCTTTAAGGAGTAGAAGTCTAAGAAAAATCTAAAGGAAATTGCTGGAAAACCTAATTCATTTAGTAAAGGAAAACAAATTTTGCCTTTGAAAGTGGTGGTGGCATTCCTGGTGAGGGAGCCAAGTAGAAGAATCAGTTTCTACTGTAGTTTGGTTACTAAGAAAACATTATTCTGATTGAATAAAAGGCAGTCCCAGGAGTTTACACAACTTGACAACAGCCAGCAACTTTCTGCTTCCCTTTTTATGCTTTTCCTGGAAAGGGAAGAGCAAACTAGACAGATTGATAGGGCCACACCTTGGATTAGAGGGCTCCCAGAAAGCCAACTCACCCCGAGGGGGTCAGGGTTCTGGATCTTCGTGCAGCACCTGCAGCCCCCAGCTGAGCAGCACTCAACACCCTCCTGGGGCTCAGGAGTACCCCCGTGGGAACCCATACTTCTCAGAAGATTCCCAAAAATCCTGTTCTCTTAGGCTAGTGAAGGCCAGAAACGTTAAGCAAACTGATACAGTAGAAATTAAAGAGAAGGTGCTTTGGTACTTTATAGACTTTGTAAATTGTATTCCCAGTTCAACCAGCAAGTACCAAAAGTCTATTATGTTCGAAGGTCTATGCTAAATACTAAAAAATGTCATTTTCTAATTAAGTATTGCCTTTGAAGAGTATTTTAATAGTTTATACTAAATCATTACTTATTTTTATGGAGAAAAAGGAAAGGATAGATTTGCGGGCCAGGTCTCATACTAGCTTTCAGCTTTTGACTAACTCTGGATGAGAAAAACATTTGTTATTTGTTCGATGTAAGAAATCACTATTGCAGGTGTATTGTGTTTATCAGTTTCTGGGGCAGTGGTCTTAAAAAATATCAGTGCACTAAATGATGGTAACTATCTCAACCATCATTGAGATGCTTCGGGTTTTTTTCCTTTTTCTGAACTGTCTGTGATTATAGAAAGTACGATCAAGTGAGATGTTATGTGAAAACTCCCAAGGGCTACCTACAAAGATGTTGGCATTAACAGTGCATAGGGCTGAGGCTGTTTTTAATTAACCATACGTCTGAGGACTGCGAAAAGGATTGCACTTACAGCTGATTACTCTGTGAGCCCATACCGCAGTTGATGCACCAAGTCAGTTTTAAAGTAACTTGCTTTTCTTACTCCCCCCTCCTCCACATTATAGAAAATTGTTCCTATAAAAAGTTTTTCTACCTTGTAACATAGGATTCGAGAGGCTATGAAGCATAGGTGGTTGGAGGATCATGGGTTTTGGTCCCAATCACACCTGGAATCCTAGTTTCCGCCTCACCAGCTTTATAGCCTTTGGCAATTCACTTAACTTTTCTAATGCTAGTTTCCTTGTCTCTAAAAATAAATAAGAGTGACTGTTTCTTGGTAGTGGCAGGGTTTCATTGAGGTCAGAGAAGCAAGTCACTAAGCATAATACCTGACAAAAAATTTGTTTCACAAATACAAACCTTAATTGTTATTTACATCTTCTCATTTTATTTTTAAGGTAACTCAGTGTAAAGACAGCTATCAGTCATATCCCATTTTAGAGATAGATGCACCAAATCTTCAAAAAATATATACCTGCAAAATGGTGCAATTAGGGATTGAGCTCAAGCCCTGTGGCTACAGATTATGCCTTGTTTCAGTGATGCTGCCCCACGAATTACATTGCCTTGATGGATTATGTGGATGGTAAAGGCCCACCTGACACAATGACCAGGGCCTGTCCTGGTGATAATTAAACTAATGTGTGTGTTTAGCGTGCAAGGTACTTTCTTGGTTGTTTTTGTCCTTTGATTTCTCTCATTGGTGAGTTATAGCATATTGGAAAGAGTGAGAGTGTTAGATGGTAGTTCTCAAACTTTTTGGTTTTAGGACCTCAGTCTTAAAAATGACTAAGGACACTATGTGGTTTCTGTTTATGTGGACTACTTCTATTCATATTTACTGTCTTAGAAATTAAAACTGAGACGTTTTCCATGTGTATTATGTATTTTAAAATAAACCCACTTTAAAAATCTATTTTTATGGAAAAATAACTATTTTCTCAAACCAAAAAACATTAGAAGGGTGGCATTGTTTAACATTTTTGTAAATCCCTTTAAAGCCAACTTAATAGACGGTAGCTATATTTTCATGTCTACTTCTGTATTCATTTTGTTGCAATTTATTGTTTTAGTTGAGGTAGATGGGAAATAAGGCCTCATACAGATCTGTATTGGGAAAAGAGAAGAGTATTTTAAGAGCCATTTCAGGTAATCTTTGATACTACATAAAAACTTCATAAGTAGTCCTTCCTTAAATGTTATTAACGGTGTGAATCTGAAACCATGCAAATGAACATTATTTGGAAACTGTCAGCTCGTGGCAAATTCAAGTTTTCCAAAATTTTAGCTTCCACTGAAAGCTCTGTTTTTATCATTAGCAATAAATGCTATCAGTTGTTTACCTCGAGGTGATAAGCTCACTTCATTCATTTTCAAGAAAATGTTTGGCAAATACTGGAGTCCGAATAACCATAGTTTGCTAGTCTTTCTTTCAAAAAAAAAGGTGTTCCACTAAAAAAACAATGCCAGTTAGTTCAACTTGCAACTCAAAAAATTACATAAGTACTTTTCCTCAAAACAACCATCATATTTTGGTATGCCTAAAAAGGGCTTTATGCATACTTCCTATTTCATCAAACAGAACATTGAAAAGATGCATTTGAGGGTCAAGATGTGATAAAAATCCATTTTTACTTTTTCATTATGGGTATTCTTAAATGAAAATAGCCTTTCTTTTTTTTTTTTTTACTGTAAGAGCAAGACCATGAAGAATACAGTAACTTTAGTTTGTAGCAGTGCCTTGATTTATGCTTAAGACAACAGCTGTTTTACTCACTGTTGCTTTTACACTGTCAGTGCAAATGTCAACACAGTGAAAGATTCAGATAACCTCTTAGTATTATTGTGAAAATAGTTTGGACCTTGGGAACCTCTAGGGGCCTAGGCGCCATACTTTGAGAACCACTGGTGTCAGAAATTGAAGGCTTTGTTATGATTCCAACCCTACCGTTAAGTAGGTTAATGTTGCCTAACTTACAGACGTAAATTTCCTCACTAGTAGAATGGGGAAAGTACTTTTTCTGCATACTTTATTGGTTGTGTAGGGATCAAATCATACCATTCATGTGAAAAATATTGTAACCTGCAAAGTCCTTTGTACACACTGGATTATTATAGTATTAATAGGCTACATTAATATTAGTATTACTATGGTATTAATAGCCACTATAGGGGACTTTGTATTATAAAAAGAACACATGCCTACAGGGGAATTGCAATTTCTCTTTCATATTCCCCCTAATCAAAGATAACTATAATTGACACTTGGAGTTTATCTTTCTAGTCCTTTTGTCTGTACCTCTTTTTTTTTAGGGGGATGGCAAATAGATGAAATGACATGTTCTAAGCAATTTTGAATTTGCTAGATTTCATGTAGTACTGGAACTAGAGCAGACACACTTTCCCAAGTTGAGTCAAGTCATAGATTCAGAAGTTCAAAAGAATATGACTTATCCGAGAGCCCCATGTAATGAATTCCTCATCATTGGCAGATCAGCCTTCATCCTCATTGCAGCCTCATCCCCTTCTAGTTGTGAGAGCCAATGCGGTGACATCTGCGGAATGGCAATCCAACTACTGGGGCAGGAAGATGATCGAAGATGACCCAAGTACGTGCAAGATCTTTTGTCTTTTACATCCACGTTCTTTATACCCCTGTAAGCTTTTATTGCCTTAAAGTGAAAAAAAAAAAGTTCCCTAAAAGAGTGACTTTAAATAAGATAACCTTGCCATCTGTGTATTTTTATGACTAAAGTCAAAGTCATCCAAAATTACAAAGATGGAGAGCAGATCAGTAGTTACCAGCGGTTAGGAAAGGGAGCAGCAGTGTAACCTGAGGGAGTTGCTTTGTATTGATGGAACAGTTTGATAACTTGGTGGTGGTGATTGTTGTAGTTATCTATACATGTGACAGAATGCCATAGAACTATACACAAAGACATACCAAAACAATGAATGCATGCAAAAATGGGGGGAATTCTAGTAAAGTCTGTGGCCTAGTTGTCTTGCACCAGTGTCTGTTTTTTCGTTTTGATAATGTACTGTTTAACATATATAAGATGTTACTATTGGGGGAAGCTGGTTGATGGGTACAAGGGACCTCTCTACTAGTTTTACAATTTTTTGGTGAGTCTATAATTTTTTCAAAATAAGTTTAAATAAAAGTATAACCTATCAAATTATTATCAAGGAGAGAAAAGTAGGGGAAAGTGTTTAGTATACATTGTTACATAAAAATTTCAGCATAAAACAAATGTGCAGAACACAAATCAAACTCACTTCCTGATACTCTTTGAGCCAACTGATCTGCAGTCCTCAGTCCTGCTTCCTTCGCACTTTAATAGGTTTTCTAATTTCTTCCTCTAATTGAAGTCCTATATGTGGTTGCTATTCCATAAAAGTAGGAATGATTAGCTATTTCCTCCCAGAAGTGAGTCTAGTTGTCATGATTGAATATATCTAGGGAATGCTGCCTCTTAGTGGTGAGAAGCCAGAGAAATGTGGACAAGATCTATTCTATTGCTGTTGTTTTTACTATATTTGTGGCATACTTACAAGTGCATGGGTTTTGATTTTTAATGAGGCCTGTATTAAAATACTCAGCATCTTACTTGTGTGGGCTTGTTGAGTTCTTTGAGTCTTGGTTTCTTCATTTTTGTAAAAAGGGTTTAGTAATCCCTCCTTGTGTTCATTTATGATTCATTCTGTTACTTATTAGGGTTCTACATAAGCACTGTGGGTAGGCTGTAGGGATGCAGCAGTAAGAAGAACACAGACAAGGGCCGTATCCTCTTGGAGTTGCCATTCTGGTGGCATTTTTAGAAATAATTTATGTGAAATACCTATGAAAGCATTCAGTTCGTAGCATGTACTTAACAGATAATGACATTTTTAAAAACATTTTTTAAATATTTATTTAGTTGCCTTGCAATCTCTCTAAACTTATCCTTCCTCTCATTAAAGATGCCTTCCTAATCAAAGCCAACTCCAGACATAACAAACGATTTGTTGTTCATGGAATATATACCATTTCACGCTTCCATGCCTTTATAGATTCCATTCCTTCCACTTTGAGTGCCCCTTAGTAGTTAGTGTATTAATAATAAAGACTTTCTTTGCAATGCAGCTTTCTTGTTTAAAAAAAGAAAAAGGAAGCAGAATGCTCTTGAGTTTTAGCTGTTTCTAAGTGGTTTTGTTATATGTTTGATTAAATGTATAGTACTGAAAAATTACGTTCAACCTTTTTTTTTTAACCATGAAAAGGAAACCAATAAAATCATTACTTGCTAAGCAATGCTGGGTCTGCTCTACTCCTGGCATCAGGCATCATTCCTGTGATCCTAGCAAAGAAGTTAAGGAGTCAGCAGAGATTTGCATCCATTTAATACCAAAACCGCAAAATGGGTCAGGAAAGGAATAACTGGTGGATTGAAATAGATTCTCAATGGACAGAGGAAAACCATTTAAATGCCATACCCTTTGAAAGTCCCAAGGCAGCAATGGTTTTAGAAAATGTATATAAATTATTTTTTAAATAGTGGGAGTCACCCGGAAGTATTCTAGGTCAGCCAGGACTCACCATGCATCTGGTTTCTTCTCTCCGGAGGCCTTTGGACAATTCTATAGCTTGCATAAGAGCTTGAGTCTCATTAAACAGTTGGAGGGCAGTTATTGCTTCAGAGCTGTTGAAGCAAAGCAAAGATTTCTCCATCTGCATAGCATTTCCTGTTTGCAATCTCTGACTGTAGGGTATTGTGGTTTGTGTTAAAGTTGTTTTTTTTTTTATTTTTCTTCTTTTCTTTCCCCTCAAATAAGAATATCTGATAATGTACAGGTTGGATCTAGATTTGTAGCCAGCAGATTATTTCTCAAGTTCTTCTTTGAAATGTTAAAAAGTATGGAGAGCATGGATGTGCCTAATGGTAAAATTGGTAGCTTCTGGGTGCCCTGAACTATATAATGCATTTTTAAAACCTTATCTTTTAAAAAAATGGTCATCAATCATTGGCAGTTTTCAGCGTTTGATCTACCAGGTATCCCCTTATTTCCTGACATGCCTCACTGCCTCACTACCAATTAATACTGTGGGACATTTTGTGAAATGTGATCTATCCATGTGGGTTGGTGGGTGGGTAAGAGGGAAAGGTTTATTTTTAACTCCTTCTATTTAAAAAATCATACATATTTATTATAAAAATTTGAGATATATGGAAAATTTTAAAATAAAAATTATAATTCTAGCTTCTGTTAATATTTAAGAGTAGTATTTGAAACAATTTTATGGATTTGTACACAGAGATACTGCTGATTTGCATAGATATCTGCAGGTATAGGTATATATCTCATTCAGGTCCAAAATCCTTGGGGTTAGATTTGTTTCAAAATTCAGAGTTTTACCGATTTCAGAAGGGTGACAGGGTGTACATGCCTTATATTATGCAGCACACCCCCTAGTGACTTCTTGGGAAGATGCTTATAATTAAACACAGTTTTGTGTCTGCAGTGAAACTTGAATATTCACATGAAGTCTGATATATAAAGACTATTAGGTGCCCCACCTCAAGTCTAGTCAAGAGATTACCAACCAAATGGAGTCAGAACAGGTTTTGCTATTAAGTGAGTTTAAGCTAAAAAAAAAAAAAAAAAAGCCGTGTATTTTATATATATATATGCAAATTTGCTCTAACAGGCTGCATACTGTTTCATTGTATATCTGTACCATAACTGATTATTTGAATTTTCTGTTTGTCAATACAGGTATACCTTGTCTTAAATACATCCAATAAACAGGTATCCTAGTGTATATATACCTCAGGCTGAATTTGAATATGGTTTTTGTTTTTTTTTTTTTTTTTTCTTATAAGGATTCACATTCAGTGTTTCAAGGTAGGATTTCAAATAATACATTTTAAATAGGATTGCATTTTCAGCTTGTGGCTTTTGCATGTTGTTCATAGCACTTGTCTAAAGGGTGTATGCACGCGATATGTGTACGTGATTGTCTAGTATTATTTCACTTACATTTGGTATAGAGTTTTGGTTCTATGTGAGAGGAAGGAAGAAGGAAAAGGGAGAGTGGAGAAGGGAGAAGAAAAACCATCGCTTATTGGAGCAAAGTTTCATTGACCATAAGAAAAGATTGAACTTTAAGAATGATTGGTACTGGAATGCTTTATGCTGTCTCTAACATTTTGCTAATCAATATCTCTTTGATAAAAGAGCTGGTCTCACCCTCACAGCCTTAAGGCAGGTGAAGTTTTCATTATTTTTATTTTTATGGTTAACTTTTACTATACAAGTAATTCTGATAACAGGAGCTTGTCTTTATACTGTGGTGACTGTATGCCAGGCACTGGCACTTTGAGTACTTTACATGTTTTATTGGTTAAGATAGGCTAGGATATACTGCAGTAATACATGAACCCCCAAATCTCCATGGCTTAACATGGTTTATTTTCTTCTCGTGTGACATGTCTACTGAAGGGATCTGTTCTGCTTAGCAACAGCAACTCAGAGACTTAGACGCATGGAAGCTCCCCCTTCTCTACAGGGGAAGAGAGAGACTAGAGAAGCGTATGCATACTTTTCACAGCTTTCCTAGGTGTTGTAGTTCATTGGTTTGAACTGTGATCTTGGCCCCACCTACCTAGCTGCAGGAGACCTGGAAATGGGAGGGAGCAGGAGCTGCAGGAGACCTGGAAAGGGGAGTATTTGGTGAGCATTATCCTCTGCCTCATCTGTATGTAGCCTCATTTACTCCTCACAGCAGCCCTACCAGGTAGTAACCATAGTTACCCTTATTTAAGAGCTCACAAACTGAGTCACAGAGCATTAAGTAGATCTCAGATTCAGCATTCAAACCCAGGTGGTCTGCTCTAGGGCATCGGTCCCCAACCTTTTTGGCACCAGGGACCGGTTTTGTGGATGACAGTTTTTCCACATACAAGAGGGTAGCCGGGAGGATGGTTTCGGGATGATTTGAGCACATTACATTTATCATTAGATTCTCATAAGTAGCGTGCAACCTAGATCCCTTGCATATGCAGTTCACAGTAGGGTTCCGTCTCCTATGAGAGTCTGATGCTGCCCTTGATCTAACAGGAGGCGGAACTCAGCTTCGCTCAATAGCCCGCAACTCACTCCTGCTGTGTGGCCTGGTTCCTAACAAGCCACAGACCTGTACCGGTTCGTGGCCTGGGGACTGGGGACCCGTGCTCTAGAGTATGCTGTACCTCCTCGCAAAAGATATGGACATCCTGTTTTGGACATAATGTAAAATTTACTTTTAAATTAATTTAAGTTAAAAGTTGTATTGATTTAAAAAACAGCAATTAAAACATAGACAATGATGTTACAAAGATAAGGCAAACACTGATTGGAGAGAATTAACAGCCTTCTGTCTGCATGATCTTTGTCCCAGAAGCCTCCAGAGCTCTTTCTTTAGGCCCAGATCTGGAAGTACATTGCAAACAGCAAATGCAAGTCTTTTTCTCTTTTCCTTTCTTAACAGAAAATTCTGTCAAACTCTGCCCCACATTCACTTCTTCCACTTCTTTCCACTCCACATTCCCTTCCACTATTCCTTGATTTCCCATTTTCCATCCCAGGCATAACCTTTTATCTGGATCTCCCACTCTTCCTAGCCGATTCAGATTAAATGTTCTGTCTTGAGCTGACTTTGGATTCCTCTGCACAATGTTGCCTGAGTCTCTCCTCACCTCCACATACCATGGCCCTCAGACAAGGCCACCACTCCAGATCTGGACTGTTGGGAGGTCCTACAGCCCAGCCTGGTGCTTTTTTCAGGGCTGATGTTAGCCAGCACCGGGAAACACGGGTTAGTGAGGGGAGCATGGCTGGACTTCAGGCTTCCCTTGTACAAGCCAGGTGGGTGCTTTGAGCCATGTACACCCTGCACAGCCGTACACAGTGGCCATACTGTGTCCAGTGCATCTGGCATCTTCTTGCCTGGGAGCAAGAGTATAAAGAAACTTGTCCAATGCAGTGCTTTCTAATTTATTTGAGCATGGACTTTGTTGTTGTATAAGAAACATTGACTTTTCATGGAACCACTTCAGAAAATGCTGATTTAGATGTTTTGCTGGACCAGGTGATCCATTTCATTTGTTGTTGTGTGTGTTTTTTTTTTAATTCAAATTCACTTCTGCCCTCCAACAATTTATTTCTAATTTATATTTCAGTATGTAATTTCTCATTGTTTTTAAGCTGGTTGCCACTTCCCCTTTTCTTTTCATTTTAGATTATACTGTATGGTAACCCCTTAGGGTTAAACATGAAGAAATGGCCCGCTGATGCAGTCTTGAACTAGTATCTGACTACATCTTTCAGTAAAAATGAGTGGATCTTTTCATTGACATATTGCCACAGATATGTTAAGCAACTGAAAATTCAGAAAATTGGCAGAAATAGCTTGACTTTGAAGTTGGATATAATTGAGTTCTATCTCTGCTCCACCACCTCCCAAGCTAGGTCACCTGAGGCAGATTCATTCATTCACTCATTCATTCCTCTAGAAAGCAAGAGTATCTAAGAAGGCTTTACAGAGGAGGTACCCTTTATCTGAGCCGTAAATTATCAAGAGATATTCATGAAACGCTGTTCTCTTAAGCTAGCAGAGACTGTTTTCATAAGTAGAAACATTAAATAATATTAAGCAATGGTTGATATACTTGATAAAGGGTGAGGTGAAAGTCTATACTTTAGTAGTAAGAAAGAAACTTCCTATGAAGTGTGTTCTTATCTCTGCCAGCAGTTACCAAGTGCCCACTCTGTTCCAGAATCTGTGCTAAGACTGTCATTTTCTATGTGAGAGATTGCTTATACATAATATTTTAATAGTTTACCCTAAAGCACTACTTAATTTTACAAGGAAAGATGGACAAAGGTATAGGACCAGACTTTTAAAACATTGTGCTTTTGGTTTCCCACAAGTGGGGTTTCCTGGCAGCAGCTGGCATCACAAATGTAATATCTAAGAAGATTCCTTTTCTGCAAGGGAAGCTTTGAAATATATCAAACAACTGCCTATCACAGTTACCATTTAGGTGGATTCTTTGACTTCTGAAAAATTTAATGAGGATTAAGTGAAATAAGTCTTAAAACATGAAGATGTAGACCAAGCAGACAGGGCAGGGCTTTCCAAGCAAAGGGAGCAGAGATGGCTTTGACCTCCTGTCAGTTAAATGAAGACAATAATGTCTACTATGAGACATTACTATGTCACCCTAGTACGTGGTAAGCCCTGTGTGCTTGCATATGTTTGTTGAATTTTTTAAATTGTGTTAAGAAGGTGTGTCCTGAGTAAAAGATATTGCAAAACATTTATCATAATCTGTGATAAAGATGTTGAGTGAAAGCAAGGAAAATGTGATCCGATGTTACAGTGTGGTTTTATTCTAGGGAAAAAGAACAAATTGTAGATGCCATGCGTGGAAATGAAATTAAAGGTCTGAAAGTTGATCATGAACTAACTGATTATCATTTTAAGTACAACAAAGAAATCCTTAGGATAGGGATATCTTTCTCAAACCAAGGCCTAGCCATATAGCACACCCCCTCCTTTTACTTTCTCCTTTGTCTTGGTCTTATAAATCCTAGCTACTTCCCCTTTCCATATAATTATCGTCAAATGAAATCAGATGCTGCAGATAATGCACAGGGAAATGGTACTTTCATTTTCACTTGATGTAGGAGATGATGTTAAATCTAACCCACCATTTACTAAATTGAATTAGATAAAATATAATTGCATTATTTTAAGTTAAGGAATTCTCATATTCCCTGGTACTCTTAGACCTACCCATTTTTCTTTCTAGCATTTCCAGTAAAATGTACTTTATGAGTAAATTCAGTCTTGTCAGTCCCGAGTGCCTTTAGCACATGGTGTAATTTGTCTTGCATTTTTCCTTGGGCCTTTCCCAGATCTTCCAGAGCAGTACCTCTGTTCTTCATTGTAATTATGCCTTAGACCATAGGCAAGTGATTTCTGCTCTCTGGCTGTAAGTCTTTCCTTCTCTAAAGGAACTTTGGTTTTTCTTCCACTTGGACAGCCTTTAGTCTAAGGCAGTGGTTCTCACACTTGATCTTGCATCCATTTCACCTTGAGAGCTTGTTAAAACTTAGGTTGCTGGGACCCACTCTTGGAGTTTCTGATTAATTAGGTCTGGGATTTCATAACCAACAAGTTTCCAGGTGATATTGACACTACTGATTTGAGGACCACACTTTTGAGAACCACTAGGAAGGATTGTCACTCTGGACAGAGATCCAGAATTTCCTAGTGTTACGGAGAAGCTGCAACTGTTTTTCTCTCCAGATTCACTTTTATATTAATTGTTTTTACTTTTATACATGACATCTGATTTACATCTTTATCACTGAATAAAGAACAAGTTGAATGAGAAATAGGCTGCTGGTTAATTATATCACCCTCTTGTGATTTTGCATCATGTTTCTTTTTAATAACTTTGTACGTACAAAAATAATACCACTTCATTGTTGAAAACTCAGAAAATGTAGGGAGAAAAAGACTAAAATAAAAATCAACAGTAATCTTATCTGTTATGGAGTGTGTGTATGTGTGTTTGTGTGTACACCCTCTGTCTTTCTAAACTTTTTGCTGTTTAAACATCTTTTTTCTCGTATTTTTAAAGTCATATAATTTTTTTAACATTGGGTTCATACTGCAGTGCTATTTTATACTGTGGTTTTCCACCGATAACATTTTGAAAATGTTTTCCTGTTTTGTAAAATACTGCAGCCTAAGAACCTTTGCTTAGTTGGAAGCCATACAACCTCTTAAATCAAGGCTTGTTTGTGCAGGGTTTGGAGAAAGGATCCTCTCCCCCATTACCCCTGGCAGTCTCCGAAGAGGGGTCTGCAGAACCCAGAGGCACATTCTAAAAACTGTATAGAATGCCCATCTTATATTTGCACTATAATTTATTTACCCAACTTCCTGTTTTGAATATTTCTATTGTTTCCATTTACCACTGTCCAAAATGTAATAGTTTGAAATCTCTACACATCTCATGATTATATATTATTTAGTTACTGGTTGTCATTACTCCATTAATTCAGTTTGTAATGCTTTTGCTTCTCCTCCTTCCCTGTCATTTAAGAGTCAAGAAGTGGGGGAAAACTGCCAGTAGCCCAAGGCCCTGGTAGGTCATAGTTGGTGCCTTGCTCTGATCAAATTAAGATGCTCACTTTGTTGAAATATTTCAGACTTTTTCAAAAAGTTATGTTTATACTGTGCCAGAAGTTTCATAGTGAACATTGTGGATGGACTATACTAAAAAATTGAGAATTGTTATAAGAATTATGAATGGACTTTTCTAACTCTCCGGCTTTACCACAGAACTGTTTGTTTGTTTGTTTTTGTTACTTTGTTGAGTTGGGGACCAGGGCTGCCCTGTCTCTGAGGCAGTTTGAGCATCTCCCTATAGTTCTCACCCATTTGAGGTGGAATTTTTTCTGCTTTATTCAGTTGTATCTCAGTAGCTCATTTTAAGCTGTAAGAGTGTTACAACTGGAAGGTACCTTAGAGGTCTTTTTAGAGACCTCACACTTTATTGATGCCAGAAACAAAAAGTGACCTGCCTAAACATCCACAGCTGGTTGGAGACAGGTTCAAGTCTAGAACAGGTCTCCTGACCTTCATTCTTTCTTCTCTTCTTGCCAGACAAAGCCTAACAGCTGCAGGATGGGAGGGGTACCCTTGGTTTGTCACTCCCAACCATATCCTGGGAGCAGTTCTAACTCTTCTGTCCCTCTCCTGAATCTAGCCCCTTCCCCCATTCTGGTGCTGAGCACTCCAGGACGACCAAAACTGGTTCAGGTTCTATAACACTTGATGTTTCAGAGCAGTCCTTCTGATTTGGAGAGGAATTCATTCATCCATTTACTTAATCAGTAAGCATTTTTATTTGGTGTATAGAACAAGTCAACACTTTGCTCTAGGAGTTTGATGTAGCTCAATGGTGGGCAAAGCAGTCATAGCCTCTGCCTCCAAGAAGCTTTGCTCTAGACAGTAAAGGAACACACGGATAATTGTAAAGTGCAGTACTCTGTGAAAGTGAGCCTATTCTGCCACTGGTCCAGAGTAACAGGAGGTTAGGGAGAAGGGACTTATTTATTATTTAGAATGGTCAAGGCCTCACTGAGAAAGTGACATGGAGACAGAGGAAGAGTGTTCCAGACAGAGTAAAGCACGTGCAAAGTGGGAGAGATCTCTGTGGGTTGAGAAGCCAAAAGGAGTTGTAGTGCAGTGAGAATGGGTAGAGGGACTCAAAACAGGTTGGCAGGGCCAGAGCTAAATTGGGAGCTTGGATATGAGTGTAGTTCAGTGGGAAGCCAATGATGGGTTTTAAGCAGGAGAGTGATATAATCTGGTAATCACTTTAAAAGATCGCTGTAACAGCAGAGCACAGAGGAAATGAGAGTGGCCTTTGGAGTCAGTAAAAACCTTAATTAATAACCTGATCATCTGCTTTACTCACTGTTTGACCTTGGGCGAGTTACTTAACCTCTCTAAGCCTGTTTCCTCGTTAACCTAGTGAGACTAAGACCCATCTTACAGAGGTGTTGTGAGCAATATCTTTAGATAATATATGTTAGATACAGTACCCTCTGTCATTTAAATAAAATTCATGCTGTTCTGCCTAGATTAGAACACAGTATAATGGGCTGCATTATCTTACAGTTTATGGAGACTGCCTTGCAGACGAGGCAGGGAGGCAGGAACTGTGAGATGGAGAGAATGTGGTGCAATAAAAAGGAAATTTTGGAGCTCCCCATCCCAGCCTTAAAAGTACCTGAAATGCCAGCTCATTATCATTTTTTCACCACTACTGCTGAGCTTTTCAAGTGTAAAGAATCTTATGATTCAACATGACGAAACCCTGTCTCTACTAAAAATACAAAAATCAGCTGGGTGTGGTGGCAGGTGCCTGTAGTCCCAGCTACTCAGGAGGCTGAAACAGGAGAATCGCTTGAACCCAGGAGGCAGAGGTTGCAGTGAGCAAGGCTGCACTCCAGCCTGGATGACAGAGTAAGACTCTGTCTCAAAAAAAAAAAAAAAAATCTTATGAAAATAAACCTAGTTAAATTTGATTAAGGGGTATTATGTAGTTGTTGTGCCAAACCCCTAGCCTCAGTAGGGAAGGCACCAGGTTCAAGAGGCCGAAGAAAAGACCCAGAGCCAGCAAATGAGACATGGGGTGTATTAGGGGCTTACATACAGGGGAGAGAGTCCAGTGGCAGCAGGCTGAACAAGAAAACTTCACCCACTAGTGAACAGCACGTAGCTTATATAGGATTTTCACTTAACACTCCCCTTAATGACTTCCATCTGGCAACCTTCATGGAACCCAAAACTCAGGGCCTCAATCTTCTGTATGGCCTGTGTTCCACAGTTCGGGCCGGGGACTTGGACGTTTCTCATAGACAAGGAACTAATTTCTGTGATTACTACTCCTGGGATTCCCTAACTCAGAACACACATTCAGGTGCATCTGCCACAGGGTCATTCTAAGGGTGTGCTTAAGTTACTGCTATCAGGGCACTTGCCCTACAGTAGTGTCAGGCATTTTGCCTGTATTTGCATCCACTGTGTCTCAGCTAACTGCGTGTGTTTGGCCAAGTTATTTAGTAATACCTTGTAGGGTTACCAGGAGCAGCTAATGAGACTGTGTGTAAAACGAGCCACCTCTGTGGCCTGGAATAAAGTGGAGCTTCATTGGTGTCAGTTCTTTTCTTTTCTTTTTTCTTTTGAGACAGTCTGTTCTGTCTCAAAAGGTCTCATTCTGTTGCCCAGGCTGGAGCGCAATGGCATGATCTCAGCTCACTGCAGCCTCAACCTCCTGGGCTCAGGCAATCCTCCCACCTCAGCCTTCTGAGCAGCTGAGGTTTAGGCATGCACTACCAAGCCCAGCTAATGTTTGTATTTTTTTGTAGAGATGAGGGTTTCACCATGTCGCCTAGGCGGGTCTCGAACTCCTGAACTCAAGCAAACCACCTGCCTCAGCCTCCCAAAGTGCTGGAATTACAGATGTGCCACTGCACCTGGCCCGTTGGTGTCAGTTCTGTCTCGATCCACTGACACTGGCATGGGCTAGTTCAGGAAGGTGCTGGGACACCAGCAAGGTTAAACGGTTTTCCCAGTTCACGCAGGCCGGGAGTGATGAGTGGCCACATGCCTCTGGGATTCTTTGCTCTGTATCACAGTACCTTGGAAAGCAGCCTAATGACGAGGCATCAGTTTTATTTTTATTTAGTTTTATTTTTTGACCTGCCACTTCAGGAGGCACCAGTTTTAAATAGCTTCAAGGTATTATAACTCTGTAGGGCATGAAGGAGTTAATATACTAGACAGAATACCCAGTTTATACCAGGGAATCGCAGACTTAACTACTGGGAGCTGGCTCATTATTTTAATTGGATTTTCCAATGCGTTGAGCAAGTCAGCAGATTTGCATTAGCCTTACTTTCAGAGAAACTGTTTCAGTTATGGAGAGAGAGAGAACCAATGGGCAGTGGAGAGGGAATGTCAAGATTAATGCAAGATGACAAAGCAAGCAAATTATGTCCTCATTAATTAATACAGTCTTGTGTGCATGTAGGTGTCCTGGAAGTACCATTTGTAGAGCTGTGCTCTGCTCTTCTGTCAGAGGCAAGAAAAAACGAGGCCCTGCTGACTGACTGTCTTTCTGCCAGTTGGCTGCTCCAGCAGGACAGGGTGGCTTGTTGGGGTGAGCCCTCCCTTAAGGGCACTCCACCTGCAGGCCCATAGAGGGGCTTGGAGCTGAGTTGGGCAGTATTCAGGCAAGCCAGAAATGATAGTACAGTGTGACCTACAACTTTTTTTTTTTTTTTTGAGATGGAGTTTCACTCTTGTCACCCAGGCTGGAGCACAGTGGCGTGATCTCAGCTCACTGCATCCTCCACCTCCCAGGTTCAAGCGATTCTCCTGCTTCAGCCTCCTGAGTAGCTGGGATTACAGGTGCCTGCCAACACACCTGGCTAATTTTTGTATTTTTAGTAGAGATGGGGTTTCACCACATTGGCTAGGCTGGTCTCGAACTCCTGACCTCAGGTGATCCGCCTGCCTCGGCCTTCCAGCGTGCTCGGATTACAGGCGTGAGCCACTGTGCCCGACCTACAACTGCTTCTTGATTCCTTCTTTGGGATCTGATCAGTTAGTAAACAAAATAGATACAGGGCCTCCCCTTAAGAAGCAAACCTTCTAGTGAAGAAAGATGATAAATCAGTAAACAATAAGTGAGATCATTTCTTTTAGTGGTAAAGCATAAAGACATTTTAAAAATCAGAGCAGAAGATGTATGTTTATATATACAGAGGGAAAACTGTTTATGAAGTCATCTCCAGTGACTAGGATAACGGGCTATTTGTATACTGCTGGCAGTGTTGAAGCAATTGTAAGGAATAAACGGCTATTTTTGTCCAGTTTAATATTAATTACAGTCACTTGCTTCCTTAAGCCCCTTTTGCATAATGAAAGATAGACCTCGGCCTCCCTCTGTTTGATTTACTCCAAATTTCTGGTTAGGCTTGATGTATGTACTAGCAGGGGGAATACCTCTTCTTTGAGGAAAGAAATTTAGAAGCAATTTGTGCAGAAAGCAAAAATATTTACCATACCTAAATATCATTCTGGAATTTTTTTTTTAAGAGACAGGGTCACACTCTATCACTCAGGCAGTGGCAGGATCATAGCTCACTGTAATCTTGCAGTCCTTGCCTCAGCCTCCTGAGTAGCTGAAACTACAGGCGTGCGCCATCATGCCCAGCTCATCTTTTTTTTTTTTTTTTTTTTTTTCCTAAAGAGATGGTGGAGTCTTGCTATACTTCCCAGGCTGTTCTTGAACTCATGGGCTCAAGCAGTTCCCACACCTTGGCCCCCGCCAATTGCTTGGATTACAGGCATGAGCCACCATTCCTCGTCCTGAAATGATTTTAAATGTGTTGTTTGCTTAATAAAATGAAAAAAATGCACTTTAAAAAACATACCCTTCGACTTCTTATAGACTTGAATCATGTAAAGAACTTATGTTAATTCAACTTAATGAATAAAGGAAAGGAAATGATTTGGAAGTTGAGTAAATGGAGATAGAGTAATCAATAGAATTTTAGTAAAATCAATGGGAAATAATTATATAATGGATTTGAAAAGCTTTTTTAAAAATTTATTGAAGATAATGAAGGTCATACAGGAAGTTTACTGATACTGTTATTGTATTATGTCGGCTGTATTGTAAGTGCCTTGGAGATGACTGTTACACATCAGTTTGCAAAACTCTTGCTCAGGTCATATAAAGGAGGGGCCCCCAACCCCTGCTGACTCATTGTCTTTGTTAGGAACCTTGCTGCATAGCAGGAGGTGAGCGGTGGGTGAGCAAGCATTACCTCCTGAGCTCCACCTCCTGTCACATCAGCGGTGACATTAGATTCTCAAAGCAGCGCAAACCCTGTTGTGAACTGTGAATGTGAGGGACTTAGGTTGAACACTCTTTATGAGAATCTAATGCCTGGTGATCTGAGGTGGAAGAGTTTCATCCTGAAAACAGCTCCCCCAACCCCTGCCATCTGTAGAAAAACTGTCTTCCACAAAACCAGCCTCTGGTGCCAGAAAGGTTGGGGACTGCTAATATAAAGGATTCCTGAAAGAACTATAGAAGTGAAAACACAGGAAATTTGTAGAATCCCATGACTGTGAAGTCATATACTCCATCTTCGTGGCACAATAATCACCTAAAATAACTGAGAGAATAGGTTTTCTGTTCTTTGAGATCTCCAAGAAAGGATTTTTTTTTTTTTGCTCCCCCCAGTGAATATTTCCTAAAATTTCCTCCTCTTGAGATTGGTTTGCTTTCTCTTTAACCTTTCTTTGTGCCTTTATAATGACAAAGGTAATTACTATTCACTTGTCACTTAAAATTTTCGTTGCTGGTTTTTTTAATTAACCTACGTTTTCCTGGGAAGTTAGTTGGAAAGACTTTGTAAATTTAAATTTTATTTTTCCTGTAGCCTTTTCATTGACTAGTCACTGGGAACATTCTGAATTCATAATAACATGTTTTGCGTTCATGATTTCTTATCAGCCCTCAAGAATGTGTGTAGATAACCACGGAGAAATTCTTAATTCTTGGGGTTTTCTATCTTCCCCTCATGCCTAACCACAATGATGACATTAAAAAGTTACTATGTGTGGCGGAGCATGGTTGCTCACGCCTGTAATCCCAGCACTTTGGGAGGCAGAGGCGGGCAGATCACATGAGGCCAGGAGTTGGAAACCAGCCTGACCAACAAGGGAAGACCCCATATCTGCTTTTTAAAAAAAAGGATTTACTGTTTGTGTTTGGTGTGTGGTCAGTACATGATTTGAGGCACTTTTTGTTTGGAACAACCTGCACATTCAGTACTAACCACAGAGTTTCATAATTCTTTAATTGTTATTTTATAATACAGCCTTTCAGATCAAGGTACTAATAACATTAATGTATTTTTTTTAATTTGCTGCTTCATTTCACAAAGGATTTGAGGCATTGATGCAAACCGTAATTTGGAACAAAGAGTTGAAAAGGGGTTATTTATAATCACTGTCTTTTCATATTTTGTTTTAAATTTTTGACTTTTTAAATAAACAACATATTACATATTACAATTTTTTTAAAATGCAAAAATCTCCTCTCCCACCCTATTTCTTTGCCCAGTTTCCAACCCTGGAGGAAATTGGTATCAACAGATTTCTGTGTATTATTTCAGAAATAATTAAAGCAGAGAGTTTTTTGGGGGTTTTTTTTGTCTTTTGTTTTTTGGGGTTTTTTTTTTAGATGGAGTCTTGCTCTGTCACCCAGGCTGGAGTGCAGTGGCACAATCTTGGCTCACTGCAACCTCCACCTCCCAGGTTCAGGCGATTCTCCTGTCTCAGCCTCCCAAGTAGCTGGGATTATAGATGTGTGCCACCATGCCTGGCTAATTTTTGTATTTTTAGTAGAGGCAGGGTTTCATCTTGTTGGCCAGGCTGGTCTCAAACTCCTGACCTCAAGTGATTCGCCCGCCTCGGCCTCCCAAAATGCTGGGATTGGAGGTGTGAGCCTGGCCTTTTTTCCTCCTTGTTATGCAAATTCTTGCATACCATAAGTAATGTTTTATACCTTGCTTTTATCACATAAATATTTATCTTGGAGATATTTTCAAAGTGAAGCATAAAGAGCTTTCTCGTTTTTTTTGGCTGTTGTTTAGAAACTCTGTAATTTATTTAGCCAGTGCCCTATTGATAGGCACGTAACTTTCCATCAGTTATAGATAGCCCTGTAGAGAAGAACTTTGTACACAAATGATTCTGTATTTCATTTCTTCTGCAAGTATTTTTTGAGCACCCTCTCTGTGCTAGGCAGTGTTCTGGGAATATAGCAGTGAGCATATTGACCCCTCTCTCAAACTGGCAACCAGGCTGGGGAGACAGCAACAAATAGGGAAACAAACATATATACAAATGGGTAGGGATGGTAAGTGCTTTGAAGAAAAATAAGGCAAGGATCTCCGTGAACAGAGGAAAAGTAGGCAATGGCTTGGCTAGTGAAGGCAGGTCAGGCCCCCCAACCTTACTTACCCACCATCCATCCAAACTTCTAAGGCCCATAGGATAGGAGGATGCTAGGGAATTGTACTCCAAGAATGAAATTGAGGACTCAGAGCAAATTATTTCAGCTATCTGTGTAGAATAGAGGGTGAGTCCTATTAATCTTCATATTTTCAGTCTCAGACCCAGTTAGTGTTGCTCAACCTTTTTTTTCCTCATTATGATCCAAAGCCTTCCTCCTTTTCCCCAAGAGCCTTTTTAGACATAGTCCCCCATCGCTCCCCCCCGTGAAATTTTAATACAGCTAATAGACATAGTTGATATCAGTTATATACTGTGGCCCTTTGGAGGGCCACAGACAGTTATAACAGCTAAGATTTTTTGGTTTTTTATTTTTTGCCCCACTCCCCAAGAACCAGTGTCTTAGAGCCTCACAGAATGTAGACTCTCAGACTATAGCTCTCTGGTATGCCAGCCAGTCTGTTGGTGTGTGATTGTTGGCAAAATCACAGACAGAATTGTCTTGGTAGAAATCCCTTTGTCTTTGAAATAAGAAAGAAGTGATTGTTTCTTAGATGTGTGTCACCAGAGAAGCCCTCTGGTGACACACATTGGGAAACCTTCCGGTGTGTAAAATTAGTTGTTGTTCAGGGAGAGTAAAGAGGTAGAATGACTGAGAATTTCAAGAAGCCTAAGATGAAAACAACAGGAAAGGGTTAGGAAGAAGTTAAGAGCAAAAAGGGGAAAACCTGTTCCCCGCCCCTCTCTGCTCCCTCATTATCTTATCCATATTTAGCATGCCATAGCATTTAAAATATAAACATGTATTCAACACTTCCTAGGTATCAGGGAGTAAGCTAGCACTTTTTACACATATTAATTCATTCCATCCTCACAACAGCTGCTTGCAGTAGGTTATAATATTCTACTTTACAGATGTGGTTAAGAGGGTCATGCACAAAGCCCTTTCAAGTCAGCGTTGGTCCTTCTCACACCACTCTCTCCCTCTGCCACTAACACATAATACATAATAGCATAATGTAGTAGAGTTGGCTGTGTAGTGACTGCCTCTGTTCCTAGAATATGAGCTCTCCACAGGTAGGAACAGTGTTTATTCATCTTTGCCTATCAAGCTTCTAGTGTAGTGTGTGGCACAGAGTAGATATCTTATTAATGATGGATGGATGGACAGGCTGACAGTTGAATACACTTATGTGTGAGTAAAATCATTTCTTGAGTGAGGGGACCCACAAACCTTTCCATCTATAATCTGCTCCTGCAGGTCTCTGCAGTCTTGGGTTCCACACCTACTAAAACTTGATTTTACCAAGATTACTTGGGGTCTCCTTGAAGACAAGTAGGTAAAAACTCTTCTCAGTCCTTGTTTTGGTTACTCCTTTCACACCTGACTCTGCCTCCCTTGGTTCCCTCCTGCCATTCTTCTCTGCAGCTGGGTAGCATCTCCATCTCCATTTCCTTCTCCTTTGTAGATTCCTCTTTGTGCCATCTTAAAATCAAGGAGACTCAGGCCACTGCCGCAGAGCAGTGGAAAAAAAAAAAAAAACTATTTCCCGGTTATAGATTGCACTTCCTAAATATCTCATCTTTTTAATGGAATCTAGGCATTAAGGATATAGCTGTGAACAGAAAAGTCAAAGTCCCTGTCCCCATCGAGGTTATGTACTAGTGAGGGAGACAGAATACACAAGCTGGAGGCATCACATTACCTGACTTCAAATTATACTACTAAGCTGTAGTA
Organism: Homo sapiens; assembly: GCF_000001405.40. Lineage (NCBI taxonomy): Eukaryota > Metazoa > Chordata > Mammalia > Primates > Hominidae > Homo > Homo sapiens. Next base: position 130,190,854 of record NC_000008.11, on the reverse strand, counting down.
ATCAAACCAGCATGATGCTGGCATAAAAACAGATGCATAGGCCAGGTGCGGTGGCTCACGTCTGTAATCCCAGCACTTTGGGAGGCCAAGGAGGGTGGATCACAAGGTCAGGAGTTTGAGACCAGCATGACTAATATGGTGAAACCCCATCTCTACTAAAAATACAAGAATTGGCCGGACGTAGTGATGCATGCCTGTGATCCCAGCTATTCAGGAGGCTGAGACAGGAGAATCGCTTGAACCTAAGAGGTGGAGATTGCAGTGAGCAGAGATCATGCCACTGCACTCCAGCCTGGGCGACAGAGTGAGACTCTGTCTCAAAAAATAAAAATAAAAATAAATGCATAAATCAGTGGAACCAAATAGAGAACCCAGAGATAAATTCACATGCTCACAGTCAACTTATTTTTGACAAAGGCACCAAGAACATACATTGGGGAAAGAATATCCTCTTCAATAAATGGTGCTGGGAAAATTGGATATCCATATTTAGAAGAATAAAACTAGACCCTATCTCTCACCATATACAAAAATCAAATCCAAATGGATTAAAGACTTAAATCTAAGACCTGAAACTGTGAACCTACCAGAAGAAAACTTTGGGGGAAACTCTCCAGCACATTGCTCTCAGCAAAGATGTCTTGAGAAAGACCTCAAAAGCACAGACAACCAAAGCAAAAATGAGCAAACGCAAGTGGGATCATATGAAGTTAAAAAGCTTCTGCACCACAAAGGAAACAATCAACAAAGTGAAGAGACAACCCACAGAATAGGAGAAAATATTTGCAAATTACCCATCTGACAAGGGACTAATAACCAGAATATATAAGGATCTCAAATAACTCATAGGAAAAAAATCCAGTTTTAAACTGGGCAAAAGATCTGAATATATATTTCTCAAAAGAAGACCTACAAATGGCCCACAGGTTTATTAAAAAATGCTCAACATCACTAATCATCAGAGGAATGCGAATCAAAACTTCAGTGAAATATCATCTCAAGCCAGCTAAAATGGCTTTTATAAAAAAAACAGTAATGGATGCTAGCAAGGATGCAGAGAAAGGGGAACTCTCATACGCTGTTGGTGGTAATATAAATTAGTACAACCACTATGGAGAATGGTATAGAGGCTCCTCAGAAAACTAAAAAGAGAACTACCATAAGATCCAGGAATCCCAGTGCTGGGTATATACCTAAAAGAAAAGAAATCAGTGTATCAACAAGATAACCCGTACTCTCATGTTCATCGGAGCACTATTCACAGTAGCCAAGATACGGAATCAACCTAAGTGTCCATCAACAGTTGAGTAGATAAAGAAAATACAGTATATATACACAATGGAATATTATTCAGCCATAAAAAACAAAGTCATGCCACTTGCCACAAAATGGATCCAACATTATGTTAGGTGAAATAAGCCAAGTACAGAAAGATAAGTATTGCATGTTCTGTCTCATGTGGGAGCTAAAAAAGGAAATTGATCTCATAGAGATAGAGAATAGAATGATGGTTACCAGAGGCTGGGAAGGATAGTGGGGAGGAGGGAATAAAGAGGGATTGGTTATTAGGTACAAAAATACAGTTAGATAGAAGTAACACAGTCTAGTGTTAGGTAGCACAGCAGAGTGACTGTAGTTAATGATTTTTATTATATATTTCAAAATAACTAGAGTGGAATTGAAATGTTCTAGCACAAAGAAATGATAAATGCTTGAGGTGATGGAAACCCCAATTCCCTGATTCGATCATTATACATTGTACGCTTGTATCAAATTTCACATGTACTTCATAAATACAACTATTATGTATCCATAAAAACTAAAAATTAAAAGATAAATCTGAGCAAAAAAAAATCCAAACACAGTAATTTCAGATAATGATACATGCTATAAAAAAATGTGAAAAGGAAATGAGAAAAGCCCTCCTTACTCTGACAGAAGCAGTTGAAGAAAATTCACCGTAAGAGCTACAATTTTGGCAGAGGTGTTAATGGAAGTGCTAAAATGATTTGAGGAATTATTTGTACACATATACGTGTACTGTAGTATAGTGTTTAAGAACACAAGCTCTGGAGCTACACCACCTAAATTCAATTTTCTTTTCTTTTCTTTTTTTTTTTTTTTTTTTTTTGAGAGAGTCTCTCACTCAGGCTGGAATGCAGTGGTGATCTCGGCTCACTGCAACCTCCGCCTCCCAGGTTTAAATGATTCTCCTGCCTCAGCCTCCCAGGTAGCTGGAACTACAGTTGTAGACCACCATACCTGGCTAATTTTTGTATTTTTAGCAGAGACGGTGTCTCCCCATGTTGGCCAGGCTGGTCTCGAACTCCTGACCTCCAGTGATCCTCCTGCCTCAGCCTCCCAAAGTGCTGGGATTACAGGCGTAAGCCACCATGCCCAGCCTACACTGCCTAAATTCAAATCTTAGCTCCTCACTCACATGCTTTATGGTTCTGCACAAATGACTCCACCTCTGTTCCCTCAGCTGCAAAGTAGTGATAATTGTGTCGCCTAACCTACAGAGGTGTCATGTAGGTTCAATGAAATAATGCATGGAAAGCCCTTCAACAGAGCCTGGTGTGTGGAAAATGCTCAGTCAATAGTAGCTGGTTTTATTGTTCATGTGGACTTTATTTTTTAACCATCTCCCATCTTCCCTTTGCTTTTTCAGCTCCAGGGTTTGAGCCACAATGTGATCTTCACCTTGGATTCTTTGTTAAAAGGAGACCTAAAGGGAGTCAAAGGAGTAAGTGTTCAGAAATTTGATTTTCACTTTAACTTGAAAGGATTAATTTTTTTTTTCCTCTTTCAAGATCATAGTAGTACTTGTATTTGAAAGACTCTTTGAACATTTTCAGCGTTAAAAATGCTCTTGGAAAATGATCATTGGAAAAAATGTGCCTCTTCACATAATGGTATTGACAGAGGAATGAGATTAGGCACTTTCAAGAAGATTGGGAAGGTCCTCCATGGGTGGGAGAGAGAAGCTAAGCCCGAGTCTTGGCTCCCACAGTGTGACCACTGGGGACCCAGCCCTTCTGAACCTCGGGCTCCTGCTTCATCAGCATGACCAGGGCGCTTACCCTTCTTTCCTCTCTCAGGCTTCTTGTGTATATAACACATGGTTTGATGTTGGCCAGGCACAGTGGTCATGCCTATAATCTGAGCACTTTGGGAGACCATGGCGGCGGGTAAATTGCTTGAGCCCAGGAGTTCAAGACCAGCCTGGGCAACATAATAAGACCCCCATGTCTACAGAAGAAGTACAAGAATTAGCCAGGGGTGGTGGTGAGTGCCTGTAGTTCTAGCTACTCAGGAAGCTGAGGTGGGAAGATCAATTGAGCCTGGGAGTTCAAGGCTACAGTGAGCTGTGATTGTGGCACTGCACTCCATTCTAGGCAACAGAGTGAGACCCTGTCAAAAAAAAAAAAAAATGGTGTAACGTGCATAAAGTGAAGTTCCCAGTGTCCTATAAAGGAAACAATTCTTGCTAAGATGTCATTTCAAAACTATTTATTAATTTTCAGCAAAAGTAGTTGCAATTTTAATCTCATTTTCTCGTTTCTAAGGATCTCAAGAAGCCATTTGACAAAGCCTGGAAAGATTATGAGACAAAGTTGTAAGTGGTTTTTTGTTTAGAGTTTTTGTTTGTTTTTTAATATTGTTGTGAATTTTGGACAACAAAAAAAAAAACTTAACTGGAAAAAGGACAGAGCCCTTAACTAATAACTTCTCAACAAAAACCTGTTTAGTATATCCTCTAGCATATCCTTATTAGGGCTAAGAGGTTGGGTACACTGACCTAAAGTGGTTGCATGTCCTGTGCTATTTGTCTGAAGGGAGAGGTACTTTTACTATCAGTTGTTCTCGCATTTATGGCTGCTAGTACTATCAAGTTATAGGGCTATGACTCTCATTATAGATAGCATGTAATTATGGACCATTTATGTTTCTGTATAGTATAAAAATTGGGAAATAATAGAAGTAACAGCTAATACTGTGACATCTTGGTGCCTGCCAGGACGTGCACTAAGTGTTTTTTGCATGTATGACCTCTTCACAGGAAACTATCTGTACAGCTTTACTCTCTGTTTATATACATCAGGGAAACTGAAACCTGGAGAGGCTAAGGGGCTCATGAAAGGCTAGAAAGCTAGTTATGTGTCCAGCTAGCATTCACTCCAGGTCTGTCTTGACCACAGAGCCTCAGCATAGCATGGGCACTGAAGTCAGACCACCAACCTCGTGGAGTTCTTGTTAGGGATTAGGACAATAAGCACTTTGCAGGGTGCTCGGCCCATCTCGATACTGTGTGTATCATACCACATTCCTTTATTATTATTACCCTGAGACATTTGTAACACCAAGCAGTAGGGTGGGGTGGGAGGAGATATGTATTTTTAAAGCTTTTAATAAAAGTCTTGGACAACTATAAACATAAGAGAATAAAACATTTCTGTAGGCAGCAATAGCAGCAGGATAAAAACAAGCAAAAGAAAAACAAATTCAGGATTAAAAAAAGTAGTTTTTCCCAAACTACTTTTGTAATTATGTGAAAAGTGCATTGTTAGGGACTTGCTGTCTTAGGAATATATCCGTACATTGACAGTTCTAAATGCAGCAGAGAACAAAAACGTTCTTAAAATGGTCAACTGATAAATGAATGCTGTGGGCTATGAGTCTTTCTGTATGAAAAGTGGGTCATGAGTACTCAACTTGTAAGCGAAGTACTGCCGCTGCCCAGAGACAACAGTGCATGAACTTGGAATGGAATAGAATTAAGTACTTAGAAAATGGAAGGACAAAGGGGGAAGAAAAAAACCTTGTTCTACACTTGTAGAATATGTCTTCTTTGTAGGATATAGGAACAACGAAACATGATGTAATATGTGCTTTGTCAACTAAAGTACTACCAATATTAGGTAGTACAACTTTATTTATATTTTTTAAATCTCTGTTGGCTGAAGACCTAGAAGTATCTGGTGCTTAGTATTATAAATGACTTAGAATATAAAGCATTCTAAGATGGTACAGGTGCTCTTCCTTGTACTTCTCACTCAACATATGAACTTGTCTGGCTTTTCTTTTTTTTTCTTTTTCTTTTTCTTTTTTTTTTTTTTTTTTTGAGGCGGAGTTTCACTCTTGTTGCCCAGGCTAGAGTTCAGTGGCTCAATCTCGTCTCACTGCAGCCTCTGCCTCCTGGGTTCAAGCGATTCTCCTGCCTCAGCCTCCCGAGTAATTGGGATTACAGGTGCCTGCCACCAACACCCAGCTAATTTTTTGTATTTTTAGTAGAGACGGAGTTTCACCATTTTGGCCAGGCTGGTCTCTAACTCCTGGCCTCAGGTATCCACCTGCCTCAGCCAAAGTGCTGGGATTACAGGCGTGAGCCACCATGCCCGGCCTGGCTGTTCATTTTTCTGTATTGTCCTCTACAATCTAAATTTGGTGAAGACCACAACCACATTATTCTTATATATGGTGTTATTCTACCAGTGCCTAATGACTCATAGTTTATGTACTATTTCATTGAAGAAATAAAAGAATTATTCAGACCTGGAAATGTATAACAGGAATAGCAAGTTGAGTGCCTCCTGAATTTAAGACCTTATGAAGGCAGGTTTTGTTTGTTTGCTTAGTAAATCCCTGTCAACAATTTTCCTGAGATAGACTTCTTTGTCACTAAAGTATAGTGGTGCAGGAAAGAAAGAAAACAAGCATTTGTCTCTTTGATGTACTGGGACTTATGCTGTTATAAGTTAGAGAAAACAAAATGACTCCACACAAAAAAGTTCATTTATTAGTTTTGATAATGGAGAAGGCTGGACATTTTCTGTGGTCTTCTATTTGGAACTCTGGAGGCAGTGAAGTTTGTAATGATTTAGATCACAGACTTAGAAATCATTACCAGTTTTGTGACATTGAGCCAAAATACTTAATTTTGATGATCCTTACTTGTAAAATAATATAAAAATTACCTACTTCTCAGGGTTTTTGTGAGGACGAGATAAGGTAGTGTGTTGAAGCAGTTGTCACAGTGTTTAGCATAGGGAAGTCACACAATAAATAGTTTCTACTAAGTTCTCTTTAAGAATCAAATTTCATTTGGTCAAAGTGATAAATGTACGTAAACTAAAACATCAGATAGTGCTTTTACTAGTTAAGACTTACTCTGTCAGCATGTAATGGAAACCCCAAATAACAGTGGCTTCAACATTGTTAAAGTTTATCATAGAACAGAGCATTCTAGGATGGACCAGGTACCCTTTGTAGCACTTCTCACTTATCTGTATTGTCCTCCACAATCTAAACTCAGTGATTTTATGTCATACCTAATGGTACAGGGTTCTTTACAAATCATGACAGGGAAAATATTAAGTAGGCAACAAATGTGCTTCTAATGGAAACACAGTGGCCTTCTGCCTGCCCCTCTTGATCCTGTTAGTCCCTCCCCTTTTTCCAACTCTTTTACCTGCTTCCTGACTTATCTACACGTTCCTCAGTATTTTCTTGCTCTTTCTAGCTTTAGCTGTGATGTATTGCTGTGGTAGACGAGGATTACATTCCCTTGCATAGACACCCCATCACTTTCGCACCCTTGTTCATCCATTGTGGTTAATAGAACAATTTTTATTAAACTAGTTTCAGTGTTTACATTTTTATAGGTATAAGCATTCATTGCTAATCTGAATGGTAGAATAGGATTGAATTTCTGTTCTTAGAGTACAGTTGTTTACTTTTTCTTAATGACATAATGGCCTCATTTCTTCATTTGCTTAGTTCTGTGTGAATCTTCTGTGAATTCTTATCTGCTCTAGCAGATGTCAGACACCTGTCAATAATATTTCTGTTTATAAAGTACATTATGTATTTTATTAGCATGATTATATATCTATTAGTATTAAATTGTGTCAGCTTCTTCTTTCCTGGAGACATCCCTTTGCAGAGCTCTTTAGATCAGCAGTACAGCTGCCATCCTGGGATGGCGTTTGACTCTCTTTAGTTTTAAATCTAATTCCTCTTGACTAGTATAGTTCCATATTTTGGTGGCCCATTACCTCCAGTAGTTTTCAGAGAACAGCTCTAAAGGAGGCAAAGAGTTTAGGTTTTGTGTTTCCAAAACTATCTTCATTCTGCCACCACAAAAAGTGATAGTTATAAATCATTTTTATAAAAGTGGTAAATCAGTATAAAATACTGATTTTATAATAATTTTCAGGCACGGTGGCTCATGCCTGTGGTCCCAGCACTTTGGGAAACCAAGGTGGGCAAATCGCTTGAGGTCGAAAGTTTGAGACCAGCCTGACCAACGTGGCAAAACCTTGTCTCTACTAAAAAATACAAAAATTAGCTGGGCGTGGTGGCGGGTTCCTGTAGTCCCAGCTACTCAGGAGGCTGAGGCAGGAGAATCGCTTGAACCCAGGAGGCAGAGGTTGTAGTGAGCCGAGATCGGACCACTGCACTCCAGCCTGGGCAAGAAAGCGAGACTTTGTCTCAAAAATAATAACAATAATAATAATAATTTTATCTCTAAATGTTGAAGGCATTGTTCCATTGTTTTCTACTTTCCAGTATTGCTAATAAAAAAAAAAATCTGATACCTTTCTGATTCCCATTTATTTGTATGTGATATGTGGTTGTTGTTTGTTGCATTTATTTTTGGTTAGAGAATGTAAGGTCTTGTCTCTGTAAAAGGTTTTACGAAGAGTCTTCAAGTGCCACGGTATGTGCATTCTGTTTGCAATCTTTCTGTTTACAAGTTTGAGTTCATCACTCCTGGAAACTTCTTGTAATTCTTCCTGTTTTTTCTTTTATTCCTCTTTCGGGAATTTTCATTATATAATATTTGACTTCCTAGACAGTTCTTAAAATTTTCTTCTCTTTTCTGTTCTATTTATATTATATTTTAGGTTATTTTTTCAGTGTTTTTTCCCCACTGTTTCAGTTAGCTTTTTTATTTTGGCTGTCATTTTAAATTTCTAAGAGCTCTTTTGCTCAGTTGGGTTTTTTTTTTTTTTTTTTTGCCTTTTTATAGTTTCTATTTCTTGTTTCATAGATGCAATATTTTAGCTGAAGATTTAATGACATTTTGTAAAATGTTTTATCTGCTTCCTTAGTGCCTCTGGTTCCTTCCCAACCCTCCCCCTTTTGTTATTAATACTTTCACTCTCACTTTCATTTTGGAGACTTATAATCTTTGGGTGCATTCATATTTCAGAGCAAGGTACCCAAAGACTAAAAGTTTATATGCATCATTAGAGATCTGCTTTCTCCAAGAAAGCAGAAAGCCTTCTTTTTAGGTTTCAAGTTTTAGGATGTGAAGGCAGCTCTTTTATTAGGGGTTTTCCAAATGTCAGTGTCTGAGGTTTGTCTCAGAACCTTGCAGTTCTTTCACGCTCCTGCTTAGTAATCACATATGGTGGCATTTTGGAAGCTATGTAAGTGAGGGAGACAGAGAACCCTATAGTTTGAGGTGCTCTCCTTCTCTCTTCAGCCTTGCTCTTCCAAATATTTATTGAATTCCGTCATCCTTTTTTGTCTTCAATTCTTTCTTTGGGAGATTATCTGTTCTTATGCCTTTACTCTCATTTTAGTGGGATCACTGGAGGAAGAAGAAATAAAGACATGTATGTTTAAGTCACCATGGTAAATTGAAAGGCTTATTATTAAGTTATGCCTGTCCCTCCATATTTCTTCTCTTCCCACCCACATCAGTGGAGAAAGAGCTGAGATTTATTCTTTCTGTTAAAATCCCTGTTATGCCTCTTCGACTGCCAAGGTGGCATGATTAAAGAGTTTCTTAAATATAATAGCATTAGGGTATTAGAGTCAATCCCGACTGGGTTTATAAGTAGATTTTTCATTGGCTTGATCGGTGGATTTTCCACTATGTCTGTGTATAGGTAAGGATGTTGGCTTTCTTCAGAGTTGGTTTCCCCTACCACCACCATAACTTAAAGAAGACTTGACGGATAAATCAGTTAGTCTTTGCATTCACAGCTAGAAATTACAGGTTGTTTCTGAAATTAGAAGTCCATTTTCAGGTTAATGATTTTTGGAAAGCAGGCTATAATCTTTGGTATTATTACCAGAGTATCATCTATCAGAGCCGAGCACTAGCGTCAGCTACTGTATGTTTAATGTGGGCCTTTCTTCTTTATCACCTCGTTTCCCCTGGCCCCCTCCCCACACACAGAAGAACATTGTGATAGGATTCCAAATTAGGATTTCTTCTGAATTTTGTACATTCCAGTGACAAGTGGTTGACTGATTAAAATGTATTCTTGGAATGTGGAAATAGCTCAAGTTTAGAGGAATGTTGGAAATTACCTTTGACTAAATTTTGTGCATACCCACAAAGACCCATTATATACTTTAATTATTTGAAATAATTGAAGTCTTGCAAGCTGTCGATATTCAAGGAAAGCCTCATGTCTCCAACTTTCTGATTCTTTTTTTATTATAAAGTGCTTTACCCAATAGTAGGTAAACTATCAAAATTTCTTCATGCCTACCAAAATTTAAGAGAATGTATATGAATCTGTCATGTGTAAGATCAAAGGAAAAATGTAAGAGGTTTCCCATATGAAAATCCATACAGTGTTTGTGTTCTGTTTGATTGTAGGCTTTTACTTCTGATTGATTCTACCAACTTAAGAATTCTTGCCTTTTAACTTTAGGAATTAATAATCAGTGGCTTTTGTTAACGGGAAGACATGAGTGTGGTTTGTTTTTAGTAGACTTCCTTCTTGAGCAGAAGATACAAGAGAGTTCCCATATGCTCCCTCCCCCCACACATGCACAGCCTCCCCCGTTATCACTGACCCCCACCAGAGTGGTACAATTGATACAACTGATGAACCTACATAGACACATCGTCACCCCAAATCCATAGTTTGTATTAGGATCTGCTGTTGGTATTGTACATGAGTGTATTTTTTTTTTTTAAATAATGACATTGGCTTTAATTACAGTACAAAAATTGAGAAAGAGAAAAGAGAGCACGCAAAACAACATGGGATGATCCGCACAGAGATAACAGGAGCTGAGATTGCGGAAGAAATGGAGAAGGAAAGGCGCCTCTTTCAGCTCCAAATGTGTGAAGTAAGAATGGACTTTTCCACCATTTGCCTAGAATTATAACAACTGTGATCTTTTCCTGCTAGTCAGCAGTCTTTATGCTTAAAGGCAGACTCTGTTTGATTATTAGAGAGGAAACTGTTTCTTAAGGATTCTAATCTCCATTTTTCTCCAAGCCTTTTGGGAACCTGCCATTGCACTGTTGTCTCATATTTTGAGCCTTGGCCCTATGGGGCTGTTTAAGCCAAAACAGGATTCTTTGGTGAGAACCTTAATGTTGCTTGTGAGTGGTTGTGGGAGGAAAACATTGGTGAGAGGTAACACTGGTGAATATTAAGTTTTATTGGTGTATGTTTAGAGCATGTTTTTTTAACCATATGTCCAGTTTGAATGAAAACTCAAATGAAGTTGTCATTAAGAAAGTCGATTTCACGAAAAATGCAACAAAAAGCATGCTGCCTTAAACTTAGAGCAGTGGTTCTCAAACTGAATTCCAATTGAACATGAACACTTCTTGACCTAGAAACCAACCTGTTCTGACACGGCTGTTGAGTAAGAGTTTCTTTTGCAGTTTTCAGAAAATATTAAAGTGGAGAACTTTGTCAAATTTTTTTCCTTCCCTAGATTTTTTTCTCCTTTCCTTTTCCTTCTTCCTCGCTTTCTCTCTCTATTCCCTCCTTCTCTTTCTCTTTCCCCCTTCCCCTTCCCCTTCTCCTCCCTCCCTCCCTTCCTTCCTTCCCTCCCTCTCCTTTCTTTCTCTCTCTCTCTTTCTCACCTCTCTCTCTCTCATTCTCTTTCTCTTTCTCTCTTTTTTCTGTTTCATAACCCTTTGGCTCCTTGAGTTTGTGTGCTCATGAACCTTTTTACAGAATAAAACAAGTGAGCAAACAGTGTCAATAGAAAATCTTGACCAGTGCACAGTACAAGTACACTACTGTGTTTAGTTACCTCAATAAATTAGTGGGTTATTCTTACTTTTATTCTTTAATTTTTGAGTAGTAAAAATTCTTTCTGATTCACCTCTTTTTCCTAAAGTTTCAATATCCTATGGTATATTCTTTGATGAGAATGCTATTCTGCGTACTTTCTGCAAAAAACAATCAATCTTTCCAGTTTTTGACCACATAAACTATACGTTTGAGATCCACTGCACCAAGGGGAAATAATAATTCTAGAATGTTTTGCTGTGTTTTATTTCTGCTTGTCGAGTAAACTAATCATAAAATAATTTATAAAATGCTAACACTCTAGTCAATTTGTTTTGAACACTTTGTGACTGCGAAATCAGCATTCTCTAAACTGTCTAAAGGACACCAAGGCTTGGTAACTTGTGCAGATTCAGGGGTGATGTTCAGCCACCTGAACCCATGGCTGAAGAGCCCCATCTGGAATTAATCAACGCAAAACCCTGTTTTATTTTCACAGTATCTCATTAAAGTTAATGAAATCAAGACCAAAAAGGGTGTGGATCTGCTGCAGAATCTTATAAAGTATTACCATGCACAGTGCAAGTGAGTAGAATATTGCAAGCATTGTTATTAGCCCAATTACTGCCCCCTGTACTTCATTATTTGTCTTAATCCTCTTCATATCTTTTCTTCATCTCGTGACTAAATAAAGTGATATAATGACCTTTTTCAGCTAAATGGATAAGAAATAGTGTCTTCCATCTTCAGTGTTTTATACAAATCAGTAGCTCAAATTAGGGCTTAAAAATATTGTCTTCCTTACAAGAAGACAAATACTTACAAATACTTCTTCCTAAATTTGATCGCCTGTGGAGCTCTTATTACAGATGCATGATCCCCTGTCACTGAAGAGTCCTTTCTGATGACCCCCTACCCTGACTCTCTTACTTGGCATTTTGCCTTTTTTTTTTTTTCCTTTGAGACGGAGTCTCACTCTGTTGCCTGGCTGGAGTGCAGTGGTGCAGTCTCGGCTCACTCTAATCTCCGCCTCCTGGGTTCAGGCAATTCTTCTGCCTCAGCCTCCCCAGTAGTTGGGATGACAGGCGCACGCCACCACACCCAGTTAATTTTTTTTTTGTATTGTTAGTAGAGACTGGGTCTCACCGTGTTGGCCAGGATGGCCTTGATCTCCTGACCTCGCGATCCACCTTGGCCTTGGCCTATTATTGCACCATTTGCACCATGTATTTCCACCTGGAGTCTTCAGTTTTGTTTTGTTTCATCTAAAATAAGTGAATTTAAATAGTTGGGGCATTAAGAATACTTTGCATTTGTACATGGATTCCTATATAATTTGTGTTACATTTTGAGAAATACCATTGTTCTACACTGGCACCATTTTTGTTTGCCTATATTGCAGGGCTATCTTTTTGTTATGTTTGTGATTCTGTGGTGCCACATTTGCTTGTTTACTTATTGGGTTAACTTTCATGGGTTTTCTGGTAGAGTCTGTGTGTGAAAATGTGCCAGCTACACATGGAGACTCTACCAGAAAAGTAAAGTCTGTATTAGTAAAGTCTGTATTCGTTGATGGAAGTTATACCGAAAATAATGGAAGGACCTTCCAGAAATGGAATGGACAGCTCTCATAAGCAAAATAATGTAAAGGTCGTTTGGACTAGATAAAATACTCTCAAAAAAGTTAAATTCATAATTTCCTTTGATCTTTCTTATTCTTTTCAATAGTTATATTTAGAAAGATACCTGTATTCAACTGAAACATTTAAGGAGGTCAGCATTAATATTATGTCAAAAGCACAAAGCTTGGGTTAGACAAATTAGATGAGTCAACATTTTGGCTCTGCAGCTGGTTAACTGTATTCTTAATCAGGTACTTCACTAAACCTCAGTATACTCACTCGTCAAGCTGGGTTACGATTCTGTAGCAACCACCTTAGGGTTTTTGTAAGGCTGTAAAAAGTGAAAAAGAATGCATGTGGAGTGCTTAGCCCAGTGCCTGCGACCTTGTATGTGTTGACAGCTGTGATGATTCTAAGTGGCATTTAAAATTATTTATTTATATATTTTATTGTCTAGGATATTTCTCTTAAGGAAAACCTTTTTGATGATCAAATTGTTGTTTACATAAATTTGATGATAACTTTTTTTCAAAGTAAATTGTACCTTATATAAGTGTCTTTCAAAAATAAAAATAATATATTGAAGTAGAAAGTTTTCACCTTCTTAAGATTAAGTTTGTTTATTGAAGACCTGGATTAACTAACTTACTTTTGGCTTTGTAGTGTGGTTGGGCAGTTATGAAACTTTGGCCTGTGTTCTAATGGTCCCTGATTTTAGTATTGGGTGGAATTTTTTATCTTTCATCAAATTTAGTTTTCCTGGAAACATTTAATTCCTTTGAAAGTTTTAAAGAAATAAGTGAATCTCTCAGTCTCCTGAATTCTGCAGTACTTTGGCAGCAAAACTGATTTCACCTGACTTTAGAAATCTATTTTCACGTTAAATTCTCTAAGTTTATAAGGAAGAGTTTGGCCTACACAAACAAGAGTTTTTCAAAATAGAAGATGCTTTGTAAAGTATACATATATTAGCCTTCGCTAGTAATGGTGATGCTAACTTGTATAGCTAATGCATCCTCCCTTTATTCTCTTATTCTTTGCTTTTTCCCTTTCCACAAATATGTATTAGTCTTTTACCAAAGATCAGCTACTGTGCCCAGTTCTGGGACAGAGATAAAGCAAGGCTTTTCCGCTCAGGAGTTAATTGTCCAGGTATAGGAAGTAAGTCAGATCCATTATTAATCATAATGGGGCTGGACAGTGACGGGTACCATGGAGCATCAAGAGGAAGAGAGACGGCTGGGCGCGGTGGCTCACGCCTGTAATCCCCGCACTTTGGGAGGCTGAGGCAGGTGGATTATTAGATTACAGGAGTTCAACACCAGCCTGACCAACATGGCAAAACCCCGTTTCTACTAAAAGTACAAAATTAGCCAGGTGTGGTTGCGCATACCTGTAATCCCAGCTACTTGGGAGGCTGAGGCAGGAGAATCGCTTGAATCCAGGAGGCAGAGGTTGCAGTGAGCCGAGATCACGCCATTGCACTCCAGCCTGGACAACAAGAGCAAAACTCTGTCTCAAAAGAAAAAAAAAAAAAACAGGAAGAGAGACATCTGACCAGGAGGACTGAGGAGAAGGTATTAGCACCTTGAAGGAGGTGGTGGGACTTGTCATTGAACTTGGAGGATAGCTAGGATTTTGTTACCAGATTGCAATCTGGTAGACGAATGTCCCCTAGGTCAGAGAGAGATCATCAGAAGAAAACCCTACACAGTAAAAACCTTGTAGGGAGAGAGATGTTCTGAGACATCAAGTAGTAGAACCATGTTATAAGGGGATTCAACTAAAAGTTACTCCATGGTGGAACCCCAAGAACTCTATCATAGCAAGAAGCCAGAGTAGTTTCCTTTATTCTTTTCTACTTCTGTCAGTTCCTCAAAACTCTTAATAGGCATATTGTATGGACCTGTTAAGCATTCTCTACGTAGGTGTTTTTTGTTTTGTTTTGTTTTTAAGATTTATTCTTCTCAGTACTTACTTCAGTTCCCAAAGTGATTTTCAGTACAAAGTCAGCTGGTATTCAACAGTGAATTTGCCTAGGTAGTAATAGTCACGACACTTCCGTGTGGATGAAGCTACTACACTGGAGAAATAAATAAAGGGAACAGAAAAGAAGGGCTTTTAACTGTTTCCAACTCATTTCAGCTCACTCACTAATTACTGCTCAATTTCAGACATGAACATTGTCGGGAACATGCTGCTTTCCAAACAGACATATCCTCCAGTTCACCTGCTCCTTTTACCTCCTCACAAGTGTCATTATGACCTGCAGAGTTAACAGCATTTATAAACATTGCTTTATTATCTGTCATTTTACAGATAATAAGAATAATAGCTAACATTTACCGAGAGCTTATTTTCTGGGACGAATTATATAGGCCCTGCCTCTAAGTTCCTTACATGTGTTTTCTCATTTAATATTCCCAACACTCAAGAAGTTGTAGCTCAGAAAGGATCAGTATTTTGCTCAAAGTCATGTTCATTCATTTAATAAACGCTTAGTAAATGTGTCAAAGCAGACAAAGTAAGCACAGGAAACCAAATAAAAATATAAATTGGACTTCAAAATTAAAAACTTTTGTTCATGGAAGTATATTATCAAGAAAGTAAAAGACAACCCACAGAATAGGAGAAAATATTTACAAAATATTTTTCTGATAAGAGTCTGATATCCAGAATATATAAAAAAAACTCAACAACAGTCCAGGTGTACTGGCTCACACCTATAATCCTAGCACTTTAGGAGGCCGATGCAGGAGGATCACTTGAGCCCAGGAGTTCGAGACCAGCCTGGGCAACACAGGGAGACTCTGTCTCTACAAAAAATAAAAATAAAAAATTACCCTGGTGTGGTGGCACACGCCTATTTTCCCAGCTACTTGGGAGGCCAAGGTGGGAGGATCGCTTGAGCCTGGGAGATCAAGGCTGCAGTGAGCCATAATGACTTACTCCAGCCTAGGCAACAAAGCAAGACTCTGTATATTAAAAAAATTGTACACACACACACACAAATGGCCAGAAAAACACGTGAAAAGGTGCTCAACATCATTAGTCGGTGTTAAGTACAAATCAAAACCTCAATGAAATAGCACTTCACACCCACTGGGATTGTTGTAATTAAAACAAAAAAAGTCTTGGTGAGGATGTGGGAAGATTGCAACCTATGCATTGCCAGTAGGAATGTAAATGGTGCAACTTCTTTGGAAAACAGTTTGGGAATTTCTCACAAAGTTAAGCATAGAATTATTTAAATAAAATGTGTACATGAATATTTATAACAGCGTTATTTACAATAAACAAAACACGGAAACACCCAGATATCCATCAGTTGATAAAAGGTTAAACAAAATGTGGTATATCAAAATGGAACATTGTTCAGCCACAATGCTGAATGTGAATGAAATATTGATACATGTTACATATGGGTGAACATTTAAAACATTAATGCTAAGTGAAAGAAGCCAGACACAAAAGATGGCATATGTTCACTAACTCAGCAGCTCTCTAAACCCCTTTGTTTAGAAGATTTTATAGAGGTTTTATTACATAGGCATGATTGATTAAATCATTGGCTGTTGGTTATTGGCCCAATCTCCAGCCCCTCTGCCCTCCCCAGAGGTGGGAGGAGGGGTGGGGCTGAAAGTTCTGAACCTAGTTGCATGGTTGGTTCTGTAACGAGACTAAAAAGAGATTCCATGAATTGTGTATAATAGTGCGGTGACTGGTACAGAGTAAATACTCAGTTACATGTTAGCTGCCATTACTGTTACTGTTACTGGTTTTTGAAGATCTTGTTATGTTACAGTAATTTATAGAGAAAGTGGCTAAGAGATAAATGAGACATCCTCGAGGTAATTTTCCCTTCTATTTGGAAGATTTATGTGTTAAGTGTAGTGATAGGTAGTCAGAACTCACACATGTGCTTCACTTTCCAGCTAACAACACTTTTATCTGTAGTAGCTCATCTGATGCTCCTTGAAACTAGAAAATGTCCACTTTGGAGATGAGCATTCTGTTATTCAGACAGGGTGAATAACTGCCCAAGGTTACCACGTATAGTAAGGTTTAGAGCCAAAATATAAAATATGATATGGTTTTGACTCCTAAGCCTTTTTTTTTTTTTTTTTTTTTTTTTGGAGACGGAGTCTTGCCACTCTGTCACCCAGGTGGGAGTACAGTGGCGTGATTTCTGCTCACTGCACCCTCCACCTACTGGGTTCAAACATCAAGCAGTCCTCCTGCCTCAGCCTCCCAAGTAGCTGGGACTACAGGCGCATGCTGCCACGCCAAGCTAATTTTTTTTTTCTTTTTTTTTTAGTAGAGACAAGGTTTTACCTTGTTGCCCAGGCTGGTCTCGAACTCCTGAGCTCAGGCAATCTACCCATCTCGGCCTCCCAAAGTGTTAGGATTACAGGCGTGAGCCACCACACCCGGCCTTTTTATTTTTTTTTTTCTTTTTGAGTCAGAGTCTCACTCTGTCACCCAGCCTGGAGTGCAGTGGTACAATCCTAGCTCACTGCAGCTTCAACCTCCTGGGTTCAAGCGATCCACCCACCTCAGTCTCCCAAGTAGCAGGGACTACAGGCATGTACCACCACGCCCGGCTAATGTTTGTATTTTTTTTGTAGAGACAGGGCTTCACCATGTTGTCCAGGCTGGTCTCAAACTCCTGGGCTCAAGCAATCGTCCTGCCTTGGCCCCCCAAAGTGCTGGTATTACAGGCATGAGCCATGTGTGCAGTAGCCCTTGCATGTCCACTGAACTAGGACGAGCTAAAACAGAGAGAAGAGAGAAAGGAGGAACAGAGAAGCCACTGCCCTCTGTGAAATGTTTTGGCAGGTCGTGGTGGCTCTCTGTCTACCCTGTCCACAGCTGGAACTGTGACCCTCAAGGAGAAGAGAATGAAGCTCAGAGGGACAGTGCAGATGACAGCATGTCACCCTTTGCTTTTTATGGTGTCACTGATACATTGCTAATGACTGCCATGGTTATTTTATTCTTCTACAACTCGTCCTCCTTTCCTGCTCCTATTTCTTACCAAAACTAGAACTTGGCCCTCCCTGAAATTACTTTCTGCAAGGGGCTTGCCTCCAAATTGTTCATCCCAGAGAAAATGTTGACTCTTTAATTTTGTTTTAACTGATTAATACGTGATATCCTTAAGAAAAAAATTAGAAACTGAAGTTAAGGAAGAATGAAAAAACCCTGTAATCTCCTCACTTAGATGATTACTAGATTCATGTATCTGGTTTGTTTTGTTTACAAAAATGGGATTATGCTACAGATTAAAGCAATTATTACATTGATTTTTCTTAGAATCTGGGTATGTAACAGTCTGAATAATTGAAGCAGAAGGAAAGTAAATTTGTTTGGAGTCTTCAGCCTTGTAATTGGCAGGAATTTTCATTTTTATCAGTGCCATTTCAAACTAAAACAGTTCCGTCTTTCTCCCTAAAATTTATAATGTGTTCTTCAGTATTTCTTTTGTGCTGTTCAAATATTTGCTTATTCTTTTTCTAGAGTGTTGTCCAGTAGAACTTTCTGCTATGGTGGAAATGTTCATACTCTTTACCATCTACATGGTACCCATTGGCCACACGTGGCTACCAAGCACTTGAAATATGGCTTATGAGTCTTCAGGAACAGAATTTTTCATTTAATTTTTAATAGCCAGATGTGACTAGTGGCTACCATATTGGAAAACACAGATGTAGAGCATTCTCATTGAAACTCACCTTTAAAAAAAAAAATTGGGAAGAGATTTAATTAGTGTTCTCTTATTTTTAAAAAATGTTTATTTCAGTAGTTTCTGGAGTACAGGTGGTTTTTGGTTACATGGATAAGTTATTTAGTGGTGATTTCTGGGATCTTGGTGTACCTGTCACCCGAGCAAAACTCACATTTTTTTAAAGCATAAAGATTAAATTCCCTTTATGTTAAAAGTGAAAATGAAATACCTTTTCAAAAATATCTACAAAGAATCTGTATCCCTCTGCAAAGGAAACAGTTCCTTATATGATAAAGTTATGCAGCTCCGGGGAAGAGAATGATTTCTTGAGCACATGCTAACTGCCCCACACTTTGCTGGGTAGTTTCACATGTCCTATCTGTATTATTTGCCCATTTACACATGAGCAAACTGAGGCCAAGAGAAGTTAAATGACTTGCCAGAACACAGATTCTTGGTCATAATCATCTGACCCCAAAGCCATTGCTTCTTCTGTTGTAAGAAGTCCTGACAACATCCATCTTAAATTTAAATGCTCTACCTTCAAAACTTTTCTCCAGAAATCACTTAAGTGCAGTATCAGAGACCAAAACAGATTTTGCTATGATTAACTTTGTACCCATACTTTTAACTCCTGGGCATATATCCCTTCCTTGATGTAGAGGATGCTGGTTTCAGGTTAACACTTATAGATGGCCTGCTCTGTGCAGAACATTGCCAACCTCTCCAGGTCTGGCACTTAGGCCTGGGCCCACATGCTCAATGAAGCCGCTGCTTTGACTATCAGGTCTAGAGAATACTGCTTATGGGGTAGCAGCCGAGCTGAGTCTTGATAAAAGAGAGTTTGGCAGGCAGGTTGATAGGGTTTGGCTCCATGTCCCCACCCAAATCTCACCTTGAATTGTAATTTCCATAATCCCCACATGTCAAGGGCAGGACCAGGTGGAGTTAATTGAGTCATGGGGGCAGTTTCCCCCATGCTGTTCTCTTGATAATGAGTGAGTCTCAAGGAATCTGATGGTTTTTTAAGTGTCTAGCATTTCTCCTGCTGGCATTATTCTCTCTCCTGCCGCCCTGTGAAGAGGTGCCTTCTGCCATGGTTGTAAGTTTCCTGAGGTCTCCCTAGCCATGTGGAACTGTGAGTCAATTAAACCTCTTTTCTTTATAAATTACTCCGTCTTGGGTGTTCCTTCATAGCAACATGGGAACGTACTACTACACAGGTATAGAGGGGAAGGGCATTCCAGGCAGAGGGAATAGCATATGCAAAGGCTGAAGTGGGGAAGGATGGATTGAAAAAGAACAGGCAACTAGAAATAATGTAGCATGGCTAGACCTTGGAGTTTTTAAGGGAAAATGGTAAGAGATAAAACAGAAGTATTCAAGGGTCAGAACGTAAACTTTTAAAATTCTATACTGAGAAGTTTTACTTGCATCGCTATAGGCAGTGCCGAAAACCCAAATGCTAGAAAATAAGGGTTTAGGCCAGGCACGGTGGCTCACACCTTTAATCTCAGCACTTCGGGAGACCAAGGAGAGCAGATTACTTGAGTCCAGGAGTTGGAGACCAGCCCAAGCAATGTGGCAAAACCTTATCTTTACAAAAATAAAAATGAGCCAGGCATGGTGGGGTGCCTCTGTAGTCCCGGCTACTCAGAAGGCTGAGATGGGAGGATCACTTGAGCCCAGGAAGTCTAGGCTTCATTGAGCCACTGCACTCCAGTGTGGGTGACAGAGTGAGACCCTGCCGAGAGAGAGAGAGAGAGATGAGGCTTTACATGTGTTCATGTATTTTTCAGTTAAATGGTTAACTAAAAGGCCATTTTTATCTCTCATCCCTGTTGCTGAAAAACTTTCTAAAGGTAGTATTTTTCTTCTTTATTTCAATAAGGTTTCTTTGCCAAAGATGTCAGCCTTAAAAAATGTTGGAACTTGTAGGATTTCAGTAATCATTCTGAAGGCCACTTCTAATAGCCTGTGTTATTGCCACTGAACACTGAATATACATATTAAGCTTAAAATATGTCTCTTAAGATATGCCTTAAGCTGGGCGCAGTGGCTCACACCTGTAATCCCAGCATTTTGGGAGGCCGAGGTGGGCAGATCACTTGAGGTCAGGAGTTCAAGACGAGCCTGATCAACTTGGTGAAACCCTGTCTCTACTGAAAATACAAAAATTAGCCTGGTGTGGTGGCAGGCACCTGTAGTCCCAGCTACCTGGGAGGCAGAGGTTTCAGTGAGCTGAGATCACGCCGCTGCACTCCAGCCTGGGCAACGAAGAGAGACTCCATCTCAAAAAAAAAAAAGATATTCCTTAAAATGTCTTGATATTGCTTCATTCAGTCTGCTTTGTGTTGGGCCCACTGTGATAGGGAGATGAGACAGTCCTCATGCTCAAGGTCCTCGTTGTTTGTAGGGAGACAGCAAAACAGATAGTGTTTTGAGAAATAGTCTGCTGTAGGGACATGGTTAGAGAAGCTTCCAATAGGGCAGAGAAAATTCTAAACACGTTTTCTGAGGCATATTGTTTATTTTTCTAAACTGATATCAGAGACTGGGTTCCTGAGTGGAAGTGTGCCACCTGAGACAAGAAATCTTCACTTGCTGGTAAAGAGCGTGGATCAGAATCTGGCAGACCTGGATCTGAATTCCACCAGCTCTGCTGCTTACTAGCTGCAACTTAACCAAGTTTTATACATACTCTGTACCTCAGTTTTACAAATGGAGATGAGATTGAAGTGCTTTAATTCATTAGAGTTGTGTACATGAAATCACTTGTGTAAAGTGTTCAGTGCAGTACTGGGCATGTGCTAAATGCTCCACAGATATTAATTCTTGTTATTTTTCAGGTGAAGTCATGCAACCATGTGTTGTAGGATAAAGCTTTCCAAACCCGTTGGTATTATTGCTTTGAATTCTTGTGTTTCAAATATATGTTGGAACACAGGGATCTTTGAGGAACTGAATGAATTTTGACTTTTCTCCTGCCTTTATCTGTAGTTCCATCATATTTCTCTTTATAGTGTCCAGATCAACCTCATGATATTCCACTGGTTAATGTGTCCTTCTCTCTCCTTCAAATTCAAATATGGTTTAACTGGGAAGAACTGTTCTATGTATAGATGCATATGTACGTTATGAAATCACTGTTTTGGGACTGCAACTGTAATTTCCAGTGTCCTTGTGATATCTTCTATCAAATGTCAACTGACAGCCATAATTTATTTGTTGGTACATCTTTATAAAATGCCGTAATTAGTTTTATAACTGTCTTGTATAGATAAATCCATAGAGAATGAGTATATATATACAGATAAGTGTATTTTCAGATTTTGTAGGTTATTATAGTTCCTTTTTTTATTTCCACATAAGGAAACAAATACTCTTTTTTTTTTATACTGGTGGTAAATCTCTGATTTTTTTAATTGTAGTTTCTTTCAAGATGGCTTGAAAACAGCTGATAAGTTGAAACAGTACATTGAAAAACTGGCTGCTGATTTATATAATGTAAGTTCTTTATAAAATACATGCAGTTTAACTTGCTTTCATGGATAAGTTTCAGTAAATTTGAAATCTGTATTAGAAAGGTGTTAAAAGCAGAAAAGATTAAATGATATGTCTGTACAAACCTAGGACAGATAACCCTTCAGTTTAAGTCAGAGAAGTCATCGATGGTCAAATGCTCCAGAGTCCTTCTGGGGCCATAAGAGGAGCAGGGAGGGGAGTATACAGCCATCAGTTCCAGATGGTTCTGCATTTACGATTCAGTTAGCATCACATTTGAGTGTTCCTTGGTCAGCAGTTGCAGAAAGAATGCATGATTGTGGAAGGATAAAAATTGACTCTGAATAGGCAGGTTTATAGAGTTTTTTGGGGTTTTTGTTTGTTTGTTTCTGTTTTTGTTTTTGTTTTTCAGAGTCTCACTCTGTCGCCCAGGCTGGAGTACAGTGGCACGATCTTGGCTCACTGCAATGTCCGCCTTCTGGGCTCAAGCAATTCTCGTGCCTCAGCCTTTTGGTACAGATGGGGTTTCACTGTGTTGCCCAGACTAGTCTTGAACTCCTGAGCTCAAGTGATCCACCCGCCTTGGCCTCCCAAAGTGCTGGGATTACAAGCGTGAGCCACCACGCCTTTGATTTATAAGGGTTTTTGTTTTGTTTTGTTTTGTTTTTTGCATGTTTTATATTATCTCTCTTTTTTTAGTGTCTAGGTCTAAATGTATATATTAGAAATGGTAAAGTTGTTGCCCAAAAATCATTTGGGGGTAAATAAAAGCGTATATATTATGAGTATGAGTAAATATCCTCAAATAAAGTTTTATAATTACAAAGAATGCCTTTTATATAACTTTAAAAATGCATAGCTATGTATTTTTTCTGATTTTCTTTTAGTAGTTAACATGGTTCAGGTTACAGTTAAGTCCCAAGTGGTTAAAAAAAGCAGCACTGATCCCTTGTCCCCATTTCATGCTATGTAAACTTTGATGTATGCATTGGCCCATTAGACTCCTGGTCATTCTTAGGATTCTCTCCTGGACCATTTAATCACATTATGGTATTTTCATTACCACCCTTTGAAAAACCAGAAGCAAATAATCTCAATGATATAAGCTGTTTAGAATAGTACTTCAGAGTTAACTATCTAGCTTAGATAGGTTATTTAATAAGAATGCATGTTGCATTATTCACTAATTTCAAAACCCACTGCTGCTTTTATAAGATGAGAAATATCATATCAAAAATGAGACAGTATAAAGGACTTTTAGTAAGAAAACCAAATATATAATAGAATTTTGATGAGTGGTATTTTTGGATAAATTAAACTCTGCCTGTGAAAGTGTAAATGGTAAGTAATAGAAGTAATTTTTTTTTCATAGATAAAACAGACCCAGGATGAAGAAAAGAAACAGCTAACTGCACTCCGAGACTTAATAAAATCCTCTCTTCAACTGGATCAGAAAGAAGTAAGTGGTTTACATGTTTACAACAGGGCTAACAGTGTAGGTAAGGCTGCTTGTAATACCCTTTGTGTTTCCTGATCTGCAAGACAGGCACAGTGATATATAATATGCAAGTATGTACCTACCATAAGCCCCATGTAGAAACTGTATTTTAGTTCCTTTTCCTTGCTTATAGGAAAGATGTTCTGGGTATCCAATTCCATGACTCTGGATTTTTTTTTTTTCTTTTTTCTTTACTTTTTTGAGACAGGGTCTCACTCTGTCACCCAGGCTAGAGTGAGGCGGCAGGCACACTTATGGCTCATCGCAGCCTTGACCTCAACCATTCCACCTCAGCCTCCCAGGTAGCTGGGACTACAGGCACATGCCACCATGCCTGGATAATTTTTGTATTTTTTGTAGAGATGGAGTTTGACCATGTTGCCCTGGCTGGTCTTGAACTGCTGGACTCAAGCAATTCTCCCACCTCGGCCTCCCAAAATTCTGGGATTACAGACATGAGCCACTGTGCCCAGCCCCATGACTATAGATTTTCAATCCTAGTTTTGAGGACATGCACTTCAGGAGCATATGCTGAAACATAGTACATTCTACAACTTTCCTCTTTAGACCACTTCTGTCTTTCTGGGCAGCCAAAACAGGCATGTCTCATTTGCCAGGGAAATATTTTGATGCAGAATCCTACAGAAGCTTTGCCCCACAATTAGGAAATTTGAGGTGAGTTGGTCCTTGGATATTGAAAGAGCATAGAATGCATGGTAGAGGCTGGATGAATGCAGTACAGATCCTTAGTTATAAATGTCATTTGTTCAAACATTTCATTAACACCTGCTGTGTGCCAGGCACAGTTCTAGGTACTAAGCTTTAGTCCCTTTCATCTAGTAGCTCATTATCTAGTCAGCCATATGAACAATCCATCATGCCTAAAGTGGTATGGATACTATTAGAGATACATTGGAAGATGACTGCAGCCAGACAGAAACCTACAAGACCCAGAGATGGAAAACTCCCCAGCATATTCAAGGGGCTGCAGACATTTTGGGGCAGGATGGGTGGAGGAGTCAGAAATGCAGTTTCTGAGGTAAAAACTCAGACCTGACTACGGAGGACCTTGGGTGTTGTACTAAGGGACGTAGACTTCATGATAAGGATAAATTAAACAGTAAGCACCATTTGTTTTCTGGGAGAAATTAAAAACGTGCCTGTTTTTGTTATGAAATTATGGGTTAAATTTAAGAGCAGTGGCTCATGCCTGTAATCCAAACATTTTGGGAGGCCAAGGTGGGAGGATCACTTGGGCCCAGGAGTTTGAGACCAGCCTAGGCAACAAAGTAAGAGCCTGTGTCTACAAAAAATTTTGAAAAATTAGCCACGCATGGTGGCATGTGCCTGTAGTCCCAGCTACTAGGGAAGCTGAGGAGCCCAGGAAGTGGAGGCTGTAGTAAGCTGTATTTGTGTCACTGTACTCCAGCCTGGGCAATGGAGGAAGACCCTGCCTCAAACAAACAAACAAACAAAAAATGAAGAGCAATATTTAATAATAATAACATGAAATACAGCATTTTTATAGTCAGTTTTTAAATACTATCACACAACAATAGCAAGTTCACTTATTTTAATTTCTAAAATTTCTGAAAGGGGTTTATGAGTCTAAAACAAAACAACTCCCATAAAACATGGGAAGCCCTGCACTAGTGACACTAATCTTTTAAAGCAACCCTGAAGGTTTTCTTTATTGAGTGAATATAAGCCTCTATTTTTCTGGTTCTCCAAATCCAGGTATATGCACTGGGGATTGGTCAAGTGAGAGAAGTCTATAGCACTGTAACACTAGGCATCTGCTAACCTGTGGAGTAGGCAGAGTGGCCAGGAACATCTGTGTACACTAAGGCAGTTTCTGCATCCATGTCATTCAGTCTCAGGCAGTGACTGCACCTGTGGTTTGAGGCCTCTGACTGTGATTTACAAGAATTTCCAAGTATTAGACCCCCAGTAGACTTCAGACTGAAGCACAGATATGCCATGCATGCCCTTTGAAGGTGCTTATTACTGACACATAAATCCTAGGAGAAATGTGGTCTCTTTGAATGATTTCTCAGTGTAAGAGCATTAAAAAGACCCAGGTAGAAGGGAGTACGGGGTGGTAGATTTCAGTCTTGGGAGAATATTGTGAGGTTTTTTGGGGTTTTTTTGTTTATTGTTGTTTTACTTACTGTATGTACTTAACCACTCCCTACCTTTGTTTTGTCACACAGTATTACCTCTTTCCTACATATGGAAGCTTTCTTGAAAAATAAAGAGGAGGACTGTTACAACCCCTTTTTGTTTTGCATGGAGACTTAAGTGTTCCGCTCATGCTAGCTAAAGAACAAAGTTGCATATAAGCCAAAGGAATGTGTACATGATGAAATGCACATGATTTGATTTAACCCCACCCCAGATTAATAAATGATGAGTTTTCATTAGTACCTTGCATCACAGAGTTTTACAAGTAATACATTGATCTTTCACAACATGCCTGTTCCTTTCTCATGCTGTTTATCATCACTCATTGCAGAATATGTTTAGAAGATAGTGATTTTTCATGACTGAGATTAAATGTGAGAGGAGACCATCCACAGAGAGTTCTGACCATGGTACTATTTGAAAAGAATGTCAAGTAATCTTAAAGATTAACTGAGGAATCAAAAGCACCCAACAAATCATTTAGCCTACTCATCCCCACCGGGTTCTAACTTGGCTCCATTAAAGGAAGTTCCAAGAATTTTAGTTGTGAATAGGATCCCTGGAATTTCAGTAAACTCATTTTTTTTCTATTAAGTTTTTATTGTCTTAGCAAATAAATGTTCTATGAAATTATATTAAGCTTTTGTAATAGCTTAATCTACAAAAGAACTATTTGCTATATAACTGTTTTTAGAGTTGGAAGTAGGTTTTTGTTTTGGTTTTTTTGAGACGGAGTCTCTGTCGCCCAGACTGGAGTGCAGTGGTACAAATCTCGCTCACTGCAGCCTCTGCCTCCCAGGTTCAAGTGATTCTCGTGCCTCAGCCTCCCAAGTAGCTGGGACTACAGGCATGTACCACCACGCCTGGCTAATTTTTATGTTTTTAGTAGAGACCGGGGTTTCACCATGTTGGCCAGGCTGGTCTCGAACTCCTCAAGTGACCTCAAGTGATCTGCCCGCCTCAGCCTCCCAAAGTGCTGGGATTACAGGCATGAGCTACTGCGCCTGGCCTGAAAGTATTTTAAATGGTGATAAGTCATATTTAGGATATACAGAATTATTCCAAAAATTACACCTGTTTTGTTTGAATTCACTTATGGACTCTTTTAAAACCCCATCACATTATCGTTTGCAGGTTTGACAGATTCTTTGTTTCTGTTTTACTCATGTCACAGTATCTGTCCTGTAGCCTGGTCCCAGAAAACTATTCAAATATTTAGAAAAATGAAACAGAAGGAATCTTTTGCCCACTCCATTGATACCTTGCATTAGAAATTTTAGGCTTCTGTAGTAGAGGTTTAGTTTTAAATTGGATACCAGAAACATTTATAGCCCCATTAAATCAATGAATGTATAATTGCTTGCACTTTTAAAAGATTTGAGACTCTACCTCTTAATAATACATTTTATACATTAATAAGATTTTCAAATAAGAAAGTGATTTGTCTATACTAATAGAGAATAGGAAATTAAAAAGATTTTAAGTTCATTGTTTATGTTTTATGTTTTTGCCCAAATGAGTTTTTCTGTTTCCTGAATACATAATTTCCGTTAACACTATCAAAGGATTCAGAACCTATTTCATTCCTTCAGTGTGTCAGTTTTTAAATTGTTGTTAATGTTATTAAATGTCCAGTATCTACTTTCTCAGGAAAGAAAATCCTCTTTGCATTTGTCTAGAGTGCCCTGCTTAGCAAGCTGAATGGCCATCATTTCTCAAAGAGCACAAGTAATAATCGGTGTGACTTTATTAAGCCATGAAACTCATTCATAGTTAATTTAGGATTGTTGATACTAAACTTCTGAAACATACTGCTTCCTTTCTGCTCAGTTTAATGAGGTCAAACCCTGGAGTTTAGCCACTTTATTCATCTTTAAAAGCATATTAGTTTGATGTAAAGCAAGCACATTCACTCCGAGGAGTTTGTTATTCAGAATTTAAGGTTTACTTAAGCTAGTAATAAATATATAAGGAACGTCTTAATGATACATTTACAGAATATAATCGTTTTTATAAGTTGTTAGTGTCTGAATCCTTGTTTAAAAGAAGTATTTTTATTTTTTAAACTTAGTGTTTTATTTTAAAGGTTAGCAAAGGTTAAGATTAGAGATACACAGTTGCTTGTTTTTGATTGAGTGCCTAGTAGTGAGACATCCATTTTTGTTTTTGTTTTTGTTTTCCTGCCACATGTGGGAGCCATTCTCTGATAGAGGAAAGGCGTGAAAGGCTTGAGAGATATCTCATTGTCACAGGCCTTTGCCAACTCCAGTATAATACATGTGGCAGTGTTAGGCCCATTTGAAAACTTAACAAATGTGCCAAAAAGAAAACTACCACGAGAGATACATAGTTTTAAAGCATTTGGACAGACCTAGGAATTATGTGGGCAGATGAAGAGAAGTCTAGTTCCGTAACAAGGGTTCCAAGGAAGAGGGTTATGAGTGAGCACCAGTGTACAGGGAAATTTTAGATTTTGTTTGTTTTTTTTTTTTTTTGAGACGGAGTCTCCCTCTGTCGCCCAGGCTGGAGTGCAGTGGCGCAATCTCGGTTCACTGCAAGCCCCGCCTCCTGGGTTCACGCCATTCTTCTGCCTCAGCCTCCTGAGTAGCTGGGAGTACAGGCGCCCGCCACCACGCCCGGCTAATTTTTTGTATTTTTAGTAGAGACGGGGTTTCACCGTGTTAGCCAGGATGGTCTCGATCTCCTGACCTCATGATCCACCCGCCTCAGCCTCCCAAAGTGCTGGGATTACAGGCGTGAGCCACTGCGCCTGGCCATGTTTTTAATGTTTCTGGAAGATACAGATAGGGCAGAGATCCCTGACTCCAAATTCATAATTGAGTAATTTTCCTGTGATTTTGTTGGATTAAAGCAGAAAGCCCTGTGGATTTCTTTAATCCCTGCCTCTTGCTTTGTCTCATGCCTCAGTTCCCTGCAACCCAATCCATTTTTCTTCATTAGGATTATGAACACACTGCTGCCTCTCTTAAAAAAACAACAACAAAACAAAAACCTGTTACTACTGTTGTTACTAGGGACTGTTGCTGGAGGTATTGGTAGGGGAAGGCTGCTCTTCTTGCTTGTCTGCTATTTAGTACAGTCCCTCAGTCCTACCTCCATTTAGAAAGTGTGAAAATATCTATTAGGGAGGACTTAGTGAACCACATTACTATAGAATTCAAGGCTATAGGCCCTGATTAAAAGTGAACATTTAGGTCGAGCATGGTGCTCACACCTGTAATCCCAGCACCTCGGAAGGCCAAAGTAGGAGAATTGCTTGTGTCCAGGAGTTCAAGACCAGCCTGGGCAACACAGTGAAACCCCATCCCTACAAAAAAGCAAAAATTAGCCTGACATGGTAGCACACACCTGTAGTCCCAGCTACTCAGAAGGCTGAGGCGAGAGACTCATTTCAGCTTGGGAGGTTCAGGCCGCAGTGAGCTGTGATCACACTATTGCATTCAGCCTGGGCAACAAAGCAAGACCCTGTCTCAAAAATAAATATATACATATGTATTTTTTAAAAGGAAATATTTAGGGAGAATTTTGCAAGAAAATCCTAGATTCAAGTCCATGCCTCATCTCTCCCAAATGATTAATATTGTCCAATTAAATGTTTCATATGGAGGGAATCTGGCCAGTTATAAACAGAGAAATTATTCAAATAGAAAATAACTCAAGTTTGTAACCTCTTTAATGTGAGTCAGCTTGCCTGGTTAAGTGTACAGTAAGCTCCCAGTTACCTACACAAGAGAGCAGGACAGTGATATGGTGAGAGTGTGAGCGTCCATGTCAAAGCCAGGGCTTATGTTGTATACTCAGGGTCCTTAATACCTGGCTTTTAGGAGGTATTCAGGACATGCTTTTGAACACGGAATCTATGATTTTCCTTTGATTGTTACTTATATTAATTTTGCATCACTGAACATACATTACTTGGCCCAAAAGGATCCTGAGTGTCAGAAAGAAGCCATCCTGGCGTTAAAGGTATTTCGTACACAAGTCAGTAAATAGCCAGTGGTTGGTTCAGCTTACCTCGACACTATCACATTTCAGGTGTTGTTTATGAACTGGATATATTTAAGTTCTTTTCCCTTGGGGAAAAATAAAAAAAAAAAGTCCTGCTACAATTTGTGGCTATTCCTAGATTTTCTGAATAATTCATTTTGGGTTTCACTGAGGTATTGATTCCCTATACATACACATTTGAGGTTTGTCAACCATTTTATCTTCCTAAAATGTGTGTGTGCCTCACATTCTTCTATTTAGCCATGTTTCTGTTCTCACGCCATATGACCTGAAATAAAACCTGATAAATACAGACATTTGATTGTCCTGTCACCCAAAGTTTATCCTGAATCTAGAGGTGTATGTGTTTTCTGGTATTATCTTTACAGTGATATTTTCTGTGTACATTATATAAAATGCTTAAATTATGGATAACATTTTCAATGAAATTAACTATATTTTCAAATGTTCTGCCTTTTTTCTCTGTTTCTTTTGCCCTTCCTGATCGAAGTCTAGGAGAGTAAGTCAATACTTTTTATGAGAATATATTGTCCTACTTGTATGTCTAAAGACCATGTTCTCGTTCTGCAGTTCAACGTTGTTGATTTTATTTCTTACATTTTCGTAATGTAATGGCTGTTTCTAGTCATGTAGTCCTTAGAAACTATGGTTAAATGTCAGTGGAATGCTAATAATAAATCAACCTTTTTTACATCTATGTTGTTGGTTTGGCCCTTGTCACCCTCCACGACATCATAACACTTTTCACTGCTGTAGAATTGTCTTAATTTAAAAAATGTGGTTATAGGTATATTTTACAGAGCACTAATTACAAAATGAGAGACATAATAATTGTTAAAACCTTGCTTAGAAGGTTCCCCTTTTATTTGGGGGCATATTGGCAGAATGTGTAAAGGGAGAAAGGTACAGCCTAAGGGAAGAACATGTTTGGGTTGCATGGACTTTATTTTCTGGTCCACTTCATTTTTTCCAGTCCCTCCTGTGTTTGCCTCTGCCGCTAGTGTAAACTGGATTCAGTCTTACAGTAGTCTGTCTACCAGTGCATTGTGCTTGTTTGAATTCAGTTCAGAGTAGAGGTGGGTTTTGAACTAGAAATCAGAGACCCAGACCCCAGCTCTGCCTCGGACTTGCTTTGTGACTCTGGCAAGTGTTTAGCTGCCCTGTTTCCTCCTCTAAAATAAAGGAAAGGACCTGACAGCTCTTAAAGTTCCATAATTCCCTTAGACCCAGACCAGTGCCAAAGGCTCAATGGCAGAATAGAATCAAAGATGGGAGAATTGTCTCTAGTTTTTGTTTAATCTGTAGTTTTTCTTTCCTAGGATTCTCAGAGCCGGCAAGGAGGATACAGCATGCATCAGCTCCAGGGCAATAAGGAATATGGCAGTGAAAAGAAGGGGTACCTGCTAAAGAAAAGTGACGGGTATGTATGAGCCCAGCCCAGTGTCTCAGTGTGTGATTAACCTAGAAAATGTTTCCAGTCTCTCATATAGGGAAACACACTTAAAATTTTATAATACACTAGCTGCAGACCTTTAGCACACTGGTTTTCTTCAAGTAAATCCGAGATTTGACCAGCTCTCTTTAGAAGAAACAGTAATTGCTCTGTGGTCCCTAAATGGCACTTCTGTCTTGTAACGTGCAATTATAGGAAGGCAGCTACTGAGTAGCACATGCAGCAGGCAAGTGCTGACCTCATACTCACCCACCTCTCCGCTTTTTTTTTTTTTTTTTTTTCCTGAGTTCACGCCATTCTCCTGCCTCAGCCTCCCGAGTAGCTGGGACTGCAGGCGCCTGCCACCACGCCTGGCTAATTTTTTGTATTTTTACTAGAGACGAGATTTCACCATGTTAGCCAGGTTGGTCTCGATCTTCTGACCTTGTGATCTGCCCACCTCAGCCTCCCAAAGTGCTGGGATTTTAGGTGTGAGCCACCGTGCCCGGCCCCTCTACCCTTTTATTCACTGCAGTTTTCTCTGCCTGTTGCTCACCAGGCCACCCAACCTTGGGTGTCACCCTTGACTCCTCTTTTGCCTCTTGTATTATAGCCAATCTGGCAAAAGCTCTTCCATTTCTAACTCTGAAAGTAATATACTCTTGCCATCCCCTCAGCCCCTGCTCTAGGGTGAGCTGCTGCTGTCTCTCCTGGAGTATTCAGCGGCCTCCTAACTGGTCTCTTTGTATCGCTCATTCTTCTTTTTCTGCAGTTCACCTTCACACAGCAATTAGAGTGGTCTTTTAAAAATCATAAAGCACAGCCGGGCGCGGTGGCTCACGCCTGTAATCCCAGCACTTTGGGAGGCCGAGGTGGGCAGATCACGAGGTCAGGAGATCGAGACCATCCTGGCTAACACAGTGAAACCCCGTCTCTACTAAAAATACAAAAAATTAGCCAGGCATGGTGGCAGGCACCTGTGGTCCCAGCTACTTGGGAGGCTGAGGCAGGAGAATGGTGCGAACCCTGGAGGCAGAGCTTGCAGTGAGCTGAGATCGCACCACTGCACTCCAGCCTGGGCAACAGTGCGAGACAAAAAAAAAAAAATCATAAAGCATATGATGTCATTCGCCTGCTTAAAATACTCCAGCGGCTTCCCTTTGCATATAGCATCTCAACCCTGCCTTCCTGTCCCACCTCATCTTGTTCCATTTTCTCCCCTGATCCTGCCACATGAGGCTTCTTTTCTGTTGCTTAAACAAATGATTCTGCTTCACAGTAAGTGCATAAGTAGAATCTTCATTATTCCCTTTAATAATTGTCTTTTTGGAGGGAGGGGACAGGACCTTGCTCTGTCTTCCAGGCTGGAGTACAGTGGCACCATCACAGCTCACTACAACCTCCCAATTCCTGGGCACAAGCGATTCTACCACCTCAGCCTCCTGAGTAGCTGGGACTATAGGCACATGCCACCATGCCTGGATACTTTTTTTTTTTTTTTTTAAATATAAGCAGGGTCCCTCTTTGTTGCCCAGGCTGGTCTTGAACTCCTGGCCTCAAGAAATTCTCCCACCTTGGTCCCCCAAAGTATTGGGATTACGGGCATGACTCACTGTGCCTGGCCTATTGTCATTGTTTTTTTTTAAAAGAAAGCTCCTTGTTTTCTGATTACTTGTGGATACGTACTCCTTGGCTTAATCTGAGACATGTACATTTTTTACTGTAATTTGTTTGTTAAAATTATAAATATTTCTCTTCTAAATTTCTGGGGTCATTGACTGTTTTGCTTATTATTCTACTCATGCATTCAACAAAGATATTTTGAGTCCTGCTGTATGTCTAGGACTCACTCTTCTAGGTCCTGAGAATACAGCATTGAACAAAAGAAAATCTGGCCCTGATAGAGCTGACATTCTAAGGAAGGAAAGAGACAAAAAATACTCAATATATGGTAGATCAGATGGTAATTAGTGCTACGGAGAAAGATCAAGCAAGAGATGCAGGTGGTGTGGGGGATGGGAGTGGTTCTTGCTATTATACAGGTGATTAGGGAAGACTTTATCAAGTTGATGTTTGAGCAAAGGAAGTGAGAGAAATCTATGCAGATACCTGGGAGAAGAGGAAGTAGTCAGGAGCATGCATCTCATGGTGACAAATACTTGAGAGTTCAATGTAGCTAGAGTAGTGAGCAAGCCAGGAGGTCATAGGAGATAAGGTCAGAGGGACAGGGAACCACTCCGTGAGGTGGGGAATCATTAGAGGGTTTTGAGCACAAGAGTGACATAATCCAACATGTTTTGGAAGCTTCTCTCTGACTACCAAGCAAAGCAGAGTCATGGAGGGTGAAAGCACAGAGACAAGGAGACCAGTTAGAGGGAGGGCTGCATCAGAAACCTAGATGGGAGCTGATGATGAGGCCAGGGGAACTGCAGAAGAGAGGGTAAAAAGTGGTCAGTTGTGGATAATGGAGGCAGGGGCAGCAGGACTTGCTGATATGGGGTGTAGAGAAAGAAAATCACCCCTCGTCCAGCATCTGGCTCATTGTAGAATCAGTTAGCTTAATCCTGCTGTGAAAGTAAAAGGAGAAAAGAAATCCCAACTAACAATTCACAGATTTAAACTGGGCTCTAGAATGGTGACCAAATGCTAGTCCAAACTGCATGAGATAAAGTGTACATAAATTGTAAATTCCATAGCTTATCTTGCTGAAAAGCCTCAGGCTCAGCTCCTTGTTCTTCCCTGACCATCTGTGGTACAAACATCTCTTGGAAATGTGACCTGTTCTGTCATCAAACGAAAAGTTAATATTGTGTTCCATTATGAGCAACAATGTACTATTACATATCTATTGAAGCAAAAGTATAAAAGTCATTTTTTAACACTACTCTCCCGAAATCACAATGATCTTCTTGAAATTAGAATTGCCTAATTCTAAGTGAAACGGTTAAAATCTGTATATCCAAGGAAGATCAACAGTCTTTTCTTAAGTGTTGCATAGTTCAAACCCTAAAGTGTTCAAGTAAATTATCTTGAGAGCACCTGTGTATGCCTGCCACACACCCAGGTGCCTGCTCACTCATCTCATTTGACATCTTTTACAGAGGGATTAAATAATTTGACTAAGATCATACGGACAGTAAGTATGAACACTCAAATTTGAACCTGGGTCTTCTGACTTAATGCCAGGGTATCTCCCCTTTGTTTTTCAAAAGGGCCACTGCTGCTGTTATCACTCTAAGGATATGCAAGGCATAAACTGGCACAAATTCACCCCCTTGACTTCTTCGTTCTTTTGTTCTTTTCCTTCATGTACTCATTCCACACACATAGATGAAATACTCTAGTGTATGAGGCAGCCTGCTAGATGCTGGAGGTAAAACATAAATGAGATACGGTCCTCACCCTCACTTTGACTGCAGTCTGTTGGAAAGAGATACAGACAGAGCTGTTGGATCATAGAGTTGGAAAGGAGGTTGGAAGTCAGGTGGTTCCACCTCCTAATAATGGCACAGATAGCAAAGATGAGCACTAATAACCTGGAGTTGCTTGTGACTTCTGTGGAAGAGTAAAAAATTGAAATGCTTATACATGAAAACAGACTCATTTGCAAACAATGACCACTGATATGTCCTGTGATTTTTCTCTGAAGTATTATTTGCGTTGGTAATTTTTGACCCTAGCTTTGGAATGCTCTTTATTACTTAAAGGATTATAAAAATAATTTTTTAAAACTTTATGGACCAGAGGCAATTATTGAGAGACAAAGGAGCAATTGCTTTATTATATTTTCTCATTATATGTACGAAAGTGGGCATTACTGTCTTTGTAATACAGAAAAGGAGAATGAGTCTCCAAGAGGTCAAATAACATGAGCAAAGTCACATAGCTAGAGATCGCGCTGGGATCAAAGCTCAAGTGATCTGGCATCAAAGTTGGAATTATCTATTTATACGAGACCATTTTCTAATAGAATTTTCTTTTCTGGAATTGTAAGATTCTAGCATGGCATAATCAGTAATCGTGTGTGGCACTCTCTGTGAGCACCAGATGCCAAGAGTCTTTGGTATGTCCATTCAGGAGCTATGCAGACTGGAACATTTGTAAAGCTTTCAGTACAGAGAGTGGGGGAGATCACAGCAATTCAGTCTAGTCCATAGAAGTCTTGGGAATAGAAGCTATCAAAATGTTCACAAAGATCAGGTGCTGGCTGGGCGCAGTGGCTCATGCCTGTAATCCCAACACTTTAGGAGGCCGAGGCCGGCAGATCACGTGAGCCCACCAGCCTGGGCGACATGGCAAAACCCTATCTCTACAAAAATTAGCCAGGCGTAGTGGCACATGCTTGTAGGCCCAGCTACTCAGGAGGCCGAGGTGGGAGTATCGCTTGAGCCTGGGAGGTCAAGACTGCAGTGAGCCATGATCGCACCACTGCACTCTAGCCTGGGTTACAAAGTGACACCCTGTCTCTCTCGCACACAAAAGATCAGGCAATACTGCTCTCAACTGTGCCAGGAGATATCTCAAGATTGTTCCCTTTCCTCTGGCGATCTGAAAGTGCCTCAGTCACAATCTCTGTCAACCCAGAATAATGCTTCTGTGTTACTTTCCTTGGCTTTATTAGCAGCAGAAGAGAAGGGGTGTGTGCGCGCGTGTGTGTGTATTGTTTCCATAATATACATGTGTAAGTAAAACTAATGAGTAAAGACTTAATAAAATGGATAAACTGAGGCTTTAAACTATTCCTGAAGGTTGAATAGTTTGATTGGTGGATTGAGTGTTTGATATTTAGGATGACACTGGTTTTGGCTTAGTGTATACAGGGATGCCTCACCTATGTTAGCAGGCTCTTGTGAGAGTAAGATGGATGCAAAACTACTTGCAGAGAGTTAGTCACGTTAACCAAATGTGGCTCTGATTAGTTGAGAGATGCCACCTCTAATCAGACATTTCCCTGGCCAGTACTTCTAGAAGAAAGTATGTGATTTAGCTCTTATTTGAGGATGGTTTATCAATTAGTAGTTAAATTACCTCCTCAGCAAGGCTAGCATTCTGAATACAGTATGTTCAATTTGCATTTGGTTAGATGGTGTCAGATTCTTACTTCCTTCTGTGAAGCATGCTTTAGAACAAACTGTGCTTCTAGTAGTTAAATGCACAATATTATTTGTGTTTAGAGATGGTTTTAAATTTGTGTTGTGGCAGCTTTCTTAGAGGACTAATTTAAGAAGGAAAAGAAAAACATAAGATGATACTGTTTTAAATGCCTGGGAAAGCTACAGTGGTCTCCTGATGTCATTTGTTTCCACAGCAACAGAAGGCCTTCAAAACTTACTTCCAGCCTAGGGAATCACTGTTCCCTGCCCATTTCTTCTTATCTGATGGAAGTAGTTAGTCTCAACTAGTGCATTTGCATCTACCTGCACACACGCAGATCTACCACACATGCAGTCTCGTCTGTGCCTGGAGCTTCACACACACAAAACTCTTCCAAGTTTTAATTCGTTCTCTTTGGCTTTTTTTATCCTTCAATATCATCAAATCACATTTTTCAAAATGTCTATCACTTGTTACTAACTATTTGTGAATGATTTGGTCACCATTTACTTCCCTTTGTGAATCATGAACAGTTTTTTCTCGGGGCTCTGAGGCACCATTCTGTCTCTGGAAGACCCCTAAAGGGGTGGTGTATGAGTTACCAAAAATGATGATGCATTCTTGAGCCCTGGCTAAGCTTGTCCTGTACCTCCCGAGGCAGTTCACCCCTCGCTCCTTGCATGGCAGACTTCTTGAGTTACTTTCTTAACTTTAATTTTTATTTTTTGTAGATATGGGATTTCCCTATGTTGTCCAGGCTGGTCTTGAACTCCTGGGCTGAAGCAGTCCTCCCACCTCAGCCTCCCAGAGTGCTGGGATTACGGGCATGAGCCACCATGCCCAACCACTTTCTTAATTTTTAAAAATCAATTATTAATAACAAAAGTAATCAATTGAACATTCTTATGAAAGATTCACAGATATGATTGAAAACTACTTAATTAACACCACCCCCAACAGGTTTGGGTCCCCTTCCTAGAGAGGAGTTATTATTATATCATTGTAGTACCTGTCATTCATTTATTGAGTCTCCTGCTGTTAGATTATTATTGTTTCTATTTCCCATTTTTACTGTCCAAAGCAGTGCCACGGCCAGTCACAGTGGCTCACACCTGTAATTTCAGCATTCTGGGAGGGCGAGGCGGGCAGATTGCATGAGCCCAGGAGTTTGAGACCATTCTGGGCAACATGGCAAAACCTTGTCTACAAAAAATGTAAAAATTAGCCAGGCATGGTGGGGTGTGCCTGTGGTCCCAGCTACTCTGGAGGTTGAGGTGGGAGGATCATATGAGTCTGAGAAGTCAAGGCTGCAGTGAGCCATGATTATGCCACTGTACTCTAGCCTGGATGTCAGAGCAAGACCCTGTCTCAAAATATATATATATATATATATATATACATATATATATATATATATATATATATTTAAAAAGCAGTGCTGGCCAGGTGCTGTGGCTCACACCTGTAATCTCAGCACTTTGGGAGGCCAAGGCTGGTGGATCATGAGGTCAGGAGTTCGAGACCAGCCTGGCCAAGATGGTGAAGCCCCATTTCTACTAAAAATAAAAAAATTAGCCGGGCGCAGTGGCAGGAGCCTGTAATCCCAGCTGCTCGGGAGGCTGAGGCAGGAGAATCGCTTCAACCCGGGAGATGGAGGTTGCAGTGAGCCGAGATCATGCCACTGCACCACTCTATCTTGGGCAACAGAGCAAGACTCCATCTCAAAAAAAAAATTAAAAAGCAGTGCTGTAATGAGCATCCTTGTACATGGCTACTTGTGTGAATTACCTTCCACCTGGGATAATAAAAGGCAACCAGGATTTTTTTGGGGGGGTTGGATTTTTTGGTTTGGGGAAGTTATTTTGTAATTATTATTATGTATCATACTGTATCGTCGCATGTCCCAGAGTGAATCAGTTACTATATCTAGTTGTGTTTGACTTCCTCCTTAGGATCCGGAAAGTATGGCAGAGGAGGAAGTGTTCAGTCAAGAATGGGATTCTGACCATCTCACATGCCACAGTAAGTATGTTTCTTAATTTACCCTGCCTCATGGGCCAGAAAGCAAACACGATTATGTACTCAGCAGTAAAAATTGGCGCAAATATATTTATGCATTTGGGTCAGATCATTTTAGATATTCCTTTACCAAAAAAAAAAAAAAAAAGTTTTATCTTGTCCTGTGGTAGTCTGCACCATTCTTTGGCATCACTAGAAACTTGTTTTTTTGCTCTCTCAAAATGAATACGGTATTTTGATTTCATAATATTATCTTTTGGGAAATATTGATTGTTCTGAAAAACCTAGGTCTTTGAATTATAGAGATGACAGGCTGTTCTTTGCATGTAAAAATAATGTAGGAAACGTAACAGTAGATGTAAAAACCTTGGTGGTAGTCAAAGA
Source organism: Homo sapiens (assembly GCF_000001405.40). Lineage (NCBI taxonomy): Eukaryota > Metazoa > Chordata > Mammalia > Primates > Hominidae > Homo > Homo sapiens. The sequence continues at coordinate 130,152,354 of NC_000008.11, read as the reverse complement.
AGTGCACAGTAAGTTTTGCCCTTTTTAAACCAACAGAAAACTCTTTTCAGTTCTTAAAGATGCAGAGATTGTAGTGGAAAATGTACCAAGCAGGAATGGAAATGGCAAAGTATATGCCAAGACTTTTTTAATGTGCTTGCTGTTTAACCCAGTAATCTCAGTTTGGATTTTAAAAACTCATTAAATTACAGTATCCTGTGCCAAGTGATGTCCTTGGGGCACTGCTCAATGAATTGCCAGCAGAATAGTAGAAAAGAGAGATGAGCATTTATTATGTTGGCAATTTTGTATGACTTACAGCTGACTTTAGATATCTATCAGGGAGGAAAGGAAGTACCACTTACCTTCATAAACTTTATTTCAGTTAATCCTCCCAACAACCCATGTGGTATAATAACCTTCATTTTACAGATGAAGAAACTGAAGCACAAAGAACAGCTGTAACTTGGCTAGTTACTCACAGAATTGGAAGTTCAAACTCGGGTGTCTGTCTGACATTAGTCCTTGTGGCCTTTCTCTCTCTTCCTGCAGAACACATCATCTTACTAGACTGTAAGCGCCCCCTTGGGCACTTACTAGTCCTGTTCTTTCTGTCTTCAGCCTCTCACACAGAACTTGACATACAGAAGGCTCTTAGTATACACTTGTGGCCCAGTCCTTTGTGGTAAATGACTGCACACATCTTAAAGATTGTTGTCCTTTATGGAACTTGAGCAGTTGCATTGTCTCTGTCCCTTGCCCCTCGCAGCACACTTTTCAGTGATTCTTCGGAGGAATTCCTCAGAGGTCTGCAATTTCCCTCAAACAGCCCAGCTGAGATTTTTAGCTGTCATGCCAGTTGTGTCCAGCTACCCATCTGATATCAGAAATCCTGTCTACAGACTTGGATCTGTTTGTAATTATGATTGAGGCTGTCTAACAGTTATTCATTTCTTCAGCAATCTTTTTTTTTTTTTTTTTTTTTTTTTTTTTTTTTTTTTTTTTGAGACTGAGTCTCGCTCTTTCACCCAGGCTGGAGTGCAGTGGTGCAGTCTTGGCTCACTGTAACCTCCATCTCCCAGGTTCAAGCGAGTCTCCTGCCTCAGCCTCTTGAGTAGCTGGGACTACAGGCGCCCACCACCACACCTGGCTAATTTTTGTATTTTTAGTAGAGACAGGGTTTCATCATATTGACCAGGCTGGTCTCAAACTCCTGACCTTGTGATCTGCCCGCTTCGGCCTCCCAAAGTGCTGGGATTACAGGCGTGAGCCTGCACGCCTGGCCCTTCTTCAGCAATCTTTTGTTAAGCTTCCATTCTGCCATGTTCTGGTGTAGGCATCAAAGATGCATGAATGAAAAATTAGATAATTTTTATTTTCTTATATTTAATTCCATACACAGTCATCTGTGTATGCCAGAGTGAACATTTCTGATCCTTTGACTATATAGATGGTGAGTTTTTAGTCAGTTACCATGTTTTTGTTTTGTTTTGTTTGAGACAGGGTCTGGCTCTGTCGCCCAGGCTGGAATGCAGTAGCACGATCTCGGCTTACTGCAACCTCTGCATCCTGGGCCCAAGCCATCCTCCCATCTCAGCCTCCTAAGTAGCTGGGAATGCAGGCACACTTCACCACGCCCAGCTAATTTTGGTATTTTTTTGTAGAGGTAGGGGTTTCGCTGTGTTGCCCAGCTGGTCTCAAGCTCCTGAGCTTAAGTGATCCACCCGCCTCGGCCTCCCAAAGTGCTGGGATTACAGGCATGAGCCACCGCACCTGGCCAGCGTTACCATGCATACCCTAACTCTCTTTGCCTTCTGCTGCAGAGCTCTCCCCTGGGATTTGTGAGGCTGTAACAGTCCTCACTAGGCATTTTGAGAAGTTATATGATGGTTTTATCATGTTGTATCTATTTGCTTTTCTTAGGAATCTGCTGTGGAAGGCAGTGCAGAGTGATGGGAGATCATATAGTTGATGAAGTGAATCAGTGGCACTGCTTAGTGGTTATATGACCTTGGGCAATTTGCTAAAAATAAAATAAGTTCCCTTCCCCCTCCTGATTTTATTCCTGCCAAAACACATTGTTGTGGCCAAAACAACTGTTTATATGCATTCTTAAGGCTTGAATTAACAAGTCTCATCACATCATCCACATTGTTTAGTGGCTAAGATAATGGACTGTGGCATCTGTCTGATGTGAGTCTGAATGCCAACTTTGCCATTTACTTTGTGACCTTGAGAAAAGTATTTAACACATAAAGATTATATGAGGATTCAGTGAGATAACATGCCATGTGTGGCCATTCTGTTAATACTTATTGCTGCTATTACCGTTAGTTTATTGGATGTTGCTGACAATACTGAAATCTGTTGACAAGCAAACCCTCCTGCTACAAACATCAGCACTCTCCTGCCCCCAGAGCAGCCTGGAGGGAAATGGCTTACTCTCCTAACTTCTGATTCCCTCCTGCTAATTTGTGCTATTCTGTTCCCCACTTTTCACTGGCTTTGGCCCAGACCTTTTTTGCTGCCAGTAACATCACTCATAATCACATTGCTGCTCCCACAGAAAGGTCTCTAGCCAGTTTTAGCGGGCTTTTCCTGACTTTGCAAACACCATTGATTAGAATTAGATTGAAAATCAAGGCCAGCAGTTTTCTGAGAAAAACATAAAGGGCTTCTTTGAAAAAGTGGGGAGAAGAGCTTTTGTTGTCAGAAAACTTGAGGTGTTTGGGACACATGGAAATTCTTTGGTTTGAAGGCCCTCATCAGTGTCACCTTTGCAAATTGTTCTTATCAAAGTGATTCAGGAGAAGGCCAAGTATGCATTTAGATTAATGATGCAGGGTTTGTTGGCTTGGCCACCCAAGCAAGGTCTGCACCAGAGGTGATTCATCTCCCCAGCTTACTGTTCTAAAGAGAAATACATTTCTGTGTACACCTGAAAAATTGGCAGCCCATCCTTAGAAGATTTCATTCATAAATTCTTTGCTTTTCATGTATCTGTTAAAACAAAAAAAATTCTTTTACCAACTATTCAAAGTAATGCAGAATTGTGGGAACCAAATTCAGTGTGAATCTCTGAATTTGCTATAACAGTAGTAATATTGTGATAGCAGCTTCCAACTATGGACCATCTAGTATGTTCTAAACACAGTATAAGATGCTTTCATTTCAAAATACCAGTTCCAACAAATCTTTGGCAAACATTTCAGTTAGCCTCAGGCCAGGCGCGGTGGCTCATGCCTGTAATCCGCTCATGCCTCATTTTGGGAGGCTGAGACAGGCAGATCACTTGAGCCCAGGAGTTCGAGACCAGCCTGGGCAACATGGAGAAACCCTATCTCTACAAAAAAAAAAAAAAAAATGCAAAAATTAGCTGGGCATGATGGTGCACACCTGTATTCCCAGCTACTTGGGAGGCTGTGAAGTGGGAGGATCGCTTGAACCTGGGAGGCAGAGGCCGCAGTGAGCCAAGATTGCGCCACTGCACTCCAGCCTGGGCGACAGAGCCAGGCCCTGTCTCAAGAAAAAAAAGTTTTAGCCTCAAAACTCAAGTATAAAGCTTATATGAAGCGACTAAACTATTATCATTTCTATAGTTTTGAATTGTTTGTTTTTTCTAACTAAAAGTATTGTAGTATAAATAAATATCATAAAACAAATTACAACAGAAAGTATAAGAATTATAGTTGACATATTTATTGTAGTAATCTTGAGAAATCAATTTCAAAAGTATAAGCAGCTATGTTCTTCAAAAACCCTGTTCTGTGAATTAACCAGTGTCACATTCTGTTTAAATAATGGGTTGTAAAAAGAAAGAGAACTGCCATTTATGCAGCACTTAGAATGCACCCTGCACTTCATCTTCAAGATGGCCCTACAGGATAGGCATCACTATCTTCATTTCTCACCATGCTGGAAATTCCTAGGAGGTAGGGACCGCATCTTACTCATCTTTGAATTTTCAGTACCTAACACATTGCCTGACGTGTACTTAGTGCTCAGTGAATACTTTTCTAATGAGACTGCATTTTATAGATGAAGCTCAGAGAGGTTAAATCCCATGCTCAGGGTCATGAAGTTTGTAAATAGCTGGACCAGTTTTCCAGCCTTAAAGCCTGTACTCTTTCTACTGTATCATAGGGTTTTTTTTTCCTCAGCTGCCAGATTGTTGTTAGGTCTTTGAAAGTTTCATGAATAACAGTTCTTTGCAGTGGAACTGCTTACCTTGGCCTTACCTTGATACTCCTTGAATTAGTCAGGGGTCTTAGGGTAGAGAGGGCTGTAAGGGATTCCGGGAAGGGAGGAGAAGGAGGAGTACTTGTCATGAAGATAATGCAAGTGTTCTAAGAATTTATATTTGAATCTGAAACTGCCTAAATAATGCATTACATCTTTCAGATGTCTTCAGATGCCCTTATGATTAACACTTACAACGATTATTAAATTTATTGTCACTTTTTTCTCAATCAACCAACACCAACAGTATTTTTAATAGCACACAGAAGTTCATTAAGGTCTGGTGTTTTACTCAAAAGGGTTGGAAATCCAGCTGGCCTCTTTAGAGGTTCCACCTCTTAGGTAGATAATGTGTGTGTGTCCACCTGCTTGATGGGCTGATCATTTTGAACAGGGGGAGAGTCAGACCACATCCTTTTGAGTCCATCTGCAGTAAATGCCCATTCAGGATCTTATTGTATGTGCCTTTTATTAAGCTACTTAACTTGTACTAATCTGTGAAACAGAATAACAGTACCTGTCTTCCATGTTACGAGAATTAAATAAGATGATGCATTTAAAGCTTTGCAGAGCCTGGACCGCAATAAGTGTTCCTTAAACTTAATAGCTGTTGTCATCTCAGTGAGCTGAAGTAGGATCACAGCATCTGGAACCCTGGAGCCAGACTGCCTAGACTTGAATTTCAACCCTGACACTGAATCTCTAGTGAGGATTTTCCATCTAAATAAAATGGGGCTATTAATGAGGCCTAATTCATAAGTGATTGTAAAGATTAAATGAGTTTATTGATTATAAATAATTAGAACAGAATGTAGGGCAGAATTAGTGCTCAATAAATGTCAGCTATTAGTATTACTACTTCTCTAATGTACAACTATCCCCATTTTAAACTGTGGTTTATTGGAATTCTTTTTTTTTTTTTTTTTTTTTTTTTTTTTGAGACTGCATTTCCCTTTGGAGTGCAGTGGCACCATCTTGGCTCCCTGGGCTCAAGCAATTCTCATGTCACAGCCTCCTGAGTAGCTGGGACTACAGGCATGCGCCACCACAGCCAGCTAATTTTTAGTATTTTTAGTAGAGACGGGGTTTCACCATGTTGGCCGGGCTGGTCTCAAATTCATGACTTCAAGTGATCCACCCACCTCGGCTTCCCAAAGTTCTGGGATTACAGACATGAGCTGCCACACCTGGCCGTTGGAATTCTTTTGTATTGCTATTTTCATTACTACTCAGTGTACTTTACAGAGCCCATTTGGGGTACCTCTTCTTTCATAGAAATTTAATTTCTGCCTTTAGGGATTAACAGCAGCTCTGTCACCTTCCATGGCATTTCACTAAAGCAAGAATTGGATGTGTCTCTTCTCCCTTTCCTTTGGATCTTTGGGTCTAAGGTCTGTTGTTTTCTTGCCCCATCCAGAGCGCTGAAGATAACATTCAGCTTCCAGGGCTTTAAAAGAAGCACTGAAAGCACATACAGGAAACAGGAAGAGACCTGCAAAATGGATTGCTCTCTTCTTTGCTATTAATGTATTCAGTAACCTTGTTTCTGTTACTGGCCTTCGGAGCTCTCCTTGGCTGTCCTCTGATTCCACGTCTTTACTCTCATTGTCACTGAAAAGAGAGAATGAGAATATTTTTCTTCGCTCCAACAGATTAGAAAGCAGCACTGTCAGTTGTAAGAGGGCGAACTTTGGAGCCAGTTAAACCCAGGCTCACAAATTTAGAGCTCACAAATTTAGAAAGTGTGACCATTTGGTTAGAGTATGTGCTGTTGGTCCTTAGCATATACAGAGGTCTTAGCATATACGAAGGTATATGCTAAGGGGTAAAAAGGTTTTTTTTACTTTTACTAAGGGGTAAAAAGGCTTTTTTAAAGTCTTGATTTACAAATTTGAAGGTATAAAACCAAGGAACCTGCAGTTTGACATCAGCTGTGATGTTACCTCCTGCCCACATTCCTAATATAAGAAATAATAGAGTTCTTTAAAATGTTTCAGGCCAGGTGCATTGGCTCTCACCTGTAAACCCAGCACTTTGGGAGTTTGAGGCTTAAGTCCAGGACTTGGAGACCAGCCTGGGCTACGTGGCAAAACCCCATCTCTAAAAAAAAAAAAAAAAAACACAAAACTTAGCCAGGTATGGTGGCACATGCCTGTTGTACCAGCTCCTTGGGAGGCTCAGGCAGGAGGATCACTGAAGCCCATGTGGCAGAGGTTGCAATGAGCCGAGATCACACCACCGTACCCCACCCTGGGCGACAGAGTGAGACCCCATCTCAAAAAAAAAAAAAAAAGTTTTACTTTGACCTAATGTTCTGTTGTTAACAGCTGTGACCTTAAGGCTGAGTTAACTTAACCTTTTGGTGCCTTATTTTCCACATCTCTCAAATAGTAATAATAGTGGTACTTAGTTGTAGGGTGGTTATCAGAATTAAGTGAGCAAGTATATGTAAAACATATGGCATGGAGCCCAGCATGAGTAAATGCTGTGTTCTCATCAACATAATGATGCCCTCGCTTTAAAGACTGCCCTTTCTGTGTGAGGCTAATAAAAGCCTCAAGCACATTTTGTCTCAGCCATTCATGAGGTCATGAGTTCAAGAACAGCCTGGCCAACATGGTGAAACCCCGTCTCTACTAAAAATACAGAAAAGTAGCCGGGTGTGGTGGCGCGTGCCTGTAATCCCAGCTACTCGGGAGGCTGAGGCAGGAGAATCGCTTGAACCCAGGAGGCAGAGGTTGCAGTAAGCCAAGATCACACCACTGTACTCCAGTCTGGGCAACAGAGCGAGACTCCGTCTAAAAAAAAGAAAAAAACATATGCCATAGCTCAGATGTTTTACTATCAAATTAATGCATTTTATACAAATATTCCAAGTCTGAAGGTTTTAGTTTTATGTACCCTTGTTGGATAGCATGACGTAAAGTGGCTACTGAAATTAATAGGAAATGTGAATTTAAAAATTCTTCCTGTATTGGCCCAAACTCTATATACTATCAAATAGTAGGTACTTAATACATATTTGCAGAAATGCCTGCGTGGATGACTATCTAGCACATTCATTGGGTGCAGTAACCTCAGCGCCACGTCTTAGCAGGAGCCCCAGTAAGCTCTTTTTTTCTATTTGCATTGTAGCATTGATTGTTTAATGTTGATTTGAGTGGAACATCCTCTCAAAAGTAAGGTAACCGATTCCTTGCTGCAATAAAAAACATTTTCTTGGAGATCTCCATTTTCAAATATTTCTTTCTCACATATACATACATTCTGCCAACTGGAAATGAGTCCCTTTATTAAAATGATTGGGAGATACAGTGATAAATGTTTGACAAAAAAATTAGTAAAATGGTTGGGAGGGTTAAGGGAATTCAGCCATCTACCCTAGAATGAATTACTTCAGTTAGATAATCACTACTTATCTTTTTCCCTGTCTGAAGGATCACACAGGGGATGTGAGAGCTTTAGTTGTGGCCACAGAGTAATAAGTTTGGAATTTGGAACGTGCATCTGGAGGGAAGATGAGGGAACTGGCCATTTAAGGGCAGTAAGAACCAGAAAAGGCAAAACAGTAAAGCTATATTTTGACTGACTTTGTAAGTTTTCCTAGGGCTTGGCTTGACAGGGAAACAGTGTGATAAGTGAGAAGAGATTTGTTCAGAATTCAGCTTTGCCTTTTATTTTTTGTAAAACATAGGTTAGTTTACTTCACCTTCCTGATCCTTGGTTACCTCATTTATGAAATGGGTTTGGGAACAGTACCTAACTCATAGAGTCATTGCAAAAATTAAATAATAGAATTCATATAATGTATCTGGCAGTTTAGGTACTCAGTTTTTCAAAAAATTGTTACCTTTTATCTGTTTGGAAGGCCAAAAGCCAATAGTCTTGATTGCTAAAATTCTGGCGATAAGATCTCTCTGCAGTGGTAAGTGTTCAGCATGTACCTTAATTTCTTACCACGGTTGTAGTTATTGATTGTATGCCAAAAATATATGTCCCTGTAGGGCACAGTAGGTGTCTAAAAAACTATTTATTGAATGAAAACTTTGAAATGACCATAATGGTCTGAGCAGCTCTGTTTTCAGACACTAGCATAGGAAGTGAAGAGAGCTTTGTCATTTTATTTTTACCTCTTTCCACGCGTCAGCCTCATCCTGGCTGGGTCAGGCCTATTTTCCAAGTAATTAATGTTCACTTCTTGTTTGTAAAGCAGAGCAATTCAGTAAGATGATGGGAGGAAATAATTTCATTTCTGGGTACTAATTCCAGTAGCAGCTGTTTTCTGCTAACTGAGAAATATGCCTGTGCTAACAACTTTACACTTCCAGCAAAAACACTGGAACCATGGTGCACACTAAGCTGTCTAAAGACAAATGTGCGGTGTTTATTTTCTTTTAGGAAACACAGAAACATTAATTGGGATTGACTCATTCTGTTTCTGCATGCATTTCTACTTACTTATTTGATGATTTTCCTAGCTAAACAGCCACTTTCTGTTATGTCAGAGGGATATCTTCATCACTTCTCTTCATGAAATGTACCCAGAGCTTCCCTGATTGAAACATTTTCAAAAATCAAAAACTTGAATAGGTTTGCCTTTTGTCTGAGGGTGTGTAGGAGAGGGGTGTGTAAAATGAAGACATCTGTGTATATTGTTAATTGGGAAAAACAGTTTACAAAATAGTATATACAAGTTGAACCAACATATGTCAAAAAAAAAAAAAACAGACATCTCACACACACATCTTGGTAAAATTAAGGTATTAACAGTGATTATTGCTGCATGTGAAAGTGAGATTCCAACAACTAATGTTTGGTTTCTTCTTTGTACTATCTCTGTCTCCTTTTCTTCTATGAATGTGTTTTATTTTAATGAGAAGTGAAACCTATAAAAGGACAAGCCTCAGAGTTTGAAGGAACAGAGTTGTAGAATTGTCAGCTTTGAAAAGTGTCATAACTATATTTAGAGAAGCTCTTGTAGCTTTTGAAAGAGATGCTGCTCAAGACAGCCTTCAGGAACAATGTGTCCCTCCATTCACCATTCAAATTTCTGCACTGAATAATTCACATAGTAGGTAATGATTACTTGTGGAATGATGCATTGAAAGTCTCCTTTTCTAGCTGTCTTAAGCCTCTGGCCACCAGCACCACTACCGTACGTAGCTCTAATTCAGGCCCTCCTCATTTCATTGCTCATCTTCCTTACTCTCTCAGCCTCTCTCTGCCTCCTCTACCTTTCCCACCAACTGCCCCCCCACCACCCCACCGTGAAATAGAGATCTAACTGGCCACTCTGCTTTCTCCAGTAGATTGCCAGAGTCATGGATAGGAATGTGAGTTTCTTAGTATCATATGCAGAGTCTCCCTTCCTGTGTGCTCAGTGTCACCTCCTGCAGCTTGTCCCCTCCTATGCCCCAGGCCTTTGGACCTGCTTATCACACTTCCCAGTTTGTCCATATTCCCTCCTCCAAGTCCTCTCTGAAGGTTGAGGCTGCCTGTGTGGAACCTTGCCTACATCTTTGGTGCACACCCTTGAGCTCAGGTCCCTGGGCTCCCTGGGCCCCCATACGTAATCAAGTCTGTTTCCACAGATGTTTAATGGCATGGACCATGTGTTTCTCAGATGTGCTTGGAATGTGGTAGAGACTTAATAAATATATGATGAATGAGTAAGTAGGAATTTCAAAGTGGCTTCTAAAATTTCTCTTTTCCCCAATTATGAAAGTAAGTACTTAGAGGAGAGTCAGATAACCCAAGAAGATATTAAAATAGAAATTAATCTTTGGAGCTTTTGCTTCATTGACCTCTAACCCTTACTGTAATCAGGAGGAAATGTTCTTGTGTGCTGGGCATCCAGCTGTTATTCTCCGAGCTATATCAGATTACTTTCTTTCCAGGCTGGACTGCAGAGTGACCGCAGAAGAGAAGGAGTGGGGGCTCTGACCCATCCAAACCACTTTCTTACCGGGAGAGCTTAGGAATGTTACTTAACCTTTCTGTGCCTTTATTTCTTCACTTAGTAAAAGAAACTGAAGACTTCCCTCACAGGTAGTACATGAGATAGTATATGACATAAGATGCCTGGAATGTAGTCATTAATTTAGTAAATATTTATTGAGGGCTGGGCACGGTGGTACATGGCTATAATCTCAGCACTTTGAGAGGCTGAGGCAGGAGGATCACTTGAGGCCGGGAGTTTAAGATCAGCCTGGGCAACAAACCAAGATCCCATCTCTACAAAAATTTAAAAAATTAGTCAAGCATGGTGAGGCATGCCTGTAGTCCCAGCTACTTGGGAGGCTGAGGCAGGAGGATGCCTTGAGCCCAGGAGTTCAAGGCTGCAGTGAGCCATGATTGTGCCACTGCATTCCAGCCTGGGCAACAGAGTGAAATCCTGTCTCTAAAAAATACATATTTTTAAAATTAGCCTCGTGTGGTAGCGTGCGCATATAGTGCCAGTTACTGGGAAGGCTAAGGTAGGACAATCACTTCGCCTGGGAGGTCAAGGCTGCCATGAGCCATGATCTTGCTAGTACCCGATGTGTGCCAAGCACATTTTAATGAGAAAAATGTGTGTGTCCTTAGTGAGAAGGAAGACAGGAAGCAAATAAGGAGTGTTAAGAGCCAGAAAGAAAATACAGCAGGGTGTACAAAAATGGAACATCATGGGGAGGTGGTCAGGCCAGGTACCGCCTCCTCTGAGGAGGTGCTGATTGATGAGAGTTCTGCAGGGAGTGAGCAGGGAGCTCTCCGAGGGCCTGCAGGAGTGTGTGAGCAGCAGGAGGGACCAGTGCCCCTCCTCAGCCAAAGGAACAACTCAGAGTGACAGGAGCTGAGTGCGAGAAGGGGCCTGCGATTGGTGCCTGGAGGTCATGGCACAGATGTGTGTTTATTCTGAACAGGATGGGAATCAACAGCAAGGACTCAATAGATACATAGACGTTTCCAGAGTTTCTCCTGTTTTGTTTTCTTTTTTCTCTCCTGTACTTAAACAATATGAAAGCATTTCCTAAACTGTTCCACTGTGGTGTAGCCCAGAGTAAATCATTTAGTTTTACTTTAATTTTAGTCTGCTGAAATCCCAGGAAAGATTATACAGTCTCCAATCAATATACCTATAAATTAGTACTAAATGTCAAGAAAGTGCTTTGAAATTTTGGAAAGTTACACAAACATCTGAAGTTACAATTATTACTGTAGTGATTTCTGTGCTTCAAATGCCTTGGTTTTTGGACTTCTGTGGAACATACCACTCCCCTCTGGTATTCGTGGGCTCAGCCCTGGGTAAGTCAGCTGCTTAGACAGTCAAAACTTATGCGTACTTGGCTCCTCAAAGTCACATTTGGGATGATGGCCATTTGTCAAGTGCCTCACTGGCAGCTCAGTTTGGAGAAGAGCACTATGTTTAGGCAAGATGTGCCTGTGTCAAATGCAGTTCATGTTAATGTAGCAAAAGTCAGTCTAGTAGATTTGGCAAACTTCTAAGAGAATAAACATCATAACGTCATCACCACTGAAGTTGTGGGTCAATCATGGAATGACTTAAACCATATAAATTCCTTATCAGCAAAATACTTTGAAATAGTCCGTGCTTAGAAATGAGAGGTGAGGAGGATGGGAGGAGGGAAAGGAGCAGAAAAGGTAACTATTGGGTACTTGGCCTAATACCTGGATGATAAAATAATACGTACAACAAACCCCTGTGACACATGTTTACCTACATAATAAACATTCACATGTACCCCCAAACCTAAAAGTTTTTTTTTAAAAAAAAAAGAAAGAAAGAAAGAAATGAGAGCTGAGACCTGAGGCCAGCATGGTGCCTCACGCCTATAATCTCACTTGAGGCTGACAGATCACTTGAGCTCAGGAGTTTAAGAGCAGCCTGGGCAACATGGAGAGACTGTCTCCACTAAAAATACCAAAAAAAAATAGTAATAACCAGGTGTGATGGTGTGCATCCATAGTCCCAGCTACTTGGGAGGCTGAGGTGGGAGGATCGCTTGAGCCTAGGAGGTTGAGACTGCAGTGATCTATGATCACCCCAGTGCACTCTAGCCTGGCCGACAAAGCGAGACCCTATCTCAAAAAAAAAAAAACAAAAAGGAGAAAGAAAAAGAAAGAAATGAGAGGTAAATAGTGCTGTTTAACTTGCCTGAATGCAGTTAATACTCAGCTGAGTGTATGGTGTTTTTTTGTTGTTTTTTTTTTTTTAAGATTTGTATCTACTCTTGGTTGTATCTGTTGGTAAGATTGTTCAGAAACACCGGAGAAATCTAGATTTTGGGAGAATTAAAAAATAAAGTTAACCTTCTGTCACATTCAAATGTGAATAGTGTCTAAAAATTACTAAATTTTTCTTTTTCTTTTTTTTTTTGTTTTTTGTTTGTTTGTTTTTTTGAGATGGAGTCTTGCTCTGTCACCCTGTTGCCCAGGCTGGAGTGCAATGGCGTGACTTTGGCTTACAGCAGCCTCCACCTGTCAGGCTCAAGTGATTCTCCTGCCTTAGCCTCCTGAGTAGCTGGGATTACAGGCATGCGCCGTCATGCTTAGCTAAGTTTTGTATTTTCAGTAGAGACAACGGGGTTTCGCCACGTTGGCCAGGCTGGTCTTGAACCCCAGGCCTCAGGTGATCCGCCTGCCTCAGCCTCCCAAAGTGCTGGGATTACAGGCATGAGACACCACGCCTGGTCAGCTTAAAAATTATTAAATTTTTCAAAGGCAGTCCTTCTCTACTTAAGAAACCTGAAACCTCTTATTATGCATAATCAACTTAAGCTTGGGAAGTTCTTCCTTATTTCTGGCCCAAATCTTCTGCAATTGGAGTGTATTTCTTTTCATCTGAGCTAATGGAAAACAGCTGCCCAACCTTCCCAATAACAACCTTCATATACTTGAAGATGGTCATTAAGTCACCCCCTAGCTTTCCCTCCTCTGTACTAAGTAATGCCTCTAACTCATCTTCAGAGTTTCCATTTTCCACCCTTTCAATCATCTCTTCATCTCCCCAAGCTTTTCTGCATCCTTCTTTAAATGTGGTTTCCTAATTGGAACATAATATCGTAGCAAGAGTTGTTCTCACCATTAACTGGGTCACTGCCTTTTCAGGTGGTCATATGCCATTGTCATTTATATGAGAAAGTCAGCAATTTTATCAACATCCAAAAAGATGAGATGTAGAACTAACAGTTCTTTTTACAGTGAGCTAAGCCTGCTTCGTGGCTACAGATTCTGATTTTGGAGTCTGAGGCCTTTAGCAACCCAAACACTTCAGCTGTTTTCTTTTTTTTTTTTTTTTTTGAGACGGAGTTTCACTCTTGTTGCCCAGGCTGGAGTGCAGTGGCGAGATCTCGGCTCAGTGCAACCTCCACCTCCCAAGTTCAAGCGATTCTCCTGCCTCAGCCTCCCGAGTAGCTGGGATTACAGGCACCCGACACCACGCCCGGCTAATTTTGTATTTTTAGTAGAGACAGGGTTTCTCCATGTTGATCAGGCGGGTCTGGAACTCCCGACCTCAGGTGATCCACCCACCTCAGCCTTTCAAAGTGCTGGGATTACAGGCATGAGCCACCTCGTCTGGCTCTTCAGCTGTTTTCTCAGAAAAACTTGCAGGCCCACAAGCTCCTGCCTCCCCTTCTAGGTTTGGTGACAAGTTCTGGAGTACAGGAATCTTCCCAAGCACTGTTTCCTCTTTGGCAAAATTCTCTTGTACTTGACTTCTGGTTCCATTCCTAAATCAAAGGTACATGCATTGAACATGGAATCCCCTGGGGTCTCTCACTTCCTCCCCTAAAGCAGTTCGCTTTGGAATAGATAGATATGGGACAAAGGGCATTGTTTTCTATGTTTAATCTCATTGAAATCATAGAGGGAGAAAGATCTTGAAAAATGGTCCAGAGAGCACAGGAAGATAAATAGAAATTGTTTAATGCCCATTATTTAGAAGGAGAGGTGGCAGTGTGTCATTGAAGGTGTCTTGATTGTATGCCATCTCTGTTGTTTCAGGCTTACTGATGTGACTTGTCTCTAACTCCCTCCCCCTCTCTTTTCCCTGAAAATTTTAATTCCTCAGCTGGAGATGCACCTGGTACTAGGATTTTCAGAACCACAGCTCTCAATCGAAACAGGGATATAGGTCCAATTAAAGAGTTTCATTGCTTATTTCTCCAGGCTTCTCGTGTTCGAGCACAGCCCAGCCTGGGCACTCAAACATTTCATTCCTTGGTCAGCTTCTGCAGGAAGGAGGGATCCTAGTATCAGCCATTGTCCAGCATGTGACCTTGAACATGGGCAGGCAGGAGAGTGTTTTGACCAGTGTGAATACGTGGTGAGACTTCCTAAGTTAGCGTGACTATCTAGATACTATAGGGTCTGTTTTATATGTGTGACCAAGAGATTTGCTGATAAGTTATATGAAATCCTTATCAAATTTTCTCTCTCCCCAGATATTGGGGTTCATTAAGCATTGCCTCACAGGTAGTAATTGTCATTGTACTTCTGAGAGAAGTAATGTAAATTTTGCATCACAACCAAAATTTGTTGAATCCATGGATACCTGGGAGATCAATTTGGGGATGATTGATTACCGGGGTCATTTTGAATGAATAAATGAAATATAGCTCAGCTACATTTCATAGTAAGATACAGCATTAAAAGTGCCAACTGTTGGTGCTTAGTTATGGGTAGGTTCCAGAAAGGTGCATTTCCATGGACCATGCCGACTGTTCATTGGAAGTGAGGTGGATTATTTTTTTATTCTCTTCTGAAAAATCACCAGGATATTTATGCACAGTTTAAAGACATTTAGTAGGACACCTAATTTTTTTTTCCATCTTTAATGAGATTCAGAATTCAACTGGGATAAATAAAACTTTACTAAACTTACCAGCTTATATTTGAGGGCAGAAACCTACAGATCTGTTGTCTTCTTGCAGCAAACTTGGAACAATGCTCAGATGTCTGTTTCTTCTTTGCTGAAAATGTATTTTTGTACCACTGAGCAGGCCTTATGAACAGCATACCTGCCCTACAGGGCACTGAACCTGCAGACAAGAGAGTGGAGCTGCATGTAACTTCTCCATTTTCTCTTTTTTTCCAGTCTAACAGGCAACCAGCCAAGTTGAACCTTCTCACCTGCCAAGTAAAACCTAATGCCGAAGACAAAAAATCTTTTGACCTGATATCACGTGAGTCCTTTTTCTCTCTCTGAGTTGGTTATTGTGGCTTCTGACACCTGCACATTTCCATTCTCCAGGTCAGCAGCTTTTCCAAGCAGGGCTCCTCACAGTTGGCATTGGAACAGTTATTCCTGCATGTGCTGCTCTAGGAAGATGCCCCAGGTCTCTTAATTTCCACTGAGCCCACCTGCAGTTGACAAGGCATAGCAGTGTCAGATCTGACCAGCAATAGAATAGAATCTAGGATTTGTACATTGAACTAAACCAATGCTTGACTGTGAGTACACAGCTTTATCCCCTTGGAGAGATGTTTCTTAGTATATTCCCATTTCTGTCTTAGATCTACTGAATTATAGTTGTTGGTATGAGGCCCAGACATAGTTTAAAAAAAAAAAAAAAGCCACTAGGTGATTGTAATGTGCACCTGTGGTTAAGAAGCACGGATGTAGACTTGGGAATGCAGATGTGCCACTATATCTGTACAACGAATTTGCCCAGAGTTATATCCCTGCAAAATCTAGCTCTTAAAGGAAAAATCATTTCCTTGCTTCCAAGCAGAACTGCCTTCAACCTCTGTGAATTGATGGCACTGCACCCTGTCACTCTTCTACTTCATGGTTCAGAGTTTGCTTTTCTCTTGTGATGAGAGAGCGTAATGAGCTACCCACCCCACAGCCTGTTATAGCCTGTGCCCTCATAGTGTGTAAAGAGTTGGGGGGAGATGTTCCTTTAGGCTGGCTACCTGTGCTTGTACTGATTCCTATGGGTGTGCTTACCGACCCACACTGTAGCTGAGAGGACTCCTCTTTGTAAAGAGAGGATGACAGTGCCATTGAAGTGACTCTCGTGAATATCCTGAAATCCTGCAACACTAATCTTAAGTATCCTTCCTTCTCTATCACAGCCCAGCAAGGCAGACCCACAGCCAAAGTGGATGATCTATGTATAGAAGCACAGAAATATTTTCTTGCCCTTTGAAACCTTTCTGATGCAGTTGTGTGAATAGTCCTGACCCAAAAGATAGAGTCAGTCATGAGGCTCTTTAGGGGTAGTCGAAACTGTATTCTGCAGCATCTGTATGAAGTTTAGATTCCCTGTGATTTTCATGACCAAGAGATTTATTGAGTTATTGATGAGAAAGAAATAGGAAAATTTGGAATTATTTTATGACTTCAAAAAGCCAAAAACCCCTAGTTATGAGAGTCTGTAGGTTATTAATAATAGTTGGCAGTTATAGAGCATCTGTTACATGCCAGGTGCCTTATATACATTAGTGCTAATCCTCATGAAAGCCCTATCAGTTTTCCATTTTACAGAAGAAAAAACTCAGACTCCAAGAGGTTCAGTGACCTACAGAAGGTCACACAGCAATAAAGCAGAGATTCAACCAAAGCTCTCAGGCTCTGCCACCCATGGCATGTTCTTTTTTTTGTTTTGTTTTGTTTTGGGTTTTTTTTGTTTTGTTTTTTGTTTTTGAGGCAGGGTCTCACTCTGTCACCCAGGCTGCAGTGCAGTGGTTCAGTCGCAGCTCACTGCAGCCTCAACCTCCTGGGCTCTAGTGATCCTGCTTCACCCTCCCAAGTAGCTGGGACCACAGGTGCATGCCACCACATCTGGCTGATTTTTAATTTTTTGTCTAGAGGCAGGGTCTCTGTTGCTGAAGCTGGTCTCGAACTCCTAGGCTTAAGCAGTCCTCCTACCTCAACCTCCCAAAGTGTTAGGATTATAGCCATGAGCTGTAACATTAAGCATGGTATGTTCTTTGACATACACATTGTCTCTCTCTCCAAGAGAGATGAAGGGTGTGACTGCCTAGCCTAGAGTAGTCACACAGGAAGTGCTCAGGATATGTTAGTTTGACCTGAATATATTGAGAAAGAGCTTCCCTCATGTACATCCAGCCCAAAGTATCCAAGTTAGGTCACTCCTTCCCACTCCTTCCCTTACATGGATAGCAGAGATTGAGCCTTTCTTCCTGCAACCTGATTCAGCCAGAGAGCAGCCCCAACATCTGGGGCATAGTATGTCTAGTGTTGGGGGTGTTGGGGCTACCCCATGGTTAAGTCTCAGAACAAATAGGGAACAGTAAATGAATCATTTCTGAAAAGGAGATTTCTTTAAAAAAAAAGAAAACACAGTAACAATTGAATTGAAAATGAAACAGAAAATACTGAATTAGCTGGCACTCTCCAGTTTGTCATGGAAATCCATTTGGATCAAATAGGACCTTCCCCTCTCCTCACTGTTTATTCAAAAGCAGTGCCAGATGTATGCATGGTATTTGTGGTTATTTTATTGTATTCTTGTTGCACTTAAGAAGAATAACCTCGACAGAATGAATCATGTAGCTGTTTTATTGCCGTGTGACCTTGTGTAAGTCACTGAACCTCTTGGAGCCTCAGTTTTTTTTTCTGTAAAAATATGAGAAACAGATAGAGCTTTTGTGAAGATTAGCAATAATATACACAAGGCACCTGGCACATAATGGCGTAAAACTAAAATAATATTAAAATTCTACTTTTACTGGTTTTCTTCCCAGGAACTTAAATCTGTGTTGTACCTGAAAGTACCCTGCTTTCTAAGGTTTCACTTATTTTTCTTTTTTTTTATTTTAGATAATAGAACATATCACTTTCAGGCAGAAGATGAGCAGGATTATGTAGCGTAAGTAGTTTTGAAATAAAGGTGCGATGCCTTGGATTGAAAAAGCACCTCTCTGTTTACAATACACATCAACATTTTCTTTTCATTTGTAAGAACCTCGCCTGGTGGCTCCATGCTTCTTTCCCGCCTGTGGGCCATCACATGTTGCTCTTCTCTCTGTCTGTGGTTCTCCCTCTTGTCTACTCAATAAGCTCTGGTACCTCCTGCAAGATTCTGCTCAAGCCTCACCCTCTCTGGGGTTATAGCTCACTACTCCTTGCCCGCGGCCTCTTCATAACCTTCTGTGATCCTGTGGTGCATGTCTGCAGCCCTTTAGAGACCAAGAGCTTTTCGAGGGCAAGGACCGTGCCTTATGCATCTTTTAATCACATCCCTTGCCCTCAGGAGGGGCCTTTGCTCAGTTTTTGGTGGCCAAACATATCAGCCAGCCTACCTGGGCACTTGACCATTATTGTAAGAGGAGCAGGTGAGCCAGGCCCTGAAGGAAGGAAACTGCCATGTGCCTTTCACTGGGGTGAACAGAGTCAATAAAAGGGAGCGTGATATAGTGGAAAGGAACAGGTTGGTATCACATACTCCTGGGTTGGAGTTTTTTGTTTTTTTTTTTGTTTGTTTGTTTGTTTGTTTGTTTTTGAGACGGAGTCTCGCTCTGTCGCCCAGGCCGGACTGCGGACTGCAGTGGCGCAATCTCGGCTCACTGCAAGCTCCGCTTCCCGGGTTCACGCCATTCTCCTGCCTCAGCCTCCCGAGTAGCTGGGACTACAGGCGCCCGCCACCGCGCCCGGCTAATTTTTTGTATTTTTAGTAGAGACGGGGTTTCACCTTGTTAGCCAGGATGGTCTCGATCTCCTGACCTCATGATCCACCCGCCTCGGCCTCCCAAAGTGCTGGGATTACAGGCGTGAGCCACCGCGCCCGGCCCCTGGGTTGGAGTTTTGCACTCACCTGACCAGGTATGCAACCTTAGATAGTCCCTAGTCCCTTTTTTAAAATGCTAGCCCTGGTCCTGAGCTGTCTTTATTCCCTCTTCTTTCCTGTAGCCTGTCTAGACGGAAAAAGGCAGTGTGTGACTATTATAAATCTCAGCTGCTTGGGAGAGGGATGTTTTTGTTAAAATGGGCAATTATTGTTCACTTTTTTTTTTTTTATTTCTAATGAGTACTTGGGGTAATTTGGACCGAGTTTTATAAACTGTCAAACTTCCTGTCCCATCAGTGGCACAGAATACATGCTATGTTCCTCTCTTATTTCTGGAGAGCCACAGAATTCTGCTCATACCCTTTTTGCCTTATACTCACTTCTTTTCTCTCTCCCACTCGCTTACTTTTGTTATTGCTCACACACACAATCTTCTCTGGGGAATTTTACTCTTTTCCCATTTCAAAGGAGAAATGATAAAGGATCAGAAAGAGAAGAGAACATGGGTAGAAAAGATACAGAGGTGGGAGGAACAGGGTGGGGAAAGAAAACTGAGAGAGAAGGTAGAAAGACAAAGGAAAAGGATGAGAAAGGTCTAATTAGCTATTCATTATTTGAATATTTAATGAATGCCAGCTGTATGCCAAGGCTATGCAAAGCCTTGAGAATACAACATTAAATTAGATGGAGCCCCTGCCCTGAAGGAACTGCATCTCTACTGCAGGAGGCTGTTGGTACGACATGGTGCAGGTGCTAAGTGTAAGGACAGAGGAGGCCATGTGCTGGAGGAATAGACTCGGGGCACACACCCTCATGGTTTCCTGGGGTTGTTCCTCAGAGATGACTTCCAAGAGGAAGGTAAGGCTGAGCTGGCTCAGGAACGTAGGGGAAGGTTGTAAATACTCTATACTCCAGGCAGGAGGCTCTGATGGCACAGAAACAGGAGGATGGAATAGGAAGGAAGTGATTGATGACTTGTTGTTATGGGTATAGAGTTGGTAGACTGAAAGGTGACTAGAAGTCAATGAGGAGGAAGTCAGAGGCCTGGCCCTCCACCCACAGGTTCAGAGAGGTACTATTTATAATAAAAATGGGTAATAGTTATTGAGATGTTACGTGCTAAATGCACTTCATGTCTTATTAATCCTCACAACCCCAGAAAGTAGGGACTTTTGTCCCTAGTTTGCAAATGAGGAAACAGAGGCACAATGTGCCCATGGTAACAGTCCTAGTAAGCTAGGATTTGAACCCAGATAGAATTCCACAGTCACCTTGGAATATTGTTTCTCCTTCTCCGATTTCATTCTCTCTTCCTCATTTCCCTTTCTCAAAACCCTAAGTGAAACACAGGTGAGTAATTTGGGTGAGGCAGGGAACACAACCACTTTCTGTTTGTTCCCTTATGACTCAAACTCAGATCTTCAATATTTTATTTACTCTTAGAACTTACAGGTAATTCAGTCCCAGTTTTGTTAAGAGATTGGTGTCCTGCCCGTGAGACTTAACATTTTTCAGTAAAAGAATTACATGGCCCACCCTGAAGTTGCGCATTTTGCACTTTGCAGTTTTGTTTTGTTTCTGAGACAAGGTCTCACTCTGTCACACATGCTGGAGTGCAGTGGCGTGATTATAGCTCACTTGCAGCCTCAGTCCTCAGTCTCCCAGGCTCAGGTGATCCTCCTGTCGCAGCCTTGCAAGTAGCTAGTGCTATAAGCACGCATCACCACGCCCAGCTAATTTTCATTTCTTTTTTTTTTTTTTTTTTTTTTTTTTTCAGTAGCCATGAGGTCTTGCTGTTGTTACCCAGGCTGGCCTCAAACTCCTGAGCTCAAGCCATCCTCCCACCTCGACCCCAGAAAGTGCTGGGATTACAGGCGTGAGCTATAGTGCCCAGCCTGCATTCTCTCTGGGTGCTGGTGGTGAGAGGGGAACTTTGTTTTGAGTGCTGTAGGAGGTAATGGCAGTCCACAAAGAAAGCACATGCCTCAGAGGGAAGCCTTAGTTCTTCACTTACCTCCAGGTTACATAGAGGCAGTTTCACTGCATCATTGAGTTTATTTTTCATATGAAAGTGTTCGATGAAATTGAATGAAAAAATTTCTTCTCACTGAGGAAAGTTCACAAAGAGCAGATGCATGTTAGACTCATTTGGCTTCTTGTCCAGGCTCTGCTGGCTAGTGGCTTTTTTGTTTGTTTGTTTGTTTGTTTGTTTGTTTGTTTGTTTTCAGAGTCTTGCTCTGTCGCCCAGGCTGGAGTGCAGTGGCGCGATCTCGGCTCACTGCAACCTATGCCTCCCGGGTTCAAGCAATTCTGCTGCCTCAGCCTCGCGAGTACCTGGAACTACAGGCGCGTGCCACCACGCCTGGCTAATTTTTTTGTGTTTTTAGTAGAGATGGGGTTTCACCGTGTTAGCCAGGATGGTCTCGATCTCCTGACCTCGTGATTTGCCCGCCTTGGCCTCCCAAAGTGCTGGGCTTACAGGCGTGAGCGTGGCTTTTTTTTTTAAAATGAGATCTATGTTGCCCAGGCTGGACTTGAACTCCTAGGCTAGAGCGATCTTCCCGCTTCAGCCTCCCCAGTAGCTGGGACTACATACGTGCACTATGGTGGTTAGTGGCTTTTTAACCTTAGGCAGATCATCTGGCTTCAGTCTTCTCATCAGTAAGATGGGATTATATACCTCGATTGCAGGATTTTGAGAGGATAAGCTATGTAAAGCCCTTAGCACAGTGCCAAGTTATTTTTTATCTTATAAAACTCAAAGCGACGTTTAAAGTATTAAAATACAATTATGCATTCTTTATGCTTTTGAGTATGCTTGTTACTTGAAAATAATTTAAAAGTTAATGTCACAAATGATCACTGTGAGTCTTGGTCCTTTTGAAATTTAGCCATTTCATTCCACCAAATTTGAATTATTTTCTCTAGAAAATTATCCTTTAAATATACTTTTTCTGATTATCATGACAAACTTCTTTATTTATTTGTCATGAGCTCCTGAGTAAAGAGGCAAATGGAAGGAACTCTGAAAAAGTGAGTCAACAAAAGTGTTTTCTTATCCCCATCTGGTCTGACAGAATCCAGCCTAGAACCTTAGGCAAGTCATATAACTTCAGTTTCCTCATCTATAAAGTATTATAAACCCTAACTTAGAGGCATGTGAGAAGATTCTACAGGTTGAGTATCCCTTATTTGAAATGCTTGGGCCCACAACTTTTTTGGATTTCAAATTTGGGGTGTTCAATCTATATGTTAAAAATTGTAAGTATTTGGTACATAGTAGATACTGGCCAATATTAGCCAAATGCTAGAATGCCTGAGGAAAGCGAAATAGAGGCTTTGCAGTCAAGTGAAAAATCCAGTAACATCAGTGCCGCTGATAAAATGCAGTAATCAGTCCTGTTGAACCCAGGTTCTTGATTTGTTTTTAACAAAACAATTTCTAGTTTCTAACTTCAGACTGATATAAAAAATACTGTTTTAATCTTCTAAAAGGTATAAAATCCCCCCATTCCTTCTGCATATGAATTCCTAGACTCTTGGTTTTGAAATGTTCAGTTTTCTGCATCACAGAAGTTAAGCTGTGTATATGCGTTTCTCCCAACATACTGAAGGTGAGCGCCACCTAGAGTCAAAGGTGTGACTTGCATAGTTCACATACTCCAAAAACATAATTTGGTTTTTAATTCTTATGCTGTCACTATTGCTTATTCAAAGTCTTTTGTATAGTGCTTTGTTTCATATCCATTTCATTCAACGATATACAAAAAAATGAGAGACTCAGTTCTGAACCTCTGTATTGTCTGTTGAGAATAAACATTAGCTGTCTATATAGTAACAAAAAATTAACACTGGTTTGGAAATGTTTTTTATTTTCTTTTTAGAAAATAAATTTGGCTTTTTTCTCATTCATGAAAGTAATACAAGTTCATTATAGTTTTGAAAAATTATAGAAAGGCACAAAGTCGGGCAATTCCTCTATCAGTTGTTTTCTATAGAAAATCACTCAGAGACAACCACTATTGACGTATTTGTGAAATTCCTTTTAGCCTTTATTACATACATATATTTAAATTTGGGATTATATCATTCTATTAGCCCGTTCTCACACTGCTATAAGGAAATACTGTAGACTGGGTAATTTATAAAGGAAAGAAGTTTAATTGACTCACAGTTCCACATGGCTGGGGAGGCCTCAGGAGACTTACAATTATGGTGGAAGGGCAGCAAACATGTCTTTCTTCACATGGCAGCAGGAGAGAGAAGTGTGTGGAGCAAAGAGGGAAGAGCCCCTTATAAAACCATCAGATCTCAACTCACTCACTATCATGAGAACAGCATGGGGGAAACCGCCACCTTGATCCAATCACCTCCTACACGGGTCTCTCCCCAGACACGTGGGGATTATGGGGATAACAATTCAAGATGAGATTTGGGTGAGGACACAAATCCAAACCATATCAATCATATAATAGGTTTTTTTGTTGTTGATTTCACAAAACACTATATTATGAGCATTTATCCAATGTCACCCAAAAATTATTTGAAAATGTACACTTTAATGCCTGCTTAACTGTTCTACTTTGTGGTTATTTCAGGCCTAGTTAATCAACTCTCTGTTGTTGGGTTTCTAGGTTATTTTAGTAGCAAAGGGTTATTTTGTTTGGGACATACAGTAGTCATACTGTATATAAGTAAATCTGCAGTCTTCATTTAATATTATAAATGTCATCATGTTTCCATGTTAATATGCCTTTTTCATAAGTATAAATTTTTATGGCTGCTAATGAAATATCCCTTCATTTTCACTGTTAAGTGTCCCCACTGACATGGACTTGCAGAAAATACATACCTTTTGCTAAACTCCTTTTCCTGGCTCCTCTCCATTTCTCATCATTTCTTTCTCATCCTTGCATTGGATGGGTCCCTCATTGAGTCCTCTCCATTCCAACATTCCCTTTATTCAGTATGCCCACACGGAAATGCAGTCTCCTTGTATATTCGTTCAAGTCCTCAGTTATATTGATTTTTTACTTTTCTCATCTGCTCCTCTCCTCTCTCTCATTTTCCCCTATGTGTCATTTTTCATTCTTTAACTCTCACCTTCCTTCAAGTTTGATTTCTTTGTTTTTCCTCACTTTATTGCTATTTTGGAAGGGGGCTTCTCTTTTGGAATTACTTGACAAAAGTAGATTTTTTTTTTTTGCAGTGGCAAAAAAAAAAAAAAAAAAAAAAAAATGACCATGCTCTTATAAAGACTTTTTTCCTCTTATGTTTTTACCAACAGATGGATATCAGTATTGACAAATAGCAAAGAAGAGGCCCTAACCATGGCCTTCCGTGGAGAGCAGAGTGCGGGAGAGAACAGCCTGGAAGACCTGACAAAAGCCATTATTGAGGATGTCCAGCGGCTCCCAGGGAATGACATTTGCTGCGATTGTGGCTCATCAGGTTTTTGTCCCCATATTTGAACGAGCTTTTACAACATCCTTTCTCTTCCTGTAGAATATAAAACGATCTAGTTATTGAAAAACCTTAACCCCTATGGACACACTCACATACACACACAAAACACGTATTCCCAACGTGATTTTTCCTACCGCTGAGCTGCTTTTACCTATGCTGTTTTCTCTACCTGGAAAGCCCCCTCTTGCTCTCCTAGGTGTCACTGCCAAAATACTACCTTTCCTATAAGGTCCAGGTATATAAGCACCATGGACATTATGGAGAGAGTAGGGGGCATGGGGTCCACATTTTGTATCACTGTCCACCACTCCCAGCCTGGACCATCTCACACTGAGTCCCTTTAGTATTCTGATTCGTAGTTTACTTATCCTAAAAAATGGGTCAGTAAACCTCTTGCTATGGCACGGTGGCTCACGCCTGTAATCCCAGCACTTTGGGAGGCTGAGGCGGGCGGATCACTTGAGGTCAGGAGTTCGAGACCAGCCTGGCCAACATGGTGAAACCCCATCTCTATTAAAAATACAAAAACTAGCTGGGCGAGGTGGCGGGCACCTGTAATCCCAGCTACTTGGGAGGATAAGGCAGAAGAATCATTTGAACCCAGGAGGCAGAGGTTGCAGTGAGCCAAGATTGCACCATTGCACTCTAGCCTGGGCGACAGAGCGA
Source organism: Homo sapiens (assembly GCF_000001405.40). NCBI lineage: Eukaryota > Metazoa > Chordata > Mammalia > Primates > Hominidae > Homo > Homo sapiens. The sequence continues at coordinate 130,127,245 of NC_000008.11, read as the reverse complement.
GACTGTCTCAAAAAAAAGAAAAAAGAAATGGTGCATGTGAAATCAACTGACATGTGGTACATGATTTTCCTTCCTTCCTACTCAGCCACACCTTCCCTCACCTCTGTATCACATTGAAGTCGCCTTCTCCCAAACTTTTATTTTCAAATAGCACTATATTACCAGTGTATTGGCAACAGCTAACACTGAGTGTTCCCGCTGTACTGAGAATCATGCTAGGTGTTTTGCTTATCTCAGTGAATCCTTGCAGAACCCCTGTGAGCAAGATCCCAATGTTCTCATTTTACAGATGAGGAAACTGGGACTCAGAGAGGTTGAATGACTTGCATAAGGTCACACAGCTAGTAGGAGTCAGAACAAGGATGCAAACCTGGTATTCTTAAGCACTGTGATATACCTTTTTTGCGGTTTTACTTGTGAAACTGGATTTTCTACACAAGAAGCCATAAGCACCTCAGAGAGAAGTCTCAGATTTTCTGCCATTATTGTGTACATGTATGATAGTGACACACGTAGTGTCAGGAAATGGCAAGCAGGTAGTAAAATCTCAAGCATTGACCAGTCAGGAAGAAGCTTGACCCAGAGAGAGAAACCTGAAGATTTGGCTAACATGGAAGTAATAGTTCCCATTGTTCTAGGGCCATTGGAGGTTGTAGAAAAAAGGCCTTAGGTCACTGAAAGAAACATTTGGTGTTCAATATTTACAGCTGTCTTATTACTAAGAAGTGCTCATGGGGAGGCCATGACCAAGAACTGTTGAGGTTAATGTTAGTTGCAACTTGGAGGTTAATGATGGCTATAGAATCCACTCCCCTGTGAGCAGTACTTAATAGACCTTCAGTCCATCACTGTCAGAGGTGATAGTGGCAGTGAGGGAACATCTCTCACAGGCCTAGAGGTGTTGCATAGGGTCTCTTAAGGAAAGCCTTTCTCACTTTTTCACAAGGATAAAGTGCTTAATTTTGTTTTCAGTTCAGTATCAAAGGGAAACTTTTATGGTAGCCCCTAGGCTAAACCTCAAGAGTCCATTTCTTCCATTTAAGTCTTTTCTTCATAGTTCTTAACAATTTGTACTACTGTTTTAGCTTCCTCTGTAGTTGGCACACTAAAATTAGATGTCTTTTTTGTTTCATTGTCTTCAACATTCTTTCCACAGAACCCACCTGGCTTTCAACCAACTTGGGTATTTTGACCTGTATAGAATGTTCTGGCATCCATAGGGAAATGGGGGTTCATATTTCTCGCATTCAGTCTTTGGAACTAGACAAATTAGGAACTTCTGAACTCTTGGTAAGTAGTGACCTGTACTTGGGAAGAATGATATTATTGTCATGAGTAATTTTAATATATTGTTTTGGATTTTTTTTGTATGTCTGCTGAGTACAAAGAATTATAATTCCTGAATTTTGTGAGTTTGCGTAGACGTTTAAAATGTAACTTTTGTGGTATGTAATGCTGACTTTCTATTTCCTGTTTGAAGAAAGGATGAATCATACATGTCTATAAGTAGCTCAGTGAAATTGGCTCTTTTCTTTTGGGATGGTCTTCTTCAAAACTACATTTTTCTTTATGAATTAGTTTTCATATAACTCGTGGAAATAGCAGTTAAACTCAAATGTTCACATTACCTCATGGCTTCTGTTGTAAATAATGACTAAAGAGTTTATCTCAATTTTTTTTTATTATTTCTAAGTTTGTAAAAGTACACATGAATTACAAGTGGCTTGTTAACTATTGTCATAAAACCAACTACTCTTGAACCCATAACTTCTTTAGGTAGTAAGGGAAGAAATTGTGAGAAGTTGTGGTGCTTAGCTTCTTAATCCAAAAAAGGGGTTATGTACACTTAAACTTGTTTTCCTTTAACCTCTGCCCTTCCCATCATGAGTCACCCAGATTTGGAGTTGTCATCAGGTCCAAATTGCTCCCCGAGATATACCAAAATACAGAAGGGGAGCCTACTTGGCATCCCCCAAGTAGGATGCCTACTGGACAAATGCCCCATTTTGCATAATTTTAACACCTGGTGCACTGTGAGAGAGTCTTTGTACTAAGAGTGAAATTTTTAAAATAAAGTATGACTTCTCAGACAGGAGGCTCACCCTTGAGCAGAACCTGAATGAACCTGGGCTCAAAAAAAAGCTGAAAGTCTAGCTTATCATTAGCCTTAACCAAAAAGGGCAGTTAGTGACCCAGCCAGCAGCCCTGGTCATCTGAGCGTTCACTAAGCAATCGTGATCTGTCTTGTGTTCTATGCACAATACAAGACATTCCTTCTAATTTAGAATGTAGGAAGTTACCATGCTGATACTCGGCTCCCTAGTTCACTTCAGGATTGTAGAGAAAAGACACAGACCTATTACCTGTAACACATTCTTTAGTGCAGAAATGATGTCCCTCATCTCCTTGACCTGTATTAATGAAACCCAGTTTGACAACAAGAAAGAGGAAAGTCCAAATCCTAAACGTTTGCCATGCAATAAACCCAAGACTTTTTCCCTCAAAGACATGGTTGCATGTATGTTTCTTAAACTTTGCATCCCAAAATTACATAAAATGATTAGAGGCCCTTCAGAACAAATTTTCTTAGAATGCTCTTGAACCCAGAAGCAAAATGGTTCCTGGGTCCTCTGCTGCCTGCAGCATCTTAATCTGTATCCAGATATAAAGTAATCCTGTGTCCTTTTCTGTCCTGGGAGTAAATTTGTTCAATATAAAAAGGAAACATGATGGTGGTTGATAAGCTATTGCTGTTTATTAAAAGTTTAACCTAGACTCACATATGGAGCCTGCTCTCTGTAATCTCATATAGTTTATATGTGTGTAGAACCAGATTCTGTTCTAGCATTTATCACATATTTGTAGACATGATTGATTTCCTTGTCAATGGCCCCACTAGACTATGAGCATCTATGGAAAGGGAACATAGTTTACCCATCTCTGTATTTCCAGCACTTAGTTTGGTGCTTGGCACGTAGTAGATGCTCAGTAAATATTTGTAGACCAGATGGACGGTGGTTTGTATTCTAAGTCAAATGAGGGAAAATACATATTCATAAATCTCAAAAACAAATAATAGGAGACTTTTAACTAGTAGCAAAGAGTTTGCTATATTGTGGTTGTTTGTTTTTTCTGTTACAGCTGGCCAAGAATGTAGGAAACAATAGTTTTAATGATATTATGGAAGCAAATTTACCCAGCCCCTCACCAAAACCCACCCCTTCAAGTGATATGTAAGTATTTCTGATATATTGAACTTTTTTAAACCATTCTATAATTGTTTTTCTACCCTTCCAAAAAACTTCTTTTTTTTTTTTTGGCTGGGTGCAGTGGCTCACGCCTGTAATCCCAGCACTTTGGGAGGCTGAGGCAAACGGATCACGAGGTCAGGAGATCAAGACCATCCTGGCTAACACGGTGAAACCCGTCTCTATTAAAAATTTTTTAAAAATTAGCCGGGCGTGGTGGCAGGCACTTTGTAGTCCCAGCTACTCGGGAGGCTGAGGCAGGAGAATGGCATGAACCCGGGAGGCGGAGCTTGCAGTGAGCCGAGATCGCACCCCTGCACTCCAGCCTGGGCAACAGTGCGAGACCCCATCTCAAAAATAAAAGAAAGTCTTTAGTTTTTTACAGTGTTTGTTTGTTTGTTTGTTTGTTTTCCAGAGCAAACCCCATTGTCAGGGGAAAGCAGAACAAAGAAAAGTATTTAGAAATGTATTTCCGGGATGCACAGATTCTTTTCACCCTCACCTTCCCCTAGGTTGTTGCAGCTGCGCACCTGCTCTGTGAAGCACAGATTGTCATGGGGGCAGTTCTCTCAAAAACATGGCATATTGTGATGAGTAAGAGACATTCAAAGACAATGGGAGATTCCTTTTAGCCTGGCAAAAATCCAAATGCTTAAAAACCCACTCAGCAAGACTGTGGGGAAACTGACATTCTGTCTCATAATATTGCCAGTGGGAGTACAAAATGGTACACTATGAAAAACAAATTAACCATATTTACCAAAATTATAAATGTACTTACCCTTTGACTCAGCAGTCCCACTCCTGGGAATTTATTCCTATTCTGTAATGCAAAAAGATTAGGAACAAAACAAGTATCCATCTGTAGGCATCTGATGAAATACTCTATGGTAGAGCCACACAACAGAACACTATGCAGATGGAAAAAAAAAGCACAAATTACACTGAAAAGGCTTTTCAAAAGTTAATTTGATTGTAAAACTACCATGAACAAATAAGACCTAAGTTTTACTTTACCAGCTTGATAACAGCAAGTGCTCAAGCACATACACAGTGCACTCTTGTCCACACCAGCATTTTTTAAATGTTTGCATGACCCAAACCTTGAAGGCACAGCTGCCAGATGAATGTCATAACAACATGGGTTTTTATGTCCTGTTTCTCATGTGGGAAGCAGCATCAGCGCCACCTGGTCAGCTTTGTGCCTCATCTAGTCATTTGGCCTCTGTAAGACTTTCACCTTCAAAATGTCTGTGATTCTCCAATATCTCTAATGTAGTGGTTAGGGTCATAGATTTTGAAGCCAGACTGCTGGAGTTCATATCATAGCTCTGCCACTTCCTAAACTATGTGACCTTGGACAAGTAACTTTAATTGTCTGTGCCTTAGTTTCCTCATCCAGAACATATATCTACCTCATAGGGTTGTGGTGACAATTAAGGGGCTTGAATAAAAAGTGCTTGGAGCAGCATTTGGTCTATAGTTAGTGCTGTATAAGTATCTGTTATTATTATTATTGGTCTGTAGTAAGTGCTGTATAAGTATTTACTACTACTACTATTATTACTTCCTTGTTTGGCCAGTGACCCAGAAGCATAAAGTGAACCTCTTGTAACATGCAGTTTGATCACTCATTTAGTTGTTGATCAAATCCTTACGAGGCAGCTTCCCTACTTCAGCCAGTCTTGTAGGTGCTGAAGATACAGTAGCAAACAAGACAGAGTTTCTGTCCTGCTTACATTCTGAGGAGATGAAAACACAGGGAATTAAAAAGTCAGTCATACAATTACACATTGTATTAGGTGTTATGAAGAAATTACAACAAGAGGAGGTGTTGAAGTGTGTGGGGAATGGGGAGAGGGTATTTTTTTCAAGTTGAAGGTGGGGAAAGTGCAGAATTGAGGGGCATGAAGGCACCCTCCCTGGGGGGAAGCAGCCAGGCAGCTGGAACAGGTCATATGGGTGCCCCAAGGGGCAGTAAGGCATATTTGAGCTATGTCATGAAGGAAGATGTGGCGGGAGAGAACTGAGCAAGAGGGAGATGCAGGGGAATGCTGGGCAAGATAGAGGTGGAGCCAGATCGTGTAGGTCATGGACTGCCTGGGGATTTGATTGTAAGTGTGATTGAGAGGTTTTAAACAGGAGTGGCGTGATCTGAGTTATTTTCTAAATTGATCGTATGTTCTTTTTTTTTTTTTTTTTTTTTTTTTTTTGAGATGGAATTTCACTCTCATAGCCTAGGCTGGAGTGCAGTGATGCGATCTTTGCTCACTGCAACCTCCACCTCCCGGGTTCAAGTGATTCTCCTGTCGCAGCCTCCCGAATAGCTGGGATTACAGGCATGCGCCACTATGCCCGACTAGTTTTTTGTATTTTTAGTAGAGAAGGAGTTTTCTCCATGTTGATCAGGCTGGTCTCAAACTCCCGACCTCAGGTGATTCACCCACCTCGGCCTCCCAGTGTGCTGGGATTACAGGCATGAGCCACTGCACCCAGCCTCTTAAACTGATCATATGATATTGGTTCTCAACCAAGGGTGACTTTGCCCCCAGAGGATACTTGGCAATGTCTGGAGATACTCAGTTGTCATGACTTGGACAGGTGCTACTGTCACCCAGTGGGTAGAGGTCAGGGATGGTGCTAAACATAGGACAGCTGTCAAGAGAAAAGAATGTACCCAGCCCCAAATGTCAGTAGGGCTGAGGTTGAGAAACCCAGCTGTAGCTGACGTGTGAAGGACAGACTGGCGGGGAGTGTGGCGGGGCCTGGGTGCCTATGAAAACAGACAGAGGAGAAGCTGTTAGAATAGATCCACTGAGCGCTGAAGGTAAACTGGACAAAGGTGGTAGCAATGAAGATAATGAAATGTGGTTGACTTCCCAATGTATTTTGAAGGGAGAGCCAACAGGATTTGCTGATCAGTTTTAATATGAGATGTTTAAGACTCAGTCAAGATGACACCCAAGGTTTTACATCTAGGTAAATAGATAGTAGCATTAACAAAAACGGAGCAGATAAAGAGAGGACTGGGTTTAAGGGGACAGAGGAGAAAAGTTGTCTTTATCAGCCATAGGACTAGAATTCTAGTGTCCAGATTTCCAGACAAATCTATTTTCCACTCTCCCTATTACTCCAGTGTCAGAAAACATTAAATTGCCAGGGGACTATGGGCTGAGTGCCCATAAAAAGTTGAAGGCATTGTGCCTAGTAAGAGGCCAGATACTTCCTATGGCCACAGAATTAGAGACCTAAGGGTAGAGGTGATTTTCAAGGTGATCATGTGATACCTGAGCACCCTCTGCATCATTGCTTCCAAATAATTGCGTGGCATCTGCATGATATTTCCAGTGACAGGAAGCCACCTGCAGACATTCCTGAAACGCAGATGAATGCATGGAAACAGTAATCTAAGATCTACCTCCCCGCAACTTTGCATCTTTAAGCCTAGTTCTGGCCTCCCGGATAATAATGGGAAGGAAGCTTTCAAATGAACCCCTAACATGTGCATCCCTCTTTGTTCCTTACCCATAATCTTGCTTCCTTGGAAGGCAGCTATGATTACTAATATTTTACAGGTAAAGAAACTGAGATTCAGTGAGAACTTGATTTACCCAGGGTCACATAGTTAGCACGTGGTCTCAGACTTGAATCGAGCGATTTAATTTTTAAGTCTGCTGCTCCATCCATCAACACAGTAGCTGCCTTTCACACTTTATATAAGACACATGCAGCAGAGGCCTCAGAAGCCAGGCTTGGGCCGTTCTTTTGGTTACTGGAAGTCCTCTAATTCATCAGGCTCTAGCCATCCTAAAAAGGACTTTGACCTAAGCATAAGGGACACACGTGAGCATAAGATTTTGGTTACTTAGTAGAATCAGTTGGTCTCTTCTCAACTGCACAGGGTTGAGAAAAGACCAGAGGCTGTGTGCCATCATCAACCAGCTCAACTGTTTTTACTGCCAACCCAAAATGAAAGAAAAAGGTACCAGCACAGTGTTAAACTGTGTTGCCTGACTGTGGGCTGTTGGAAACAGTAGCAGCTTCCACAGGTGGAATGCATATTTTTGAGCAAGAAAGTTTATGTCCTTTGTGTTAGAGCCCTCTCAGAAGGAAGAAAACACTTCTTAGGCACTGTACATCCTTTAATTCAAAATATACCAATGTCTTATCCCCATTTTCAGATTAAAAAAAAAAAACTGAAGCTCATGACGATTAAGCAGTTTACTATGGTCACACAGCTGGGGTGCTGTAGAACTAAAAGATTTAATCCAAAGTTCATTTACTGTCTTTATTAATTAGCTCATGTAACTGGGAAATTCAAGGGGTGGATTCAGGTACAGCTGGATCCAGGCTGTCAGACAGCATCACGTGGACCCTAGCTCTCTTTCCTTGACTCCTACCTCTCCTTTCCTCTGAGCTGACTTCCATTTTAGTCTTTCCCCAGAGGTGGCCAAGGTGACCATTGGGCCACTTAGGTCATTTACTCACCCCTGTGGCTGGGAGGTGAGCTCAGTCCCACCAGAAACACTTGAACGGAAGTAAAGAAGGCAATTCCTCAAGAAAAGGAAAAAGTACTACACCCTTTCAGACTTTGGGCATGTTATCCATGTGGTCTCCTGCTCCCATACTGAACCTGTGCAGGAAAGACAGCTCATCTTCACCCCTTTGGAGCTCAATGCCTGGCCTGGGGGAGTTGCTTCAGTGACAGCCTTTCTGAGCCTTAGTTTCCTCACCTATAAAATAGAGAGTTATGGCCGGGTACAGGCCGGCTCACACCTGTAATCCCAACTCTTTGGGAGGCCAAGGCAGGAGAATTGCTTGAGCTCAGGAGTTCAAGACCAGCCTGGGCAACATAGCGAGACCCGATCCTTTTAAAAATTTTACAAAATAAATAAAAAATAGAGAGTTATATCAGACGACCAAAATCCTTTCCGTGAAGCTCTGAAAACTTTTAATTGGTCTTTCAGAATGTGTTTAACTTCTTAAATTTTTAAATTTATTCATATGCTTATATATCAGAGTTTGAAGTATTTATAAATAGTTGATTTCTCATGCTGTTGGTCAAGGTGAAAAAGAAATCTGTGATTTATGTGCCCGTTTACTTTGTAACTATATCTATTACTTGTATATATTAGTAAACATATATTATTTTCTTTATTCTGTCTCTGTTGGAGTAATTTGGTCTAAAACCTGGTTTATTTGAATGGTGAAAAGAAGCGTATCTTAATTAAAATAACTTCTCAAAGAGAAATGTTTGTCAGAAAAATGTAAACCTTTCCTAGCACTTGGAAAATAAAAATTCTTTATTTTGTTCTGTTTTAGGACTGTACGAAAAGAATATATCACTGCAAAGTATGTAGATCATAGGTTTTCAAGGAAGACCTGTTCAACTTCATCAGCTAAACTAAATGAATTGCTTGAGGCCATCAAATCCAGGGATTTACTTGCACTAATTCAAGTCTATGCAGAAGGGGTAGAGCTAATGGAACCACTGCTGGAACCTGGGCAGGTAAGGCCTCACTAAAATCATTGGATAAAAAGTAATGTGGAAAATCAGTTTAAAAGGTGACTTATTTTAACATTATACCATATAATGAGATTCTTATACATTGGGTGGCCATGTCTAAATCAAGAGAATATGAGAGTGAAGAGGTGTGCTCCTTATAATTACTTGGGGGCAACTGATATATATGAAGCCTCCCTTGGCAGAGCATATTATTGACTTACTTATACTTTTCTTTCCCTTTTTAGGAGCTTGGGGAGACAGCCCTTCACCTTGCCGTCCGAACTGCAGATCAGACATCTCTCCATTTGGTTGACTTCCTTGTACAAAACTGGTATCGTTTTTGTTTTCTCTGTTGAATTACCTGAATATGCCTTATAAATTAACACAAACCAGTCCTATCAGTGGCCTAGATCGGGAATTGGCAAGCTTTTTCTGTGTCATGCTAGATATAAAAATTATTTTTGGCTTTGCAGGCATGAAGTCTCTCTGTCAGAGCTATTCACTTCTGCCATGGTAGTGTGAAAGCAGCCACTGACAATGTGTAAACAAGCAAGTGTGGCTGTATTCCAATGAAACTTTATTATTTTGTTTATAAAAACAGACAGTGAACCAGATATGGCCTACAGGCTGTAGTTTGCCATCTCTTGGCCTTTATAAATGTAAAATTATGTCTGTATCCAAAAATCTGCTGCACAGATTGGACACATTTGCTAACCGTTAGGAGAGGTTAAAAGAGAGAAGACTTAACAGCACAGGTCAACCATATTTGTGAGTTTTCATTGTTCCTAAATTTAATATAAGACAGCAGCAGTGTGTGTGGCTGGATCAATAGCTCATTCAAGTTTGGGATATACTGATGGAAGTATAAGAGTGAATATAGGAAGTTTGGACTTGCTGGATTCTTTATTCTCTTTATCTGTTCTGTAAGCAACAGATGATGAGGAGGAACTAGAGCTCATCTAAAGAAGAAGATCAAAATAGTGAGGGGATTTGAACCCATAGAGGAAAAATGGTACATAGACACAAGCCAAATTGTATAAAAGTCCAGGTTTCTTCCTCAGAGACAATATAGCATAGTGGCTCAAAACATTGGCTCCAGAGATAGATTACCTGTGTTCAAATATCCCTGCTTCACCATCCCTATCTTGAAAATCTTGAAAGCAAGCACTTCAGCCTCTCTGCGCTTCAGGGTTTTTTATCTGTAAAAGCGGTTATTATTAGTATTTACCCCATCATATAGTTGTAAAGATTCAATGAACTAATACATGTAAATGTTAAGAAACAGTGTCTGTCCCATAGGACCTGGCACTCTAAATAAATACTGCCTGTTATCACTGTATTGCTTATAAATCTAGGTTAGAAACATCATAATTTTCTCTATTATAATAATTAGGTCTCAAATTTGACTCAGTTGTCAGCACAAAAATAAGTGGCTAATCTATAGTTTTAAGTTATAAAGTAAGTCATTTTTTTCTAATCATCATCTAATTTTTCAGTGGGAACCTGGATAAGCAGACGGCCCTGGGAAACACAGTTCTACACTACTGTAGTATGTACAGTAAACCTGAGTGTTTGAAGCTTTTGCTCAGGAGCAAGCCCACTGTGGATATAGGTAAGAGTGTGTCTAGTGTCTTCATGACTGTAGTAAGCGTGTGTTGCATGGTACATTGTAATTTGATTATTGTTCCTTGCCTTCTTAAGGTGTTTCCTAGATAATTATGCAAATTAATTTTTTTCCTATTTCAGTTAACCAGGCTGGAGAAACTGCCCTAGACATAGCAAAGAGACTAAAAGCTACCCAGTGTGAAGATCTGGTAAGCAAAAATGGACGTGGGAGATTTATTAGACATTGGCTGCCTTAAAAGTGTCATTCTGAGAAGCTAGAATTGAATATTAAAAATGCAGATTCATTTTTTTTTAACACTTGCTAAAGAAAATCAGATGAGCAATGTGCTACATTAGAAAAAGTGGTAAAATGATAAATTTGTCATCCACATGTTTTTGGAATGCAGTTAAAGGAGGTGAAAGGCATTACACAAGTATTATTACCAGATCGACTTGTGCATTGAGGTCATGCTTTTTATTTCCCAGACCATTAGACTTTCTCTGCAGCTTAATAGTAAAGAATTATTTGAGAAGCTGCTCCAAAAATTGGGCAAGTAAAGCTCAGAGAGTAGTGGTCTTCAAAATGTTAACACACTGTTCTCCCAGCCCCTCCCCTTCCTGTGCACATTCACCTTTTTTGACCCTACTAGTTCTTGCTTAGCAAGTCAGGGCCTTCACATTAGTGTGATTCTCTTGAGTTTCTGCTAAGTGCCAGGTTCCAGGCCCACCAGTTGGGCCTTTTTATTCTTAAAAGAATCCTTTGAGACAATTATCCCTGCTCCCATTTTATGAATGAGAAAATGGGGCCACAGATTGGACTGGGACCTTAAAAGCCTACGTCTTAAACTTCAAAGACTCGTTTTGCCTTTCAGCCAGGAATTTGCAAGTTTGAGGCCCATTTAATAAGAAGAAAGCTTTTAATTTTGGAGACAAGTCATCAAAATAAAGAAGGCTCTGCCTGCAATTGTTTGCATTTCTTCTTGAGCCTGTCACATAGCAGTGCAGCTTGTCTAAGCAGAGTGTTGCCTATAGTACACCTACAGATGATTCATTGAAAACTAGGAATAAGGTGGGATTTGCTCAGTGTTTGTATAATATTGGGATGTTTCAGCATTTAAATTAAAATGGTGCACATTTGCTGTTCCTTCCAGCTTTCCCAGGCTAAATCTGGAAAGTTCAATCCACACGTCCACGTAGAATATGAGTGGAATCTTCGACAGGAGGAGATAGATGAGAGCGATGATGATCTGGATGACAAAGTGAGTGTAAATTATGTCCTCGAATTCTCAACAACTACCCCAACTTTTCTAGTCTGTGTAGACAAGATCCATTTTTGGTGAGATTGATTGATTGTGGTTTTATGATCCAATGTATCAGGGCCATTTATGTTGTTCAGTCCTTATTGGGCACCATTTAACAGCTATATTAAGGTTGTCCAGAGAAACAGAGCCAACAGGATAGGGAGAGAGACAGAGAAATTTTTTTTAAGGAATTGGCTCACATGATTGAAGGAGCTGTCAAGTTCAAAATGCACAGGGCAGGCCAGCAGGCTGGAAATCCCAGCAGGAGTTAATGTTGCAGTCTTCAGGCTAAAGACAGTCTGGAGGCAGCATTCCTTACCCTTTGGGGGACCTCAGTCTTTTTAAGGCCTTTCTTTGGCTGATTAGGTGAGGCACACCCACATCATGAAGGGTAGTTCCCTTGACTCGAAATCTACTCATTTAAATGGTAATTGCATCTAAAAAATTCCTTTACAGCAACATCTAGACTAGTATTTGACCAAACACCAGGACACTGTAGCCTGTTGACACATAAAATTAACCATGAAGCTAGGCATGGTGGCTCATGCCTATAATCCCAGCGCTTTGGGAGGCCAAGGCAGAACTATCGCTTGAGACCAGGAATTCGAGAGCAACCTAAGCAAAATGGTGAGACCCTGTCTCTACAAAGTAAATGGATCAATCAATAAAACGTGGTGGTGCTATTTGACAAGCTGAGGCAGGAGGATTGCTTGAGCCCAGGAGTTTGAGGCTGCAGTGAGCTATGATTGTACTACTGCACTCTTGACCTGAATGACAGAGCAAGACCCTATATCTTAAAAAAAAAAAAAAAAAAAATTAACCTTCAAAACAAGTAATTAGTAAGTAAATAACAGTTGTTATTTATTGAACATAATCATGCACTGTATAATAACATTTCAGTCCACAACACACTGCATACTCAATGGGGATCAATATAAGATTAAAACGGAGCTGAAAAATAGCCATCACCTAGTGATGCCATAGATGTCATAATACGGTAGTGCAACACATTCCTCAAATGGTTGTGGGATGCTGGTATAAACCAACCTACTGCACTGAGTTGTATAAAAATGTACAGTAATGTCCTAGGCCTTCACTCACACCCAGAGCAGCTTCCAGTCCTTCCAGCTCCATTTATGGAAAGTGTCCTACATAGATGTACCATTTTTTAATCTTATATAACATGTTTTTATTTTACCTCTTCTATGTTTAGATACACAAGTAATTACCATTGTGTTACAGTTGTTTACAATGTTTAGTATAGTAGCATGCTGTACAGGTTTGTAGCCTGGGAGCAATAGGCTATACCATATAGCCTAGGTGTGTAGTAGGCTCTCCCATCTAGGTTTGTGTAAGTATACTCTATGATGTTCGCACAAGAACGAAATCACCTAACACATTTCTCAGAATGTATGCCTGTCATTAAGGAATGATGTTCATTAAATATGGATTAGACAGATTTAAGCACTTACGTTATCTCAGATCATCTTTATTGAAAGTCCATAACTGAGTGCTGTGGCTCACACCTGTAATCCCAGCACTTTGGGAGGGTGAGACGGGTGGATGCCTTGAGCCCAGAAGCTTGAGACCAGCCTGGGCAACATGGCGAAACCCTCTCTCTACAAAAAATACAAAAATTAGCTGGCCGTGGTGGTGTGCGCCTGTGGTCCCAGCTGCCCGGGAGGCAGAGGTGGGAGAATCACCTGAGCCCAGGAACTCAAGGCTGTGATGAGCCAAGATTGTCCCATTGCACTCCAGCCTGGGTGTGGGTGTCTGAGTGAGACCCTGTCTCAGAGGAAAAAAAAAAAAAAGTACATAAGGGACATTGTTATCCCCATTTTACAGAAGAGAAAACTTACAAAGAGAATTTAGCAACTTGTCTAAAGTCTCCCAGCTAGTAAAGACAGTTTGGAGGATTAAACCCAGTTCTCACTGAGTTTTCCTTATAAGCAGTTAACTACCTCTGAAAGTTCATTCATGCATTAATTGATTGCCTATGTATTGGACATTTCCTGTATCACAGGCAGGATGTAAGGAATGGCCAAAGAGGTCCTCAAGCCTTAACAACTTTAAGAGGAAATAAATTATAATACAATGTGATAATCATTATAAGAGTATGGAAAAATTCCTGAGAGCTATTCAGAGGACCAAGCAGCTGCCTCAGTCTGCCTTCTCAAGGACATTGGAGATGGGTTTCTAAGGATAGGTGGAAGCTTGCCAGGGAAAGAAGTGGGGTGGAATGCATCATTCCAGAACACCACGTGCCAAGGGAAGGAGTCATGGTAGAGTCTGGATGTCGGAGGAATGGAGAGAAGCACTGTGTGTGAGATGCATTCACCTGGCTGGGTGGGGAGAGGCAGGCAGCTGCCTTGTAGAGTCAGGCAAACCAGATCAGGATGGCTTTGTGGGCAAGGTTTGGCCTTTGGGTTTTTGTGCAAGCAGTCAGAAGCCCACAGAGGTTTATTGTCTAAAGAGCAAGGTTTCCCACCAGCTCTGGCTGCAGTGTGGAGAATGGACTGGAGGAAGGAAACTGGAGAAGGGGCCATTCTGGAGGCTAGAGCTGCAGTGGGAGCTGGTGAGCACCTGTACTAGGAGGGGCTTCAAGGGATATTTCCAAGGGGAATGCAGGAACCAGGGACTCCAGGTGACACTGAGGTTTCTAACCTGGGCAGTTGAGTGGATCCTAATGCCATCACCACAAGCGCAAATACCAGAGATACCTCATGGGCCATTGGTTTGGAACACAAGTCACTGGGGTTGTATTTACAGATCTGTAAGTAATTATTGTGTAGCGGGCAGTGGGTGTGAATCCGTTTACTTTGCAGGGGGATATAAAATGAGAAAAGAGGCAAAGAAAGAACTTCAACGTTAAAGGGTTGAGCAGGGAACAAAACTTAATGTAGCAAATTAGAAATAGGTGGAAATACTATTCAAATGTTGCTGAAAAAGTCCTGCATTCTGAAGGTGTTTGCTTATTAAAAGTTAAATCTACCTGTGACCTTACTGTGCTTCTGACACTGCTGCTGATCCTAACCAGTGTTTCACTAGTGTGATTATTCATAGTGGTGAACGATATGAAAGTGTGGTATCTAGATCCTTCCCTTGTACTGTGTCAGCATCATGAGGCTCATTGTGGCTGACCTCATAAAGCTCAGAGAGCCACAGGAACCCAGATTCCCACCTGAGCCCGCCCTGCGGAGGCCCTCTGTACACATGAAGGGTGGTCCTTGATTATTATCTCACCTTCTTATTTCATCTGCCAGCCAAGCCCTATCAAGAAAGAGCGCTCACCCAGACCTCAGAGCTTCTGCCACTCCTCCAGCATCTCCCCCCAGGACAAGCTGGCACTGCCAGGATTCAGCACTCCAAGGGACAAACAGCGGCTCTCCTATGGAGCCTTCACCAACCAGATCTTCGTTTCCACAAGCACAGACTCGCCCACATCACCAACCACGGAGGCTCCCCCTCTGCCTCCTAGGAACGCCGGGAAAGGTATGGGCTTTGAGAAGGGCTTGTGACTCCATCCTCGAAGGGCTTGTGACTCCATCCTCAGAGCTGATAGTCTAGCCAGCTTTGAGGTAAGAATTGCAAGGTACATTTGAGTGGCGCGGATCGTGTTGTCAGGAGCAGCTTGAAATAGGGACCATGCCATTTGCCAGGTACCAAGAGCAGGACAGGCAGTGCTGTGGGCTCTCTTTGTGCATTATTTGTGTTAACCTTACAACAATCCTGTGAAGTATGTGCTTTTGTGCCCATTTTACAGAAGAGGAAACTAAGGCTCAATGAGATACACTGACCAGCCCAAGGTCACACCACTGGTAAGAGGTAAAGTTGAGATTCAATCTGAGGTCCACGTGGCTCCAGAACCTGTACTTTTTATAATGTGGAGTGGAGTTTCAGTTCTCTGGAAAGTTACTTTTCTCTACATTAAAATGCCACTCTTTTGAAGACGCTAGTAATAATAGTGGTAGTTAATAGTTATGGAGCACTTGCCTTATGAGAGGCTCTACGCCTAGTACTTCTTTTGTAATCATCTCAAAATGAGGTAGGTGCTATTATGCAGTTACTGGCATCATGTGAATTAGGGGATTTGTTCAGAGATACTGAGTAATTGGCCTGTAGTTCTCAGCCTGGGATTCTAACCCAGGTTCTGTGTGACCAAAGCCCATTCTCTTGTACTCTCTAATAAGGAACATTTTTCCAGAGACAGTACTTGGAGAGGAATTTTTTTTTTCCCTTGAGACAGGCCTTTCTCAGTCGCCTCCATCTCCGGGGCTCAAGTGATCCTGATCCTCCCACCTCAGCCTTCCAAGTAGCTGGAACCACAGGTGTGTGGCACCATGCCCAGCTTTTTTTTTTTTTTTTTTTTTTTTTTGGTAGAGATGAGGTCTTGCTATGTTGCCCAGGCTGGTCTTGAATTCCTGTACTCAACTGATCCTCCCACCTTGACCCCTCAAGGTGCTGGGACTACAGGCTTGAGCCACTGCGCCCAGACGAGGAATCCCGCTCATAGGAGGGTTGTTGTGCTGTGAGTTGTCAAATGTCTCACAGGGCTGGCGCCTCAGGCTACCATTAAAGTGTTGCCTCAGCCAGTAGGGATAATTGAGAGGTACCCAGAGCTATAGCTTCAAGTTTGGTCTTTGCCAGTGAATCCAAATGCAGGGTTCTCCCTGTGTGCTCAGCTCGTGCTCCCACAGGTTTCATGGCTTCTCGCTACACAATGCCATGCCTATTTGAATCACACTAGGGCTATTTTCTGGGAAATGTGAGCTTTATTCAAAACAGTGTTTTTTCAGAGCTTATTCTCTATTGAAATAGTGTTATAAATGGGAGCTGTGTTCTTAGAGAGACCCCAAATGGCCTCATAGATCATAAAGTAATAGAGAAAAGTTAAAATAACGCTTTGGCATGAACAGCTATCCTCAAAGATAACCAGTGGCCACACAGTAATAGTGCATGTAAGCCAAAGGTCTAACCCACCAGTGTTTTCTTACCATTCCATACATTGTACTAAAATGTATGTTTTTAAATCACTCACATATCAAGCTGCAGGTCTGTAGTGTAAGAATGCTGTGTTGCTGCTTCCCTGTGGGTAATGGCATTCCCCATCAGGGTAGCAGTCTGACAGAGAGCAGAGATTCTCTTTCTGCACCCTACAGAGGACTGTGAGAAGCCTCCAGACTGAATACAATAATGGAAAAAGTGACTGAAAGATTTCACATCTCCTGAGTGTGGTTACCAACATAGCAGTGGGGACCTATCTAGACAGGCACAGCCTATGCCTGTTCAGAGAGCCTCTAGGTCATTGAGAGTCCTGAAAATGGTTTATAGGAGAAAATGACACCAGAGTCCTGGGGGCCAAGAGACCCCCTCATTTCCCTCCACCCCCTTCTGTAATTTTATCTCAAGGGGGACAACAGAAACCCATAATATATACTGTCTGACTTTGTGCCAGGCATATCTCTCATGTCTTGAATAAATTCTAACTAGCTCTTTACCAAAGACCCAGAAGACAAAGACTAAATTTATTTAGTGTTCCAGCTGCTGAAACAAGTGTTTGAGACTTGGCCACAGCAACCGTGGTCATCTAAGGATACAGTACTTTCCCCACTTCCCCCAAAAAAAGCCCATAATTGAAAATAGAAATCCTCCCTACAAAAACCAAGAGTGTTCTTCATGGCTGTTCACAGCAGGACATCAAATTCAGAGATTTGGCCTGTCTGCTGGTGAGACATAGGGAGTACAGCCTTCTCATGACTTTTATAAGGGATTTGAAGTGTGCGATATCCCATAGCTAGCTCAGCTCACATGCGCTTACATTTGGAAAACTGATAATGTTTAGAATGGAGCTCTTAGAAGACATTGTTAAAGATCAGCTGATACTCTGTGTGCAGAGATAATTCTTCTCTGTTTTTTTGGCCCCTATGTTTTTTTTCATTTCCTTCTGTTGAGCTGATAGAACCATTTGCATGAAAACAAGGATGCCTTGGATCTCTCATTTGAGTTCCTTGTTCTCCATGACAAATAAAGCAGAGGTCTCTATTTGCAGCAGAAGTCATTTCCTCAACTGAATTTAGGGGTCTGAAGGACCCCTAAATTAAGTCTTCCAGTGAGACAGAAACAGACACTTGAGATAAAGTCCCCACAAAAGCGAAGAGGAGAAAGAATTATTCTGAATCTAGCTGAGAATATTTTCAAGAAACTCCAGCTGCCTCATCGAAATTCAAGGAAGCTTGACCTAAATTACCGTCAAGCAAAGCCCCCTTGTGCTTACAAGTGAGCAGTGCCCCAGAGTCTCAGAGGAGCTCAGTAGCTCAGAATCCCAAAATCACTATCCTCAAGCCCCATACCGAAACACTTCGCTGCCTAACCCCTCTTCAGATGTGGGGTCCCGAGAGACTAAATCAAAGCTGTAAAATTAATTTGTGTGTGGTAGTTTCTCGTTTGTGATCAGTAGCTTCCCCCTGCCCCCACCCCACTTCTACTGTACGTTTATTAACACTGGTTCTTGGACCGGGTGCGGTGGCTTACGCCTATAATCCCAACACTTTGGGAGACCGAGGTGGCCGGATCACCTGACGTCGGGAGTTCGAGACCACCCTGACCAACATGGAGAAACCCCGTCTCTACTAAAAATACAAAATGAGCCGGGCGTAGTGGCGCCTGCCTGTAATCCCAGCTACTCGGGAGGCTGAGGCAGGAGAATCGCTTGAACCTGGGAGGCGGAGGTTGTGGTGAGCCGAGATTGTGCCATTGCACTCCAGCCTGGGCAACAAGAGTGAAACTCCATCTCAAAAAAAAAAAAAAAAAAAAAAAAAAAAAAAAAAACTGGTTTTTGAGGCTTGCCAAGATTAGTTTCTTTTTAACCTTTGATTAAGATTAATTAAAATAATATCACAGAACCTAGGTTTATTTACTGCCACCATGCCCAGCTAATTTTTGTATTTTTAGTAGGGACAGGGTTTCACCACATTGGCCAGGCTGGTCACGAACTCCTGACCTCAGGTAGTCCACCTGCCTCGGCCTCCCAAAGTGCCAAGATTACAGGCGTGAGCCACCACACCCGGCCAAGCCTGTTAAATTAACAAATGCTCTGGATAATGAGACCGGGCACTTGGTAGGCATCTTAACTCAAAGATAGGATGTGTTAAGTAAAAGAATGATAATTCCAATCTCAAGAACCTTCTTTAACATGCTTAAAAGAACTAACCTTTTAAGCGTTTAGAAAGGTGAACACCTGATATGCTAATTACAGTTCATTCCCATCTATTCCTGAAGCCAGGCCTCTAGAATCAGGCATTATATAGCCCTTCTCAATAGCATGTGAATACCTGTAAGTATTAATTCTTCATTTCATACACATTTGCTATAATGTAGACTTCCTACCTTAGAGAGGCTCTGGCTTGGAACTAATAAACTAGCAGATAACCTGCACGAAAGTAGCGTGCTGTGTGGCATACTGAGAGCGTCAATAGATGCTTGTTGTTGAAGGGTTGGTGCCACAGAGAAAATTGAACCAGATGCTACCCTTGCCAACAGGTAGGTGAAGAGACTAACTACTCTCATTAATCAAAGTATATGCAGTAGTTTGAGAGTAACAAACTAAGGCAGATCAGTCTGTGTCAAGCCAGACCATGGCTGCCTAGACAGCTGTGAACTCCTGAGAAGCCTTTCCAGCATCACCTTCTCCTCTTCCAAGAAGCCTTCTTTTCCGTGCCACACAAAAGAGACTATGGTGGTCGGGCGTGGTGTCTCATGCCTGTAATCCCAGCACTGTGGGAGGCCAAGGCAGGCAGATCACCTGAGGTCAGGAGTTCGAGACCAGCCTGGCCAATATGGTGAAACCCTATCTCTACTAAAAATACACAGAATTAACCAGGCTTGGTGGCCCGTGCCTGTAATCCCAGCTACTCAGGATTCTGAGGCAGGAGAATTGCTTGAACCCAGGAGGCAGAGGTTGCAGTGAGCCAAGATGGCACCACTGCACTTCAGCCCGGGCGACAGAATGAGACTCTATCTCAAAAATACATACATACATACATACATACATACATACATACATACATACATTTTTTAAAAAAAAAAAAAAAGAGAGACTATGGGCCGGGCATGGTGGCTCACACCTGTAATCCCAGCACTTTGGGAGGCTGAGGCGGGCGGATCACGAGGTCAGGAGATCGAGACCATCCTGGCTAACATGGTAAAACCCTGTCTCTACTAAAAATACAAACAAAAATTAGCCGGGTGTGGTGGAGGACGCCTGTAGTCCCAGCTACTTGGGAGGCTGAGGCAGGAGAATGGCGTGAACCCGGGAAGCGGAGCTTGCAGTGAGCCGAGATTGTGCCACTTCTCTCCAACCTGGGCCACAGGGTGAGACTCCGTCTCAAAAAAAAAAAAAAAAAGAAGAAGAAGAGAGAGACTATAGTTCTTCCTCATAAGGCCCAATCCTGCCCCATACTTGTCTCATCCTAACATTGAGCCAATCTTGCTGATTTTCAGAGTCTTCAACTGAAAAATAAGGATTAGGTGTCTACCTTGCTTAGAGAGCATGAAATAATGTCTATGAAATGACTGGCACGTAGTGAGCATTCAGTAAATACAAGTTTGTTCAATCCTCCTGCATGTTTTCAGTTTAACAAACATTCTGGGCACTGGAAATGTAAAGAAGAAGGAAGAAGTACCTCCCACTCTCAGGGCTCCAGGGAAAGAGGACACAGTATAATGTGCCCCTGGGGCCACTAGGGAGTATTCCTGGAGGAGCAGGAAAGAGAAGTGCTGTTCACAGCTTCAGAGAGAGGATTAGGGAAGTCTTCAATGCACTCTTCCAGTTAGGAGCAGAACTCCTCAAGGATAAGGGCTGTGAATGAGCTGCCTTTGCATCCCTGGCACAGAGAGTAGGATGCTCGTCAGTACTCGTCAGATGCATAAACAACAGCAGAAAGAATCAGTGAAAGCATGTCCCAGAAATAGGTGGCCAGGATAAGGAGGGGACATTTATAAAACTAAACCAGATGTCCACAGGTGTGATAGTTGACTTGCTGAAAATCTAATAAATGCAGCAGTTGTGCCCAGACACAGCTGTGTATGCATTTTAGACATTTCTCCAACTTTCCTTGGAGATCTGTGGCAGTAGATAGGAAGAAGAGTAGAAAGGGTGAAGACTTGCTCAGTATATGACAGCACCTGCCACCATGAAAGTACACTACTGCATGATTCAGACTCGCATGGGAAATATTTTCCTATCAGTGGTGTTATTCATATATTGATGACTTTACAGTTTCCTGCGGTTTTTTATCTCATGGGAAGACAGTCATTAGAGTAGCTTGATATTAAAGCTTCTCATAGGCTGTCACCCTTGATTC
Source organism: Homo sapiens (assembly GCF_000001405.40). Lineage (NCBI taxonomy): Eukaryota > Metazoa > Chordata > Mammalia > Primates > Hominidae > Homo > Homo sapiens. The sequence goes on along the minus strand of NC_000008.11, from coordinate 130,106,223 downwards.
GTGTTTTGTTTTAGGGTGTTTTTTTCATTTGGGTTTGGTTTGCATTTGGGTTTTTGGCCTTTTTAAATCCTTTCCCCCTGTCCTTTGTAAGGCATTGCACGTGAATCACCTAGTGCTGGCCCAGAGTATCATCTGTGATTTTTGCCCTGAATAGTGACCTTGACTGAGGCTCTCTAGCTAAGTCACCTGACTGCCAGGGTGTGGAAAGGGAAGCAGAGGAAATCCTTGTTGTGCCTCTGGCATTCAGGGGTGGATGAGTTAATTGTTAAAGAATCAGCCCTAAGTCTCTTGAATCCTGGTACTTTCTTCTTAATTATCAGTGTCATAGAAGGAGGTGGAAGGACAGATGGATAGCTAATGCTGTTTCCTGTGTGGAAGTCAGTTGACAGAGCAATGTGGCACATATCATGCCCGGGCACCAGCCTGTCCTGTAATCCTGGCCAGCCCTGCTGACTTACACTAGTGTCCCAGCGCACTCTACTCCACCATGCCTGTTTCTCCATCTGAATGTGGAGATAACAGCTCCTCCGTTCTACACTGAGTCCTTCTTTGTATAATTATACGGTTAATTACTTTTTAAAGTAATTAACTTAAGCTTTCCACTCTTTTAAGCTTTATACTATGAAAACCATTAGATCAGTTAGGAGGAATAAGTTCAAGAGATCTGTTGTACAACCTGGTGCCTGTAGTTAATAACGTACTGTATTCTTGAAAATTGCTAAGAGAATAGATTTTAAATGTTCTCGCTACAAAGAAAAAGATGCATACGTGAAGTAATGCATCTGTTAATTAGCTCAATTTAGCAATTTCACAATGTACAGTTATCCCATGCCAAAACTCCAGGAATGCTCAAGTGCCTTATATAAAATGGTGCAGTATTTGCATATAACCTACACGCATTCTCCTGTGTACTTTAAATCACCTCTAGATTACTTGTTATACCTACTACAATGTAAATGCTATGTAAATGGTTGCTATACTATATTGTTTGTTTGTTGTTATTGTTGTTGGATTGTTATTTTTTATTGTGAGTTTCTTTTTTCTGAATATATTTAATCCAGGGTTGGTTGAACCTGCAGATGCAGAACTCCCAGATACAAAGGTCCAACTGTATACATATTTTAAAACAATATGTTATACATAATAAATATATATGTTATCAATTAAAAATAAATTGAAAAAAGAAAACTATTAGAAAGTGATAAAATCTTCATGTATATTGTCCCAAGTTGGATAGATATAACTTTTGTCATTACCCTTCCTATGTGGCAGCTTAGAATGTGTAAATTATGTTTCTACAGACAACTTTTTCAGAAACTGTCAAGATAATTTTTAAGCCATCTTCTAGGTCTTTTTTTTTCTTTGAAACTTCAGTTATACTTTTATTTGGTCTCCCAGTGTAAGAGACTTTTGGTTTTTCTGTGTGTAACTAAAAACCAGATATACAAGGATATTGAAAAAACATCCTCCTGACTTACATCATGAATTATCTTTATAGTCGTTGTTTGAAATGCTTGTTTCCCAGTGCCATAAAGAAATAGCACTTGAACATAAATTTAATTTTTTCAGCAAGGCCGTTTTTATACTTTCTGTAGAAAGGGTATACTTGCCAGCAGTTTTGCCACGAGAGTACACTGAACAAATGAGACAGGATCATTTATAACCTGACGTGTCCATCCTATTGCTGTGTCCAGTTTCCATTGGCTGTTTTGTATTTGTCCTGATTGGCTAGTAACTTAGAACTTTTTAAAAGAGTTGCAAAGGCAGAGAACAAAGGACGGAGGAAGTAACTTGTGGAATGCTGAGAAAGGTAAAAACACCTTCAAATAAGGAAGAGGAACAGGCCATGACCTAATGCTTGCTTGAACCAGTATAAGCATGCCAGGGCAAAGATTCAGGCTAAATTTTGGGAACTAAGAACATAAAGTACATTGATTTCTTTATTATGGCTAGCAGAGATTTAAAAATGTTAGCACAGGTCTTTGAATAAATTTTACTTCTAAGAGAAGTTACTATTTATTCCTAATTAGATGGGGAGGAAAGTCTTTGAAGAGGAACCTCTACTGTACTTTTTCAGTTGTGTACTGAGTACCCAGAGCATGCCGGGCCCTGGCAGGAGAGCTGTGGAGACAGTACAGATCATGCCCTATGGATGCACACAGTCTGGAAAGGAAGAGAAATTGTAGCTGTAATGTATGGTAGAGAATATCCATTAAGCCCTGGAAGCTCAGAGATAAGAGTGGGTATTCCAGGGAAGAGGGGATGGATTAGAGAAGGATTCTGGATGAAGTTACATTTGAACTGACCCTTAAAAAAATGAAGATGTAACCAAAACCTGTGGGATACAGTAAAAACAATACTAAAAAGGAAGTTCATAGCAATAAATGCCTACATAGAAAAAGAAAAACATCACTAGGTGCAGTGGCTTACGCCTGTAATCCCAGCACTTTGGGAGGCCGAGGCAGGTGGATCACCTGAGGGAGGTCAGGAATTCAAGACCCAAGACCAGCCTGGCCAACATGGTGAAACCCCATCTCTACTAAAAATACAAAAATTAGCTGGGCGTGGTGGCACACGCCTATAATCCCAGCTACTCGGGAGGCTGAGGCAGAAAATCACTTGAACCCGGGAGGCAGAGGTTGTAGTGAGCCGAGATCGCGTCACTGCACTCCAGCCTGGGTGACAAGAGCGAAACTCCATCTCAAAAAAAATAAAAAAATAAAAATGTCAAATAACCTAATGGTGCACCTCAAGGAACTAGAAAAGCAAGGACAAACCAAATCCAAAATTAGTAAAAGGAAAGAAAAAAGATCAGAGCAGAAATATATAAAGTTGCAACTGAAAAGACAATACAGAAAAGCAGCAAGTGTTGTGTTTTTTTGAAAAGATGAAAAAAATTGACAAGCCTTTAGCTAGACAAGAAAAGAAGGGAGAAGACCCAAATAAATAAGATTAGAAATGAAAAAGGAGGCTGATACCACAAAAATACAAAGGTCATTGTAGGAGACTATTATAAATAATGATAGGCCAGCAAATTAGGAAACCTAGAGGAAATGGACAAATTCCTGGAAACAACCACCAAGATTGAACCAAGAAGAAATAGAAAACCTGAGCAGATTAATAATAAGTAACAACATTGAATCAGTAATAAAAAGCCTCCCAACAAAGAAAACTCCAGGACCAGATGGCTTTATTACTTGAATTCTGCCAAATCTTTAAAAAACAGACAGCTAGGCTGGATGTGGTGGCTCGTGCCTGTAATCCCAATGCTTTGGGAGGCCAAGTCAGGAGGCTCACTTGAGGCCAGAAGTTTGAGACCAATCTGGGCAACATGGTGAGACCCTGTCTCTACAAAAAATATAAATAAAAAATTACTTGGGCACGGTGGTACCTACCTGTGGTGCTAACTATGTAGAAGGCTGAAGCAAGATGATCACTTGAGCCCAGGAGGTCAAAGCTGCAGTGAGTCAAGATCACACCACTGCACTCCAGCCTGGGTGACAGAGCAAGACCCTGTCTCAATCAATCAATCAAATAGTAAAGAAAAACTAGCACCAATTCTTAAACTGTTCCAAAAAAATTGAAGACAAAGGAATTTTTCCTAACTCTTCCAATGAGGCCAGCATTGCCCTAATACCAAAACCAGACAAGGACACAACAAAAAAAGAAAACTACCAGCCAATATTCTTGTGGAACGTAGATGCAAAAAATCCTAACCAAATACTAACAAACTGAATCCAACAACACATCAAAAGATAATAAACCATGATGAAGTGTGATTTATCGCAGGGATGCAAGGATGTTTCAACATACGCTAATCAATAAATGAGACACACCACATCAACAGAATGAAGGACAAAAGCCATATGATGACCTAAATGGATGCAGAAAAAGCATTTGATAAAATTCAACATCCATTCATAATAAAAACCTTCAATAAATTAGGTATAGAAGGAACATATCTCAAAATAATAAAGGCCGTATGTGACAAACTCACATCTAAATCATCCTGAATGGGGGAAAGCTGAAAGCTTTTTCTCTAAGAACTGGAAGAAGACAAGGATGCCTGCTTTGACCACTCCTGCTCAGATAGTGCTGGAAGTAGTCCTAGCCAGAGCAGTCAGGCAAGAGAATGCAATAAAGGGCATCCAAACTGGAAAAGAGGAAGTTAAATTGTTCCTCTTTTCAGATGACATGATCTTCTATATAGAAAAACCTAAAGACGTCACCAAAAAACACATTTAGAACTGATGAATAAATTCATTAAAGTGACAGGATACAAAATCAACATACAAAAATCAGTAGTGTTTCTATACACCAGTAACAAACTAGCTTTAAAAAATCAAGAAAAAGCCGGGTGTGATGCTTCATGCCTGTAATCCCAGCACTTTAGGAGGATGAGGTGGGTGCATTGCTTGAGCTTAGGAGTTTTGAGACCAGCCTGGGCAACATGGTGAAACCCTATCTCTGCAAAAAAAAAAAAAAAAAAAATTAACCAGGTGTGGTAGCACATGCCTGTAGTCCCCAGCTAGTAGGGAGGCTGAGGTGAAAAGATCGCTTGAGCATAGGAGGCTGCAGTGAGCTGTGATTACGCTACTGCACTCCAGCCTGGGTGACAGAGAAAGACCCTGTCTCAGAAAAAAAAAGAAAAATTGAGAAAGCAATCCCTTTTACGATAGCTACCCCCCAAAAAACTAAAAAACCCAGGAATAAATCTAACCAAGGAGGTGAAAGAGCTCTGCAATGAAAACTTATAAAACAGTGATAAAAGAAATTGAAGGGGACAATTAAAAATGGAAAGACATCACATGCTCATGATTGGAAGAATTAATGCAGTTAAAATGATCATACTACCAAGAGCAATCTACAGATTCGATGCAATCTCTTTCAAAATACTAATGACATTCCTCATAGAAACAGAAAAAAGCAATCCTAAAATTCATATGGAAACACAAAAGACTTCAAATAGCCAAAGTAATACTAAGCCAAAAGAAAAAAGCTGGAGTCATTACACTACTTGACTTCAAAATATACTACAAAGCTATAGTAACCAGAACAGCTTTGTATTGGTGTAAAAACAAATGCATAGACCAGTGGAACAGAACATAGAACCCAGAAATAAATCCACATATTTATAGCCAACTGATTTTTGATAAGGGTGCAAAGAACATACATTGGGGAAAGGATCCTTCTTTAATTTGCTGAGAAAGCTGGGTATCTCTCAACTCAAGATGAATTAAAGACTTAAACATAATACCCGAAACTATAAAACTACTAGAAGAGAGCATAAGGGAAACACTTCAGGACATTAGTCTGGGCAAAAATTGTATGTGTAGCACATCAAAAGCACAGGCAACAAAAAAATAGACAAAGCAGACGATATCAAACTAAAAAGCTTCTGCACAGCAAAAGAAACAATCAGAGCAAAGAGACAACCTGTTGAATGCAGAAACTATCTGCAAACTATTCATCTTACAAGGGACTTGTATATCCGGAATATACAAGGAACTCAATTCAGCAGCAAAATAATAATGATAATGTGATTTTAAAATGGGCAAAGGATCTGAACAGACATTTCTCAAAAGAAGAAGTAGAGGCCGGGTGTGGTGGTTCATGCCTGTAATCCCAGCACGTTGGGAGGCCGAGGTGGGTAGATTGCCTGAGGTCAGGGCTTCGAGACCAGCCTGGCCAACATGGTGAAACCCCATCTCTACTAAAAATACAAAATTAGCTGGGTGTGGTAGCATACACCTGTAATCCCAGCTACTCGGGAGGCTGAGGCAGGAGAATCACCCGAACCTGGGAGGCGGAGGTTGCAGTGAGCCGAGAACACACCATTGCACTCCAGCCTGGGCAACAAGAGTGAAACTCCGTCTCAAAAAAAAGAAAGAAAGAAAGAAAGAAAGAAAACACGACATATAAATGGCTAATAAGTATATGAAAAAATGCTCAACATCACTAATCATGAGAGAAATGTAAATCAAAACCACAATGAGATATTATCTATTTCCAGTTAAAATGGCTATCATCAAAAAGACAAGAAATAACAAATCCTGATGAGGATGCAGAGAAAGGGGAACTCTTATATAATGTTGGTTGGAATGTAAATTAGTACAGGTACTAATGAAAAACAGTATGGAGGTTTCTCACAAAACTGAAAATAGCACTGTCATACCACTGAGCAATTCTACTACTGGGTATTTATCCAGTGCAAAGGAAATCAGTATATTAAAGGGATACCTGCACCCCATGTTTACTGCAGTGCTATTTACAGTAGCCAAGATATGGAATCAGTCTAAATGTCCATCAGCAGGTGAATGGATGAAGAAAATGTGTATATATACATATGGAATATTATTCCCATAAAAATGAATGAAATCCTATAGGCTGGGCACAATGACTCACATCTGTAATCCCAGCACTTTGGGAGGCCGAGGCGGGTGGATCACCTGAGGTCAGGTTGCAGTGAGCTGAGATCATGCCACTGCACTCCAGCCTGGACGACACAGCAAGACTCTGTCTCAAAAAAAAAAAAAAAAAAAAGAATGAAATCCTTTCATGTGCTACAACATGTATGACCCTGAAGGACATTATTTTAAGTGAAATAAGCCAGGCACAGAAAGATAAATACTGCATGTTCTCACTCATGTGGGAGCTAAAACAAAACAAGAAAAGCTCAAGCCTGGACAACATAGCAAAACCCCATCTCCACAAAAAGTTTTTCTTAAAAAATTAGCTGGGCCTGGCCGGGCGCAGTGGCTCATGCCTGTAATCCCAGCACTTTTGGAGGCCACGATGGGCGGATCACGAGGTCAGGAGATCGAGACCATCCTGGCTAACATGGTGAAACCCCGTCTCTACTAAAAATACAAAAAAAATTAGCCAGGCGTGGTGGCAGGCACCTGTAGTCCCAGCTACTCGGGAGGCTGAGGCAGGAGAATGGCGTGAACCTGGGAGGTGGAGCTTGCAGTGAGCCGAGATCTCGCCACTGCACTCCAGCCTGGGCAACAGAGCGAGACTCAGTCCACCAAAAAAAAAAAAAATTAGCTAGGCCTGGTGGCGTACACGTATAGTCCCAGCTACTGGGCAGACTGAGGTAGGAGGATCACTTCCAGAGCCCCGGAAGTTGAGGCTGCAGTGAACTGTGATCATACTGCAGCATTCCAGCCTGGGCAACAGAGTGAGACTGTCTCAAAAAAAAAAAAAAAAAAGCTTATATTAGTAGAGAGTATTGAGCTTATATTAGTAGAGAGTATAAGAGAGGTTATTAGAGTTCTGGGAAGGGGTTGAGCGGAGGATGAGGCTGATTAATGGATACAAAATAACAGCTAGATGGGAAGGATAAGTTCCTGTGTTCTGTAACACTGTAGAGTGACTGTGGTTAACAGTAATTTGGTGTATATTTTCAAAATCTACAAGCAAGGATTTTGAATGTTCACAACACAAAGAAATGATAAATCTTTGAGATGATGGATATTAGCTACCCTGATTTGATCATTACACATTATACACATGTATTGAAATATCACTATGTATCCTATAAATATGTACAATTGTGTCAACTAAAAAGTTTTTAGGCCTGGCACCGTGGCTCACACCTGTAATCTCGGCACTTTGGGAGGCCGAGGCGGGCGGATCATGAGATCAGGGGTTTGAGCCCAGCCTAGGTGGCCAACATGGTGAAACCTTGTCTCTACTAAAAAAATACAAAAATTAGCCGGGCGTGGTGGCAGGCACCTGTAATCCCAGCTACTTCGGAGGCTGAGACAGGAGAATCGCTTGAACCCGGGAGGTGGACATTGCAGTGAGCTAAGATCATGCCACTGCACTCCAGCCTGGGCAACAAAGAGCAAAACTTCATCTCAAAAAAGTGTTTAAAGATGAGAATGTGGAAGTGAAGTGATAACTCAGTTATGTCCCTGAAAGTTCTAGCCGGAAAGGATGTGATGCCATTTAGAGGAAGGGAAGCAAGCTGTTGTCAAGGCTGAGAGTCTGGCCTTGAGTCAGACAGAATGGGGTTCTGCCTGGACGTAGCTGCTCATTTGCTGTGACTTGCCAAGTTCCTAAACCCTCTGAGCCTTGGGTCTTTTTATCCTTCAAATGGATAATGTGACAATAATGATAATATTTTACAAGATAAATTTTAAATACTGTGTTTTAGCTCAAGCACATAATACTCAGTAAATGGTAGCTCCAGAAAATGCAAGAAGAGGAGGAAGAGATTTGAAAAGCATGCTGATTATGATTTTAGGAATTAATTTTCATTTTTTAAGGTATATTTATATCTATTTAGGTATAAGTGAATGAATTTCCAGGACATTTTTTCTGGGCTAAGTGGAGAGATTGCCTTGCTGAGTACTGTTGGGGGAGATATTCTCAAACCACCTTCATAGTTTAAGAATATATCGATTTCCCATAAGGGAGCTTCAGTGAGAAGAGAATGTCAGTTCCTGGGAGAGAGTCTCAGGAGATCGCTGCCACTTTTTGAGAGACTAAATTGTTGGGCCCAGGAATGTGGGACAAGAGCTTTGGCCTGAAAACTGCCCGTGGGCCTGCCAGGGTGAGCATAGTCACTTCTGCAATACACTGCCTGGGTGCACTTCCTGAGCCCTGGCTGTATGCCGGGCACACTTCTGACATAGACCTCAGACAGAGGCATCCCCGAGGCTAAGGACGTTGAGGTGCTCTGGCAGCACATCAGGTAGGTTCAGCGGCAACCACTTGAGTTGAAGGCACAGCAGAATGTCCAAATGGAGTGACCAAGAGGCTGTTGGAGATGTGGGAAGGGACCCAGGCATAGCCAGGGTCAGGGATGGGGATGCTGTCTGTGCAGGGAGGGCCGTTAACAAGGGAGGACGGTGAAGAACAGATCAGAAGACACATTTAGAACCCCTGGAGAACAGGGCAGGTGAGGAGAGAAGCCACAGAGCAGAGTGCCTTGAGGACAGGCCTGTGTCCAGAGCACAGCACCTGATACCCAAAAGAGGACCCAGAAGTGCCTCCAGAATGAAGGGTGGTGAGAACAGGCACCAGTGGGTGTCCACAATACAGTTTTCAAGGACTTTTTTTTTTTTTTTTTTTTTTTTTTTTTTTTTTTGGAGACTAACTGTCACTCTGTCTCCTAGGCTGGAGTGCAGTGGCATGATCTCGGCTCACTGCAACCTCCATCTCCCGGGTTCAAGCGATTCTCCTGCCTCAGCCTCCCAAGTAGCTGGGATTACAGGTGCATGCCACCATGCCCAGCTAATTTTGTATTTTTTAGTGGAGACAGGGTTTCATTATGTTGGCCAGGCTGGTCTCAAGCTCCTGGCCTCAAGTGACCCTCACGCCTCGGCCTCCCAAAGTGCTGGGATTACAGATGTGAGCCACCATGCCCGGCCTCAAGGACTTTTTCTGATCATGGATTATTTAAAAATAAATATGTGGCTTGCCTTCTCACCCTGCAGAACACTAGTCCTGTCATCCATCTCTGTTTAAGGGCAGGGAATGCTTTCTCGTGGAAAACACATGCTCCTAGATGATTCAGCTTCTTTGAATGTGACAGCTGATGCTAAACTAACATGTAAACCCTCAGGAAGAATGAGGTGTACTCTACTTCCTCTTAGAAGATCTTCTAATTATTTAACCTCAGATTTATTCATAGAAGCTTTGGAAGGCTAGACCCATGTTTTTAAGAAGATATAGACATTATTTCACATGGTAGCCAATATTAGTGGCAAGTGAGGTTTGGGGCACTTTCTTGTTACTTCCACAGGCCTCTGGCAGAGTTCAGGAGAGAAAATTGCCTCTTAGTCACCTCTGCATCTCTGTCACCACTCACTAATCTTGCCTCCCCACCCTTTTTTGTGTTGCGTTTGATGCTGTGTTCCATTTTATTTTGTTTCAGCTTTCTTTATCTTACCAGAATTGCTTTTTTCCTGACTGAACCAGTACTCAGATTTATTTTGCATAAAAGATCCCTTTTAATGCTGTGGGACTGGTTACTAATTTTGGAAGTCTTCTGAGCTCTTTAAATCTTCAAACATTTTTTTAAGTCTGCATTTCTGGGGTCTTATATATAGTATTTTTCAACCTTATTTTACCTCATGTCTTCCCAGCCAAGATTTTGTAGCATCTTCCTTTCTGTAGCTTCTACTACAAGACAATAGATAGGTCTGTCTGTGTGTTTGTTTTCCAAGTGTAAGATTATAAACTTGAATATCCCTTTTCACACTTAACACTGTTCCCTCCTGCTAATTCTCCCCACTTGTTTCTGATCAGTCAACCTAAGTGAAACATATTGGCCTCCTTAAGAATTACTGGCCTGGCCGGGCACTGTGACTCACGCCTGTAATCCCAGTACTTTGGGAGTCTGAGGTGGGTGGATCACCTGAGGTCAGGAGTTCAAGACCAGCCTGGCCAACATGGTGAAACCCCATCTCTACTAAAAATACAAAACTTAGCCGGGTGTGGCGGCGTGCACCTGTAGTCCCAGCTACTCAGGAGGCTGAGACAGGAGAATCCCTTGAATCTGGGAGGCAGAAGTTGCAGTGAGCCGAGATTACACCACTGCACTCCAACCTGGGTGACAGAGTAAAGCTCTGCCTCAAAAAAAAAAAAAAGACAAAAGAATCACTGGCCTTAGGCCAGGCATGGTGGCTCACGCCTGTAATCCAAGCACTTTGAAAGACTGAAGCAGGTGAATCACTTGAGGTTGGGAGTTCAAGACCTGCCTGGCCAACATGGCAAAACCCCATCTCTACTAAAAATACAAAAATTAGCCAGACGTGGTGGCACACATCTGTAGTCCCAGCTACTTGGGAGGCTGAGGCAGGAGAATCACTTGAACCCAGGAGGGGGAGGTCACGGTGAGCCAAGATCACGCCACTGCACTCCAGCCTGGGCGACAGAGTGAAACTGCGTCTCAAAAAAAAAAAAAAAAAAAAAAAATCACTGGCCTAAAAAGATAGAAGTAGTGGTTGAGTCTTCTATTTATTCAGTAAATATTTACTCTACACGAAACCAGAGAAAAGCCTGGCCCTAATACAACTCTCCCAGTCTTATGGGAGAGTCAGGTAACAAGTAAGTAAACAAAGACTTAATTAGAGATTATACTCAGCAATATGAAGGAAGTCAGAAGTATATAAGGGCATGGGACGCACAATTACTTAATTTTTGAAATGATTCAGGAGGTTGGATTTTACATGGTTTATGGTTACAGGATGCCTCTTTGGTGTAATCTCTCCTACAGTCTCATACATATATAATGCAGCGTTGCTCAGAGACATGGCTCCATTAGCATTTTGTCTTTGACAATTTTTGTTTCCTAGCAGGGAACTGCATCTGCATCAGAAAGTCCCTAGATGGCGATAAAGATGAAATTGCTAGAGAACCTCACCATTGTCTATTATCTATTATCCATTTATTTCCAAAAGGAAAGTTACACTTCCTGATACTGAGCATTTGTTGTTGTTTTCCTCATATGCCAAGCACAGGAAATGCTGCTCTGGCTTTCAGGAACCAGCAGCATCATTTGATGGGGTGAGTGCCTCGCCAGTCCTGGACACCTGCCTTATCCCAGCTCTGCCCCTCATGGCTTGTGACTTTAATCATGCCTCTGAGTTCTCGGCTGCAAAATGGGGACAATACTACCTGACCCACATACTTCACAGAGTTAGTATGAAAATGAAGAGGTACAACTATTCGTATCCATAAACATTTTTTTTTTTTAAATTTAGACTAGGCGTGGTGACTCACGCCTATAATTCTAGCACTTTGGGAGGGTCGCTTCAGCTCAGGAGTTCAAGGCCAGCCTGGACAACAGAGTGAGACTCTGTCTCTACTAAAAATTTAAAAATTTTTAAAAATTAGCTGGATGTTATGATACATGCCTGTAGTCCCAGCTACTCAGGAGGCTGAGGAGGGAAGATTGCTTGAGCCCAGGAGATCAGGGCTGCAGTGAGCTGTGATCTTGCCACTGCACTCCAAGCAGGATGACAAAGCAAGACCTTGTCTCAAAAAAAATTTTTTTTAACGATAAACCTAGGGAAGAAGCTGAGGAATAGCATATATAAACACATTTTGAAAACTACAAAGCATTATACAGATGCAAGGCCATAATAACAATCTCTGTATTGTTACAAAAATAAAATAGTTTCTGAAAACTGCTGTGACTGACACCCTAATTAAGTGTTGATTTGGGGTAAGCATCAGGCTTCCATTGTGTAATAGAATTACGCAATGGGACAAAGATGTAAATTATATAGCCTGGCAATTTAAACCTAAAGCAGATGATAATTTTACTGAGATTAACAGTATTTACTTTCAGAACTAGCCTATCTTATAGAAATAATGGTTTAAGTCAATATTGGTAGGGACTAGTAATTGACAATGGGAAATAGGAAAGCTTACTTTGTACCAAGGAAAGAGGCCAGCAGTAATTAGACTTTTTTTTTTAATATGAAGAGTGTATAAAGCTCTTTTGGAGCCCTTCTGGATTACTAGGTATCTACTAATCTGTGTTAAACATTCAGTGTGGCAGTGTTCTTAGCTTTCTTTTTTTTTTTTTTTTTTTTTTTGAGACGGAGTCTCGCTGTGACAGCCAGGCAGGAATGCAGTGGCATGATCTCAGCTCATTGCAACCGCCACTTCCTGGGTTCAAGCGATTCTCCAGCCTCAGCCTCCCGAGCAGCTGGGACTACAGGCGTGCACCGCCACACCTGGCTAATTTTTGTATTTTTAGTAGAGACAGAGTTTCACCATGTTGGCCAGGCTGGTCTTGAACTCCTGACCTCAAGTGATCTGCCCACCTCGGCCTCTCAAAGTGCTGGAGTTACAGGCGAGAGCCACCGTGCCTGGTCCTAGCTTTTTTTTCTTAACGTTTACAGAAGCAGTTTGCCATGAACACAGTTAAACCATATACCTTAAATAAAGCAATAGTAGTGAAAGTGCCCAGCATGGAATACCTGGCACACACCAGCCACTTCAATGTCACTTTGAATAAACAAAACTAAGATCAAATACACTACTCCCTTAACAGCTTTTAAAAACGAACCCCATTTTTGTGTGTATGTGGAATATTACTATCATTCCTGCTGTCTTGTCTTTAGCTCTGGAGAAAGTTGAGTCTTTTTTTTAGTCTATAAAAATCAGTGTCTATATAAATGTTGTTCAGGCTTCCAATATAACAGATGGTTTGGTTTCTAGAGCAAAGGGTTTTTGGATTTCTCTTTTTTCTAGGTAATGCTTTACGTCCAGTTCTTTCTTCATTATTTAGAAAAGCCTTAATTTTTTTTTTTTTTTTTTTAAGAAAAGCGTCAGGCAGTTTGCTGACTAGAAGAAAAAGTTGTAGAAAGAAAAATTCTATTATATGAATCATTTCATGTTTCAGCTTGTGGCCCAGTGAAGGCTTAGCCTGTACTCTGTTCTTTCTCTGTTGATTTTGCTGGTAGTGGTGTGTGATTTCTCCTTCAGTAGGTTCTGTGATGGTTATAAGGAGTTATTGTTTTAAGATGTGTGTGTGTGTTTGTTTTTCCCATTGTACCTAAATGATCTAAACTCAGTAGCATTCTGTGTTGACTGGCATTTTGTTCCTAAAAGCACACACTCTTCTTACCTTTGTTGTAAATTTTTCTCTGTTGCCTAGGCTGGAGCGCAGTGGCATAATCATAGCTCAGTGTATCCTCGAACTCCTGACTTCAAGTGATCCTCCTACCTCAGTCTTCCAAGTAGCTGAGACTACAAGCACACACCACCACACCTGGCTAATTTTTTAAATTTTTATAGAGATGGCGTCTTGCTGTGTTACCCAGGCTGGTCTCAAACTCTTGGCCTCAAGCAATCCTCCCACCTCAGCTTTCTACAGTGCAGGGGATTACAGGCATGAGCCACTGCACCTGGCCAATTTTATTTTTTTTTTAACCAAATTTTTGAAACCCTACTTGTGAGTTATTAGGTTGATGGAGTTAGCCATATCCAGCCTTTTGCTTTTGTCTCTGTGTGTCATACCACATTCTGATGTGTGGAAGTGATTTCATACTGGCTGTTTTGTATCTGTGAGACTGGGATTAATCTTCCTGCCCCCATTCAATTTCCTTTCTAGGTCCAACTGGCCCACCTTCAACACTCCCTCTAAGCACCCAGACCTCTAGTGGCAGCTCCACCCTATCCAAGAAGAGGCCTCCTCCCCCACCACCCGGACACAAGAGAACCCTATCCGACCCTCCCAGCCCACTACCTCATGGGCCCCCAAACAAAGGCGCAGTTCCTTGGGGTAAGTTATCCTAAAGTCAGGGCCAAAGCTGCTGGGGCCAGGCAGCGTGTGGGGCTCCACTGGGCAGTGGCCTGTTAGCACATTCAGAAAGTGTGCCAAAATGCACACACATGCTGGGTGCTGACTCGGGTATATATGACATGATTCTACCTGTCTCTTAAGGGAAAGGAACATTTTGAAAAATATTTAGGCCATTAAAAACTAAAAGGTGCTGAGCACTTCCTAAATCTTACTCAATTATAATAGCAACTCTGTGAGGTAGGTATTATTAGTCTCGTTTATATATAAGGAAACAGAGGCTCAGAAAAGCAAAGTAATCCATTTTCCTCACAACAGCCAGAATGGTTTTCTTATAAAGTGTAAATCAGCTCATGGTCACTTTTCTCCTTAACACCCTTTTGAGATTTCCTTTTGAGCTTCAGATAAATGCAAGCTCCCTATATCAAGGCCCACAGGGCCCTGCATGATCGGGCTCTTATCTCCTAGACCCTCTCCTGCCACTCTATCTTCAGGGCTGGCCTTCTTTCACTTCTTGGATACACCATCCTCTGCCTCCTGAGGGCCCTCCCACTCCCTGGAACTCTGTCATGCTTTTTGAACAGCTGCTTCCCTTTCATCCTTGAGTTCTCAGCCAGCATGTCTATCTCCCCCGCCCTCCAACGCAGCTTCCTCCCTACCTGTTTTCCCCCAAACACCTTATCACAGAATGTAAGCCGCCCCACTAAAATGTAAGCTCCATGAGAGCCAGAACCTTGTCTTGGTCTTGTTCTCACCAGTGTTTACTGGAACCACGCCTGGCATACAGTGAATATTCAGGAATCACTTGAGAATGAATAAATTTGCCCAGAGTCAGCTTGTTAATCATTTCAGTGACATTGACTGCACATGACAAATTCCCATCTACAAGGGACATAATTCCCATCTTTACTACTAGCCTGCTAGCGACTTAGGGGTCACCCCATCACGAAACAGGGTCTTGGCCCGTGACAGACACTCACAGAAGCTTTGCTGAATAAATTTGTTAGTTTGTGTGTCTCACCTCTTCCTGCTGTGGAGTTTCATTGTGGCTTTCTTCATATTTTTTGTGTTTTGAGTTTTGGGGGAAAGTTATATTGTCCCGTTGCTGATTGTCACCTGTTCACCATCTGGCCCAGACACCCCGGGTTATGTGTGTGCAAGCATGTGTGTGCATTTAGCCGTTCATTCTCTGACTCTGTTTGCTTACTTGAGGCACTTACTATGCCCCTTGCTTGGGCCTTCTCAGTCCATATGCTCGTGGAGTTCATGGTCTAATGCAGGACACACGTGGGTAAGTCATTAGAGCACATGTTCTTTACTATCAGGATAGACATGTTGTCTAAACACTAGAAATGCCAGAAAACTGAATGTCAGACTTTAGAGGAAAGCCAGGGAAGGTTTAGAGAAGAGGAGACATTGGAGTTTGGTGTTAATGAATTAGTTCCCACAAGCCAGGCAAGAACAATTGAGGTGTGCTAGCACATATGTACATAAAGACTAAGGATGTCCGTGACATTTTCAGAGGCTGCTGTGTAAGGCCTTCGGGATCCCCAGATTTCATCAAAAAGGCCTTTCCCCCAAATAACATTCCATGAAAGTCACAAGTTTCACATCAGCGTTTCATATCACAAATTAACCTCCTTTCCAAATTTCTCTTAAGTTTTAATCCTCTTGTTTAAGTGGCTTTATTTCTTAAGGTTTGAAGTGCCTTTATTCACATTGTATAGACTCGAACATTCCTCAAATAAATTTACCAAATTTCTGCTTTCTGGCTTGAAAATCATCACTTTTTTAGATTTTCACATCACTCAAGAGCAAGACTAGCAGCTGGCCGTTTTTCCCCCCATTGTTGATGGGTCAGGGAGCATTTTTTATTAAACAAAATTTACTTTAAAAGAGTGCCTGACAGTGAGCTGGGAGCCTTATAACCTTTTCCAGATGAGGACGCTGTTCTGTCTGTCAGTTTCTCACCAGCTAAGAGCCTCTCACCTACAACCAGCCTTGAAGGACAAAAATCATCATCTGTCCTCGGCCACAGTGACAGTTCGCCACATGGCATGGACTTTTGATTGTTGAAATCAAAATTTTAAATTTAAAAAACAATTTAAATTTTTTTTTAAATTTTGATTTTAGAAAGCATATGTTGGTGTACATGCATGTATGTGAGATATACTGTCTACAGACACAGGTCAGTAATGGGCATGTATGTGTGGGTGCATTCATACACGGCTGGACTTCTCCTTAGAAAGGTTATAGTTGCTCTGCTCCTAGTGCTTGAGGTCTGTGTTGTATTATTACTGCTTGGTTTTATCCCTTCCCCGCCTCCTGCTGACATTGTATTGTAGAAGCCAAAGGCAGGGCCCAGACAGGTCATCAGCAAGGCACTTAGGGGATCAACCTTCTAGGCAACCTTCCTCTCTGATGCCTGCAGCTTTCGTCTGTGGACGCACCTTTCCAACGCTCTTATGTTCCCCTAAACCTCTCATCTCTCCTCAGCCCATGAGGATCAGGGCCTTTGAACTGTGAGAGATCAGGACTGGGAGGTAGACACCAGGCACGAGCAGGTAGTAAAAGAACAGCCCCTTAGCTCTCACCAGGCCTTACCTCTCCACCCCCAAAGCTGAACATGTCTGCCATCTTGAGGTACACCACATTCCCCAAAGTTCTATTTTTTTCTCTCAGATCTGAGCCTTTGCTTACAGTATGCCCTCAACCTAGAATCTTCTTCCCTC